>NC_000016.10:11213783-12417567 GCF_000001405.40 Homo sapiens
ATAACCCCTTGCCCACCTTCTATCCTGGGAAGCTTTGTTCCCCGTGGGCCACCTACTCCAGCCCACCTCCTCGGGTGGCGACAGTGGGCTCAGTGTGTTCCTCCCTTCTCCTTGCCCAAGACAGGATCTTTGGCCCTTATTAATAAAAACAACCAAATCTGGCTGGTGCAGTGGCTCACACCTGTAATCCCAGCACTTTGGGAGGTCAAGGGAGGAGGATCACTTGAGGCCAGGAATTCGAGACCAGCCTGGACAACATAGCGGGACTCTGTCTCTACAAAAAAAATTAAAAATTAGCCAAGCATGGTGGCGTGCTTCTAGCTACTTGGGAGGGTGAAGCAGGAGGGGATGCTTGAGCCCAGGAGTTTGAGGCAGAAGTGAGCTACGATTGTGCCACTGCACTCCAGATGAGGGAGACCCTATCTCAAAAAAAAAAAAAAAAAAAGTACAATAATAACAGTCAAATCTATTAAGTGTTTACCTCATGCCTGGCGTATAGCTGAACACGTGGCCCATATGACTTTATCCATGATCCCTGTTTTTCAGGTAGGAAATGGAAGCTCAGAGAGGTTAAGTGGCCCACCCCTAGCGCACAGCTAGTATATGATGGGGCTTCTACGTACCTCTCAGCCCTGGGCCTACCTTATTCTTCATAAACCCATGGAGGTTGCAGGTCTAGCCAACATATACACACAGGAAGCTTCTGGCAGCTTGAGAACTACTTGTGACATGAATAATCACAGCTGCTACTTAGTAGGGGCTGCCTGAAAACAGCACTTTGGGCCGGGCGCGGTGGCTCACGCCTGTAATCCCAGCACTTTGGGAGGCCGAGGCGGGCGGATCACGAGGTCAGGAGATCGAGACCATCCTGGCTAACACGGTGAAACCCCGTCACTACTAAAAAATACCAAAAAATTAGCCGGGCGTGCTGGCGGGTGCCTGTAGTCCCAGCTACGCAGAATACTGAAGCAGGAGAATCACTTGAACCCAGGAGGCGGAGCTTGCAGTGAGCCAAGATCACACCATTGCACTCCAGCCTGGGCGACAGAGCGAGACTCCGTCTCAAACAAAACAAAACAAAACAAAACAAAAAACCAGCACTTTGTTTTTATTTATTGATTTGACATTTAGTTCAATTTTAAGAAAAGATGGTTCAAAATGCAAAAGAGATAAGAGGGTCTCTTTCCCTGCTGGCCCCTGTCGTCCCCCAGCCACCCCAGTTCCCTTTCTGATACCAGTTTCCTCAATTCCTTCCAGAAATACTTTTTATTTTTGAGATGGAGTCTCGCTCTGTCGCCAGGCTGGAGTGCAGTGGCACGATCTCGGCTCACTGCAACCTCCGCCTCCCAGGTTCAAGCGATTCTCCTGCCTCAGCCTCCTGAGTAACTGGGACTACAGGCATGTGCCACCACACCCAGCTAATTTAGTAGAGATGGGGTTTCACCATGTTGGCCAGGATGGTCTCGAACTCCTGACCTCGTGATCTGCCCGCCTTGGCCTCCCAAAGTCCTGGGATTACAGGCATGAGCCCCCACGCCAAGCCGTTTTTTTTTGTTTGTTTGTTTTTTTGTTTGTTTTGTTTTGTTTTGAGACGGAGTTTTGCTCTTGTCGCCCAGGCTGGAGTGTAGTGGTGTGGTCTTGGCTCACTGCAACCTCTACCCCTCGAGCTCACATGATTCTCCTGCCTCAGCCTCCCAAGTAGCTGGGATTACAGGCGCCTGCCACCATGCCCAGCTAATTTTGTATTTTCAATAGAGATGGAGTTTCCCCATGTTGGACAAGCTGGTGTCAATCTCCTGACCTCAGGTGATCCGCCCACCTCAGCCTCCCAAAGTGCTGGGATTACAGGCATGAGCCACCAGGCCCGGCCTCCTTCCAGAAATACTTAATACATTTACTCAAATGTTAGACTATTGTACTGATATGATTTGGATCTATGTCCCCACCCAAATGTCAGGTTGAATTGTAACCCCCGATGTTGGAGGTGGGGCCTGGTGGGAGGTGATTGTATCAAGGGAGTGGATTTCTCATGAGTGGTTTAGCACCGTCCCTCTTGGTACTATCCCTGTGATAGTGAGTGAGTTCTCATGAGATCTGGTCATTTACCAGCGTATAGCACCTCCCCCATCTCTTCTTGCTCCTGCTCCCGCCATGTGACATGCCTGCCCCCTCTTTGCCTTCTGCCATGATTGGAAGTTTCCTGAGGCCTCTCCAGAAGCTGAGCAGAGGCCAGCGCCATGCTCCCTGTACAGCCTGCAGAACTGTGAACCAACTAAACCTCTTTTCTTTATGAATTACTCAGTCTTTAGTATTTCTTTATAGCAATGTCAGAATGGACGAATCCATGTACATACTGTATTCATTATCTATTGCTATTGCTGCATAGCAAGTTAGGCCCAAAATTTGGCAGCTTGAAATATGAATAAACCTTTTTTATCTCACAGTTTCTGAGGGGCAGGAATTTGGGAGCAACTCAGCTGGGTGATTCTGGCTCAGTGTCACGTGAGGCTGTGGTCAAGCAGTTGGCCAGGGCTGCTGTCATCTGAAGGCTCAACTGGGGCTGGAGGCTCTACTTTCTGGATGGCTCATTATGTGGCTTTTGGCAGGAGGTCTCAGCTCCTCACCACATAGATGTCTCAATAGGGCTGCTTGAGTGTCCTCACAACATGGCAGCTGGCTTCTGTCAGGGCAAGTGGTCCAAGACAGGACAGAGTGGAAGCTGCAATATTATTTATGACCTAGCCTTGGAAGACATGTTTCCACTGTATCCTCCTAATTACACAGCCTTAGTTAATGTGGGAGAGGACAACATTAGGCCCCAAGAGGTGAGAATCATTGTGGGTCATCTGGAGGCTGCCTAGCACACACAGTGTCCTGCACCTTGCCTTTTTTCACTGCACAATAGCATTCAGAATGGTTCTATATCAATATACACAGAATAACCTTGTTTGTTTTTTATTTATTTATTTATTTATTCATTTATATGAGCTAGGGTCTCACTCTGTCACCCAGGCTGGAGTACAGTGGCACGATCACAACTCACTGCAGCCTCAACCTCCCAGACTCAAGCGATCCTCCCACCTCAGCCTCCCAAGTAGCTGGGACTACAGGTGCATACCACCATGCCTGGCTAATTATTTTCAAAAAATGTTTTGTAGAGATGGGGCCCCACTATATTGCCCAGGCTGGTCTCGACCTCCTGAGCCCAAGTGCTCCTCCTGTCTCAGCCTCCCAAAAAATATTGGGATTCCAGGCGTGAGCCACTGCACCCAGCCTATTTTTTAAACTGCATAGTATTCCACTGTGTGGGAACATCATGATGTATTTACCCAGCCCACTATTGATGGACCTTTGGGTTTTTCCTGATCATTTGCTGTTACCATCAGGGCTGCAGTGACCATCTGATTTGCAGAGGCATTATTTCCCGTATCTGATGGGGTGATACTCTGGGATGGACTGGCCTAGTCGAAAGGGGTGGTGCTTTGAAAACACAGCTGTGAAGTCTTTGCCACTTCTTGGATTAAGAAGTGGGGTCTACGCCAGGTGTTACACCAACACTTTGGGAGGTCGAGGCAGGTGGGTTGCTTGAGCTTAGGAGTTTGAGACTAGCCTGGGCCACATGGTGAAGCCCCATCTCTACCAAAAATACAAAAATTAGCTGGTCGTGGTGGCACATACCTGCAGTCCTAGCTACTCAGGAGGCTGAGGTGGGAGGATCATTTAAACCCAGGAGAAGGAAGTTGCAGTGAGCTAAGATCATGTCACTGCACTCCAGCCTGGGTGAGCCAGACCCTGTCAAAAAAAAAAAAAAAAAAAAAGAAGAAAAAAGAAAGAAAGAAAGAAAAAGAAAAAAGGAAATGGAATCTATATCTCCTCCCCTTGAAACTGAGTGGGCTTTTGATGAATTCAACCAGGAGAGTATTACAGAAGTAATGCCGTGGGATGTCTGAGACTTGGTCATAAAAGGTCATACAGTTCCATCTTGTTTGCTGGAAGACTTGTTCTTGGAGCCTTTACCTGCAACTTAAGAGGTCTGACTCCTTCAGGCTGCCATGCTGAAAGGAAGACCAAGACACTTGAAGAGGCCACATGTCAGCACATCAGTCACTGTCCCCAGTGATGGTGACACCCACCCTTCAAGTCATGCCAACAAAGCCACCAGACATGTGAGTGAAGTAGTCTCCAGACATTTTGAGTGACCCCCTCCCCAGCTGAGGCCTTAGTCTTCATGGAACAGAAATAAACCATAAAAAACTAGAATAAAGGATATGAGCAATTTTTTTTAATGTATAGCAAGCATTTATACACTTTAGCTCATTTAATTCTCCCAAGAATCTTGCAGGGCAAGTATTATCAACCCCATTTTACAGAGAAGAGGAACAGAGCTCAGAGAGGTTCAGCAACTTGCCCAAGGCATCACAGCAGGTGACTGAAAGACCTGGATGCTAACTTGGGTCTTTCTGGCTCCAGACCCACCCTCCTACATGGGTTGCTTGCTGAAAGAGGGAAACAACTCATTGTGTCGAACTTTCCAGCTCAGCCATAAGAAATTTCTAGACCCAAAGAATACACTGAAATAGATCAGAAGTTCCATGCCTGGGTCCTCTGGGAGCTATTTTTGGCAAAAACCGCTGGAAAACTGTGCATCCATTCTTCCTGCCAGTGTTGTGTAGGCAGGGAGGAATGTGTAAACTCTCCACTGTTGCTGAGAATTCTGTTCATTGAGGATCTCAACTGGCCAGATGGTCTTACAGTTAACTACCCTGCTGGTTAACAAACAAATGAAGCTATTACTCCCTTTAGTAGGAGGAGACCTTTCTTTTAAATTTAAATTTACTTTTGCTTTCTGATCCAACTGAGGAACAAGTTAGGAGGAAAGCTTTCTAAACATGAAATTCTGCCAGAGCACTTGCCACCGAATGGGTTTCTCCCTACTGGTGATAAGTGGTATTGCAACTCAGCTCTATTAGACAAAAGGGAGGTGAGAGACACATGTACATGGGGCAATCTCTGGAGCTGGAGACAATTTCAAGGGAAGGCTCAACTAAGAGACAGTGTCACAGAATGATTACACTTGAGTCTCAGGAGTCACAGGATCTGGGTTCAAATCCCTGCCTTGGTGCATGTCCATTAGGGTCCACTCAGGGAAACAGAAACCACATCAGGTATTTCAAACAGAGGGAAATGGATACATGAATGATGAGACTACCAGAGATGAGCATCAGCAGGAAGCCAGTACCACCCGGAGTGCAAGAGGGAAAACCGGAGGACCCTGTATTACCAGAGCCCAGGAGCTGGGGCCATCTGAAATGCAGGAATGGCAACTGAACCATTCCAAAGGCTAGACTTTGCCAGGGATGCTGGAGCCACAAAGAAGTCCCTGCTGCTGCAAATATGCCACTTGAAGCAGAGAGAGGGAGAAATACCATGTTTATCCCTTCCTCTCACTCTTCAGCCTCCCGCCAGGCTTCCCATTTGTTTAACTCAGTAGAGAGTCAATTGGCAAGGAGGCCTAGGATATGTTGCTTCTCACCATACAGAGTTGAGCAAGAGGACAGATATGAAAGCAAAGAGGCAAATGCAGCCTCTCTCTGTAAATGCAACATTGAGCAAGAGCCTTAGACCGAGTGACTTCCTGCTCTGGGCCTCAACTTCCTCCTCTGCAAAATGGGGATAACATCCTATCTTGGACCGGACCCATCATGATGACAGTCAAGAGAGATAATCCAGAGAAGGCTGCCAGTACCCAGGCTGACACGGGGTAACAAGCACTACAGACTTGGTGGGGCTGTTGGTGGAACATCCCCAGCCCCCCAGAAGTCACCAGTGCTGCCCACTGGGGGATATTTTCCATAGGACCCTTCTTAGATTTTAATACAGGAGGGAGCAGGAATGGGGGAATTAGCTTTGAAGTAATGTCCCCTTGCCTGTCACTGCCTTTTTTTTTTTTTCTTTTTTTTGAGACGGAGTCTCACTCTGTCGCCCTGGCTGGAGTGCAGTGGCATGATCTCAGCTCACTGCAACCTCCGCCTCTGAAGTTCAAGCGATTCTCCTGCCTCAGCCTCCTGAATAGCTAGGATAACAGGGGTGCACCACCACGCCTGGCTAATTTTTGTATTTTTAATAGAGATGGGGTTTCGCCATGTTGGCCAGGCTGGTCTTGAACTCCTGACCTCAAGTGATCCTCCTAACTTAACCTCCCAAAGTGCTGGGATTACAGGCATGAGCCACTGCACCCAGCCTGCCACTGCCTTTTGTATAGAAGTGTTCCAGACTAGTTTGTGCTTTCTAAAGGCTGAGTGTAAGGGAATGTGTGGTGTATGTTCATAGTAGGTGTGTGATAACATGTGAATATATGCATGCGGGGTATTTGTGCGAGTGTGGAAGTGTGTAAGCGTGTGTGTGAGAATGCATGGCATATGTATATTGTATAAGAGTGTGTGGTGTATGAGATGTATGGTGTGTGTTTGCGAGGGTGTAATGTGTTTGGGCGTAGCATGTGTGTGAATGCATTTGTGTGAGTGTGTGTATGCTTGAGTGTGTATGGGTGTGTGGTGAGTGTGAGAGGGGCTGCAGGATGAGAGTCGGATTCTCCATCTATGCTTCTCATATAGAGCTCCAGAAGGTCCTTTTGAGAAATCCCCAAACCACAGCCTGCTGGGCCCTGTGTCAGGGCAGAGTCGGGGCCGGGGTCCAGGTGGGCTGAGGTTTTTCAACTCGAGACTAAGCTCCTTCTGCTGGGTGTGTGACCTTGGCAGCCCATGAGACCCCTTCTTCTGTGCTTCAGTTTCTGTTCGGTGTTTTGTTTTGTTTTGTTTTGTTTTGTTTTGTTTTGTTTTGTTTTGTTTTTGAGATAGGATTTCATTCTGTTGCCCAGGCTGGAGTGCAGTGGCACAATCATAACTCACTGCAGCCTTGACCTCCTGGGCTCAAGCCATCCTTTTGCCTCAGCCTCCTGAGTAGCTGGGACTAAGGGTGCACAACAGCTAATTTTAAAAATTATTTTTAGTAGAGACGGAGTCTCACTATGTTGCCCAGGCTGGTCTCCAACTCCTGGGCTCAGGTGATCCTCCCACCTCAGACTGACAAAGTGCTGGGATTACAGGCATAAGCCACCATGCCCTGCCTGTGCCTTGGTAAATGGGGGTAAAATGGGGGGTAATCACTGGACTTCCTAGGATGGTTGTGATGTGAGTGCTTGGCCCAGGGCTTGGGGTGGTGGAAGGCATTAGCCACCTATTATTATCAACTCTGGCTATTTATGTTGCTATTTTCTCTCATCATTATATTTACTTCATCTAAAGAAGTGACAGTGGCCCTCAAGAGGAGGATGAAAATCAGCAGGGCTGGCCGTACGGAGTGTTGTTCAGGATGGGGAAGCCCAGCGACTCTCAGGTGCCACTATGGGCAATGGAAGTCATTCAACCCATCTGAAATATGAACGGTGTCCACAAAAGCTAACCATACACATACCCTATACCCAGCAATCCCAGTCCTGGGCAAAAACCTGGAGAAACGAGGCACCTGCCCACCACAGGCCTGCACATGCAGCATGGCTCAGGATAGCCCCCAAGGGGAGACAAATCCAATGTCCACCAACAGGGTCATGGAGAAATAAAGTGTGAAAGAGGAGCCGGGCGCAGTGGCTCACGCCTGTAATCCCAGCACTTTGGGAGGCTAAGACAGGGGGATCACTTGAGGCCAGGAGTTCGAGACCAGCCTGGCCAACATGGGGAAACCCTGTCTCTACTAAAAATACAAAAATTAGCCAGGTGTGGTGGCGGGTGCCTGTAATCCCAGCTACTCAGGCGGCTGAGGCAGGAGAATCACTTGAACCCGGGAGGTGGAGGCTGCAGTGAGCTGAGATTGCACCACTGCACTCCAGCCTGGGTGATGACAGAGTGAGACTCCTTCTCAATAAAAAAGTAAAATACAATAAAAATAAAGTGTGAAACAGCCATGCAGTGGAATACCACTCAGCAATGCAAAAGAACAAACTCCTGCCGTACACGATGTGAATGAAACTCACAGACATGGCGTTGAGGGAATGAGATGAGCTAGAAAACATCCCCACTGTCCACTTTCACTCATCTGAAGCAACAGGCTAAACTCATCAATAGTGTCAAAAGTCAGAGGAGGGGCTGCCTCTGGCCAGGAGGTGGGGAGGGTCTGAGGGACCGTGCTAGAGACGCCCTGGACCTCAGTCTGGGTGGTGCCTCTGTGGGCATAAAACTATGTCAGAACTCACCAAGTTGGACACTCAGATGCGTGCATGTAAGTGATTGTGTTTTCCCTTGATAAACACTTTTTTATGACACAGAGTCTCCCTCTGTCACCCAGACTGGAATGCAGTGGCACCATCGTAGGCCACTGCAGCCTCAAACTCCTGTGCTCAAACGATCCTCCAACCTCAGCCTCCCTGGTAGCTGGGACTACAGGCATGCACCACCATACCTGGTTAATTTTTGTATTTTTAGTAGAAACAGGGTCTTGCTATATTACCCAGGTTGGTCTGAAACTCCTAGACTCAAGCGACCCTCCTGCCTTGGCCTCCCAAAGTGCTGGGATTACAGGCATGAGCCCCTGTACCCAGCCGATAAACACTTTTTGAAGTCCTTTTTTTTTTTTTTAAAGTAATGAATGGATTGTAGGAATCATGGTAATAAAAGACTGATTCATGCTACATAAAGTGGATGAACTTGAAAATATGTTGAGTGAAAGAAGTCAGACACAAAAGGCCACTTACTGTATGATTCCATTTATATGAAATGTCCAGAATAGGCAAATCCACAGAAGAAGAAAGTGGATTAGGGTTGGCCGGGCACGGTGGCTCACGCCTGTAATCCCAGCACTTTGGGAGGCCAAGGCGGGTGGATCACAAGGTCAGGAGATCGAGACCATCCTGGCTAACACGGTGAAACCCCGTCTCTACTAAAAAATACAAAAAATTAGCCGGGCGTGGTGACGGGCCCCTTTAGTCCCAGCTACTCGGGAGGCTGAGGCAGGAGAATGGCGTGAACCTGGGAGATGGAGCTTGCAGTGAGCTGAGACGGCGCCACTGCATTCCAGCCTGGGCGACAAAGCGAGAATCTGTCTCAAAAAAAGAAAGAGAGAGAGAGAGAGAAGGAAGGAAGGAAGGAAGGAAGGAATTAAGGAAGGAAGGAAAGAAGGAAGGAAGGAAGAAAGAAAGAAAGAAAGAAAGAAACAAAGAAAAGAAAGAAAGAAAGAAAAGAAAAAGAAAGAAAAGAAAGAAAGGAAAGAAAGAAAGAAAAAGAAAGAAAGAAAGAAAGGAAAGAAAAAGAAAGAAAGAGAAAAAGAAAGAAAGAAAGAAAGAAAGAAAGAAAGAAAGAAAGAAAGAAAGAAAGAAAGAAAGAAAGAAAGAAAGATAGATTAGGGTTTACCAGGGGCTGGGACAAGGGCGGTTGGGCGGGTGACTGCTATGAATATGGGGTTGTATTTTAGGGTGGGGAAAACATTCTGGAACTAGACTGATGGTTATATAACACTGTGAACGTACTAAATGCTACCTAACTGTACTTTAAATTGGTGATTTTTATGTGATGTGTATTTTACCACCTTTTTCTTTCTTTCTTTCTTTTTTGGAGACAGATTCTCACTCTGTCACCCAGACTTAAGTGCAGTGGCATGATCTCAGCTCACTGCAACCTCTGCCTCCCAGGTTCAAGCTATTTTCATGCCTCAGCCTCCCGAGTAGCTGGAATTACAGGTGTGTGCCACCACACCCAGCTAATTATTGTATTTTTAGTAGAGATGGGGTTTCACCACGTTGACTAGGCTGGTCTCAAACTCCTGACCTGAAGCAATTCTTCCACCTCAGCCTTGCGAAATTCTAGGATTACAGGCATGAGCCACTGTGCCTAGATGCCACCATTTGTTTTAAAGTAATTAATGGGGCTGGGTGCAGTGGCTCATGCCTGTAATCCCAGCACTTTGGGAGGCCGAAGCGGGCAGATCACCTGAGGTCAGGAGTTCGAGACCAGCCTGGCCAACATGGTGAAACCCCATCTCTACTAAAAATACAAAAATTAGCCAGGCGTGTTGGCATGCACCTGTAATTTCAGCTACTCGGGAGGCTGAGGCAGGAGAATGGTTTGAACCCTGGAGGTGGAGGTTGCAGTGAGCCAAGATGACGCCACTGCACTCCAGCCTGGGGGACAGGTGAGACTCCATCTCAGGAAAATAAATAAATAAAAATAAATAAATAAAGTAATTAATGGTAAAACAAAAAAAGTTGAACTTTGCTCTGAATCTTCACAGTATGCCTACATGTGGTGCCCTATTTTCTCTGTTTTGCAGGTGGGGAAGCTGAGGCCCAGAGAGGTGAGTGGCATGTCCGAAGCAGCCCAGCGCAGGGTGCGAGGTAGGCAGGGCTGGGCCCCCGGGCCTTCCCTGTGAACCATCTGCCCGCCGGTTGCAGGAGGCAGTTCCTGGAAAGCAAGCGGGCCGAGTTCCTCACAGAGATCAGAAGAGCAACAAGATCTCCAGGCCAGGGCAGAGGTCCCCGCCCTGGATGCTGGTGACACTTCCCCTGGGCGGGAGGGGCTGGGAGCATGCAGATCTCAGCCCTGAACAGCCTGTCCTCTCGCCTCGAGGTTCTTGGTAGGCTGGGAACAGCCTGTCCTGCTGAGCTTCCTGTCACCTCTCTAGCTGCCCACACGCCGCACAGCTGCCACCGCCGGCCCTGGCCCGGGAGAGGGGGGTCTCTGGGGATCTTAGCAGGCCATGGTGGGGGTGTCTTGGGGCCAGCCTGAACTGAAAGACCATCACAGCTTGCAAGCCACCTCCCTGCTCTGTTGCTGGCTCTCCTTGAAGACAAGTGTTTTTCAATTAACCAAAGCGGTGCATGGCAATGTGATAGGGGAATGAAACACAGCAACAGAATCAATGCCCCACGCTGGGCAATAGCCGACTTTCTGTTCGCTCCCATCCCTTCCTTCCCTCCCCGCCTCCTTCCCCTGCTCCTTCCATTCCACAAACATTTATTGAGCACCCGCTGTGTGCCAGCCACTGTTCTAGGCCCTGAAGACACAGAAGTGAACAAAAAAAAAGAGTCCCTGTGCACATCCTGGAGGGACTTTCCCCGTGTGTGTGTGTGTGTGTGTGTGTGTGTGTCTATACAGTGTATGGAGACAGTGGATAATAAAAGCTGTTTATGAGGCACTTTCTCTGAGCTGTTCCATGTGCTTCACTTATACTCATTCAGCTAATCCTCAGGACACCCCCGTGAAGTCAGTGATATTAGTCACAGAGGCCCAGAGAAGTGAAGTGACTTGCCCAAGGTCACACAGCCAGCAAGAGGCCAAGCCCGGATTGAACCCCAGCCGCCTGGCTCTGGAGCCTGCAGCATAACCACAGCAGGGAACTGCCACCGGAGACAGACATCGACAGCCACTAGGAGATGTTAACCAACAGGCTTGTCTTCACGGCACGGCCCCCGCTTCACCAGCTGCACTGTTTGATGAGCTTTGCAGGTCCCAGATCTTATAAGCTCATGGTGATTGATCCAAATGATGCAGAGGTCGGCCTAAAGTTAGAAGTGGGCCCCTCTCTGCCCCAAGACAGCCCTTCACCCCAATTCCATTCCCACAGTTTGGGCATCCACCCAGGCTGCCAAGCCAAGCGGGGGCTGCCCGGGTTAGCAGGGACCTGGCCATGGGCCTCCTCAGCTAGGGGCCGCCTCTCTGAGGAGTGGGTGCCCCGCCCCTCCGTGGGCCGCCTGGTTTCTCTTATTGGCAGCGTCTGTAGTCCCCTGGCTCTGTCACCCGCAGCTATTCTAGGCCTCTGGTTCCTTTCACTTTCTGCTCTGCGTCTTCCTGCCTCGGTGGTTCCCCACCATCCAGCCTGAGACCTCCCCGTTGCCCGCCCTGGGTTTCTGTCTGCTCCTCTCCGTGGTGGCCGGCCCTGGCTCTGCCCCAAAGCCATGGAGAAGGCCAAATGCAGGCTGTAGAAAGGTCTGGGATCAGATCCCCCCATCCTTCCATGGCCACGTGACCGGGCCCGCCTCTTCCCTCTGAGCCTCACATCCTCATCTGAAGAGGGAATGCTGCTCATGCCCACCTTGCGGGGATGTGGGGAGGGGGTGCTGCCAGTGGAGACTCCCAGGGGACCCTCCAGGAGTCTCATCCTGACTCGAGACTGGGCACCTGGTGGGGGCACAGGCCCCCTCTCCCGCCATGGGACCGCCACATCCAGGCTCTCGTGGGTTGAGATGCTGAGGAAAGGAAAGAACAAAACCTGCTGGAGGAGCAGCGAACACGGCCCTCAGCTGGGTGACCTTGGGCAAGTCACTTCCCCTCTCTGGGCCTCAGTTTCCATATCTGTGAATGAGGCAGCTGGACTGAAGAATAGAGAGTCACAAAGCAGAGTGACACAAACTGGGCTACAGGAAACCCTGGAGGCCCTCGACCCAGGCTGGGGCCGGGGATGGTTCTGCAAAGCCTCTTGGGAGAGGGTTGCCTGAGCTGAGTCTCCAAACAGAACAGTGGCCTTAAGTCACGGGAGATGAGCCAGAGCAGTCCAGAGGGCACGGTCAGCACATGCTAAGGTCCTGGGGCACAGAGTACAGGGCTTGAGAAGGGTTCCTCTTGCTCCATGTGACTTTCATCATCCAACAGCCTGTGGTGGCACTTGCCTGTATCCCAGCTATCTAGGAGGCTGAGGTGGGAGGATTGCTTGAGTCTGAGAGGTCGGGCTTGTTCTCCCGGTGTTGGCAGAGTCCAGAGGGAGCAAGTGGAAGCCACAGGTGTCTTGAGGCCTAGGCTGAGATCTAGCACATCACCGCGTCACTTCATCCCTTCATTTCATCCTATTGGCCAAAGCAGCCCAATTCTAGGGATGGGGATCTAGACTCAACTTCTTGATGGGAGAAGTAGCAAAGTCACACTGCCAAGGGCAGGGACACAGGGAGGGATGAAGAGTTAGGAATGGTTTTTCTTTTTCTTTTCTTTCTTTCTTTTTTTTTTTTTTTTTTTTGAAACAGTCTTGCTTTGTCACCCAGGCTGGAGTGCATTGTCGTAAGCTCACTGCAACCTCCACCTCCCGGGTTCAATCTATTCTCCTTCCTCAGCCTCCCAAGTAGCTGGGACTACGGGTGCCTGCCACCACGCCTGGCTAATTTTTGTATTTTTAGTAGAGGCAGGGTTTCACCATGTTGGCCAGGCTGGTCTCGAACTTCTGTCTTCAAATGAATTGCTCACCACAGCCTTCCAAAGTGTTGAGATTACAGGCGTGAGCCACTGCGCCTGGCAGGGCTGGTTTTTCAATCACTCTGATGAACTCCCCAACAATCATCCCTTGTCAATTAAGTTCCAGGCCAATCAAGGTGGCTCACACCTGTAATCCCAACACTTTGGGAGGCTGAGACGGGAGGACGTCTTGAGCCCAGGAGTTTGAGACCAGCCTGGACATCATGGTGAGACCCTGTCTCTACAAAAAATAAAAAATTAACCGGGTGTGGTGGTGCTTCCCTGTATCCCAGCTATCTGGGAGGCTGAGGTGGGAGGATTGCTTGAGTCTGAGAGGTCGAGGCTGCAGTGAACTGTGATCACTCTAATGTACTCCAGCCTGGGAGACAGAGTGAGACCCTGTCTCAAAAAAAACTTCCAGTTCCTGGTCACTGACTTTCTTTTCTTTTTTTTTTTTTTTTTTTTGAGACAGAGTTTTGCTCTTGTTGCCCAGGCTGGAGTGCAATGGCGCGATCTCGGCTCACCGCAACCTCCGCCTCCCAGGTTCAAGCAATTCTCCCGCCTCAGCCTCCTGAGTAGCTGGGATTACAGGCAGGCACCACCATGCCTGGCTAATTTTTTTTGTATTTTTAGTAGAGACGGGATTTCTCCATGTTGGTCAGGCTGGTCTTGAACTCCTGACCTCAGGTGATCCGCCCACCTCGGCCTCCCAAAGTGCTGGGATTACAGGTGTGAGCCACCGCGCCCGGCTAGGTCACTGACTTTCAACAATGGGCAGGTAACTCAATTCTGGCCAATGAGACATGAAGAAAGCTTTCCTTGCTCCTAAGGGAAGCCCCAGGGAGAGACATGGTTTTCTGTTCTTCCTGATGTGGTGGCTGAAACTTCACTGGCCCTCTTAGGACTGACCTCAGATAAAACCAACAGCGAGATATCAGCTGAAAGATGGAAGGAAAATGAACTTGGATTTCCTATTGAACAAGATATTACATGTCCAGATTCTTCCTTTTTTTTTTTTTTTAAGAGATGGGGTCTTGTTCTATCATCCAGGCTGGAGTGCAGTGGTGTGATCATAGCTCACTATAGCCTCGATCTCCTGTCCTCAAGTAATCCTCCCACTCTGGCCTCCCAAAGCACTAGGATTACGGATGTGAGCCACCACACCTGGCCCATTTCCAGATCCTTTTTAAAAAAATATTTTTTAAAGTAGAGACACGGTCTCACTATGTTGCCTAGGCTGGTCTTGAACTCCTGGCCTCAACGATCCTCCTGCCTAAACCTCCCAAAGTGCTGGGATTACAGGTGTGAGCCGCACATGCTTGGCCCATTTCCAGATTCTTTAAGCCGGTTTACATCAGGATTCCTTTTACTTGACCCCGAAGACATCCTTAATGATGCCTCTGGTTATTTTGGTCTTTGTGAGCCGTGTCTGCCTGACTGTGCCAGGTCAGAGCTTGAGAGCTCCAGGCTTTTCTCCCAATGATGTTGGAGGGTCCCAGGTGCAGCCCCAAGCTTCTGCCCTTCATATACAGGGACCTCCCGTCTGCCCACTGTACCAAGGCCTCTCAGCCCCCACGGCCAAACCAGCAGTCACGATCCTGGATTCAGGAGACAGACCTGGGTTCTGGTGAATTGGACTCCACCCTTTGTCACTGTGCAACATCAGGTAAGTCTTCTAACCTCTCTTAGCCGTAGGTGGCTCTTCCACAAAACGAAGTAGTCAAACCTACATTTGCATGGTTCATACTTCATGACAGCACATTGAAAATGTTGAAAAATCTCTCTCTGGCAATTAAAATTTGCATCTCTGGGTTTTCATGGTTTCCAATGTGCTTCTTAGTCTCTCAATAATAACAACAGCAGCAACAGTAATAGTAACAGCCAGCAATTAGGGAGCACCTGCTCCGCGCCAGGCACACTGCAGATGGTCGTGCATGCACCATCTCATTTAAAATCTTCTGTGCTCAGGACACTCCCGTCCTACTCTGCCTCAAAGCCTCGCTCCTTTCCAGGACCCATGGTCTGTGCGTGATCTGATTCTACTCCTCACCTCTCCATCCTCACCTCTGACTTCTCACCCCTCACGCATGCTGCAGCAGCCACACTGACCTTTCTTTGAACACACTGGGAACAGTCCTACCTCAGGCCCTTGGCACCTGCTCTTCCACCTGCCTGAAAGGCTCTACGTCCAGATGGGCAGCTTGCTCATCCCTTCCAGCTCCCAGCTTCTTGGAGAAGGCTTCCCTAGCCATCATAATAAAATACCAACCCACACCTGGCACCTCCTAGCCACACCCCACCCGCCACTGCCTGCTTTACTTTACTTCCCTCTGACATACTGATTTTTTGTTTGTTAGTTTTTTGCTTTTGCTTGTTTTGTTTTTGAGACAGGTTCTTGCTCCATCACCCAGGCTGGAGTGCAGTGGCATGATCTTGGCTCACTGCAGCCTCAGCCTCTCCAACTCAAGCAATCCTCCCACCTCAGCTTCCAGAGTAGTTGGGACCACAGGCGCACACCACCACACCCAGCTAATTTTTAAAATAATTTTTGTACAAACGGAGCCTTGCTGTGTTACCCAGGTTGGTCTCAAACTCCTGGGCTCAAGCAATCCTCCCACCTCCACCTCCCAAGTGCTGGGATGATGGGGGTGAGCCTCCGTGCCCAGCCCACGTACTGTTTAACAGGTTTGTTGGCTAGAGTTTGCCTCTCTCCCTGCTAGACCATACGTTCCTCAAGGGCAGAGGATTTGGTCTGTTTTATTCACTGCCAACAGCCCAGAGCCAGGAAGAATGCCTGTCATATAATAAATGTTCAGTGAATGTTTGTTGAATAAATGAACAATGTATATGCCCCTATAGGATAAATGCCAGTGTTATTCCCATTTTTCAGCTGCGACGCAAGAGCTCAAGAAGTGAACTGGCTCCCATTGGCACGGCAGAAGGAGCCGTGGTGGGACTCTGATGTGGAGCCGCCTTGAGCTGCAGAGCCAGGACTCTGCACAGCACCTGCCTTGGCCCTTTTAAGGTCTCTGCTTCTGGATCTGCCAGGTAAGGCCTGATCCTGGGCCAGATGCCAGAGGGCCCTTCCTGTTGGCATCTCTGCAAAGCCTCATGTGTTGTCTGATGGCAACATCGTACTGGGAGAGCCCTGGAGGCCTGGAGCAGGACCAAGGGACAGTCAAGTGGACAAAGGCCTTTCTGAGGAGGAAGCAGGTGAGAGGAAGGAGTCCTGAGTGGCAGGACCAGCCCTGGGAAGGACAGTGTCCTTCACAGCTCAGAGGTCAGAGTTGAATCAGGCCCACAAACCCTCCCTGAGCCTCTGCTCTGGGCTCCTCATGGATAGGCCTAAGAGCCAGGGGTGATTCAGACTTAGGTATTAAAGTGGGGGACAGACGCAGGAGGGTCCTTCAAAGGGGGCTATTTTAACTTTTATTTATTCATTTACTTACTTGCTTACTTACTTATTTGAGGCAGAGTCTCGCTCTGTTGCCCAGGCTGGAGTGCAACGGTGCAATCTCAGCTCACTGCAACCTCCGCCTCCCAGGTTCAAGCGATTCTCCTGCCTCAGCCTCCCGAGTAGCTGGGATTACAGGCACCTGCCACCATGCCCGGCTAATTTTTGTATTTTTAGTAGAGAAGGGGTTTCGCCATGTTAGCCAGGCTGGTCTCGAACTCCTGACCTCAAGTGATCCATCTGCCTAGGCCTCCCAAAGGGCTGGGATTACAGGCGTGAGCCACCGCACCCAGCTGCTATTTTTATTTCATTTCAGCCCTATTCTGATCCTTCTTGGGGATAATGTCTCCCCATCTCATAGATGGGGAAATACAAACTCAAATTGGTGAAGGAATTGTCCCAAGGTCATTTGGCTAGAAAGAAGCACATCGAGTTGGATGACAATGATAATAATAATGTGACTCCCGAGTAGCTGGGACTACAGGCACCCACCATCACGTCCGGCTAATTTTTTGTATTTTTAGTACAGGTGGGGTTTCACCGTGTTAGCCAAGATGGTCTCAATCTCCTGACCTCGTGATCCCCCTGCCTCGGCCTCCCAAAGTGCTGGGATTACAGGCGTGAGCCATTGTGCCCAGCCTCTAGTTCTTTCTTATTCTCTTATTCTGAGTGTTCCTTTTCACAGCATCTTATTCTTCTTATATGAATGCAATATATTTTATTTCTCTGAAGCTTCCTTATTTTCTCGAAGACTTTTGTTTCTCCCCACCTGGCTCTGTTTTTTTGGAGTTTTTTTCCTCTCTTGGTTTCGGTCTTTGACTTTCATTTTACAAGCTGCCCTCAAGGTTTCAGTGACCCTCCATTGCACGTTCGTATTGAAGAGCAGGGAACTGAAAAAGATACTGGGAAATGAAGACCCTTGGAAGCTCCATGTCTGTGGCAGGACGTGTGGACAGGGGAGGCTTGTTGGGATCTGGCTGTCCTTGTAAGATCCCAAAGCCAGCATCGGAAGCGTCGTCTGAGAGGATCCCTGTGACCTCCTGACTGCAGAGAAAGCAGGCTGCCAGCTTCCAGGAAGCAAGCAGGGGGATGGGGCCAGGGGCGTCTCCCTGACAGGCACGTGGCCTTTCCCTTCCCTCCTTGTTTCAGGACTGACCCACCCCAATTCACTTTGCTGTCCTCAAACTCTAAGCCTCCAGCACAGGTTTTATTTAGATAGTATATTTATGATGGGTGTTGATAAAGATTGGAGGGTAAATGGCCTCCCAACTTACCCCTTGGCACCCCTCGGATGCCAGGTGGTAGGGTGTGAAAATGAACCAGACCTGCTGGTTGAAGACCTGCTAATTATTGAGCAACTACTATGTGTCAGGCGCTGAATCTAAATCAGGGTTTTGCCATGCAGGGAACATCTGGGCATGTCTGGAGACATTTTCAGTGTTACAAATCGCTGTAGGGGTGGGTACTACTGGTATCTAGTGGGTAGAGGCCAGGGATGCCACTAAGCGTCCTAAAGTGCACAGTGCAGCCTCCCATACCAGGCTCTGAATGTGAATAGAGCCAAGGTCAAGAAACCCTGCTCTAGAAAGATGAAAGACACATTCCCTGACTTCACAGGACAGGAGTAAAGAATTTCTGGTTCCAGCCGGGCACACTGGCTCACGCCCATAATCCCAGCACTTTGGGAGGCTGAGGTGGGCAGATCGTTTGAGGTCAGGAGTTCAAGACCAGCCTGGTCAACATAAATGAAACCCCATCTCTACTAAAAATGCCCCCCAAAAAAACAAAAATATTAGCTGGGTGTGGTGGCACATGCCTGTAATCCCAACTGCTTGGGAGGCTGAGGCAGGAGAATCACTTGAACCTGGGAGATGGAGGTGGAAGTGAGCCAAGATCATTCCATGAACTCCAGCCTGGGTGACAGAGCGAGACTCTGCTGAGAGAGAGAGAGAAGGAAGAAGAAAAAGTAAAAGAAGAAGAAGAAGGAGGAGGAGGAGGAGGAGGAGGAGGAGGAGGAGGAGGGGCAGGGGGGAGGAGGAGGGGGAGGGGGGAGGAGGAGGGGGGAGGAGGAGGGCGAGGGGGAGGGGGAGGGAGGGAGAGAAGTAGAAGAAGAAGAGTAAAGAAGGAAGGAAGAAAAGAGAAAGAAAAGAAAGAAAGAAAAAAGAAAGAAAGAAAAAGAAAGAAAGAAAAAAAGAAAGACCCTGCTCTAGCAAGATGAAAGACACATTCCCTGGCTTCATAGGAAAGGGGCAAATAATTTCTAGTTCTGGCCAGGCACAGTGGCTCGCACCTGTAATCCCAGCACTTTGGGAGGATGAGGTGGGAGGATGCCTTGAACCCAGGAGTCTGAGACCAGCCTGGGCAACATATCAAGACCTTGTCTCTATCAAAAAAAGAAGAGAAAAGAAAAGAGAAAAAAAATAATTTCTAGATCCTCAGCATCTGCTATGTTCCAGGGGCAGGAGGAAGCTCTGTCTTCACTTTGGCAGCAAGCCTGTAGCCTAGGCATTCTCAGCCCGTTTTGCTGGAGGGGGCATTTGAGGCCTGGCCAGCTTAGCCAGCCTACAAGGAGTGTTACTGGGGTGAAAACAGCCAGCGGGGACCAGTCTGCTTGTGGCCCGCCAGGTGCCTGGGATGGGGAAGCAGCAAATGCCCACCTTCCTGCCCAACCCCCTCCTCCCTCTTCATGGGGGGAACTGGGGGTGGCAGCGGCTGCCGGGTGCGAGCGGGCTCAGGCCTGTGGCCCTGCCTGACGTTGGTCCCCATCAAGCCATGTGACGAGACCAGGCCACAAGAAAGAGGTTTCAACAAGCGTTATCGTTTCCTGGAACTCCAACTCGGCGACTTCCCCGAAGACCGGCTGTGCCTGGCGGGCGGGCTGCGCACAGCGGGGACAAGGCTGCCCCCTTCCTCCTCCGCTGCCTCCGCGGCCGCGTCTATCTCAGTCTGACTACCTGGAAGCAGCACTCCACCCTCCAGCCCAGCGGCCCTCGGCTCAGCTGCCAGGTCACCGGCAACCCCGGGAGCGGTGGGGCAGGGGCTGCTCCGCCAGCCTCTGTGATGTTCAGGCCGGGCTGCACCAGCCCGGGACCCCTAGGTGCCCAGAAACCCACTTCCTCTTGTTTCTGCCCCTGAACAAGCTTCTCAGGGCAGCTGACAATCAGACTTAGCACAGATGTGCCTCAGTGTTGCTCTCAGAGAAATGAACACAAGGCTAGACGCAGTAGCTCACACCTGTAATCCTAGCACTTTGGGAGGCCGAGGTGGGCGGATCATTTGAGGTCAGGAGTTCGAGACCAGCCTGGCCAACATGGTGAAATCCCGTCTCTACTAAAAACACAAAAATTAGCCAGGCGTGGTGGTGGGCGCCTGTAATCACAGCTACTCAGGAGGTTGAGGCACAAGAATCACTTGAACCCAGGAGGCAGAGGTTGCAGTGAGCTGAGAGTGAACCACTGCACTCCAGCCTGGACAATAGAGCGAGATTCCATCTAAAAAAAAAAAAAAAGAAAAGAAAAGAAAAGAAAGAAAAGAAATGGAAACAAATCTCCCACCCCATTCATCCTGCCCACCAGACAGGGGCCTCTCTGGATCCAGGCGGATAGTTTCTGTTTCTGGCTGACTAGGCCCTAGAAATCCAGAGAAGGGGCTAAAACCTCACTTTGGTGGAGGTGGGGTGGCTGAGAACTCAAATTCTTGGGTACCACCATCTCGGTGATGACTCTGGGATAAGTCACTTCCTCAGTTCCCCAGTTCACAGAAACCCCAGTTGTAAATATAGACCTGGCCACAATGGGGCGGGGTGGTGGGCCCAGGGGCAGAGTGAGATGGGGAGTGAGGAGGAAGAACCAAGGACAAAATCTGATTCCTCTGAAAAGGCAGAAGCCTCCAGGCCAATGGGGTTTTCTTAACCTGCTTTTGGGAAGGAAAGACTGTCAGGCTTTTGGTCTCTCTGGGCCTCAGTTTCCTCCTCTATAAAATGAAAATGATATTAGCTTGAGCCATATGAAATTGCCAACACTCTTGTGGTTTCGACCTCCAAAACCAGCAATTTCATATGATGCTCTAACATGACTTATCTGGAAAACTGCAGACTGAAATGAGATCCTGCAAAGTGCTTAGCAGAGTGATTGCATATAATAGGTGCTCAATAAACAATAGGCCTTATGTTATAATACTTTTTCAAATAAAAATATTATTTTTTTGTAGAGACGGGGGTCTCACTAGGTTGCCTAGGCTGGTCTTGAACTCCCGGGCTCAAGCGATCCTCCTGCCTTGGCCTCCCAAAGTGGGATTACAGGTGTGAGCCACTGCACCCGGCCATAATATATATCTTATATCTCTTATATCTCCTATCTAATGATATGTCACCAGTAATAATAATGGCAGTGCTCCTAATTCTTTCACCCATCCTCTCCTTGTCAAACCCACAGCCACTTCCACTTACTGAGCACACTGTGCACCCAGGACAGATATAAATGTTCTCCATTCGGTTTTCACCACTTACTGTCACCCACAAGCGTGAGCCTGTGCAGGCATGGTGTCAGAGCTCAGGATTCATGTGTACACAGCATATAAGCCAGCACGATCTCATTCTGTGTCCCTTCTCATTCTGGCCATCTCACTCCAGAGTGAGAACCAGTCTCTCCTCATTTGGCGCATGCTTGCTGAGGATGGCCCTATTGCTACATTAACTTGTGCAAGCCACACCACGCTCATGGTTAATCTTGAGTTTATATCCTACTATAGTGTTAAGATCAAAAGTCATCCTTGGCCAGGCGTGGTGACTCAAGCCTGTAATCCTAGCACTTTGGGAGGCCGAGGCGGGCAGGTCACTTGTGGTCAGGAGTTCAAGACCAGCCTGACCAACATGGCGAAACCCTGTCTCTACTAAAAACACAAAAAATTAGCTGGGCGTGGTGTAATCCCAGTTACACATTGAGGCACGAGAATCACTTGAACCTGGGAGGCAGAGGTTGCAGTGAGCCGAGATGGCGCCACTGTACTCCAGCCTGGGCAACAGAGCAAGACTCTGTCTCAAAAAAAAAAGTCACCTTCTATTGGAGCAATTGATATTTTTAAGCCAAATGTAGGATATTTATGTCTTCAATTTCATCTTTGTACCCACTCAGTGTCCCAGTCCAGGGTTTGTTTGGGATCTGGCTCTGTTGCCCAGTGAATTCATTGTCCTTGCAATAAGCAGGTTGTCTGGCTTCTAATGAAGGAATCCAGGAAGAAGGAAGGAAGAGCATTAGCTGAGGCCGGAGCCCTGTGGCATACCACATAAGACCGCTCAGCCAGCTGTCACATGTGTGTGCAAGCGTGTGGTGTGTGTGTGTGTAGTTAATAATTTACAGAGTTGGCCGCCAGGTGCAGTGGCTCATGCCTATAATCCCAACACTTTGGGAGGCTGATGCAGGATTACTTGGGGCCAGGAGTTTGAGACCAGCCTAGACAACATAGACTCCGTCTCTACAAAAACAAAACAAAACAAAACAAAATTAGCCAGGTGTGGTAGCACAGTCTATATAATCCCAGCTACTTGGGAGGCTGAGGCTGGAGGATTGCTTGAGTCCAGGAGTTTAAGGCTGCAGTGAGCTAGGATCATGCCACTGCACTCCAGTCCTGGCAACAGGGCAAGACCCCGGCTTAAAAAAAAAAAAAAAAAGTAAAACACATTTATAAAGTTTCCAACCTGGATATTAATGCTTCTGTCTGGCTTTAAACCTCACTGAAGGGCCGGGCGCAGTAGCTCATGCCTGTAAGCTCAGCACTTTGGGAGGCCAAGGCAGGCGGATCACGAGGTCAGGAGTTCGAGACCAGCCTGACCAATATGGTGAAAACCCGTCTCTACTAAAAATATAAAAATTAGCTGGACATGATGGCACGTGCCTGTAATCCCAGCTACTCAGGAGGCTGAGGCACGAGAATCACTTGAACCCAGGAGGCGGAGGTTGCAGCAGTGAGCCGAGATCACACCACTGCACTCCAGCTTGGGGACAAGACTGAAACTCTGTCTCAAATAAATAAATAAATAAATAAATAAAAACACAACTCATTGAAGGCTAATTTTGGCCTTGCCACATGTTAGCTGTGTGACCTTGAGCAAGTTGTTTCACCTCTCCGGGCCTCAGTTTTCTCATCTGAGAAATGGAGATTGTAACAGTTTTCCCCCTATGGGGTGGTAGAAAGGATGACTGAGACGGTGTACATGGCACTTCCAGCAGTGCCTGGCGTGCCATCGCAGTTTGAGCCAGAGCCATGGAGCGTCTCTGCACCAGATGGATCCTGAAAAGTTGAACAACAGCACGTCTCCAGGGCCAGCAATTTGGCAGAGGCAGGAGGGAGGCAAGGCTGTCCCTTAGGGACTGGAGTGCCAGGCCTCCATGCAGGCTCCCTAGGAGGCCAGTCTCCCTCCTCTCATAATGCAGCCTCAAAGCCTTGGTTGTGTCTAGTTTGACAGGGACTGACCAGCAGCCGCTTCCCACTTGGCCCAGGGCTTTGGGGCTCCCAGCCAGAGTGACTTCCCCAGTCTAAGCCTCAGTTTTCCCATCCATGAAAAGGGAACAAACCCGCAGTGGACGGTTAGGAGCACTTGGTGAAGTAAACCACATCCCAAGGTCAACACTGGGTCCGTTCCCCATTCTGGCTGGGCCTGGGCTTCCTTACTGCCCTGATGGGGATGACAGCTCCTCCCTAGCTAGTCAATGACCTAGAAGGATGCTTATGAAATGCTAAGTGGAAAAAAAGTGTGTTGCAATATGGGTCATAAGAAATGGTGTCTTTTCTTTTCTAAAGAGAGAATAGGCTGGGTGCAGTGGCTCACTCCTGTAATCCCTACAATTTGGGAGGCCAAAGCAGGAAGATCACTTGAGGCCAGGAGTTCGAGACCAACCTGGGCAACATAGTGAGACCTCTGTATCCATAAAAAATTTTTAAAAATTAGCCAGATGTGGTGGCACGTGCCTGTAGTCACAGCTACTCTGAGACTGAGGTGGAAGGATCACTTGAACCCAAGGAATTTGAGGCTGCAGTGAACCGTGATCACACCACTGCACTTCAACCTGGGTGACAGAGCAAGACCGTGTCTCAAAAAAAAGAGAAAGAAAAAACTATATATGTGTGTGTATCTGCAGAAATCAGGTTAGAAATACACACATTACACACACACATACATATGTGTGTGTATATATATATAATTTATTTAATACTAACGTTATTGGTAGGTTCTTTAAACATTTTTTGAAACAAATGTGGAAATTAAAAAATAACATGGGCTGGTGGGGAATGTTAATGAGGGGGAGGCTGTGCACGTGGGGGCAGGGAGAACATGGGAACACTATGTACTTTCCACTCCATTTTGATGTAAACCTAAAACTGCTCTAATAAATACTAAGTTATTAAAAGCAACCGTGAGGCCAGGCGCAGTGGCTGATGCCTGTAATCCCAGCACTTTGGGAGGCCAAGGCAGGTGCATCACTTGAGGTCAGGAGTTCCAGACCATCCTGGCCAACATAGTGAAACCCCATCTCTACAAAAAATACAAAAATTAGCTGGACGTGGTGGTACACGCCTGTAATCCCAGCTCCTCGGGAGGCTGAGGCAGGAGAATCGCTTGAACCCGGAAGGCACAGGTTGCAGTGAGCCGAGATCGCGCCACGGCACTCCAGCCTGGGTGACAGAGAGACTCCATTTCAAAACTAACTAGCTAAATAAAGCAACCACAAATCAGGGGGTGTGAAAGTGTAGAAGCCCTGCGTTCCACTTGCTCTCCCTCAAGCTTTCCTTGACCACAGACATCAGCAAGTGACGGGGGCCACTGTCGGCCCCAGCTCCTGGCAAAACTGGTCTTGGCTCTTTCACACTGGAAGATCATTGTGTCTCTTCTTAAGACATGTGGCTCCATTTCACTTCATTCCAGCCAAACCTGACCTCTGACCCATGCTGTTCTCCAGACTCCAGTTACCCAGGACTCTGGGTTGTAAGTGACAGAAACAAAACTCAGGCAGCATAAGTGAAAATGGAAATGTGGCGCATGGAACAAGGACATCAAGGTGGACTTCAGGCATGGCTGGATGCAGGCGATCACACAATGCATCAGGGCTCTGTCTCGTGTCTTTCTCATCAACTCTCTTGATACAGTGGGCACATTGGCTAAATTAGGGCCAGTGTGCTAAATTGGCTAAATTAGGGCCAATTCTGTTAGTTTCAGCTGAAAAGGGAGGTGTCTGATTGGTCCAGCTTAGGTCATGTCCCTACCCTGAATTGGGGCATGGGGAACTCTGATTGGCCAGGTCTGGTCCACACCCATCTCTGGCCAGGGTGCTGTGATTGACAGCTCCTTCAGGACCATAGAGCATGCGGGCCAGACAGTTCCCTGAGAGCAAAGCTCTGGCTCACAGTACGCCACACGTGATTTCTGCTCTCCAGCCCTCCAGCTCCTTAGAATGTGGGACAGAGACCATCGGCTCAGGTCTGTGTTCCTAGGGCTGGGACGCCTCATATAGCGGAAGGAGGAGGGACTTTGGGCTCCAACAGACCTGGGTGTGAATCCAAGCGCCGCAGGTCACTTTACCTCTCTAAGCCTTATTTTCGCTCCCAAACATGTCTCCCTACAGGATGGTGCCAAGGATTTAAGTTAGTCCTTAAGGGCAGAGTGGGAACCTAGGCCCTAGTCCGGACCTGACAGCCATGATGGGGATCGGGGCACTGCCTGTATCTCACGTGAGAAAAGTTTGGATCTCCACTCAGGCTGTGCAGTCTTGGGCAGATAACACTTCTCTAAACCTCAGTTTCTTCCCTTGCAAAAAATAGAGAAACATGCTATCTTAGTCTGTTTTCTTTCTTTCTTTTTTTTTTTTTTGTTTTTTGTTTTTCTGAGATGGAGTCTCCCTCTGTCGCCCAGGCTGGAGTGCAGTGGCACGATCTTGGCTCATAGCGACCTCTGCCTCCTGGGTTCAAGCAACTTCTCGCCTCAGCCTCTTGAGTAGCTGGGATTACAGGTGCCTGCCAACATGCCCTGCTAATTTTCGTATTTTTGTAGAGATGGGGTTTCACCATGTTGGCCAGGCTGGTCTCGAACTCCTGACCTCAGGTGGTCTGCCTGCCTCAGCATCCCAAAGTGCTGGGATTACAGGCCTGAGCCACTGTGCCTGGCCCTTAGTTCATTTTCTGTTGCATATCACACAATACCTGAAACTGGGTAATTTATAAAGAAAGGTTATGGAGGCTGAGAAGTCCAAGGTCAAGGACTGCATTTGGTGAGGGCCTTCTTGCTGGTGGGGACTCAGTGCAGAGTCCCAAGGTGGCACAGGGCATCCCATGGTGAGTGGGCTGAGTGTGTTTGTTCACATCTCTCTCCCTCTTCTCATAAAGCCACCAGGGCCACACCCATGATAACCCATTAATCTATTACTCATTCTATCCGTTAATCCATGGGTCTCTCTTGACCCAGTCACCTCTTAAAGGTCCCACCTGTCAATACTGCCACACTGGGGATTCAGTTTCAACATGAGTTTTGGAGGGGACAAATATTCAAACCATAGCACATGGCTACTACAGGGACAGTTATTCTGATGATGGCAGGTAACACGGGCCCATTGCTAGAGATCACACCTCCAGGCCTTTGCTGATGCTGTTCCTGCTGCCTGAGATGTCTTTCCTGCAGCTTCTGGGGGAAACTCCTTGCCACCCATGTTTGAAGACTCAGACAGCAACTCCTCCAGGGAGCCTCCCCTGATTTCACATCTCCTATCATCCTCCTCACAATTCCTAGGCCTGATTAGCCATGCTCCTGCTGAGGCCTGGGTCCGGTAGTGTTGAAGCCATGTCTGAGTCCGTTTTTTTGTTTGTTTGGTTGGTTGTTTGGTTGGTTTTTTGTTTATCTGTTTGTTTGTTTTGAGACAGTGTCTTGCTCTGTCACCCAGGCTGGAGTGCAGTGGCGCAACCTCGGCTCACTGCAACCTCTGCCTCCTGGGTTCAAGTGGTTCTTCTGCCTCTGCCTCCCGAGTAGCTGGGATTACAGGCTCCCGCCACCATACCTGGCTAATTTTTGCATTTTTAGTAGAGATGGGGTTTCACTATGTTGGCCAGTCTGGTCTCTGACCTCAAATGATCTGCCCACCTCGGCCTCCCAAAGTGCTGGAATTACGGGTATGAGCCAGCACCTATATCCTTTTTATCCTAACTGTGAATGGCTCAGATTCCTCTGCCTGCTCTGTGCCTGGCATGCAGAAGGCACTGAATCAACGTTTGCAGGATCAGCAGATGCCCTCTAAGCTTTCTGGGGGTCACCCAACTCCAGCACAGGCCTCTGATGTTGGCTTTGCTGGCAACATGACACCTTCCCGGAGGAGGGGGCCTTTGGGCAGGAGAGGAAGTCCAGGCTGCATCTGGAAGCCCAGGTGGCTGATTTCTAAGAAACCAGTTGAGGGACAGGAAGGCTGGGGCAAAGGATGATTGGGACGGCTTTTACTTTCAGTTTTCTGGAGCTGGAGCAAAGCAGGTGCCCAGGGTTCTCAGTGGGAAGGGGAGGGTGGCGCAGTCACAGCCTCTTAGAGTCAAAAATAGCCACCACTTCGGGACATAGACCAGGCCTGGAGCCCAGAGTGGCTCCGCTTGGCCCCAGCAACACAGGCATGAGGGTGGGTGCAGTGAGCAGCTGTCACTGGGGGCTCCCAGGCAGGATACAGCATCTGAAAGCCTGCGTCCTCGCTCCTGGTCCCTGGCTCATCCATTTGTCCTTTATTTATTTATTTGCTTATTTACTGAGACATGATCTTGCTCTGTTGCCCAGGCTGGAGTGCAGTGGCACAATCAGCTCACTGCAGCCTCGACCTCCCAGGTCAGTCAATCCTCCTGCCTCAGCCTCCCAAGTAGCTGGGACCACAGACATGCACCACCACGCCTGGTTAATTTTTGTATTTTTTGTACTAATGAGAGACTCACTATGTTGCCCAGGCTGGTCTCAAACTCCTGGGCTCAAGCCATCCTCCTGCCTCAGCCTCCCAAATTGTTGGGATGACAGGTGTGAGCCACTGCAACCAGCCTCACCATTTATTTTATACATGCCTTAGATTATTCATTCCTTCACTCGCTCATTCATTCATCCATGTCTCCTTTCTGTTGTCCTTAGGTTCTCTCCCTGTTTTCTCTTGTCTTGTTTCCCTTCTCATTTTTCCCTCGCCCCACCTTCTCTCCTCTCCCTCTCTGTCCCTCCATCTGTGTGTGTTGCTCCTTCTCTCTCCATCCTTTCTGGGTGGCTCCATCCCTTTCTCCCTCATCTCCCCAACTCTCTCTATCTCTCTGCCTCCTTTCCCCCAATATGCCTCTCTTACTTTCTTTTCTTTGTTCAGCATTCCTCAAACTGCCTCGTTCACTTAAGACAATGTTTTTGTTATTGTTGTATTTTTGTTATTTGTTATTTTGTTATTGTTGTCTCACTCTGTCACCCCAGGCTGGAGTGCAGTGGTGTGATCACAGCTCACTGTAGCCTTGACCTCCTAGGCTCAAGTGATCCTCCCACCTCAGCCTCCTGGGTATTGGGACTACAGATATGCACCACCAGGCCCAGCTAATTTTTGTATTTTTTGTAGAGATGGGGTTTTGCCATGTTGCCTAGGCTGGTCTTGAACTTCTGGGTTCAAGCAATCCACCTGTCTTGGCCTCCCAAACTGCTGGGATTACAGGTGTCAGCTGCCATGCCCAAAAACAATTTTTCACCGTATTGTTCGAAACAGATGTTCCCCTGAACATTAAAGCAATCTAAATGTCTACTATAGTGTTGTCTCAGGGAATAATAACCATCACATCTAAGGTTTTATGAGATACATTTTTCCCTAATACACACTGAAATCAACACAACCATTAAGAGAATGTTTGCAGCCAGGTGTGGTGGCTCACCACTGTAATCCTGGCACTTTGGCAGGCTGAGGCAGGTAGATTGCTTGAGCCCAGGAGTTCGAGACCAGCCTGGGCAACATAGGAAGATTCTGTCTCTATTTTTTTTTAAAGGGGGTGGGGGATGAAGAGATGAAGACTGAGCGGTTGTGGCCGCGTTGCCGACCTCAAGCAGTAGTTGGCTTCTCCACGTAGAACCCGGGAGTAGGAGACTCAGAATTGAATCTCTTCTCCCTGCCCGCTCCTGTGAGACTTTTTTGATCTTCAGCTACATTTTCAGCTTTGTGAGAAATCTTATCATCAAACACAACGGCCAGCAATGTTACCAACAAGAGAGATCCTCGCTCCATGAACGCGTGTTCGTTGGGAATCTCAACACTCTTGTGGTCAAGAAATCTGATGTGGAGGCAATCTTTTAGAAGTATGGCAAAATTGTGGGCTGCGCTGTTCTTAAGGGCTTTGTTTTCATTCAGTATGTTAATGAGAGAAATGCCCGGGCCGCTGTAGCAGCAGCAGATGGCAGAATAATCGCTGGCCAGGTTTTACATAGTAACCTGGCTGCAGAGCCAAAAGTGAACCGAGGAAAAGCAGGTATGAAATGATCAGCAGTGGAGACGTACGGGTCAGAAACAGAACACCCTTCTCCATTCCTCTACTCAGCTCCTCTTTTGACTTGGACTATGACTTTCAACGGGATTATGATAGGATGTACAGTTACCCAGCACGTGTACCTCCTCCTCCTCCTATTGCTCGGGCTGTAGTGCCCTTGAAACATCAGCGTGTATCAGGAAACACCTCACAAAGGGGCAAAAGTGGCTTCAATTCTAAGAGTGGACAGCGGGGATCTTCCAAGTCTGGAAAGTTGAAAGGAGATGACCTTCAGGCCATTAAGCAGGAGTTGACCCAGATAAAACAAAAAGTGGATTCTCTCCTGGAAGACCCGGAAAAAATGGAAAAGAAACAGAGCAAACAAGCAGTAGAGATGAAGAATGGTAAGTCAGAAGAGAAGCAGAGCAGCAGCTCACGTGAGACTCATGTGAAGATAGAGTCTGAAGGTGGTGCAGATGACTCTGCTGAGGAGAGGGACCTACTGGATGATGAGGATAATGAAGATTGGGGGATGACCAGCTGGAGTTGATCAAGGATGATGAAAAAGAGGCTGAGGAAGGAGAGGATGACAGAGACAGCACCAATGGTGAAGATGACTCTTAAGCACATGGTGGGGCTTAGAAATCTTCTCCCATTATTTCTTTACCTAGGTGCTTGTCTAAGATCAAATGTTTCACCAGACCCTCTCCTCTAGTGTCTTCAGCACATGCTCACTGTCCTCCTCACCCTTGTCCTTCCCGTATTCATTAATTCATATTACCCTGCGCCTAGTCCCATTTTCACTTCCTTTGACACTCCTAGTAGTTTTGTTAAGTCTTACCCTGTAATTTTTGCTTTTAATTTTGATATCTCTTTATGACTTTAACAGTAAAAAGGATGTATGGTGTTATCAACTGCTTCCAAAATAATATCTTGTCGTGCAGGGAGTACAGTTCTTTTCATTCATACGTAAGTTCAGTAATTGCTTTCCTAACTGCAAAGGCAATCTCATTGAGTTGAGCAGCTCCTGAAAGCAGCTTTGAGTTCGAAGTATGTGTGTTACACCCCTACATTAGTGTGCTGTGTAACAATGCACAATGTAACAAATGTACAAACGTAACGATGTATTTTTGTGAATGAGAGTTGGCATGCATAACAATGAACAATGTACAAATGCAAATGTAACAATGTATTTTTGTGAATGAGAGTTGGCATGTCAAATGTAGCCTCTAGAAAAATAATTAGTGTTATAGTCTGAAGATTTGTTTTCTAGGCCAGGCGCCGTGGCTCACGTCTGTAATCCCAGCACTTTGAGAGGCCAAGGCGGGCGGATCACAAGGTCAGGAGATCGAGACCATCCTGGCTAACACAGTGAAACCCGTCTCTACTAAAAAATACAAAAAAAAAAAAAAAAATCAGCCGGGCATGGTGGCGGGCGCTTGTAGTCCCAGCTACTTGGGAGGCTGAGGCAGGAGAATGGCGTGAACCCAGGAGGCGGAGCTCGCAGTGAGCTGAGATCGTGTCACTGCACTCCAGCCTGGGCAACAGAGCGAGACTCTGTCTCAAAAAAAAAAAAAAAAGATTTGTTTTCTAAAGTTGATACTGTGGGTTATTTTTGTGAACAGCCTGATATTTGGGAACTTTTTTCCTCAAAACAAACAAGTCTTTATTAAACCAGGAATTTGGAGGAAAAAAAAGAAAGAAAATGTTCACCAGTTTTATGCCTGACACATAACGGGGCAGGACACCATACCTGCACTTAGGGAGGGGCTGGGTTAGTGTCTCCTTCACCCCCGTGCCCTGGTTCCTCCTTTCCTCCATTGCATTTTTTTTTTTTTCTCTTTTTGAGATGGAGTCTTGCTCTGACACCCAGGCTGGAGTGCAGTGGTGCAATCTTAACTCACTGCAAACTCCGCCTCCTGGGTTCAAGTGATTCTCCTGCCTCAGCCTCCAGAGTAGATGGGATTACTGGCACACACCACCACACCTGGCTAATTTTTGTATTTTTAGTAGAGACGGGGTTTCGCCATGTTGCCCAGGCTGGTCTCAAACTCCAGACCTAAAGTGATCCACCCGCCTCAGCCTCCCAAAGTGCTGGGATTACAGGTGTGAGCCATCGTGCCCCACCCCATTTACATCCTTGTCTCCATTGCTCCTTGGTTACTTAGCCCATTATCTGCACTCGATGTGGGACTGGTATCTGACCTCTAGATACATTTCTGTTTTGTTTTTTTTTGTTTGTTTTTTGTTTTTTGTTTTCCTAGAGAACTTCCTTTGTACCAGGCATGCTTCTAAGCACTTTATGATGTTCATGCATTTACACCCCCTTCACAGTCCTGGCAAATAGTGACAGTGATAATTCATGCTTAACAAATGGGGAAACTGAGGCACAAAGTGGTTTAATCAGTGATTAAGTAAACTTGCTTATGTTACAGAGGTTAAACTCTCTCAAAGAGAGGTCCCTGCCCTCTTGGCACTCAATCTGTGAGACAGAGCAAACCTCTTGGCAGTCCCTCACGTGGACTTTAGCAGAGGCAGCGGGACCCAGCAGAAAAAGTTAAGGAGAGCTTCCTAGGGGAGATGTTTGCTGAGTTGGGTTTTGAAGGTTGAGTAGGAGTTTGTCAAGTGAAAAGAAAGCAAGGGAAACAGCAAAGGCTTTCCCTGGGGAGCTAGGAAGGCCTAGGGAACCATGAGAAATTGGGGTAAATGGGAGCAGACGAGGAATGTGACAGGAATGAGGTGTGGTTGGAAATGTACATTGAAGCCAGATGGCGGGGGGGCCTCAAGTTTCACGGGAAAGGGGTCATATTTGAATATCTAGCAGTTGAGAGCTGCTGGAACACTGTGGAGTCACCTTGTTTGGTTCAAATACTGCTTCTACTACTTTGACTACCTTGAAATCATGGACAAGAAACATAACCTCTCCTGGCCTCAGTTTCCCTGTCTGTAAAATTAGACAATAATAATACCTAACTGGAATGTGCTAGATAAGGGTGAGCTGATAGTAATTTTTATTTCCAGTGGGAGCTAAGTGTATAACTGGGGGTGTAAGGTGATCAAATTTGCAATTTGGGTAATCATACCCAATTCCCTCCTAATGCCTGCAAAGGGAGCTGGGGCCCACATCTCTGGTCCTCAGTTTCCCCATTGTGAATCCAGTGAAGGGGAGCCTGCTTTAAGGCTTGAGTGTGCCTTCCTCCCCTGCCCCCACACCCCTGCCCAGGCTAGACCTGAGATAGTTTCACTTTGACCCAACTTCTGGCAACTGTGGCCTTTCCTGTCAGAAGGCTGGCTACAAGAGGACTTGGCAAAGGTGAGACAAATGGCAGAAATATGCCCAGGGCTGGGCATGCTGGGGGTTTCATTTTCAACAGTACAAGCTGGGGTCAGAGGCAGGGTCCCCTGACTTAGGATCCAGCCTGCCCTGGGAATATCATCCCTTTAGTTGAGCATGTATGCTGGGCTCCACAGTTTATTATCACTTTTTTATTTTTTATTTTTTTTTGAGACAGGGTCTCACTCTGTCACTCAGGCTGGAGTGCAGTGGCATGACCTTGGCTCACCACAACCTCCACCTTTCACCTTCAAGCGATTCTTGTGCCTCAGCCTCTGGAATAGCTAGGACTACAGGTGAATGCCACCACACCCAGCTAATTTTTTTTTGGGGGGGTGGTGGGTAGAGATGGGTTTTCAACCATGTTGCCCAAGCTGGTCTCAAACTCCTGAGCTCAAGCAATCCTCCTGCCTTGGCCTCCCAAAGTGCTGGGATTACAGGCATAAGCCACCTCGCCGGGCCTATTATCACTTTCTTTTAATCCTTCACACGCTGTGAGCTCTGGGTGCCTATGCCATTTCACAAGTGAGGAAACTGAGGCTCAGCATCAGTGAAGGGGCTACTTGTCAATAACACACAGCTGGCAGTGTTTCTCCAGGCATGGGATGAGTGCCCTGGAGGGTCTCTGGGTGGGGGTTTTAGGTGAAACATGGACATTTTTATAAAACATCGAGGCCCCTCCTCCTCTGTGAAACCATGATTTCATATTTTCATCCTCTTGTAGTCTTTCTGCTTAAGTCAAAAAGAAAGTCTCATATTGGTGCTATTGTGTCATAAACACCTCTCCAATGCTTGCTAATACTCCCCCTTCTCCTTCTCCTTTTTTTTTTTTTTTTTTTTTTCCCGACAGAGTCTCACTCTGTCACCCAGGCTGGAGTGCAATGGCACGATCGTGGCTCACTGCAACCTCTCCCTCCCAGGTTCAAGCAATTCTCCCGCCACAACCTCCCGAATACCTGGGATTACAGGTACCTGCCATCATGCCGGGCTAATTTTTGTATTTTTGTAGAAATGGGGTTTCACCATGTTGGCCAGGGTGGTCTTGAACTCCTGACCTCACGTGATCCACCCACCTCAGCCTCCCAAAGTGCTGGGATTACAGGAGTGAACCACCGCGCCCGGCCTCTCCTTCTTCTTTTTTTCTTTTCTTTTTCTTTCTTTCTTTCTTTCTTTTTCTTTTTTTTTTTTTTTTTGAGACAGAGTCTCGCTCTGTCTCCCATGCTGGAGTGCAGTGGCAATGATCTCGGCTCACTGCAACCTCCACCTCCAAGGTTCAAGTGATTATTCTCCGGCCTCAGCCTCCCAAGTAACTGGGATTACAGGTGTGCGCCACCATGCCCAGCTAATTTTTGTATTTTTAGTAGAGACAGAGTTTCACCATGTTGGCCAGGCTCGTCTCAAACTCCTGACCTCAGGTGATCCGCCCACCTCAGCCTCGCAAAGTGCTGGGATTACAGGCGCAAGCCACTGTGCCCGGCCTCCTTCTTTCTTTTTCTGTCTCTAAACCAAACATGGAGCAGACCTTTTGCTCAGCACACAGCAGTATCTAGCTAGAACTTACAATTTTTGGATTTCATTTCATTGCTTAAGGGTTACCTCTTTGTTGCGGGTGATTCTACCTTCCATCTATGGTAATAAAACATTTCCCTTGAAATAAAATTAACTTAAGGAAATCATGTAACTTAATTTGCAGGAAATATTAATTAAATAACAGAACAGCTGGGGACTTGGACAGATCTGGCAAAAAAAAAAAAAAAAAATACAAGTGAAGCTCCAGTGACTGGTGTGACAGCCTCAGCTTAGAGATGAAAATGAAGGCATGGCTATAAAATTAGGCTGCCCGAGATTCGAATCCATGCCCCCCACCAAGGCTCTGCTACCTACCTGCAGTGTGACCCAAGCCCGTTATTTAACCCTGTGCCCCAGTTTCCTCATCTGCAAAATGAAGGTAGTAATAGTCATACCTGATTCATACAGTTCTTGTGAGGATTAATTGGGATACTACGCATGAATTACTTAGAATCATGCCTAGCGTCTAGCGACATGGGTGAGCTGGCAGTCACCGCTGTTATTAGCAAGAAGCAACCTGAGAATGGGACCAGGTGGGTCTGACTTCATGGCTGTGCTGATTCAAATCCTCTGCACAGCTGCTATGACGCAAAATAATAATTATTATTATAGTTCTGTCTGGGTGCGGTGGCTCATGCCTGTAACCTCAGCACTTTGGAAGGACAAGGTGGGAGAATCACTGAGGCTGGGATTTCGAGACCAGCCTGGGCAACATAGCAGGACCACCGTCTGCAGTAAAAAAATAAAAAATAGCCAGGTGTGGTGTTGCACGCCTGTAGTCCCAGCTACTTGGGACGCTGAGGTAGGAGGATTGCCTGAGCCCAGGATTTTGAGGCTGCAGTGAGCTGTGATTGTGTCCTTGCATTCAGCCTGGGCGACAGTGAGACTGTTTTTCGCTTGTTTTTTTGTTTTGAGGCGGAGTCTTGCTCTGTCACCCAGGCTGGAGTGCAGCAGTGCGATCTCGGCTCACTGCAACCTCCGTCTCCCAGGTTTAAGCGAGTCTCCTGCCTCAGCATCCCTAGTCGCTGGGACTACAGGTCCATGCCACCACGCCCGGCTAATTTTTGTATTTTTAGTAGAGACGGGGTTTCACCATGTTGGCCAGGCTGGTGACGAACTCCTGGTCTCAAGTGATCTGCCCACCTCGGCCTCCCAAAGTGCTGGGATTACAGGCGTGAGCCACCGCGCCTAGTCAATGAGACGGTGTTTCAAACAACAACAACAAACAAACAAACAGCAGCAATGAAAGAATCAAGCAGAGAGGGCTGATTCCAATGACTGGGCACACATCACGTATTAAGCACTTTTCAGGCATCCTCTGATTGAACTTCACCCATGAGGTGGGTAGTTCTTAACCTCATTTCCAGGTAGGAAAAGAGGTTCAAGACCTAAGGTCTATGTGAGGTTGGGTAGGCAGGGATTGCTGTGGACCGGAATGGGGTGGGAGAACACGTTGGTCTCCGACGACTACAGGGCGTGGGAGAGGGCTCGCTATTGTGGCCTTGACCTGGCATGCCCTTGGGACATGCCCTCCCCGGGCCTGGGGTCTTCCAAGAGCCCTGAGATCCCGGCAGGCAGGACGTACCACGAGAACTGGGAACCACGTGAAGGCCAGAAGGGCTGCGGAGCCCGCAGTGCTGCCGAGAGGCCGAGAGGAAGCCGAGGGAAGCCGAGTGTGGCCGAGCCGAGCCAAGTCAAGCCGAGCGTGGCCGAGCCACGCCGAGTGGGCCTGGGGCAGCGGTTGGTGGGGAGAGCGGCGCAATGACGTCACTGGCGCGGCGCGTGGTGGCCTCTCGAGAGTGCAGGCGCCGTGGGGCGTCAGCTGGACAAAAGCCGACCCGACTTCATTTGTCTGCCTCGACCCCGACCCCGGCTGGTAGACAGCACTCCTGATGCACGGGACGAGGGAGCGGCACGAGCAAAGGCCCTGAAACAGGAGGGAGCGCGGTGAGTGCCTTGCCCAGATCCCTGGGCCGTCGTGGGACTTGGGCCTTCTGTGCGCTGCGGGGAGCCGTGCAGGGCTGCGGCGTGGGATGCTGGACTCGCCCTGGGTGTCGGGGGAAGGAGATGGGGGAGGTTGTACTGGGGCCATACAGTCATTGTAGAACCTGTTCCCCCCGAGGGCCGTCTGTCGGGTCCCAGAGCCAGGACCACGGTTGGGACAATTTGAGCGCCCACCTGAGCACCGTTGTCCCTGTGCGAATGTGCTTTGGTGAAAACTGTGCCTCCTTCTCTAGAGGAAATTAGATACCCCCTACCCGCAAATCAGGCCAAGCCCACCATGTTATTCCTGGTAAGCTCCTAGCCCTGGGGAGGCTCCGAGTGATGGCAGTGGGAGGCCAGGTGAGAGGTACAAAGCTGGCATCCAGGTGGAACTGGCCACACCCACCATGGCCCAGCATCCACCAGGCAGGTCCTGTGGCCTTCCCTTGCCGTTGGTCTGATTGGCTGGAGCCAAAGGGCCTGGCCGAGAATGAACCGCTCCCTTGTAAATATACACCATGAGGCAGGAAGCCGAAGCCCATTTCACCAGGCCCTCTGCTTAGATCATCTCCATCCAGCAGCCAGGCCAGATCAGGTTACCTCCACGTTCCCCATCAATCTTGAAATCCACACTTTCCACCAAGGTCTACAGGACCCCACGTGCCCGGGCCCCTGCCCATCCCTCCCGCTTCTTCACCCCTCCCACTCTGCCAGCCTTCTTGAACGGGCCGAACTCCTTCCTGACTGAGCGCCTTTGCACTCGCTCTTCCCTCTGCCTGGACTGCTCATCTCATCTCCTGGCTTTGCCGGGCTGGTGCCTTTCTGTCATTCCAGGCACAATAATTTCAGTGTCACCTCCTGACCTTTCTAAAAGAGCCCCATCCACTGTCCAACCACCCTGTCGAGTTTTCATCTGACCACTGTCACTATGTACTTGGAATGTTCCTTTTCCTTTATTTCATGTTTGGTTATTTACTGTCCAAGGCCCTGAATGTAAACTCTGTAAGCAGGGTTCAGACCCCTCTATTTTGTTCATTCCTGTATCCTTTCGGCTTAGATTAATGCCTGGCTGGGCGCAGTGGCTCACACCTATAGTCCCAGCATCTTGGGAGGCTGAGGTGAGAGGATCACTTGAGCCCAGGAGTTGGAGACTGGCCTAGACAACATAGGGAGACCCCATCTTGGCAAAAATAAATTAGCCAGACATGGTGGTGCATGCCTGTAGTCCCAGCTACTCAGGAGGCTCAGGTGGGAGGATCGCTTGAGTCCAGCAGGTCAAGGCTACAGGAGCTGTGATCACACCACTCCACTCCAGCCTGGGTAACAGAGTGAGACCCTATCTCTTAAAAAAAAAAAAAAAAAAGAAAGAAAGAAAAAGAAAAAGAGGAGGAAAAGGATAATGCCTGTAACGTAGGAGGTGCTCAGTCAGTGTTTGCTATATTAACCTCAACTATCATTATTGGCACCGCATCATTCAGAGATGTATTTAGCGCCTACTGCATGCTAAGTTGTGCGCTAAGCACTTTCTACCTATTATGTCATAGAAGAGGCTCAGTTCGCCGCTTCCTGGGATAATGACAGTACCTACTCATAAGGTTGGGAGGATCAAGTAGGCTGAGGCCTAGGAATATGCATTTTCACCAGATTCCTCCCTTATCCCATCCCCTCTCCCACTATTTAAGCAACCCATCCTGCGCTGGGCACAGTGATTCCTGCCTGTAATCCCAACACTCTGGGAGGCTGAGGTGGGAGGATCGCTTGAACCCAGGAGTTTGAGACCAGCCTGGGCAACATAGCGAGGCCCCCTCTCTACCAAAAACAAGAAAATTAGATGGGTGTGGTGGCTCACACCTGTAGTCCCAGCTACTCAGTCCCTGCGCTGAGGCGGGAGGATTGCTTGAACCCAGGAGTTTGATTCTGCAGTGACCTGTGATCTCGCCACTGCATTCCAGCCTAGGTGACAGAGCAAGACTCTGTCTTAAAAAAAAAAAGAAGAAGAAACCTGTCTTGTTGTTTAGAGTGGGATGGATTTGGTCCAAGTCCTGGCCATCACTTACGAGCTGTGTGACCTTGAGTAGGTGGCTGCACTTGTCTGAGCCTCCATTTCCTCATCTGGAAAACGGGGGCCAGAGTTTTCAGCTCAAGGGTGGCTTGGAGGCTGGTCACAGGCTGTCCCCACACCCACACACAGTCCTTGTCATTCCAAAGAGTGCCTCCTTTCCCATGGTGCCCGCCCCACACTGCCCTGGCTCACCCGCTCAGTGGGGAGGACACCTCCACTGCACCTGGGCCCCCAACTCAGTCTCTTGCACACACAAACCCTCCTCTCACTTTTCATTCTTGTAAATTGACGTCAGCGCTGCTGAATCATGAAGCTGAGGTTTGAGAGAGAGACAGAATCTGCACCACCCGGGAAGCCACATGGCGCTGGTGCGCGCGCACACACACAAACACACACACACACACACACACACACACAGCCTTTTCCCCCTTCAGTGATGCCTGCACACACTTTGTCACACGGGACGTGGGGTGCAGCTCCCAGGGCTTTAGGTCACTGTACCTATGTTAGTATGGATTTAAGTGACTCATAAAGGGAGGAAGGGGCCAGCTCTGGGAAGTGTGATCAGAGGGGGCCTTTACTCTTAGCTGTTCTGCTTCAAGTTCTGCAAGGGGAATGGGTTTGGATACCCAACACTTGCGTAAGGAAAATACGATTTTCATACTTTTTTCAAAGGAGGAAAAAAAACTGTAACATATTGCAAGCTACCTGCTAGCTGACCCCTCTTTTGAGGAGGACCTGTTTTCCCATCTGTAAAACGGGGATGTTCACAGTCCCTACATCGGAAGGCTGGGTGTGAGTTCAATGTTTTACACAGGTGATGCGGGACCTGGGAGCAGTTCCTGCACAGACAATGCTACATAGAAATATGAGCAGCTGCTATTATTACTGCAGCGGTTAGGTCCTCCGGTTGCCTAGTGGTACCCAGCCTCTGAAAAAGTCCTGAGTGGGTTTGCAAAACCTGGCTCCACCCCTTGTTGTGGTCCTGCTTTGCCTCTTGGAGCCCGTTTTCCCATCTGTAAAATGGGGCCAGCACAGCCACTGAGTGGTCACTAAGGGTCTGTGAGTATACTAGTATTACAACCAGATCCCCAAGCATTGCCATCTTGGATTTCTGTTTCTCCAGACACTGCCCACAGCAGGCAACAGACAGGAAAGAACAAGGACAGGACTTAATTAATCCACAGCAGAGAAGAAAGGGCAGGGGTGTGGCAAAAAAAAAAAAAGAAAAGAAAAGAAAAGAAAAGAAAAGAAAAAGCAAGATTTTTGGAGATAGAGACAAGACATCACCTCCTTCCCTCCCACTTCACCTTATTAAGGGATGAAATTGCCAAAGCTCTCTGAGATCCTAAATCTCTTCTGGCCATCCTTAAAGTCCTGGAGCCTACTTAATCCCCAAGACAGGCCTGGGCTGCTCTGACTCTCTGACCATCAAGTTAATTTTATGTTGTACTTTCAAGTCTGAAAAGTATTATTAAGCATTAGAACACTATTATATGTGTCTCCAAGGCTGAAGAGGGCCACTCTATCTTCTAAAGATGAAGTATGACGTGTCCACCAGGCTGCTTAACCCTAAATCTGAAAATGACTCAGTTCACCATGTGTTGAGTACAACCCTCAAGTTACCACCATGGCCCATGTGTCAGGCTGGCCAAAGACACAGAAGTTGCCAGAAACCCAGGTCCTGGACACTTTCTGGTGCTGTGGGCCAGCCCCACAAACGTCCTGGAGCCACTCTTCCCTTCCCTGGCTCCTGAAAACATCCACCTCCTCTATGATGCGCAGAAAGTTGCCCTTAGAAAGGTGGAGGCCCAGGGAGGCAAGGGGAATTGCCCTAGCCGCCAGCAGCACCCTCCCGCCACCACAGACCACACAGTCTCCTTCTGGCTCCAAGTTGTGTGTTCACCAAAAAGTACACAAGACAGAGCAGGGTGAGAAGAAGGAAGCTAGACCCAGCCCTGTATCCCCCATCTCATCTCAACTGAGTATCCCTTGATGCTGGTTCAGAATGTGCCACTCCTCTGTCCAAAAACTCACTAAGCCCCCACCCCCACCCCTTCCTGGAAGCTGTTGTGGTCATAGAACCAAAGAAGTTTCCTCTCTGTTATCCATTTCAAGCAGATGTTTAGTGGACAGCCAAAAAAAGGCCCAAGTGTTGTCTTTGACAGGAATGGCCACAGGCAGATTTACTCAGTTTTCCCTTCTGTAGAATGGAAATAAGAGCCCGTGCCTCACAGGGTTGTGCCTCTCTTTATAGGATTAAGTAAATTTAAGTATGCAAAGCACAGAATTAGGGCTGGCACGCACAAAGTGCTCAAACGCGAGCTGCTGTCTTACCGGACACACGCCAAAACTAGACCAACCGTTTCTCTCCCTGGAGAGTTGTGGGTGGAACCGTGAGGGATGCCCAGCCACAGGGCAGGCCCCGTACACCACCTGCAGCCCAGCAGGTCAGCCTTAGGACCCTCTCCCCTGGACCTGTTCAGAACCAAGTTAAACTTTTGGCCAAAGCACACTCGCTAGAAAACTTATTTTTTTTTAAAAAAAAAACTTTCATAATAAAGTTTATTACCTAAACTGACTTTAAAAAATATAAAATAGGATTCTGCACAGCAGAAAAATAAAGCCAGAGACCCTCCCCCAACCCCTGGTTTGTGCAAAGATACTGGGTATATGTAAACATGAAGAGGTAGGAGGTGCGAGTTCAGGTCCTGGCTCCAGATACAGTTAAGCTGCTACAACAACCAGGGGGACCCAGAGGGAGCACCAGGAGGGGGAGGACCCCCTCAAGAGGTGAGAAGGGGTCTGCGGCCTCGTCTCCAGCCGAGGGCGGGAGGCGCCTCGCCCCTACACCCATCCGCTCCCTCCAACCCAGGCCGGGGAGGGTACCCACATGGTTCCAGGCAAGTAATAACAAAATAACACGGCATCCCAGTTAATGCTGCGTGCACGGCGGGCGCTGCCGGTCAAATCTGGAAGGGGAAGGAGCTCAGGTAGTCGCGGAGGACGGGGTTGAGGGGGATGCGAGCCAGGTTCTCGCGGCCCACGGTGGCCACGATGCGCTGGCGGCACAGCTCCTGCAGCGGCCGCACGCGGCGCTGGCGCAGCGGGGCCCCCAGCATGCGGCGCGGCGCCGCCACGTAGTGCTCCAGCAGCTCGAAGAGGCAGTCGAAGCTCTCGCGGCTGCCATCCAGGTGAAAGCGGCCGGCCTGAAAGTGCACGCGGATGCTCGTGGGTCCCGAGGCCATCTTCACGCTAAGGGCGAAAAAGCAGTTCCGCTGGCGGCTGTCGCGCACCAGGAAGGTGCCCACGGGCTCGGCGCGCAGCCGCTCGTGCGCCCCGTGCACGCTCAGGGGCCCCCAGTAGAATCCGCAGGCGTCCAGGAGCGCGCTGGCGCGCGTGATGCGCCGGTAATCGGCGTGCGAACGGAATGTGCGGAAGTGCGTGTCGCCGGGGGCCGGGGCCGGGACCGCGGGGCACGGCCGCGGGCGCGCGGGGGCCGCGGGCGAGGAGGAGGAAGAGGAGGAAGGTTCTGGCCGCCGTCGGGGCTCTGCTGCTGTGGAGACTGCATTGTCGGCTGCCACCTGGTTGTGTGCTACCATCCTACAGAAGGGGCCAGCCGGAGGGGTGGGCCATAGCGTCCGGGGGTGCGCTGCGGGAGAGACAAAGAGGTGAGCTGGGGCGCTGCGGGGCCGGGCAGGTGTGCGCCGGCCGGACAACTCCGGAGGGCGGCGCTCCCGGCGGACCCGGCCCTAGGGGGCGAGCACGGAGCACCAAGTCCGCGCGGATCCGTTCAGCCTCAGTGGACACAGCTAGAAAATGGGCTCTGTACTCCGCGGAGCTCTTCCCGGCGGGTGGGGGCTCGGTGGAGGCGGAGTCCGGCCTCCGGGCAGCACCGAGAGGGGGGCGTGGAGAGCAGCCGGTTCTGGCTCCAGCCGTCCGGCCCCGGCTCGCCGCCCCGCGCCCGCCGCCTGCTGGCCAGGCTGGGATCCGCGCCTGGTCTGGGCGATTTGGGCTAGGGCCGGAGAAAGGCTGTGCTGCGGGAGCCCCGCGCGCGGGGGGCGGCCTGGGTGGGGCCGGCGAGGGTCAGGGGCATCGCGGCCGCGACCCCATTCTGCAGCCCCCGAGGCTCGCCCGACTCCTGGCTGCCCTGGACTCCCCTCCCTCCTCCCTCCCGCCTCCTCGCCCAGGGCCCGGCTCACCTGGCGGCGGGGCGCGGGACGCCGCGGGCGGGACGGCGGGGGGCTCCGGGGCGCTCCGGGGCGGCTCTCGCGCATGCTCCGGGGCCAGGAGCCGTGCAGCTGCCACGGCCGCAGCTCGCTCTGTTCGGCGCCCGCCCCTGCGCCAGTCTTTTAAACCGGCTCGGAGGCGGGGCTGGCGACGGCGGGAGGCCCCGCCCCCTGCCGGCCCCGCCCCCAGCTCCACTTTTGGTTTCTCTTTCCGCGGTGGCGTCCGGCGAGGACCGCTTCGGCCCTGTTTCCCTCTCTTCTGGACCCTCCCGCGGGGCCCTCTGCCCGCCTGTTCGCACCTGCCCCAGCACCCGCCTCTCGAGGGGCTCTGGCCCCGACCCTGCGCCTTCCGGCCACTTCTCGGACCCCTCCTTCGGACTTGGCGACCCCGATTTTGCCCCGCTACCTCGGGTTCCACTTTCTGCCGCCAGGCCCTCTTGGGACGCGCCCTGACACACCCTCCTCCGCCCCAGCTGTCTCCACACCCGCCGGGGGCAGAGCCCTGTCCTCTCCTCCCCTGCAGCCAGATCCCCCTAGGAGGCCACAGAAGGTGTCCCCAACCCTGAGCCTGACCCCACCCGTAGACCCCCTCCTAGCCCCTGCTCCACCCGCCGTCGACGCCCTCAGTCGCCCGCCCTGCTGTCCCGAAGCCCCGGCCGGCCGCGGTCTCTGGTCTTGGCTCGGGCTTCCCGGGAAGCGGCGGCCTGACCACAGGCTTCAGAGGAACCCCTGGCGGCGCGGGCGCCTCCACCCCGGCCCAGTTCCTCGGAAACTGGGCGGGGCCGGGCAAGGTCCCTGGTGGCCTCGACTGCCCTCCCTGCGCTCCCACTACCCGGCTGCGGAAGAAACTGAGGCTGGGGAGGGGCTGGGATTTGCAATGGCTTGCAGATTGGGAGCTCTGGACCTGGATCTCGCCTTCCCCGTCTTCATTTTGGGGAGAGGTGCAGCTGGACGACATCAAATTGGAGCCCAGTGAAAAAATGGTGCATTCTCAGACGTGATGAATCCCCAAACCTGGTTTCCTAGCCCTCCTCTCCCCCGACCCCTTCCTCATAGATTTCCCCCTCCTACTGCTCCGTCAGGCATCTGCCCTTCAAAGACTGCCTTCCCACCACACACACGGCCGGGGCTTGGGATGGTGGGCGGTCGGTGGTCGGGGCTGTAATTTGCACACGTGTTTGTGATTTAGTGATTCCGATTGTCGTGCGAGGCCATGGAGTAGGTGCCTGGCTGCTCCGTGTATTTTTGAATGAAGGCATGTGAGGAGCCCCAGCATCACAAGGGGCCACATAAAAACCTGGCTAGGCTGGGCACTTGGTTACTGGCCTCACACTGGGACACACTGCCCTCTACAGACAGCTCTCAGACGGCTTCTCTCCTGGAAGCCCTGGTGCCCAGTCCCTTCCCGCCTCCCTGGCCCCACGATACCTCTTTCCCCAGGCAGAGCCTAGGTCCTTATTAACCTCCTGAACACAGGGAGTGGCCCAGAATCAGCCCAGCTTAGCACCCCATCAGTGCCCTGAATCTGCATGTGGCCAGGGCTGGTGGTGGTCATTGGTGTAGCCTCCTAGGTTGTGCGTGTGTGTGCGTGCGCGTGCGTGAGGGGGTGAGAGAAGATGCAGAACCTTGCCTGCACCAGAGGTCAGGTGTGTGATCATTCGAGAGATGTCCACTGAACATCTGCTGGAGGCCACACTCTGTGGAGGGTGATGGAATACAAGGAGACCCAGTTCCAAATCTGCACCTTTCTATTCTTGTGACCTTGAGCATGTAATTAACCTCTCTGCCATGGTTTCTTTATCTGTGAAATGGGGATAATAATAGTACCTCTAGCAGGGCGCAGTAGCTCATGCCTATAATCCCAGCACTTGGAAGGCCAAGACAGGAGGATTGCTTGAGCCCAGGAGTTTGAGAACAGCCTGGGCAACAAAGTGAGACCCCCTCTCTACAAAAAAAAAAAAAAAAAAAAAAAAATAGTACAAAAATCAGCCAGTCGTAGTGGATTGCACCTGCAGTCCCAGCTACTTGGGAGGCTGAAGCAGGAGGATTGCCTGAGCCCAGGAGGTCAAGGCTGCAGTGAGCCACGATTGTGTCACTGCACTCCAGCCGGGGCAACAGACTAAGACCCTGTCTCAAAAAAAAATAAATAAATAGTACCTCCATCCCGGGGTTGTATGGGAATTAAATGAGTGATTATGGGTCAGGTGCTTAAAACAGCCCGTAGTGTCTAATAAGCAGTCGGTAGATGTTTGTTGTTCATCTGAGGGTGCCTGTGGGTGTGGCAGTGTGTTGGAGCCCACAGACGCATGGCTTCAACCCCTGTGTCCATTTTTTTAAAGAGATGGAGTGTAGCTCTGTTGCTCAGGCTGGAGTGTAGTGATAGGATCGAGGAGGCACTATAGCCTCGACCTCCTGGGCTCAAGAGATTCTCCCATCTCAGCCTCCTGAGTAGCTGAGACTACAGGCACATGCCACCACACCCGGCTAATTTTTTAAATTTTTTGTAGGGATGGGGTCTCACTACGTTGCCCAGGCTGGTCTCGAACTCCTGTCCTTTAGTGACCCTCCTGCCCTGGCTTCCCAAAGCACTGCCTTATATCTATGTTTGAAGCCCTAGTCCAGGGACCACAGGCCAGGGAAGGCACAGCAAGGGAGCAGGAAAGCTTCTAAAGGTACACTCAGCACACGTGGGTTCTCCTCACTGCCACCAGTGACAGACAGCTTTGGTTTCATTTTCTGAAGTCCTGTGTTCAAAATGAAACCAAATCCAGATGCCGAAAGAGAAAAGGAAATCTGCTGGTTGACAAGCATCCACCTTGTGGGCTGTTCTGCTGGAGGGCTGGGCACCAGGCTCACAGGAAGCCAGGCAGTGCGAAACCCTGAGGGGCTCAGAGTGCTCGGTAGGATGGGACCAGGCTCTGACCCCAGACCTGCTGCATGACCTTGGGCAAGTGACCTGTCCTCTTGGGACCTGATTTGCCCCAACTGCAAAGTGATCTCTGGACATCTCGTACCTCACAGAGCAGCCAGACATGCAGAGCCAAGGGCAAAATGCCAGGCATGGAGTCGGTGCTTGGCACAATGACCTCTTGTCACAGGGCGGATGGACCAGCCCTATATCCACAGCTTACTAAACCACAGCCACAGCCAGATGTGTGGAAACATTCTCCTCCCTATCTTGGCAGATCCTCGTACCCCAAATGTGAGGGGCCCAGCCAGCATCTGGGGGAAGTCAAGATCCTGGTGGCTTATGGCACTTAGCTTTTCAGTTTCTCTTTCCGGCTTTGGTGGCGCCTTGCTGGGAAAAGTAGCTCCTGGCCAGGGTGTGTAATCGTGAAACTAGCCTCTGCCCCGGAATTCCTCAGCCCTGCTTTTCCTCTAACCCATGTGTCGGGAAGGTTCCCATGGGAGTCTGTGCCCCTGGGAACCCCGAGCAGTGGGGCTCACAGTGTGGATTCTGCTGACCGCTGGTCTGAATTTAAATGGGTCATTTCATAAGTATGTGGCCTGGGGCCAGCTTCTTAGCTTTTCTGTGCCTCAGTTTCCATATTTGCAAGATGGGATAATAACATATCTATTTCACTTCTTCAGTATTTATTCAGCAGATATTTACTGAGTTCTTACTGTGTGCCAGGCGCAGGGGACTCAGAGGTCTTCAGGCAGACCTAGGGGAGTCAGTGAATTCACACCATCAGTGCAGACCATACTGGGTGCTATGTGGGAAAGAAACAGAGAGAAAGGGGTGACTGGGTGTTTGTAAGGTGAGATAAGGAAGTTAGGGAAAGCCTCTTGGAGGTGGTGACATTAGCACTGACGTCTTTCTAAAAGTGGGATGAAGACCCCAGGTGGCGAGAACAGCCAGTGCAAAGGCCCTGTGGTGGGGGTGCTTGAAGATAGGAAAGGAGAGTTGGTATAGCGAGCCAGGGGGTGGTGTAGGGGTGAGGCATAGGGGTTGGCAGGGTCTGATCCATCAGGCACGGCCTTGCTGGGCTGTGGCAGGGCTTTGGATTTTGCCCTGAGTGCATGGACCAGCCATCCAGGCCCAAGCGACAGCATAGGACTGAGTGTGGAAAGAACCTTCTAGCTGCTGACCTTCCCAGCTGCTGGGCTTTAGCCACGATGAGCTGTAGTAGTGGCCTTGGGACACTTTCCCATGGTCCTGTGAATTGGAAATTATGTGTTTCCCTTGATCAGATGAGGAGAGCACAACTCAGGGAACTGGTGGAACTTGGTGAAGGTGTTTTGGGGAGCCCTGGGGCTTGGCAGAACCTGGCCTGAAGTCCTCTGTCGGGAGAGGTTGCTTTGATGTTTGGAGTAGATCCTTTCTGCTCCCACCACAGGAACGATTGTGTGTCTCAGTGGCGGGTAGAGGGGTGTGAGCTCAGAGGACCTGAGTCCAAGGAGAAGGTGTGAGAGGCCAGGGAACGATGGCATGAGCCAGTGGCTGACTCCAAAGTGGCGCCAGTCCTGGAGACTTGATGAGACTCTTCTAGCAGGCACAGGTGAAGAAAGGAGAGGTGAAGTCAGCTGTTACTTGAAGTAGTCAGTAGTCACTGGCTTTCAGAAAGCAGTCAAGATTGTTTCGTTAACAGCTGCAAAATAGGAGGGGCAGGAAAGTAGAATTCTAGGAATGCTGGTGGAGGGGTCCAGACACACCTGCTTCCAGTCCCAGCTCCCCTCCCCATCAGCTGTGTGGCTTCAGGCAAGTTGACTGAATCCAGTGGTCCAGAGAACTCTCACAAAGCCCGAGCCTGGGAAGCACAGTGCCTGTTCCTCAGTAAATCCCTTGGGATCTTTGTCGTGGCCTATTCACTCCATTTTTGCACAGTATTCCAACAAGCCTAACAGGTTTCTACCCACCCCACCCCATCCCATAAGTGACAAATTAGGTGTCAGCAGCTGACAGCAAGGACCAGTAGCGGTGACATAGGGGGCAAAGAACTTGCAGAAACTATGAAACTAGGCACAAGAGCTAGCACGCAGCAGGCTGGGGACGTTAGAGTGTGGAGCAGGAAGATTCCTCATGTCCATGGGCCCTCACTGTGGTGATGCTGTTGAGAATGTCGGGTATCGCAATGAGAGGTAGAATAGGGCCCAGTTCTCTCTGAGGAGGCGTCTGGTCTCAGGGCACACAGAGCAGCAGCAGTCTCCTCCCATGCCACGATGTGGGAAGCCCAGCGTCTACTGGCCCAATTGGCAGTGCCCTGAACAGGCTCAGGGAGGGGTAACCCTCAACCGAGTTGTAAAGAGTGAGCATCACGGCCGGGCGCAGTGGCTCACGCCTGTAATCCCAGCACTTTGGGAGGCGGAGGCAGGCAGATCACGAGGTCAGGAGATGGAGACCATCCTGGCTAACACGGTGAAACGCCGTCTCTACTAAAAATACAAAAAATTAGCCGGGCGTGGTGGTGGGCGCCTGTAGTCCCAGCTACTTGGGAGGCTGAGGCCGGAGAATGGCGTGAACCCAGGAGGCGGAGCTTGCAGTGAGCAGAGATGGCGCCACTGCACTGCAGCCTGGGCGACAGAGCAAGACTCCATCTCAAAAAAAAAAAGAGTGAGCATCACTTGAGTTCAGGAGTTCAAGACCAGCCTGGGCAGCATGACAAAACCCCATCTCTACAAAAATATGAAAAAATTAGTTGGGCATGGTGACACATACCTGTGGTCCCTGCTACTTGGGAGCCTCAGGTGGGAGGATCACTTGAGCTCGGAAGACAGAGATGGCAGTGAGCTGAGATCACACCACTGCACTCCAGCCCGGGTGACTTAGGGAGACCCTGTCTCAAAAAAAAAAAAAAAAAAAAAAAAAAAAAAAAGAGCTCTCACCAAGGGAACGGAGGGAGAACATATTCCGGGCAGAGCATGACAAGAATGTGAGGCCCTGGGCAGAGCATGAGGCCAAAGGTAAGCCGGACACCCCAAGGCAGCCCTAGTGGCTTCTAGGAGGAGACTCGTCTGGAGGAAGGGAGAGGGCTGGACTGGACCTCTGCCTGCCCTGGAGTAATGAGTCCCTCTGTGGGAGAGCGTTCTGGGTCACCTTGCCCAAACCAGCAAGCCCAGAGCAGGGGCTGATGTTATATCCACATGCCTTTACTGCCTCTCCAGATTCAACAGAGCTTCGCTGAGCACCCATTAGACACATTCACTGATGCTCATTCCTTTTTTATCCTCTTTTTCCTTCAATTTTCCTCCCTCTAGGTAACCCAGGCACCAGCTTGGTCTGTTCTTTGGGATCTTTTTTATTTTTATTTTTATTTTTTGATACTGGGTCTCCCTCTGTCACTCAGGCTGGGGTGCAGTGGCGTGAACACAGCTCACTGCAGCCTTGACACCCCCACCCCACCCCCACTGTGCTCAAGCAATCCTCCTGACTCAGCTTCCCATGTAGGTGGCACGCATTGCCATGCCCAGCTAATTTTTTCATTTTTAGGGAGACAGAGTCTCACTTTGTTTCCTAGGCTGGTCTCAAACTCCTGGCTTCAAGTGATCCTCCCGCGTGGGCCTCGCAAAGCGCTGAGATTATAGGCATAAGCCACTGCTCCCACCCTGGGATCTTTTTCTATGCATCTACATGCTTGTATTTTGACCCATAAAAATTATGTTCCTTGGCCAGGTGTGGTGGCTCATGCCTGTAATCCTAGCGCTTTGGGAGGTCGAGCTGGGAGGATCACTTGTGGTCAGTTCGAGGCTGTGGTGAGCTATGATTGTGCCACTGCACTCCAGCCGAGGTGACAGAGCAAGACCCCAATTATTTAAAAAAAAAAAATAGTATTCCTTTGTGTAGGACTTTTCCCTCTATCAATGTCATGTCTTTCTCCATCTTGCACTTTCCACCCAACAGATACTCTGGCAATCTGGCTAGATCACATATAGATCGACCCCATGCTCCTTAAGAACTGCATGATACTCCTCAGCGTATGTTCATTTAGCCGTCCCCGGTGGGTGGACACATAGGTTGTATTTTTGCTCTTGCAAACAGCGTGGCCTGCACCTCCCTGTACAGCCTCTTGGCACACATGTGATAAACCGTTCTTACCGTTTGAATGTTCATAGGTGCCACCCAGTCACCTGCCAGCGTGCTGTGCACATTTACCTTCTGGGCAAAAGCATTCAACAATGTTTCCCCATGCCTTCACCATTATCTTACTTTTTCCATTTTTGCCTATTTGATGATTTGGTAAGTGGTGGCTTCTCATTGTTGCTTTAATGCCTGCTTCTTCTTTCATTTATTCAACAAATACTTACTGCACTCCTAATATGTGCCAGGCACTGTGCTAAGTCCCGGAGATGCAGCAGTGAACAGCATGGCCTCCTCGGTTCTCTTTACAAAGTGTGAGACGCACCTGAGACTCAGAGAGATTAAGGAATAGTCCTGGGGTCACCCAGCGAGGGAATGGGAGAGCTGGGATTTGAAGCTGGGTCTGTGTGGCTGCAGGGTTTGAGATGTTTTTCCTTTCGAATCATAGCTCACATGGGCATCTCCACCAGGGTCTGCCCTCTCATCTGACCCACTCCATTCCCGACTCCTGCCCCAACCCAGGACCACTGCATTTCCCCTTGGTGATCCCTCAGGCCCACAGGAGTGACAGCCCTGCAGCTAACCCCACCACAGGACAGGCTGCACCTCATTGTTCCCCAGACCTCACCTCACCCCCTAGTAGCCCACTGAAATTAAATCTCTGAGTATCAAGACAGCTCATCTTCAGAACCCACGTACTCTCTTGCTGGCTGGATTTATTGTCTGTCTCTCTCCATTTCCTGAATTTGGGTCTCCAGCAGGCCTGTCCCCAACCTGCTGCCACCCACCCCAAGCCGAGTAAGTGAAAGCATGAATCTGTGGTTGGATTATTTTTTCCTGTCATCATTGTACGTCTGACTGTACAAGGGTGGCGTGTATTGTGAGTGCTTGCCTACATGTGTGTTTCCTGTGGGAAGGGTCAGGGGAGGTGACTGAGAGCCTTCATGCACATGTAGGGGTGTGTATGTGTACTTGGGGTCCACATGTGAATGTGGGTCTCTGTGTCTGAGTGGGTTTGAACAGCTGCTTCTTCATACGTGTGGCCAGGAGTTCGAGGCTGTGGTGAGCTATGATTGTATATATGACTATCCGTGTTTGTGCCACTTTTGTGTTGGTTGTGTTGGTGTTGCTTTCAGGGAAATGTGGAGTTAAAGGTAGGTCCATAAGCCACACGTGTGACCCAGTCCATTGGCTTATAATAAAAGATTTACCTTCAGTAATCATATCATAAAAGGACACTGCCCAGGAAGTAGGGAGGTCCTTTGGTGAGTGGGGCTCAAAGTCCCTGACTTTATGTCTAACCCTGTCTCCACTTCCTCTTTCAAAATATGTTCCCCAGAAGGGCCTCCCTAACTCTTTTGCACCGATGTGTCAGTGACTATCATGGCTTAATGTGGCCTTACATTTGGGAACCAGTAAGTTTTGGGCAAAACATGAATCTCTTATCTCAGACCTGCCTGCCAGGAGTCCTTGACCAAGTTGTTTCACCTCTGAGTCTCAGCTTCTTCATCTGTACAGTGGGACCAATAATGTCTCTTGTTGAGGAGCGTGGATTCCGTGGAAATATTTATGTCAAAACATCTGGCATCTAGTAGGTGCTCGATAAATGGAATTCCCGAGTATGCTTGGGTGCTTCCCCATACCCTCTCCTAATAGAAACAACCTGGAACATTTCCCTGCTGTGAGAGGAGGATAAAGGGACCCAAGGAAAGGAGACTGATGGTGACATTGAGTGGCATTGATCGGGTGGACCAGGCCCTCTCTTGGATGCTTGCAGGTGCATTATCTCAATGAACCTCCACTGGGACCCCTCCAGGCAGGCACCATTAGCCTCCCATTTTACAGAAAAGACCAGGATGCAGACAGGGGACATGACTTGCTCAAGGCCACACAGCTGAGATCTGAAAGAGGACCTTCCATGTCATGCCACTGCCTGGGATGGGCTCAGCAAAGCTTGGAGTCCTGCAAGGCCTTCCCCAAGACACCTGGGTCCATTTCCCTTCCCTGCAGACAGCCCATCACCACTCATTTCTACTCCTGCCCCACCTCCCTTCACCTGTTCACCCTGTTCCTTCAGCCCAAATGTCAAATGCAGCACAAAAGAAAACAAAGTGACCCTGTGTCTGGCGCTATGCTGGGCAGCTTATCACACACCAGGCTGCTGGGTACCCCGCCCCCCAGTATGTCAGAACGATGAGCCCATTAGACAGAGGGGGAGAGTGAGGCTCAGAGTGGTCTAGTCCCAGCCGCCGCAGCTAGGATAGTGAGAACTAGGGCAAACTTGAGTCTGACCCTAAAACCAAGGCTTGTGGGTATGAAGGTCAGAAGCCAATTTACCCAAGACCCTGACCATTCCCCAGTCCTTTTGTCTGGCAGCCGGCATTCCTTCACGAAAATCTGCCTGGTACTTTTTATGCCATGTTAACAGCAGAGGTTTACTGAGTGCCAAGCACTGAGCCCAGACACCATGTCACATGCATGACACACTGACCTCTCCCAACCTCCCAGCAAGGGTGCCCATTTTGCAAATGAGAGCAGGTTTCCTACTTGGAAGCAGGGTTCTGTCTGGTTCACCCTTATCTTCCCTCCTTGGCCTTAGCCCAAAGCCCACACAAGTGGGTGCTCAGTAAATGTTTGCGAAAGAGGAATGAGGAAGGCAGGACTCTGGGCATTATCTTGGGAGGAACCTCCAGCCCACCCGTTGTGGAAAATCACCCCGCTAGACCGGGCTGCCATTCTGCCAATTGCTGTACCCTGTCCCATCCCCTGCAGTCCAGTCTCCACACAGCAGCCAGCACCACTTTGAAAACACACACCAGGTGGCCGGGCGCAGTAGCTCACGCCTGTAATCCCAGCACTTTGGGAGGCCAAGGCAGGCGGATCACAAGGTCAGGAGATCGAGACCATCCTGGCTAACACGGTGAAACCCTGTCTCTACTAAAAATACAAAAAAGTTAGCTGGGCGTGGCGGTGTGCACCTGTAGTCCCAGCTACTCGGGAGGCTGAGGCAGGAGAATGGTGTGAAGCTGGGAGGCGGAGCTTGCAGTGAGACGAGATGGCGCCACTGCACTCCAGCCTGGGCGACAGAGCAAGACTCCATCTCAGAAAAAAAAAAAGAAAAAAGAAAACACACACCAGGCTTGGTGCAGTGGCTCACGCCTGTAATCCTAACACTCTGGGAGGCCGAGGTGGGAGGATTGCTTGCGCTCAGGAGTTTTTAAGACCAGCCTGGGCAACATAGTGAGACCCCATCTCTACAAAAAGTAAAAAAATAAGCCGGGCACAGTGGCTCACGCCTGTAATTCCAGCACTTTGGGAGGCCAAGGCGGGTGGATCACTTGAGGTCAGGAGTTTGAGACCAGCCTGACCAACATGGTGAAACCTCGTCTCTACTAAAAAAATACAAAAATTGGGGTGTGGTGGGAAAGGGGAGGGAGAGCATTAGGACAAATACCTAATGCATTCAGGGCGTAAAACCTAGATGACGGGTTGTTAGGTGCAGCAAACCACCATGGCACATATATACCTGTGTAACAAACCTGCATGTTCAGCACATGTATCCCAGAACTTAAAGTAAAATGAAATAAAAATAAAAAGCAGTGACAAAACTTGCCTGCACAGTGGGGGAAAAAAATTACAAAAATTAGCCAGGTGTGGCGGGCACCTGTAATCCCGGCTACTTGGGAGGCTGAGGCAGGAGAATTGGTTGAACCCAGGAGGCAGAGGTTGCAGTGAGCTGAGATGGCGCCACTGCCCTCCAGCCTGGGCGACAGAGCGAGAAGTCAAAAATAGCTAAGCATGGTGATGCATGTCATGCTACTCGGGAACCTGAGGCGGGAGGATGGCTTGAGCCTGGGAGATCAAGGCTACAGTGAGCCATGATTGCATCACTAAACGCCAGCCTGGGTGACAGAGTGAGATGGTCTCAGAGAAAAAAGCACACACCAGACTCTATCAACTCACCCAGTTGAGACCCTCCCCTGACTTCTCACACCAAGAATAATGTCCAAGCTCCTTCCTGCGGAGATTGGTACAACCCCGGCATGGTCTGGCCCCCACCTGGTGCCCCCAGCTCATGTCCCAGCACCTTCAGATTCTATGCCAGCTCCTCTGGAACACAGGTTCTAACCCAGGCTCATTCCCTCACGGGGACATGACATCACCCTGCTCCCTTGATACAGCTCATTCTGACAAGTCTTGTGTGTTTGGACTGTAAGTTCCATGAGGGCAGGGCCTTGTGTGTTCTCTAGTTCTGTTCCCAGAGCCCAGCACAGTCCCTGAACAGACTTTGGTCCCTTAGTAAAAGTTTGTTGAAATGGCTGCTTTGAGGAACGTTGAGGTTGGTACTATGTTACAGAATCAACAAGTGAGACTCAGAGGTTGGTCACAGTCCAGGGTCACACAGCGAGTACGAAAGATGAGCCAGGATTCAAACTCAGGATGCTCTGGATTGCAAAAGGCACATTCTGAACCCCTCTTCCTGTCTCCTGTCGTGTTCTTGGGCTACATACATGTGGATCACGTGAATAGGTTGTGGACATGTGTGCATCTTGTGTGTCCACATGTGTACACACCCATGTGGGAGCATACAGGGCAAAAGATTGTTATCCAAGCAGAGTGGACTCTGCAGGCTTCTTGGCATCCTACCCCCATTCATTTCTGCCCCTGTGCAGGCCCCCAAAACACATAACACCTTTATTAGTGAAATCAAAATGACTATGACTACTCAGGGATAGTCTTCCAGGTACAAGCTTTAATTAGTGTTGCGTAGAAATCACCATAGTAACATGTTCCTGCAAGAAGATTGACTTCATCCTAGCATTTTCTCCTTTGGGTGAAACACGCAGGAACAAGCCAAGGAGTGCGGTCTCATTAGTTGGATTTCCATCCTAAGGGATAAGAGTGGGAAAGGAACCTTTAATAGCTGAGCACTTCATGAAGTCAGTGACCTCCTTGACCTCCTGTAAGGTCTTACAACTACTCATTTGTGATTGAATATGGGACATAGATAGAGTTTAGACTACCGTCAGTGTCCTTTTGACCTATGTGAATCCAGGTATCCATCCATTTATCCCTTCCATTTGTCATCCACCCATTCATTAGTTCACTCATTCCATTCATTTATTCAACATTTCTTTCCCATTCTATCCCATTAGTCTAGATATCTATTCTTCTCTCTGTTTATTCAATTACTCTATATTACTCTATTAAGATAATATTTAACCAATCAAACCAACCCATCAAAACTTCTACAACTATTTAACTCTATTTCTAACCAATTCATCCACCAACCACAATCTTCAAACTGATCATCTACCTAACCAACCAAATAACTAGCCAGCCAGTGCATTCATCCATTTATCCATCCATCCAGCTAATCGTATCCAAACTTCCTATCATTCAGCCAATGCATTCTTCCAACTATCCTTTCTATAACCTATTTATTGTTTACCCACCCAGTCATCCACCCAACCTCTCAACTCCATTCATGCTTTCATCTAGCTTATCTGCTATCTGTCCATCTTTCCATCCTCCTAATCAACCCATCCAATTTCAAAGAGACTTTCCGTCAATGTATCATACATTCAGCTAGCCAACTGCCATTGTTTCTCTTCTCCCTCTTCCTTCTTGCCTGTGGTTCCTTTGTGACCTGGCTGCAGCCTTCCTCTCACTGCCCCCAAGGTCTGCTCTCCATCATCTGTGGGCTCGGTGGCCCTTCCCCACCTCCTTAAAGGGTACCTGAGCTCCGCGTCTTGGTTTTGTACACCTGCTGGATCCTCTTGGCCATTTTTTTCTTTTTCAGCTTGCCTTCCAAGTTCTTTCTGTTCTTGGGGCAGCGGCAGTGCAGGATGGTGGGCCGCATGGGAGAGTGGTGGGAGTTCATAGTCTTTTTGTGGCGCTTTGGTGGTGGACTAGTGTTGGGACTCTGGCTCTGGTGGCCGGATGAGCTGTGGGCTCCAGTTGGGTTGCGGTGGCTGGCCGGGCTCTGGCTGGAGCTCTGGCTCCGGCTGCCACGATGGCTCTGTCTGCAACTCTGGCTGAAGGTTTGGCAATGGCGGGTGCAGGTGCGGCTTTGGGGCTGAGAGTTGCTATGGAGCTGAGTGTGGGTGATAGGAAGGCTGTGAGTCTGGGTGTCCATAGGAGGCCACGTTTGGAGGGGCAGGGCCTCCTCCTCATCCTCTCCCAGCAGGCCTAGCTTTACAGAGGCCCTGGCAGCCCACCTGGTTATATAGTTGGGGCTGATTATGATGGCCCAGGCCACAGGGGTGTGAGAGATGTGGCTCAGCCAAGACAAAGCCCCCTACCCCTTACCCTCACCCCCAGGCTGGGGCAGCTCTCAGGGGTACCCTGGGGATAGTCCCAGCTACTGGTTCAGGGTAGGAGCCCTTGGGTCAGATTAAGCTGAGTCTGCATCCCAGATCTGCTTTTTCCACATGGTCAGCCCTGGGAATTCGCCTGAACAAGTCCCAGTTTCCCCATCTCTGCAGAATAGGGATAATAATTGTACTGACCTCATTCGGACATTAGAAGAATTATTAATAAAGGAGAGAATTTATATCAAGCAGTTAGCTCAGGCCCAGCCCACAATAAGAGCTCAGTAAACATCACTGACCAGCATCATCAGGTGTTTTTCTTAACGCCCTGGGCAACTTGGGTACCAGGAGTGCAGCCCTGACCCTGGTGATGGCAGCTGAATGGTGGGCAGTTGTTAAGACAGATGATTAGTGCCCAGATGATGGGGAGGTGATGAATTGGTCAGATGGCTTGGTGGATGGATGAAAGATGAGTAACCACATGGACCAAGGGGTGGTCCTGGGGCTCGCTTGGCAAGCCTACCTCCCCAGCCAGATCTAAAGTCGGGAAATTCAGAGCCGGGTTCAAATCCCAGTTTGCACTGATGTCCAGTCTTGGGTAGGCCATTGTGGTTTCTGAGGCTTAATTGCCGTATGTGACAAAGGGGTGTCTTTCCTTCTTTCCTGGTATTCTCGTGAGCCTGAGATGCCTGTCAAGCTACAGGAGGCCCTTGGAAACCCGTCTCTCTCCTTCAGTTTCTGCCTCTTGATTCTCCTCCCCTTCCTGCTAACGAAGCCTCGCCATACCGTTTGAATCACGCCGTCCCTGCTCAGATACCCCAGTACCTCTAGAAGAAAGCCCAGACTTATGTTTGAACACTAAGCCATTTGATCTTCTAGTCTTTGGGTTTCCATCCAGAGCCCTCCACCCCTCCCTGTCTTGGCCGATGCCTTTGGGCTTAGCCCTTGGCCCTGTACTTTCCCACTTCTCTCTGCATGGAACTTCCTCTGTCTCTGTCTGTCCTCCCCGAGCAGGCCTCCGGCCCAAGCCAACCTCTCACTCTGCCCATGTGCAACTTTGCCTCTTGCTATGAGGATTTGCAATCGTCTGCTTTTATGGAAGTTTTTTTCTTTTTCTTTTTCTTTTGAGAAAGGGTTTTGCTGTGTTGCCTAGGCTAGAGTGCAGTGGCACAATTACAGCTCACTGCAGCCTCCACCTCCTGGACTCAAACGATCCTCCCACCTCAGCCTCCCAAGTAGCTGTGACTACAGGTGCATGCCACCACACCTGTCTAATTTTTTTATTTTTATTTTTGTAGAGATGGGGTCTCACTTTGTTGCTTAGGTGGGTCTTGAACTCATGAGCTCAAGGTTTTCTCCTGCTTTGGCCTCCCAAAGTGCTGGCACTACAGGCATGAGCCAATATGCCCAGCCTTTGCAGTTTATTTCTTAATAAACATTTCAAATTTCTTACAGTGAGAACTGCTTTCATTTACTGAATGCTTTCTATGTGGCTGGGCTCTGGACCTTACCCTCTCCAGGCAGCTTTGCCCTCAAACCTCACAGTGACCCTTTGTAGTGGAATGAATGGCAACCCCCAAAAATCTATGTCCACGTTATAACTCCTAGAACTTGTCAATGTGATATTTGGAAAAGGGGTCTTTGCAGATGTAATTAAGCTAAGAATCTTGAGATAAGCATGTTGGCTTAGCTGGTGGGCCCTAAATCCAATGATAAATGTCTTTATGAGAGACAGAAGAGGTGTCACCCAGGGAGAAGAGGAAACCATGGGAAGATGGAGACGAGCTTGGAGTTGTATGAGCTAGAGGAGGCAAGGAAGGATTCTCTGCTAAGGCCTCCGGAGGGAGATCAGCCCAGCTGGCACCTCGACTTCAGACTTCTGGCCTCCAGAACTGCAGAGAATACATTTCTGTTGTTTTAGCCACCAAGTTTGTGGTCATTTGGTATGGCAGCCCCAAGAAACTTATGCACCCCATGAGGCAGATACTATGATTACATTTAGCAAAGAGGGAACAGGCTCAGAGAGGTGGAGTAACCAGCCCAGAGTCCCTTAGCCGATCACGGCAGAGCCAGTCATATTCAGGTCTGGCCTCCTCTCGAGGTCACTAAGGGATTCTCGGCGATTAGAGGGACAGCTGCAGCAGGGTTCTCAGGGCCCTGCCTTGGGTGGCCTCAGCAGGTCCGGTTGTGGGGTATATGCTAGACCAAGCCGTGAAGACTCTCTGGGTCTCTGGACCCCCCTTCCCATGGTCTCCTGCTCCTCCACTGCCAACGCCCCACTTTCCCATCCTGAAGCACATAGCCTGGAATGGAGATCGTGGCCTGCCATCAACCAGCCTCTCCTCCACACACCTTTCCAGTCCTCCCAGGGAGGGCTGACCTCTCCCAGCAGCGGGTGTGCGGCACGTCACGTACCTGCCCCCGCACCCATGACAGTGAACTCTCTCCCAGGACAGCGGGGACTATGTTTTATTACCAGGGCTCCTTGTGACTAGCACCATGTGGGGCATACAACAGGGACTCAGCTCATGTTTCCTGGGCAAATGAATGGGTGGGTGGACCTTTGGGCCTTGGACAAAAGGACAAGGCTGACCAACCGAGTCATTTGTGGGTCTGGGAGTAGTGGGATAACAGGGCCTCCCTTGCCCTAGGCCATTGCCGGGCAGAGCCGTGGCCTCCCCACAGGGTAGCCCAAGGCTCCTTCCTACGTCAAACATGGCCCCCAGAGAAACCGAGGCTTCCCTGAAAATTCCCCATCCCCCAGCCCCACTGCCACGGTACCAACTAGGATCCCCTCGGGAACAGGGGATCAGCTGATCCAGAGAATTAGCTCAAGGTGGCTGGTGCTTGGAGGACTGTGAGGGAATGTGGTGGAGATCGCATTTGTGGCTTCTTTGGGATGGAAGGAGTGAGGGAGGAGCCGGCAGTAGGGTGGGCAGCAGACGCACTCCGAAGCTCCTTGCGGAAGGCGCACCGAGCCCAGAGCGAGAGGATGGGGCCTAGGTTCTGTGTCTGTACCCAGTCGCCTCCCTGGGCCTCTTTTGCCTACTGCTCTCATGGGGTACTGTCTCCGCCCCCAGGGCTAGACCCCTTGAAGAAGGCGGGAGTGAGCTTCCAGGTAGGGGTGCAGGTGGTTGCCAGCAGCATAGACTGGCAGTGGAAGAGTCTGCAGCCAAGAAGGACCTAGAGGAACCACCATGACCCCAGCAACAATCCCTGTCCTAGCTCAGCACTGACTGGTGCCAGGCCTGGTCCCACCCATCACTTGAGCTAATTTTTCTGATCATCTGACCCATGAGTAGCTATTAGCTTCCCCTAAACGCTGGGAGGGGCAGCCTGAGGCTCAAAGACACGCAGTGACTTGCTCAAGGGCACGCAGCTACCAGAAAAGAAGTTTGAACCCAGGTCTGCTGAACTCCCAAGCCAGTGTTCTTAAAAGACGGTCCATAGTTGGGGCAGCACAGTGGGGACTGCGATGAAGGCAGTTACCCTGTCCCGCTGGATGCTCTCGGCTGGGGTGTGCTGGGACTCGCAGAGGAATTTCCCGTCCCAGAGATGGGAAGATTTGGCGGAGATGATTTCCCCCTCTCAAAGCCCCTCAACCTCTGGCTGGGGCTTGGGAACAAGGTCACCGAGCCTTGCTGTTCAGCCTTCCTTGGCAGCTGGCCTCCCTCCGTGTGCACCCACACACACACGCCTTCACACACGTGCACACGTGGGGCCAGAAGGGATAGGGTGAGGGGAACCAGAGACAGGGAGGATTCCTCAGAGACTTTTTATTGACTCTTCTCTGAACACTGTCGCCGGAGCAGCAGTGGGCGTCCCTTCCTGGGCCTTCGTTGCGGGTCAGGAGGGTGTCCGCTTGGGCTCGGGGCTCTGCTGGGCCTCGGCGTTGTCCTTGTGGCCCTCCTCCTGCCGCTCAGGCTCCAGCAGCAGCAGCTTGCCCTGCACCGGCAGCTCTTCTTTCTCCTCCTCTTCCCCCTCCTCCTCCTCTTCCTCCTCTTCCTCGCCCGCTGATGACAAGGAGAAGTTATCCTGACTCACACAGGCCATGAGCTTTTTCATGGAGGATTCGTGGCCCCGGCCATGGCCCGTGCTGTGGCCTGGGCTGTGGCCTGGGCTCTGGCCTGTGTTGAGCTTGGCACAGCGGGAACCCATGGTCTACGTTGCCTGTCTCTCTGGGCAAGGAGGTGAGGCGGTGGGTGAAGGGGCTGCGAGTGGGGGCAGGATGCTGACATCACAAAGGGAGCCCATCCCCACTTGGGAACCTGGGTCTGAGCCAACAGTTAACTCACACCTCAGCCACTGGCAGCTCCCAGCCCCCACAGGGGAGGTCTGCAAGGCTGAGCACTGGGGCCAGTTCGGATGCCACACCATAGTCCTCATTTGCCCTGGAGAAAGTTTCCCTTGTAGCTGGGATGGGAGTTAGGGATTGAATTTCTAGAAGCAGGAGGGGCACACACAGACTCCTCCCCACATCCCAGAAATCGCCAGCCAGAGAGAGCTGTCTCTGTTGAGTTTCTTGACTGTTAACCCTTGGAAATAAATCATCAAGCTGTGTGCTTAAAATGTATGCACTCTGTAAGCTCATAAAACTCAGGAACCCTTGGAAGTCTTCCTTCGGGGGCCTGAAAGTGTGAAATCTTCTTGAAAGGCAATGGCTCCTAAGCATTGTTTGTTTGTCCAAGGCATGGGAACAGGCCAGAAACCAAGCTGGGATGAACAAGGGGTTGCTTTGTCCCTGACTGATGCAAGATGGACACCACCAACCAGAGGCCACTCTACCCAGGTCAGGGTGGAGTGACATCCTCTTAAGTGTTTTGGGGCCACAGAGAAGACATCATGGAGCTGCCCCTTGGCAAGGTTCCACATCTGTGCAGCACAATTTCAGCATGGGGGGAGGGGGTTTAGGACTTTGTCTTTTATACATTGAAATGAGTCGTTTGTACACTGCAATGGTATTTTTTAAATATAAATTTTTTGAGGCCAGGCGTGGTGGCTCACACCTGTAATCCCAGCACTTTGGGAGGCGAGGCAGGCAGATCATCTGAGGTCAGAAGTTCGAGACCAGCCTGGCCAACATCGTGAAACCATGTCTTTACTAAAAATACCAAAAAAAAAAAAAAAAAAAAATTTGTTTAGCTCCTTCAGCTACTCAGGAGGTTAGGGAGGAGAATCAGTTGAACATAGGAGGTGCAGGTTGCAGTGAGCCAAGATCGCACCACTGCACACCGCCCCAGTGACAAGAGCGAAACTCCGTCTGTTTTTTTTTTTGTTGTTGTTGTTTTGTTTTCAGAAACTCGTTGCTTCCTAAAGATTGGTCATTTCTGAGCACCAGAAATCCATTTGCCAACATATGGATTGGATCTTGCCAGTCTTATCCCCCCAGTCCTCAGTGGCTATGGTTGGCTAAGGTTGGCACTCTCCGAAGTGCCCCCTTCCTGATCCTGGAATCTATGATGTAAGGATTGTGAGATGGGGAGGTTATCTTGGGTTGTCCAGAAAGTCCCTCAGTGCAATCACAAGGGTCCTTGATTTCAGACAGGAGGGAGGAGTGATGCAGCCACAGGCCGAGGAGAGCAGGCAACAAGGATCGGATTCTGCCTGGGTCTCCAGAGGCTTCAGCCAGCACAGGCCTCACACAGCGCAGCCCATTACTCTGCATTCATCTACTCCTTGCCTTTTGCCGTCTCTGTGCTGACCAAGTTGTTGCTGGAGCATGCCAGACCTGTTTCCCACCTCGAAGCTGTGGCCTGCACTGAGCAGTGCCCCCACCTCTGCCCCCACCGTTTACACTTCCAACCACCCAACACTCAAGATGGGTTGTGTTTTTAAACTGTGGCACACAGTAGGCATTTAAATATGGCCACAAGGTGCCTTGGCATCTTTGTGACTTAATTAGGACTCGATCTGTTCTAACCATTTTCTCCTTTCATGAGGTAGGATCAGGTTCTTCACTGGAGGGGGATCCAGACAGACTAATGTGGCCTTTGACACCATGGAAGGATGCACAATAGACAGGACAGCATCATAGGGTGGCCTCCCAGGCACAGTAACCCTCTCCTAGGTGTCCTGAGAGCATCAGAACTCCCGCCCTACCTGCCTCTGAGGAAGGGCTGCAGAGAAGCCTCTACCCGCCCTGGGCGTGAGGGAAGCCAGGTTTGTGTGATTCGTGCAAAGAAAACCCGACAGGCCAGCGAGTGTCTTGTCAAGCTTTATTGGGCAGGTGACTTTTGCTCGTTTCACTCAGATCTTGTGGGCTTCTCGGCGGCAACTCAGGGCTTGAGCATTTGATGTAGGGGAGTTGCTATGGCCTCACTCGGTGTTTCTTGGGCAGGTGACTTTCTCTTAACTTCCAGCTGGGGGCTTGAGCATTTGATGTAGGGGAATTGCTATGGCCTCACTTGGTGTTTCGGGCGACTTTTTCTTAATTTCCAGCTGGGGGTGAGGGGCCCAGGAAGCTTAGTGCCTTCTGCATGTTCTCTTCCTGGTTCTGCAGCCTTTTGGGAAAGAAAGTTCTGGTTGAGGGGGTCACCTAGGGACTCTGGGTGGGGACGGGGGTTAGGGGGCTGGAGCTTTTGTCAGGTGGGGTGGGTCCCCGCCTCCCTCCTGTGCCTGGGGTGGTCAGGGACATGCAGGGCAAGGCGGGGGCGCAGGCAGACCTCTGCGATGCCTCCTCCGGTGCCTGCAGGAGCGTCTTTTGCGCCTTCTGCAGGAGCGATGCTGCCGCCTGTGGATCCGGTGCAGCCTCCTTCGAGAGCAGTGTCTGCGCCTATAGTGAGACTGGCCATGGGTCCTCTCGTAGACCTCGACGTGCTCCGGGCTCAGCCCTTGCTCCTCTTGGCCGTGGTGTCCTTGCTCTTGCCCATGCAACTGCTGCCTGTACACCTCGTGCGAGCGTTCGCTCAGGCTCCTCACGCGGTATCGGACCATGGTGTTGGGAGATCTGGTGGCTCCTGGGCTGAGGCTGCAGTGGGCCCTGGAGTAGGGGAGGAGGGCGGAGGCCTGCCCACCTGCCCTTGGTGTTACTGTTGGTCTGGTCTGCAAGGCTCCCCGGGAGCTTGTATATAAAGGGGGCGCCCACTATGACTCTGCGGCCCCGCCCAGTCCCCACCCTGCCCAGCCTCCTCTGTGAGGGCAGCACAGGGCCAGGGGTCACAACTAGCAGGGCCCTGGCACCCAAGCTGCAGGGCTGGAAGGGCGAGAGACCCCCTTGCCTTGCCTGTAAAGCATGTCCTCTGTCTCTTGCAGTAGGTGAACCATACAGATGGCAGGTGTTTTATTGCCTAATCCAAGCCCTCATCTCCCCAAGCCGGTGGGTGCGCACATTGTCATTTGGAAGCTTCCTTGCCAACTCACTGCTGTGCCACAGCCACCATGTGGAAGGGACTTCCGTGCTTGGATCTCTGTGCACACAGCTTACTGTTAAGATGGCAACAGCAGCAAACAGTTCCCTAATAGCTCCTATGTGCCAAGCATTGATTCATTTATTTCCCATACATTCACTCATTCTCTCTCTCTCTCTCTCTCTCTCTCTCTCTCCTCTTTTTGTTTTGAGGCACTGTCTGTCGCCCAGGCTGGAGTGCAGTTGTGCAATCATGGATCATAGCAGCCTCTACCCCTCCAGCTCAGATGATCCTGCCACCTCAGCCTCCCGAGTAGCTGGGACTATAGGCGTGTGCTGCCACTCCCAGCTAATTTTTTGTATTTTTTGTGGAGATAGATAGGGTTTCACCATGTTGCCCTGGCTGGTCTCACACTCCTGGCCTCAGTGAGCCTCCCATGTCGGCCTCCCAGAGTGCTGGGATTACAGGTGTGAGCCACCACCCTTGCATTCCTCACTCTTACAATCCTCATTTTCTGTGGGGCAAACAGGCATGAAGAAGTTGAGTTGCTCAAGGCCACTCTGCTGAGAAGGCCAGGCCGGGCCAGCATTCAGACGGAGACAGCCTGGTTTTAGTCATACCCTTGGCTCTCCACCTCCTCCCTAGCCCAGGGAATGCTCCCCTCTCCGCCTCCAAAATATTCATCTTCTCCCCTCCCGCTCGGCCTTGCCGGGGCTTCTCATTGAACTTTGATGATCCCATTAAAGTCCGGGATCAGAATCACAGAAACTGCAAAACCAGTTTCCCTTTCATGGAGGGCAGGGAGAATGTGGGAATGTGGCAGATACACAAATTTAAGGACTTGAAGATGCAGAGATCATCCCAGATGATCTGGGTTGGCCCAGTGCAGTCACGAGGGTCCTTAGAAGAGAGAATAGGGAGGCAGGAGGGTCACAGGAAGAGAAACTGGGAGACACCACACTGCTGGCTTTGAAGATGGAGGGAGAGGCTATAAGCCAAGGGATGCAGGCGGCCTCTAGAAGCTGGGATGGACAAGGAAATGGGTTATCCTCCCCTCGTGCATCCAGGAGGAACACAGCCCTGCTGACCCCTTGATTTTAGCCCCATGAGACTTCTTTCAGAATTCTGACCTGCAGACCTGTAAGATAATGCATTTATGTTGTTTAAAGCTACAAAATTTGTGATGATCTGTCACAGTGGCAATAAGAAACAAATTCAGGAGGCTTAATCTTCAGATCCTTACAGGAGGTGATGGGTGATATTGCCATGCCCTTGGTGTTTCTATGCTGCCTCTCTTTAGGGATAAGAAGGTCCTTTATGATGGCCCTCAAGCTCTTCGAGGGCGCGTGTTAAAAATATGAATGCTGAGGCCTTACCCTACGTCCCGCTAAGTCAAATCTCCATGGCCAAAGCTTGCAGATGAAAATAAGAAGGGGCGGGGCAGGGCTCGGTGGCTCACACCTGTAATCGTAGCACTTTGGGAGGCTGAGGCGGGTGGATCACCTGAGGTCAGAAGTTCAAGACCAGCCTAGTCAACATGGTGAAACCCTGTCTCTACTAAATATACAAAAATTAGCCGGGAGTGGTGGCGGGCGCCTGTAATCCCAGCTACTCAGGAGGCTGAGGCAGGAGAATTGCTTGAACCCAGGAGGCAGAGGTTGCAGTGAGCTGAGATGGCACCATTGCGCTCCAGCCTCGGCAACAAGGGCGAAACTTCGTCTAAAAAAATAAAATAAAATAAAATAAACATAGGAAGGGGCTGGGTGTGGTGGCTCACACCTGTAATCCCAGCACTTTGAGAGGCCGAGGTGGGAAGATCACTTGAGCCCAGGAGTTTGAGACCACCCTGGGCAACATAGTGAGGGCTCTGTCTACAAAAAATAAAAAAAATAGCCTGGGTCCATGGTGGCATGTGCCTGTAGTTCCTGCTACTCAGGAGGCTGAGATGGGAGGATTGCTTGAGCACAGATCAAGGCTGCAGTGAGCCACGTTCACACCACTGCACTCCAGCCTGGGTGACAGAGCAAGACCCTTATCTCAAAAAAAAAAAAAAAAAAGGCACACCCAGGGGTCTGCCTGTCCAGCCAAGCTGCTATCATGATCCGAGTGTGTTATGGGGAGTCATTGCTAAAGTGATCAGGGTCATGGTAGTGCCAGGGCTAGCACTGAACTCTCATGTGCTCACTTGAAAGAACATGGTTGTTGATACCCACCGTAGGTGAGTGCAGTGGCTCATGCCTGTAATCACAGCACTCTGGGAGGCCAAGGCAGGAGAATCGCTTGAGCCCAGGAGTTTGAGACCAGCCTGGGCAACATAGTGAGACCTCGTCTCTACAAAAAAATTAGAAAAATTAGCCAGGCAAGGTGGTGCATGTCTGTGGTCCCAGCTACTCAGGAGTCCAGGAGGCTGAGGTAAGGAAATCACTTGAGCTCAGGAGATTGAGGCTGCAGTGAACTGTGTTTGCGCTACTGCACTCTATTCTAGCCTGGGTGACAGAAAGAGACCTTGTCTCAAAAAAAAAAAAAAAAGGAAGTGATGTATGCAGAATACCAGGCACACAGTTGGTGTCCCATAAACAGAAGTCATACTGTGACATTTCTGAGGTGCTTGGTGGGCCCTGTCACTTCAGGGAACTGGGTCTCAGAGCCTCTGGTCTCTGCCAAAATGCTCTGGGTTTGCTCTACCATCAGGAAATGACTGTGACCCAGGGCCTGTGTCAAGGAATCGGAGAGGTGGGCTTTCTTAGGCTGTGGGTGAGCCAAGGAGACCAGTGCCCAGCAGGACTTCTTATGTCCTTCCCCAGATCTCACTGGGGTCTTAAACTCTTGCCTTAGAAATTTTAGTATAGGTGGTATATCAAGCAGCTTGAGTGTGGACTTAGATCCGACCAGATGGACAAGTTAACCTTTGTTTCTTCGGTGGACATAACGTTGTGAAACCGTGCCCCAAAGAGTAAAGAAACCGGTGGTTAACAAAAATGTTTGAGTTTACAGGATGGCAGATAAGAGACTTCCTTAATGGTGCTTGATTAAATGTGAAAAGTTCAGCTCCACTGCTACCTGGACAAGTTATCTCTGTACCCAAATGGGGATGAAAACTTCTGGCACAGAGTGAGGAATAAGCAGTTTTGAATTTAATTTTCCTGATGGTGACTGGCTTAATCTATTTAAGTTATAACCTAAGAGTTCCTTTGTTGAAGAGTGGAAATTTCAGCTTTGGGCTGAAATAAACCCGGGTGGGCAGCTAGGGGACAGGTCAGATGGGATGAGCTGGTTCAATCTTGAGCTCCAGCTGGTAAATGTTTAACTGGCTTTGGGGTTCCTGGGATGGAGGGAACCCAGATTTGTAGCATTTGCTGATTTCTGTAAATACTCCATGGTCCATTTCAAGCTGCCAAGATGAGGTCACCAAGCAGAGTGGGGAAATGTACACAGTGGGTCCTCAAACTCGAGAGACCTGGATAGAGCACCCCACTGGGTAGGGATCTGTTAAGAGGGTTTAGGAGGCAGGTTCTGGTTGTGACTTGGGGAGACTGGTTCTTGTTGTATCTTAGGGAGGCAGGTTTGGGTTGTGACTTGTTGGTACTACTAAGAGTTTGGAACAATGGCCAGGTGCAGTGGCTCATGCCTGTAATCCCAGCACTTTGGGAGGCCGAGGCAGGTGAATCATGAGGTCAGGAGATCGAGACCATCCTGGCTAACACAGTGAAACCCCGTCTCTACTAAAAATACAAAAAATTAGCCAGGTGTGGTGGCGGGCACCTGTAGTCCCAGCTACTCGGGAGGCTGAGGCAGGAGAATGGAGTGAACCTGGGAGGCGGAGCTTGCAGTGAGCCAAGATCGCGCCACTGCACTCCATCCTGGGCGACGGAGCGAGACTCTGTCTCAAAAAAAAAAAAAAGTTTGGAACAAAACCCAGCGTGACAACTGTCTTTCATGTCCCCCCCACCGACATCTTTCTCCCGTTGCATGCCCAGGCCCTCTCCCCCTCTGCTCATCCCCGAGCCCTCCTCCCCACTGAGCCTCCCCTCTCAAGAACAAGGAGAGAAGAGTGGGATGACTTTTCAACATTTATTGACAGGCGGCATTGTTCCTTAGCAGGCTCCTGATTTTTATTGGATGGTGGCATTTTCAAGATGTGGCAAGAGGATCTTGAAGTCTGGTAACATTCTCAGGCAGGAGTTTGGTGGATGTGCTATTTTGTGCAATTAGTGTCTTCTACATCGCGGTCTGTACCTGGGGCGGCAGCACCCTGGTGAGACCAAGAAAAGTGGTGAGAGGAAGGCTGGGCCCTGAGAGCTCCCAGCCTCAGCCCCAGCCCACCCTCAGCTGGGCCCACTTACTCATGGCTCTCCTCCGTGTCTGGCAGCTCCGCCTCCTTCGTCTGCGACTTCTTTGTCTCTGGCGGTAATATCTGCTCCGGCTCTGGCTGCGACAGCATCTGTACCTGGCCATGGTGCAGGATGGGCTTGGCCTGAATGCTCAGAGCAGGGCACCACCTTGGCTGAGCCAGCCAACCTGTGAGCAGGTGGAACTCTGTGGGCTGTGAGTCAGGGGCCAGCTCTGCGGCCTGTTATAGATGCCAGGGGGCCGTTGGTCATTGTGAGGGCAAAGGGGCTGGGACCTCACAAACCATGGCCAGGTGGCCTGCATCATGTCCATATATGGGCATTTGAGAGGCGGGCAGGCCCCCGAGTGTAGGGGCTGCCTATGTCACAGCTGGGGCGATACAAGATGACTCCTCCGTGGGAGCAATCATCTAGTTATTCAATTAACAAAATATTACTGTTAATATTTTGGCCTGTTCCATGCCGGATTTTGGCCTAGGCCCTGGTATATAGTGATAAACAAGACAGACATGCCCTTGTTAAGAAGTATTATTATTATTATTTTATTTTTTTAATTACTTATGTATTTTGTTTATTTTTTTGAGACAGAGTCTCATTCTGTCACCCAGGCTGGAGTGCAGTAGCACAATCTTGGCTCACTGCAACCTCTGCCTCCTGGGTTCAAGCAAACCTCTGGCCGCAGCCTCCCGAGTAGTTGGGACTACAGACATGCACCACCACACTCAACTAATTTTTGTATTTTTAGTAGAGATGGGGTTTCGCCATGTTGGCCAGGCTTGGTCTCGAACTCCTGACCTCAAGTGATCTGCCCGTCTCAGCCTCCCAAAGTGCTGGAATTACAGGCATGAGCCACCGTGCCTGGCCATTATTATTATTTGTAGAGACGGGCTTTCCCTATGTTGCCCAGGCTGGTCTCAAACTCCTGACCTTGAGCAAATCTCCTGCCTCTGCCTCCCAAAGCACTGGGATTACAGATATGAGCCACCACACCCTGCCCCTAATAGACTTTATAATCTAACTACAGAAAGCATGAATGAAACAGCCCTGAAGAATAATTGTAATAGTGACAAATGCTGATAATGGAAACCTCGGGTTTCTGAGGATATGTGCTGGGAGAACTTGACCTCAGGTGAGGCTCTAGGGAGAGCCCCAAAGGGGTGCTGGCGAAGTGAACCCTAAATGGATGCTATAGTAAGAGGAGGGAGGAGCACCTGGGAAGAAAGAGCTGCTCCTGCAACTGTTCTGAGGCGGTGCAGGATGTGCAGTTCTGTTTCTATGCAGGGCCAGGCAGCAGGGGATCCGTGGAGACAGAAAGTGATCGGGGTGACCAGGGCGGGTGGAGCAGGGAGCAGCTGTGCCATGGGTGGGGGGCTTCCTTGTGGGCTGATGCTTTGGAACTTGATAGAGGCGGTGGTTACACAACATTGTAACTGTACTAAATGCCACTGAATTACACACTTTATTTATTTATTTAATTTTGAATGAACGAATGACAGGGTGTCGCTCTGTCGCTCAGGCTGGAGTGCAGCGGCGCAATCTTGGCTCACTGCAAACTCCGCCTCCTGCTTCAAGCGATTCTCCTGCCTCAGCCTCCCAAGTAGCTGGGATTACAGACGCCCGCCACCACACCTGGCCAATTTTTGTATTTTTAGTAGAGATGGGGTTTCACCTTGTTGGTCAGGCTGGTCTCGAACTCCTGACCTCAAGTGATCTGCCCGCCTCAGCCTCCCAAAGTGCTGGGATTACAGGCATGAGCCACCACACCTGGCCTTGAATTACACACTTTAAAATGATGTATTTTATGTTACCTGACTTTCAGCTCAATTGCAAACACGAAAAGCTGTGAGGCCAAAAGGTGCTAACAGGTGTGAGGGATTGGAGCAGAGCATGGTGCAGGGCACTGGTCATGGTGTGGTCTTTTCCACAGCCCCATGGATTTTAAGGGTAAAGAGGGGAGCAGTTAGAATTGGTTTGGCTACTTAAACAGAAAACCGAAATGAGTGAGTTGGGTGGAAGTTTTATGTTTTTCTTAAGGAGTCAGAGGTGATTTCGGGGGTCATTAGATTGTCCCTGTTTGGGGGATACACATGCTGGAGGATTTAGGGGTGATGACATATGTTTGCCAACTACTCTCAAGGATTTACCCATAGAGAAAGAGGGAGAAGAAGGGAGAGAGAGGAGACAGAGATGGGGGCGGGGAGCTGAACAGATGTGACAGAACGTTCACAACTGGCCATGCCAGGCGCGGTGGCTCACACCTGTAATCCAGCTCTTTGGAAAGATCGGCTGAGCCCAGGAGTTCGAGACCAGCCTCGGCAACATAGAGCCCATCTCTACAAAAATAAAAAAAAAATAAAAAAGATTTTTTTGAAAAAACAATTGGCCAATCTGTGTAAAGGGGAGGTGTTTGTCAGGGGTTCTTGCAAGTTTTCTGAAATTTTGAAATTATTTCAAAATAGATTATTAAATTTTTTTAAAAAGAACAAAAGAAAACCCAGGGAGGTCAGCCAGGGCTGGTGTGAGGCTCCATCCTTTTCAAGGGTCCAGGCTTTTGTCTTTTAGCTCTGCCTTCAGCAAGTGCTTTCCATCCACAAAGTTGCCTCATAGTCCAAGATCAGGGCTGCCAGGGATGGTTGTGCAGTTTGTGTCCTGCTCCAAGCTCCCTGCCAAAGGGATTGAGTAGGGACTGAAATCCAGCCTGTGGTCTACTTGCCACTCCAGGCCCTGTACTCACAGGGAATGTTTCAGCCCATCGGAGCTGTCTTTTTCCTAATTTGCCTGCTCACAGCAGAAGTCTCTTCCAAATTTGAACAAAGGCACACTAAGGGCTAAACTTGGCCCTGCTGGAGTCCCACCCATATCCACCGTGCAAGCAGGAAGGAGAAAGAGGAGGGGTGGCAAAGGGAGTTCTTGTCTCTTTTTTAGAGACAAGGTCTAGCTCTTTTGCCCAGGCCGGAGTGCAGTGGCGCAATCATAGCTCACAGCAGCCTCAATGGAATCCTCATGGTATAAAGAGCTTTCCCAGATGCCCTGTCCAGCAACTTCCCCTTCTGATCACTGGCCTCCCTGCAAAAGCACACTGCCCCCTGGGGTAAAGCAGGGCTCCTAGAAAGGAGAAGGGGCTGATGGATACCAGGTAGACAGTTAGTACTCTCTTCCCCGAAGGGGATGGAGCCCACCCCTGACCCCAGCAAGATGGGGAAACCATGAATTTGAAGCTAAAGTCTATTGTCACTAAGAGGGATACAGTAGCACATAGTAGGTTAGCAGTAACTTTTCATTAATTGATTCAGATCTAGATTGAGGTAAAATTGTTACCCCCAATCCTCTAACACTTACTTTTTTTTGTTTGGTTGGTTTTTTTGTTTGCTTGTTTGTTTTTTAGATGGAGTTTTGCTATTGTTGCCCAGGCTGGAGTGCAATGACACCATCTTGGCTCACTGCAACCTCTGCCTCCCAGGTTCAAGCGATTCTCCTGCCTCAGCCTCCTGAGTAGCTGGGATTATAGGCATATGTCACCACGCGTGGCTAATTTTTGTATTTTTAGTAGAGACGGGGTTTCACCATTTTGGCCAGGCTGGTCTCAAACTCTTGACCTCAAGTGATCCACCCACCTCAGCCTACCAAAGTGCTAGGATTACAGGCGTGAGCCACCACACCCAGTCCAGGGTGACTATCAATCTTCGACATCTCATCAGGTTCCTCTGAGACCATGTGAGTTACCCTGTCTCTACTAAAAAGACAAAAATTAGCTGGGATGGTGGCTCTTGCCTGTAATCCCATCTACTCAGGAGGCTGAGGCAGGAGAATCACTTGCTGGGGTTACAGGCATGAGCCACTTTGCCCAGCCACAGAGATTAGTTCTGAGTTCTGGGAAGAGGATGCCCTGGAGCTAGGCGGTGGGGACATTTGGCCTCGTCTGGGATCTTGAAGCCTTCCGTGGTCATCTGAAATTTTGGGTTTGTCACAGCAGCTGGCTGTTACTCTAATACAGTACTTGCCACTCACTGATACTGTGTTTATAATTTGTCTCCCCAAGTGGGATGGAAGTTCAGTGAGACTTTCTTTTGTTCAGTGTGACAATCCTAATACTGAGAATAACCTGAACTAAAAGGAACTGAAATATTTGTTGAATGAATAAGTGAATGGCAAATGGATGCTTTGTATGATAGGATTCTTTTCTTGGCTTTTTCCAAATCTAAAATTGTGTTATCATGATTTTTAAAACGACGTTTAGCTTCTCCCTGCCAGCCACCCCACTTCTGTTGGGTATTGTCCTTGGCACTGGCGATTAGAAATCACCAAGACTCCTGCCAGTTAAACACACGCTGAGTCTCATAAGGGGACATCCAATACTGTTCCCTGAGGTCCTAATTGGGCAGCCACATGGCTTGTCCCTCTGCCGACCCCCACGTCTGTGTTGTCACAGTGGCCTCTCACCCCCGCCCTGTTCAAGGAAAGACATCACCAAAGGAGGAAGGCAGGGGTAGGGGATATGTGCCCTGCTGTGCCACTGGGAGGGGTGAATGCAGGCAGTTCATTCCCAGAATAATGAAAGGATAATTTAGCAGTAAGATGACAGTGTTTTAAATGTGCCATCATAGCCACAATTCCATAGTCAGGGATTTATCCCAAAGAAATTCTCCTGCGTGTTCATACAGGTGTGAGATGGAGGGTGTTCATTAAAGCATTGTTTGTGGGGGAAAATTAGAAATCGCTTAATGTTCATCTTAAGGAAATGGTAAATCAGTTGTTTCACCCATGTTGTGGAATAGCTCACAAGCATTCAGAACCCTGGAGAGTGATGTGATGTGGACTGATATGGAAGGAGGTCTATGCTATATCGAAACTGAGTGAGTTGCCAAAATGTAGGGTGTCATCCCATGTTTGTAAAAAGATTAGAAATTAACACTCACATACACAGAGGAAAAAGTCTAGAATGTGATACATTGACCTGACAGTGGGAGGTGGAATAATGGAAGGCTTCACTTTCTACTTTATTCATTTCTGTATTTTGGGGGGATTTTTCACTGTAAGGGTATGTTGAATGAGTTATTTCCATGAACAGAAAGAAAACAATGTCTGTAATCCTAGCACTTTAGGAGGCCAAGGTGGGTGGGTCGCTTGAGCCCAGGAGTTCAAGACCAGCTCGGGCAACATGGTGAAATTCCCTCTCTACAAATTATACAAAAATTAGCTGGATATGGTGATATGCACCTGTAGTTCCAGCTATGCTGGTGGGAGGACCACCTGAGCCCAAGGAGGCTGAGGCTGCAGTGAGTCGTCATCCCGTCACTGCATTCCAGCCTGGGCAACAGAGTAAGACCCTGTCTCAAGAAAAGAAAAGAGGCCAGGCGTGGTGGCTCACACCTGTAATCCCAGCGCTTTGGGAGGCCGAGGCAGGCAGATCACGAGATCAGGAGATCGAGACCACGGTTAAACCCCGTCTCTACTAAAAATACAAAAAATTAGCCAGGTGCGGTGGCGGGCGCCTGTAGTCCCAGCTACTCGGGAGGCTGAGGCAGGAGAATGGCGTGAACCCGGGAGGCGGAGCTTGCAGTGAGCCGAGATCGCACCACTGCACTCCAGCCTGGGCGACAGAGCGAGACTCTGTCTCAAAAGGGAAAAAAAAAAAAGTTGCAGAGTTAGTAAGGGGATTTCCATATACCTCTCACCCAGTCTCCCAGTCTCCCCCATTGTTAACATTTTACATCACTGGGGCACATTTGTCACAATTAAAACACCAACTTTGGCACATTAGTACTTACCAAGCAAGCTCTAGATTTTATTTGAATTTCACCAGCTTTTCTACTAATGCTCATTTTCTGTTCCAAGATCCAGTTCAGGGTGCCATACCCACTTTCTGCTACTATTAACATCTTATGTGAGGATAGTGCATTTCACAATTCTTTAACCAGTAGTGGTGCATTATTATTAACCAAAGTCTATACTTTCCTCAGATTGCTTTAGTTTTTCCTCAATGTTTTCCTGTTCCAGGATCCCGTCTCCCTTTAGGCTCCTCTGGGCTGTGACATTCCTGTCTTTGATCATGTTGACAGTTGTTTTGTTTTGTTTTGTTTGAGATGGAGTTTTGTTCTTGTTGCCCAGGCTGGAGTGCAGTGGCACAATCTTGGCTCACTGCAACCTCCGCCTCCCAGGTTCAAGCGATTCTCCTACGTCAGCCTCCCCAGTAGCTGGGATTACAGGCATGCGCCACCACGCCCAGCTAATTTTGTATTTTTAGTAGAGTTGGGGTTTCTCCATGTTGGCCAGGCTGGTTTCGAACTCCTGACCTCAGGTGATCCACTCGCCTCGGCCTCCCAAAGTTCTGGGATTACAGGCATGAGCCACTGCACCCAGCCGGTCACACTGACAATTTTAAGGAGTACTTGTCAGATATTTTGTGAATATTCCCTCTTCCTCTATTTTTGGAATAGTTTGATTGAGTAGGATTGGTAGTTTTTTTTTAGATGTTTGGTAGAATTCAGCAGTAAAGCCACCAGGTTCTGGGCTTTTCTTTCCTGGGAGACTTTTTATTAAGGCTTCGATCTCATTACTTGTTATTGGTCTGTTCACATTTTGGATTTCTTCATGATTCAATTTTAGTAGGTTGTCTGTGTCCATGAATTGATCCATTTCTCCAGATTTTCCAGTTTATTGGCATATAGTTGCTCATAGTAGCCACACTAATGGTGCTTTGAATTTCTGCAGTATCTGTTGTAATGCCTTCTTTTTCTTTTCTTTTCTTTTTTTTTTTTTTTTTTGAGACGGAGTCTCGCTTTGTAGCCCAGGGTGGAGTGCAGTGGCGTGATCTCAGCTCACTGCAAGCTCCACCTCCCGGGTTCATGCCATTCTCCTGCCTCAGCCTCCCGAGTAGCTGGGACTACAGGCACCCGCCACCACGCCCGGCTAATTTTTTGTATTTTTAGTAGAGATGGGGTTTCACTGTGTTAGCCAGGACGATCTTGATCTCCTGACCTCGTGATCTGCCCACCTCGGCCTCCCAAAGCGCTGGGATTACAGGCGTGAGCCACCGCGCCTGGCCTTTTTCATCTCTGATTTTATATCTTTAGGTCTTCTCTCTTTTTTTCTTAGTTAGTCTGGCTAAAGGTTTGACAATTTTATCTTTTCAAAAAACCAACTTTTTGTTTCGTTGATCTTTTGTATTATTTTGTTTCAATTTCATTAATTTCTGCTTTGATCTTTATTTCTTATTTTCTACTAATTTTGGATTTGGATTGCCCTTTTCTAGTTCTTTAGGATGCATTGTTAGGTTGTTGATTTGGTCAGGTATTTTGTAGAGTGTCACTCAATTGAGTTGTTTTCTTTTTTTTGAAATGGAGTCCCGCTTTGTCGCCTAGGCTAGAATGCAATGGCATGATCTCAGCTCACTGCAACCTCCCCCTCCCAGGTTCAGGTGATTCTCCTGCCTCAGCCTCCTGAGTAGCTTAGATTACAGGCAAGCACCACCATGCCTGGCTAATTTTTGTATTTTTAGTAGAGATGGGGTTTTACCATGTTGGCCAGGCTGGTCTTAAACTCCTGACTTTGTGATCTGCCTACCTCGGCCTCCAAAGTGTTGGGATTATAGGCATGAGCCGCTGTCCTTGGCTTCCATTGGGATTTGACTGATACTTTTCTCATGATTAGACTGGGGTTATGTGTTCTGGGAGGAAGAGCCAGGAGGTGAGTGCCCTTTTCCTCACGTCCTACAAAGGGGACGTGCTCTCAGGAGGACTAACTTGATGCCTGGCTGAGGCAGTGCCTGTCAGGTTTCTTTATAGCAGAGCTACTGTTTTCCCCTGCATTTGATACTGTGCTCTTTGGAAGGAGGTCACTCTGTGCAGCCCATGCCTAAGGAATGGGGAGTTAAGCTCCACCTCCTTCAGGGCAGGGCATCTTCATCACTTATTGGAATTTTCTACCCTGGAGATTTGTCTCTTCTCCATTTATTTATTCATTCATTTATATCAGTATGGATCCATGGATCCTGTATACTTTGGGTGTAATCCAATTCTACTGTATTTTGTTGCTCAAATTGTTCCAGCATTGGCTACTGGATGCCTTTCAGTTATCTCCCATGTCCCTGTGACACACTCCATCATTGTGAGATTTTGAGCACTTCCTTAACTTTCTGGCACCACAAGATGCTCCAGGCTCATCTTGTCTGTTTCCTGTCTTAGACCTAGAATCAGCTGTTTCTGCAAGGAGCCCTGGTTCCTTTCATTGGTGAATGGTATTAGAAACCAAGATCAGGGTGCAAGATGTGCTCAGGGCTGTAGGGTGCTGTTGCTTCTTGGCCGTCTTAGCGGACAGAGCAAGGAAATCTGTGTGTGTACTAACCTGTATGTACACAAATCTATATTTCTATAGGTAACCATCTATGGTACTGTTTTAGCTAAACCTGTTCATGCTAACATCTCCAACTCTAATCCATGGTCATCACATGGATCATTCTAAATACCTCTCCTTGCTCATCTGTAACAGTGGGAAGCCTGGCTCCTACCATCCTCCATCCATTTACTTAGTTGTTCCCTTTCACTCTGCACGTATGGTGGCTTTAGAATTGTTAACCTTTCTAAAGGCTGGGTATGGTGCCTCACACCTGTAGTCCCAGCACTTTGAGAGGCTCAAGCAGGAGGATCACTTGAGCCCAGGAGTTCGAGACCAGCCTGGGCAACATGGTGAAACCCTATCTCTACAAAAAATACAAAAATTAGGTGGGCGTGGTGGCGCAGGCTTGTAGTCCCAGCTACTCGGGACTGAGGCAAGAGGATTGCTTAATATGAGAAGTTGAGGCTGCAGTGAGCCATGATCATGCCACTGCACTCCAGCCTGGGTGACAGAGCTAGACCCTGTCCCCCCAACCAAAACAAAAAACAACAACAAAAAACCCCACCTCACCCCTGATACCTTTCCAGTCATTCATTTATTTATTGAATGCCCTCTATGCTGGGCACTGTTTTCAACACCATGAACAAAACAAAGATCCCCGCCCTCGTGGAGTTATGTTCTAGTGCAGGAGATGAGCAAAACAATAAGAATGATAGATGGATAAACGATACTTTATATTGAAAGGAACACAGAAAAAGTAGGGCACAGTGAGAACCCTTGGGCCTGATGGAGGTAACTGGGACAAGTGGCAATTCAGGGTGCTCAGGGCAGGCCTTGTTGAGAAGGTGACATTTAAGCAGATTTTGAAGGCAGTGAGGGAGTTAGTCATGAGGACATCAGGGAAGAGTGCTCCAGGCAAGGGGAACATGATGGGGTGGGGACAAGGGGGGAACAAGGGGAACCCTGGGGTGGGGATGCACAGCCCTTCTGCTGTGCCCAGGGAACAGCAAGGCCAGCATGGCTGGAGCAGAGAGAGGTGGGGGTTGGTAGGAGATGAAGTCACAGAGGTGGGAGGGGGGCACCACATTATAGGTGGCCTTGTCAGCCTCCCTGAGGATTCGACTTTTACACCAAATGAAATGGGGATCGTAAGAGTGACACTCTTTGTCTTAAGGACCCCTGTGCTCCTGTGCTGAGAAGAATGTAGGGGCAGATGTGGAGGCAGGGAGGCTGTTGCTGTCACACAGGCCCAAGGCTGTGGAGGCTCACACCAGGGTGGTAGAGGAGGATGGTGAGGAGTGGTCGGAATCTGGTTGTGTGTTAAAGATGGGGCCAGCAGGACTCACCAGCAGCCTGGATGAGGGGAGCGATAGGGACAGAAGAGTTAAGGCTGGTTTCGAGACTTTGGGCTCAAGCATCTCAAAGGATAGCATTGCCACCAACTCTAATGTATGGAGAAGGCTTGGGAGGAGGGTCCAGAATTCAGACATCTCAGTAGAGGTGTCCAGTAAGTAGGCAGCTGAGTATCTGAGTGTGACATTTAGCCTGGAAGTGATATATTTGGGCATTGTCAGTGTTTACAATCAGGAGACTGGCCAGGATCACTGATTTAGTTTTTGCTGCTGCTGTAACAAAGTACCATAAACTTTGTAACTTAAAACAGCACGAGTTCATTATGGTTTTTCGCCCCCAACTCTGTCACCCAGGCTGGAATGCAGTGGCATGATCACGGCTCATTGCACCCTTTACTTCCTAGGCTCAAGTGATCCTACCTCAGCCTGCTTGAGTAGCTGGAATGGAAGCCTGGCTCCGTGTCCAGCTACTTTTTTTCTTACTTTTTGTAGAGAGAGGTCTCCCTGTGTTGCCTAGGCTGGTCTCAAATTCCTAGCCTCAAGCGATCCTCCCGCCTCGGCCTCTCCAAGTGCTAGGATTACTGGTATGAGCTGCTATGCCTGTCCTATTATCTCACAGTTCTGCATGTCAGAATTTCAAAATGGTCTTAAGGCGCTAAAATCAAAGTACCAGCAGGATGACATTCCTTTCCAGAGCCTCTGGGGGAGAATCTGTTCTCCGCCTTTTGTTTTTCCTCATGTTTCTAGAGGCCTCCTCCTTGGCTCATGGCCCCTTCCCTTGTCTTCAAAGCCAGCAGTATAGCCTCTTCGAATCTCTCTCTGACTCTGGCTCTCCTGCCTCTGTCTTTCCCTTATGAGGTTTCTTGTGATTACACTGGACCTACCCGGGTAATTCAGGACAATCTCCCCATCTCAAGGTCCTTCATTTAATCATATCTGGATAGTCCCTTTTGCTACATAAGGCAGCTTATTGACAGGTTCCAGGGATTCACACATGAGCATCTTTGGGGCCATTATTTTGCCTACCTCAAGCACGAAGGGGATGATGGAGAGGAAGAGAGTGCCCAGGACCAAGCATTAAGAAGTCAGGAGCTGGCTGGGTGCAGTGGCTCATGCCTGTAATCCCAGCACTTTGGGAAGCTCATTTGGGCGGATCACTTGAGGTCAGGAGTTCAAGACCAGCCTGGCCAACATGGTGAAACCGCGTCTCTATTAAAAATACAGAAATTAGCCAGGCATGGTGGTGCATACCTGTAGTCCCAGCTACTCAGGAGGCTGAGGCATGAGACTCGCTTGAACCCAGGAGGCAGAAGTTGCAGTGAGCTGAAATCACGCACAGAACTCCAGCCTGGATGACAGAGTGAAACTCCATCTCAAAAAAAGAAAAAAAAAAATTCAAGAACTCAAGAGTTTGAGACCAGCCTGGCCAACATGGCAAGACCCCATCTCTACAGAAAATACAGAAATTAGCCAGGTGTGGTGGTGCACACTGTAGTCCCAGCTACTCAGGAGGCTGAGTCAGGGAATCACTTGAGCCCAGGAGATTGAGGCTGCAGTGAGCTGAGGTCGTGCCACTGCACTCCATCCTGGGTGACAGAGCAAGACCCTGTATCCAAAAAAAAAAAAAAAAAAAATCAGGAGCTGAGGAGGAGCAGCTAGGAAGGTAGGAGGAACCAAGAGACCTGGGTCCAGGAAGCCCGGTGGACAAAGGGCACTGGGGAGGGGGTAAGCAGCAGCTGTGTCAATCACATCAGAGGTCGACTCAGAGGTCACCCATGGACATGGCAATGTGGCAGTTACTGGCGACCTTCAGAAGAACAGTTTGTGTGTAGCAGTGGGGGCCAGGCAAACCTGGTGGGAGTGGGATTTATTTATTTGATTTTAATTATTATTATTATTTTTTTTTTTTTTGAGATGGAGTCTCGCTCTTCGCCCAGGCTGGAGTGCAGTGGTGCAATCTTGGCTGACTGCAACCTCCGCCTCCCGGGTTCAAGTGATTCACCTGCCTCAGCCTCCAGAGTAGCTGCAACTACAGGTGCCTGCCACCACGCCTGGCTAATTTTTATATTTTTAGTAGAGACAGGGTTTCACCATGTTGGCCAGGCTGGTCTCCAACTCCTGACCTCAGTGATCCACCTTCTTTGGCCTCCCAAAGTGCTGGGATTACAGGCGTGAGCCACCGTGCCAAGCCTGGGGGTGGGGTTTAGAAGGAACACTGGCCACTCTTTCAAGGACTTTCACTGCCAAAGAGAACAGAAAAACGGGAATGTGGCTGGCAGCGTAACTGGGCCGGGAGAATATTTGGTTTAGTTGGGGTTTGGTTTCCAGCGGGACAGCAGAGCAGGATTGTTTGCTGGTGGGAATGTGCAACAACAGAGAATGACAGATGAGGTGGTTTTGTGGCTCCCAAGCACGATGGTCTGGTGTTCACGAGGGTGTGTAAGATGCACCTCCCTCAAACCTTGTTACAAGGTTGGCATGTTACCCGTCTGATGTGAAAAAAAAAAGAAAAATAGACGAGACTGAGGAGGGAGTTGTTTGATGAATAAATGGATCACACCACACTTCTGCAACTTTTGTTCACTTAACCACATATCTCAGCAACATCTCCATGGGTAGTATTGCTCCGAGCAGTTCTGCTTGATTCTGCTTGCATAAATCTATCCTGTTGATCAGGGTCAGTAAATAGAAAGATAATGCAAGCCAGGCAGGTAAGGTGGCTCATGCCTGTAATCCCAGTGCTGTGAAAGGCCAGGGCAGGAGGATTGCTTGAGGCTAGGAATTTGAGACCAGCCTGGGCAAAATAGTGAGATCCCGTCTCTACCCTCCTCCCCCGACCAAAAAAAGCCAGGTGTGGTGTGATGCTCCTGCAGTCCCAGCTACTTGGGAGGCTGAGGTGAGAGGATCACTTCAGCCCAGGAGTTCAAGGATGCAATGAGTTATAATTGCACCACTGCACTCCAGCCTGGGCAACAGAGTGAGACTATATCTCAAGAAAGAAAGAGAAAGAGTAGAGAAAGAAAGAAATATAATGCAAGAAACAAATGTGAGCTCTATGTCATTTAAATGGTGTTTTAATGTTTTATTTAACTCAGTATATCCAAAATATCATCACTTCAAGTGGTCAATATAGAATGGTTGGGCTACTTTACATACTTCTCTTCATACCTAGTCTTCGAAATCCAGGGTGCATTTCATCCTTACAGTGCACCTCAGTTCAAACAAGCCACGTTTTAAGTCAGTGGCCACATGTGACTCGAGGCTCTATTGTGGTCAGCACAGCCCAAAAAAAACTCACATAGCTTTGGGAGGCCGAGGCAGGTGGATCACAAGGTCAGGCGTTCAAGACCAACCTGGCCAATATGGTGAAACCCTGTCTCTACTAAAAATACAAAAATGAGCTGGGCGTGGTGGTGGGCGCCTGCAGTTCCAGCAACTCAGGAGGCTGAGGCGGGAGAATCACTTGAACCCAGGAGGTGGAGGTTGCAGTGAGCTGAAATTGTGCCACTGCACTCCAGCCTGGGTGATAGAGCAAGACTCTGTCTCAAAAAAAAAAAGAAAAGAAAAAGAAAAGGATCTCACATAGATGAGCAGAGGCTACATACGAAACAGATGATCGCAGTGCTGCTGGTATAACCACAAAGCTAGAGCCAGCCTCACTGTACCCTGGCATGGGGCTGACAATGTATATATTGTGGCTTTTTGCTTTTAAAAGCATTAAAAGGAAACATTCATTTGGGTTTAATTCGTTTATTTAAATTTTTTTTTTTTTTTTTTTTGAGACAGGGTCTCGCTCTGCTGCCCAGGCTGGAGTGCAGTGGCGCCATCTCAGCTGCAACGTCTGCCTCCGAGTTCAAGCAGTCCTCCCGCTGGGACTACAGGTGTGCAACACCACACCCAGCTAATTTTGTTTATTTTTTGTAGAGATAGGGTTTCATCATGTTGCCCAGGCTGGTCTCGAACTGCTGGGCTCCAACGATCCACCCACCTCAGCCTCCCAAAGTGCTAGGATGACAAGTGTGAGTCACTGCACCCAGCCTGAATCATTTTTTAAAGAGCATGTGTCCATTAAAAATTATTTTAATGAAGCTTCTCAGGCATTCAAAGTATCTCATCTCCAATCCCTGGCTTAAATTAGAAAACAATCTCGGCAGATTGGAAGCCCTCATTTACCCCTTCCTTCTGTCATTCCCATCCCTCCTCTCCCTGGACACTGGTGTTTATCGATTCGAAGTCCATCTTTATATGTGTAAGTATGTGTCCCCAAATGATCAGAATACCGTTTTGAGGTGTTGAAAGCTTTGTGTCCCCGAACAGTGAGAACAGTTTTGGGGTGTTGAAATCTTGGTCTGGCTTCACACTCTATGTCTCACATAATAACTTGCTTTGTCGCTGAGGGGTACCTGAGTGAGATTCATCGTAGATGCCTGGATGAAGAGAGGGGCCTTGCGCTTCTATTTGCCTTGTTACATAGTGGTAAGTTACATATTATGTTACATAGTAATCCTTATGTGCCTACCTTGTAACTGTCTTAATTGCCTCTTGTTTTTTGTGGGGGTTTTTTTGAGACAGAGTCTCACTCTGTTGCCCAGGCTGGAGTGCAGTGGCACAATCTCGGCTCACTGAAACCTCCGCCTCCCAGGCTCAAGTGGTTCTCATGCCTCAGCCTCCTAAATTGCTGGGACTACAGACATGCACCACCACGCCCAGCTAATTTTTGTGTTTTTAGTAGAGATGGAGTTTGGCCATGTTGGCCAGGCTGGTCTCGAACTCCTGACCTCAAGTGATCCACCCACATCAGCTTCTCGAAGTGCTGGGATTAGAGATGTGAGCCACCATGCCTGGCCTTCATTCCCTCTTGATGGACACTTGGGCTGTTTCCAATTTTCTGCCATTATAAACAGTGCTGCTGTGGCTAGAATTTCTCTGGAATATATTCAGTGGACTAGCAGTTCTCAAATTTTAGCATGCACCAGAATCACCTAGAGGGCTGGTAAAGACACAAGGTTCAATCTAGAATCCCACGTTGCATTTACGCTACTACTTTTTCTGTTTTTTCCTCTTAAAAATTAAAAAACAAAAAATAGAAACGGGTTCTCACCATGTTTCCCAGGCTGGTCTCAAACTCCTGGGCTCAAGCAATCCTTCCACCTCAGCCTCCCAAAGTGCTGGGATTATAGGCGTGGACCACCATGACCAGCCCTATTCCTTTTTAAATTAATAGTAATAATAAGCAAACCTGGAAAAGACCCCACACGTCCAGAGGTGTTCAGGTGAGGAGTCGGGGGAAGGATCATGAGACAGGATCAGCGTCTTGACCCAGACTTGCTTGGGCCCTGCAAGGACCTGTGGGACCTCTGGGCCCCTCTCACCTCCAGACAGGGCGGCTCCTCCCCACACCCAGCTGGGTGGAGTGGGTGACCTATCTATACTGCTGGCCCTGTGGGCCCTGTAATTAGAGAGATCTACTGGAGTTCAGCATCTCTATGACCTAGGAGAGTCCCTACAAAGAGTCTCAGGCTTCCCCTCTGTGGAGGAGTCCAGGGTGGGGGTGAGAGGCTCTGAGGGGCTGCACTCAGAACCTGGGTCTTTCATTTATTTGGCAAATCTTAAATGTCCCAAGTATTCACCAAGCCTTGTGCTGGTGCTGGGGGGACAGCAGAGAGCCTGACACTCCCAGGGGGCTCCTCATCAAAGGGGAGGCCTACAGTAAACAAATAATTACACAAATAAATATAGAAAATGAACTGTCACTTGGGGAGGCGTGGGTCTTGGAGTGGGGTTTTGAGGTGTGAATAGGAGTTCACAAAGCCTCAGAGGAAGGGGAAGGACTACGTTATTCATAAAAATCTCACTGGAAATGAAAAACACTTTGAGGGTTCCGCTGTCTGTTGTCAGACTACCCAAATACCATTGCCAGGAAATTCCAGCAGGCCCACACAGCAGAGCGGTCCAGGGCCAAATAACTTCAAAAAGTAAAATTAGAAAAGCCTCTCTGAAAAGTAGCTGTACACCTAAAGTCTATGTTTAATGTGGCCCATAGATGTGTTTTGTAGGTTTGCTCTGATGTGGATTGGGGTCCCCCAAGCAGTTGTACCAGTCACACCTCTGAGCTCCTAAAGCAGCTCTGGCAGCCAGGCAGGAAAACCATGGGCAGTTTCTTATAAAGTTAAACATTCACCTACGCTGAGACCCAGCAGTCCCACTCTCAGGTATTTACCCAAGAGCAAAGAAAGCATGTGCCCATCAAGATCTGTGCACAGATATTCATAGGAGCTCTGCTCCTAATAATCCCAAACTGGGAAACGTCCCAAATATCCATCAACAGTGAGAATGGATAAACAAATTGAGGTACCTCCATACAATGGGACACTGCTCCCCAATAAAACATTGCAAACCATTGCACACACCACGTCATGCACCGCTCTCGCACGTGTTGTGTTGTGTGAAACAAACCAGACAAGAAGGGACGCATCCCAAGTGACTGATTGGTTTATGTACAGTTTAAGAACAGGCAAATCTCACTGCTATTTATAGATGGCACAGCAGTGGTTACCTCTGCTAGTGGGGCCGGGGGTCGCTTGTGTACTGGGAAGGGGCTCCAGGGAACCTTCTGGAGGCTGAGGGTGCCCTTGATCCTGATTTGAGTGGTGACTATATAGGTATAAAAAATGATCAAGCTGGACACTTAAAGTCAACATAGTTTATGCACTTTCACGTGTAAACATTATTCCTTAAGAAAATAAAAACAGCACCAGTGGCTCCCCCCTTCCCTGCAGACTCCCCCGACACCACCACCTCCTTCTTCGCCTTGCATCGGTACGATAAGGCACTTGCTTGACGGGAAAGAGAAACTCAGCTGCCAGCTGGGGTTCATTTGCACTTTCCCCCGCCTGGTCTGCGGTCTGGCTGTGCAGCTAGCCGCTCTGACGGGGAGGAGGGGCCCAAAGCCACTGCCTGCCGCCTGGGCAGGGGAGAGGGGCACGTGAGGCTCATGGCAGAGGCACAGCCAGCTTCTTGCATGTGCCCTCCCCGGGGAATGTCTGCAGAGCCCAAGACTGCCACGCCGTGGGCACAGCCCTGGCAACAAACAGCCACTTACCCAGTCACCATGCTCTACTTCTCAGCTGCAGCCCCACGGCCTGGACTCGCTTGCCCAGGCCCCCCAGCCACAAATCCTGGGCCCCTCCCTGAAACCTCCAGACACAAACTCACTTCAGGCTGGGGCCTTGGTTTCCCCATCTGGAAAAGGGGTGAAAAGCCCCATCTTTCCAGTGTAGCAGTCGAGGCATTTGCAGCAGGTGTTTGTGCTCAGTGTATCGATGTAGGAGGCTCTCAAAAAGGATGTAGAAAACATGAATAGTTATGAGTCCTGTTTTAATAAAATTAGAATAAAAAATAAAAGCCAGGCAAGGTGTTGTGCGCCTATAATCCCAGCTACTCATGAGGCTGAGGCGGGAGGATCACTTGAGCCCAGTTCAAGCCCAGCCTGGGCAGCATGATGAAACCCAATCTCTACACAAAATACAAAACATAGCTGAGCGTACTCCCTAGCTACTAGGGAAGCTGAGGTGGGAAGATTGCTTGAGCCCATGAGTTTGAGGCTGCAGTAAGCTTTGATCACACAAGTGCACTCTAGCCTGGGTTACAAAAAATAAAATAGGCCAGGCACAGCGGCTCACAGCTATAATCCCAGCTCTTTGTGAGGCTGAGGTGGGAGGATCACTTAAGCTCAGGAGTTTGAGACCAGTCTGGGCAACACAGCAAGACCCCATCTCTACAAAAAAATTTTTAAAAAATTAGCTAGGCATGGTGGCGTGTGCCTGTAGTCCCAGATACTCAGGAGCTTGAGGTGGAAGGATCACTGGAGCCCAGGAGTTCAAGGCTGCAGTGAGCTATGATTGCACCATTGCACTCCAGCCTGGGTGACAGAAAGACCCTGTCTTTAAAAAACAAACAAACAAACAAAAAGAGTGAAAGATAAACAAATAATTAAATTTAAAAATAAATAGAACTAGAAGAGGAAGCCCAAACTATTTCTGAATGTGTTCATCTGAGAAGAGGGCAAAATGTAAAATACACACCAATTGTTTCACCATTATTTTCCCCCGAAGTTCGGATTAAAGAAAGGGAGGGGATTAGCGCTTCAACACACCTCCCTTTGTCCTGGGTGTCGTGCTTCAGCATGTGTGGATGGTAGCTTTGTGGTTAAAAAAAAAAAAGAAGAAGAAATGAGAGCAAAAAGTACTTTGAGAACTCTTTGTAGCTGTCACGTCCCCAGACCCTGTGGTGAGAACCTCCAGGGACACCTGTGAACATGCATGTTCCCAGGCCCAGCCTCAGGGGTCTGCACGTTTAAGAAATGGATGCACTTGTCTAATGATGAGGGCAATGGTGCCGGACACTGCCCACGTGTCTGCTCTCTAGGACAAGCCCTTGAGACAAGTATCATTATCCCGTTTAAAGACGAGAAAACTGGCAGGGTGTGGTGGCTCACTCCTGTAATCCCAGCACTTTGGGAGGCCGAGGTGGGTGGATCACCTGAGGTCAGGAGTTCAAGACCAGACTGGCCAACATGGTGAAACCTTGTCTCTACTAAAAATACAAAGATTAGCCAGGCGTGGTGGCGCACACCTGTAATTCCAGCTACTCAGGAGGCTGAGGCGGGAGAATCGCTTGAACCCAGGAGGCAGAAGTTGCAGTGAGCTGAGATCATGCCACTGCACTCCAGCCTGGGCCACAGCATGACTCCGTCTCAAAAAATAATAATAATAACACAAAATAATAAAGATGAGGAGACTGAGGCCAGCATGGCTTTGATTCTGGCGTGAGAGTCCACAGTCTGGAAGTATCTGATTTGGCACTCCTATCCCTGAAGGCCCCACTTTACAGGTGGACCAACTGAAGCTGAGGGAGATGACCAGACTTATCCAAGGTCAGGGCCAATGAGGGGCACTCAGGTCTGAGGTTCCCTTCATTTCCCCCAGGGGAACCTGGTGAAAGTAAGCCATGGATTCACCCCCAGACTCTTCTCTTGTGCCCTGAAACCTGATTTCTCTAAGACCCACAGCCTAGGAAGGCTGGGCCAGGGTGAGCCTGGATAGCTGCTTCCCCCGCCATTCCCCCACCCACCCCAGGCCAGCAGGCAGTCATTTCTTGTTTTCTGCCACCGCTGGGTGTTCTGCTCTGACGAGGAGGCCCCAGGTAAACAGTAAGGCTGCCTGAACATGCACTGCTGGCTCGACCTTCCCCAGGCCCCCCAGCCACAAATCCTGGGCCCCTCCCTGAAACCTCCAAACACAAGACCCAGTTTTGCATCAAATGAGTCTGCAGAGGGAGGGAAAGGAAGCTGCCTGTGGAGTCAGGTGGAACCTGGTCAGGTGTGTTTGTGTCTCTGAGCCTCAGTTTCCTCATTTGGACACAGAGCTGGTAAGATCAGCCTTGTAGATTCTATGTAAGGATTAGAAACATCACCAGGGTAGGGCCTGGCACATGTGCTGAGAGGCCGGAGGGTGGTGGTTCTAGCAGGGGGTCTGGAGCCCAGTGCTTGGTTTAAGTCCCAGCATAGGACTTAACTTCCCTCTGTCCACCCAGGTCACACTCAGAGGATATCTGCTGAGCACCTATGGTATACCAGGCACTGTGCAGGGGTGCTCTTGGCCTCAGTTTCCCCATCTGTCCAATGACAACTCTCACGGCCATTGCCTAATAGGGCTGTTGGGAGGATTAAATACCTTAGCAGTGCCTGTCACAGCAAGCAACTGAGTTTGCTGCTTCAGGGGCAGTGCCCCTCACGGGATGATGGTGACTCGATGACAAGTAGGGCAGAGAGTGCAGGCTGGGCCAGGACTGCTTTCCAAATTGGGCCTCTCTGTTCCCTTGCTGGCCTGGATTTTGAAACGCCTTGCTCAGGCTGGCCAAGCGTTCTTGGTCCTCAGCATCTGTCTCTCTCCTGGTGGCCTGTCCAGAGATGCATGGTGGTTTCCATGGACACCTTCTTCCATAAAAAAGAGAAAATGAAATTGTACTTACGACCACATTGGTATAACGACAAACGTAATGCAGGATGGATTTGTTATTACATTGTCATCATGATCCCATGTGTTCTCCTCCTTTCTTTTAAAAGAACTTTAAATGAAAACATTTCCGTGGGCACCTGAAGTGTCATAGCCCCAGGAGCTGTGCCTGCTGAGCCCACAAGGGGTCCACCCTGGGTGGGCTTTTTCAGATTGTAAATCCCCCCCATTACCTCTTCTTAGAAGGTCACCCTTGCCCGGGCGCAGTGGCTTATGCCTTTAATCCCAGCACTTTGAGAGGCTGAGATGGAAGGATCACTTGAGCCCAGGAGTTCAAGACCAGCCTAGGCAACATAGTGAGACCCCATCTCTAATTTTAAAAACAAACAAAAAAACAAGCTAAGGTCATGTGCAGGTGTGTTTAAAAAATAACAAAAAATTGGCCAGGCACGGTGGCTTACGCCTGTAATCCCAGCACTTTGGGAGGCCAAGGCAGGCGGATCACGAGGTCAAGAGTTCGAGACCAGCCTGGTCAATATGGTGAAACCCTGTCTCTACTAAAAAAATACAAAAAATTAGCCAGGCATGGTAGGGTGCGCCTGTAGTCCCAGCTACTCGGGAGGCTGAGGAAGGAGAATTGCTTGAACCCAGGAGGCAGAAGTTGCAGTGAGCCAAGATCAGGCCACTGCACTCCAGCCTGGGTGACAGAGTGAGATTCCATCTCAAAATAAATAAATAAATAAATAAATAACAAAAAATAAGCAAAAAAAAAAAAAAAAAAACAAAGCCACCCTTGTTGTGTTAGAAACTTGGAACTTCCCAAGGAACAACATTCCCCATCTAGACCTCACTGTTCTGAAACCTACTCCTCCTGCCCTTTTCCTTTCCTACTTTCCCATTTAAAGTAGGGTGCAGAGGACCCTGCTTGCCAAAGCCATTTGACTGACTGTGAGACTGTAGCCATGACCATGGAAATCACAGCTGCTAGCAGTGGTGGAGTATTTCACATATTTCACGTAAACCACTGCTCTCCCCAGTAGACAGAAGCCCAGGGAAGCCACAGAACGTGCCCAGAGTTATGCAGTAAGTGATAGAATCAAGATCAGCCAGAGATCCCCTGAAGTGTCTGATCTTCTTCCCCACAATGTCATATAAAATATCAGCAAGACCCTCAGTGGTGGATGTGAACTTATTAATTATATACATTATATTCATTTCCCAACGTTGTGGTAACAAATTCCCACAGACTGGGTGGCTTAAAACAATAGAAATGTATTCTCTCATGGTTCTGGAGGCCAGAAGTTCAAAGTCAAGGTGTTGGCAGGCAGGGCTGGTTCCTCCCAGAGGCTCTAGGGGAGAATCTGTTCCATGCCTCTCCCTAGCTTCTGGGAGCTGCTGGCGACCCCCAATGCTCCTGGGTGTGGAGATGCATTAGTCACTCCAGTCTATGCCTCCCTCTTCACAAGGCCTCCTTTCCATTGTCTTCTACCCTTCTAAGTACACTTGTTGTTGGATTCAGGGCCCACCCTAATCCAGAATGATCTCATCTCTAGATCCTTCACTTAATCATGTTTGCAAAGATCCTATTTCCAAACAAAGTCACCTTCATAAGGCTTTGAAAGGGGTTAAGATGTGAACTTATCTTTTTGGGGCCAGTACACATGGGACACAGATGAGTGCCAAAAGGAATCCCAGGAAGCTGTCAAAAGCAACAATAAGGATGTGAATAAAAGTAATATCTTAGGCTGGGTATGGTGGCTCACACCTGTAATCCCAGTGCTTTAGGAGGCCAAGGCAGGAGGATCACTTGGGCCCAGGAATTTGAGACCAGCCTGGGCAACATAGTGAGACCCCACCTGTACAAAAAAGTTTAAAAATTAGCCAGAGGTGGTGGCACAAGCCTGTAATCCCAGCTACTTGGGAGGCTGAGGCAGGAGGATCATTTGAGGCCAGAAGTTCGAGACCTGCCTGGGCAACATAGCAAGACCCCATCTCTACAAAAAATAAAACAAAAATTAAATAGTAATATATTGGCATATGGCCCAGCACCTGGCATATGACAAGTACATATGTATGTATATATGTATGTGTATATTATATATATATATACACACACACATACATACTTTTCTTATATCTATAAAGTTTTCAATCTCAGAGAAAATGTTTGGATGCGCTGGTTTTGCCCAGTTTCAATGTTTTCCCAAACACTAGCAGGTCTCCTCCATCTCTCTTGACTTTGTTGAAACACCTTTAGTCTCGTTTTCTGTTTGGCAGATGGCCAGTGTTCCTGCAGCTGCTTCAGGTCTGTACAAGCCCCACTTGTGGACACTTTATCTGCAAAGGGGGCCCCTGATTTTTCCAGCCTGGGGCCTTTCCTCCTGCCTCTCTTGGCCCAAGATGCCTCCACCCTCCGCCTTTCACCTGTTGAGACGCATTTTGTAAAATAAGTTTGCCCTCTGTCTGCCCTTGTTACAGTAGGCAGTCAGACATAAGCAGGGCAGGAGAGGGTGCCCCCCAACCAGGACTGTCAGGCCACCATCAGGTGATGGTCAGGTGATTTAACTGTCTCTCCAAAATAATAATTGGTTGTAGCCAGCACTGAGGAAAGGCAGGCTCCCAATAGATTAAAAAACACCAGAAATATGATCAGCAGCTTTGCGATAAGATCTCAGAGTTGGCTCAAGCATGCATACTAAGAGGCAGAATGGCAGAGTCTGGTCTGTGACCTGCTTCTAGGAACGCTGGACTGGTAAGGGAAAAACGCCTCAAGTGAGCATGCGCACAACTTCAGTAAACACACTGCGCATGCTCCCCTCCCAAGGACAGGCAGGCCACGGCTAAGGGGACGGCCCACCCCAAGGGAAGGATCGGGAGAAGTAGTGCAACCCTGGAAGCGTGCCAGCATATAAGACCTCAAGTCAAATGGCAAAGTGGGCAGTTGACTCGTTCAAGTCGCCCGCCTGGCACTCTTCCAAGTGAACTTGACTTCCTTTCATTCCTGCCCTAAAACTTTTTAACAAATGTTCACTCCTGCTCTAGAGCTTGCCTCTCTTTGCCTTATGCCCCCTGCGTCGAATTCTTTCTTCGGAGGAGGCAAGAATTGAGGTTGCTGCAGACTCGTATGGACTCACTGCCGCTAACACACACTGGTGCCCTGTGACTCAGATATGTTCCCTAGTGCTAACATTCCCAGCTCCAAAAGAACTGGGTCAAGTCTGTCCTGTTTACATTGCTGGGTCCTTGTGCTGGAAAAGGAGCCCCCACCCGCCCCCACTCCACAAAACCATTTCCAATAGTCTTGAGATTTCTCACCCTGCCCCGACCCACCTTTCTGACTCCATCTCCCCCACCCCTCCACATGCGTTATGTTTCAGTTGCCGGAATTGAAATCACGTTGCCGTTCCCTCTGCCTGGAATGCTTTTCTGCATTAGGGCATGGCTGATGCCTTCCTAGCTTCCAGATCTCAGCAAAGTGTCCTGGGGCTGCTGTGCCTGGAAGGGACACATTTTGGGTGCCTCCTTACATTATCCGCCCATACCACTGGACAATCGGGTGCTCTGTCTTGCCTCTCTGTGTGCTAGCTGCTTCTCTCCACCAAATCACAATATCCTTAAGAACAAGGACGTTGTTTTGTTCATGGCTTCAGTCCCAGCACCTAGCAAGTCGTAAGTGCTTAGAAAATAATGTGTTCAGAGGCCAGGCGCGGTGGCTCACACCTGTAATCCCAGCACTTTGGGAGGCCGAGGCGGTCGGATCACGAGGTCAGGAGATCGAAACCATCCTGGCTAACACGGTGAAACCCTGTCTCTACTAAAAATACAAAAAATTAGCCGGGCGTGGTGGCGGGCGCCCGTAGTCCCAGCTACTAGGGAGGCTGAGGCAGGAGAATGGCATGAATCCGGGAGGCGGAGCTTGCAGTGAGCCAAGATTGCTCCACTGCACTCCAGCCTGGGTGGCAGAGACAGACCTTGTCTCAAAATAATAACAATAATAATAATAATAGTGTTCAATGTGTGAATTACATCATTCTCTCTCTCTGAAACAAGGGATTCAACTTACGGGTCATGGGTAGATTTCATGGTAGAGAATCTCCTAAAGTTGTAGGCAAAATATGGTCCCTGTGGAAGCATTTTTCTCACTGTGTCCATTTTAGGGGTCAGCATTCCCCAAAGACAGAACCTTCGCTTTACTTAAGTAATACTGCCTACCCCTGCAGTCGTCCTCTCCTTCCATTCTTGTTTCATTCTACTTGTTATTAAACATACACCAGGCCTCCTGTGCCAGTAGTTAAGGACACCAAACCATATGAGGGAAAGTCTCCGTCATGGTCATTTGGGTCTCACAGTGCCACGCATGCAGTCAGCATCTCATTCGTGCTGCCAAATGGAGGAAGGAAGTCAGATTCCACTTCAGCTGCGGAACCCCGGGCTGAAATGTTGCCTGTAATATCTACCCTGGAATCCCCAAGCAGAGAAAGCAGCATGAGTCTCAGCACTGGAAGCAGATGGAACCACCTGGAGGTTTCTACAGATCGTGGTGCCCCACCTCAGGCTACTTGGATCAGTGTGTCTCAGTTGGGGCACCAGCATCGGTATGTTTTAAAAGCTCCCGGGCCTGGCTGGGCGTGGTGGCTCACACCTGTAATCCCAGCACTTTGGGAGGCCGAGGCGGGCGGATCACAAGGTCAGGAGGTCGAGACCATCCTGGCTAACACAGTGCAACCCTGTCTCTACTAAAAATGCAAAAAATTAGCCAGGTGTGGTGGCGGATGCCTGTAATCCCAGCTACTTGGGAGGCTGAGGCAGGACAATGGCATGAACCCAGGAGGCGGAGCTTACAGTGTGCTGAGATGGCACCACTGCACTCTAACCTGGGCGACACAGCGAGACTCCGTCTCAAAAAAATTACAAATAAAAATAAAAAGTTCCCGAGGCATGCGATGGAATATTATTCAACAACAACAAAAAAGGAATGAGGTTCTGAGAACTGATTTTAAACCACGATACTACATTCAAACTACACCATGAGTGAACGTGGAAAACACGGTGTGTGGAAGAAGGCAGGCACAGAAGACCACTTATTATATGGTTCCATCTATGGGAAATGTCCAGAATAGGCAAATTCGTGGAGACAAAATTAGATTAAGCCTGGGCAGCATAGCAAAACCCCATCTCTATAAAAAGCAAAAAAATCTGGCCAGGCGCAGTGGCTCACACCTGTAATCCCAGAGATTCGGGAGGCCGAGGCGGGCAGATCACTTGAGGTCAGGAGTTCAAAACCAGCCTGGTCAACATGGCAAATGCTGTCTTTACTAAAAATACAAAAATTAGCTGGGCATGTTGGCACATGCCTGTTTTCCCAGCTACCCAGGAGGCTGAAGCAGGAGAATCGTTTGAACCCAGGAGGTGGAGGCTGCAGTGAGCTGAGATCACGCCACTACACTCCAGCCTGGGTGACAGAGTGAGACTATCTCAAAAAACAACAACAACAACAACAAAACCTTTTGTACACCCATGTTCATAGCAGCACTATTCACAATAGCCAAAATGTGGAAGCAACCCAGATGCCCATTAATGGGTGAATGGATGAACATGATGTGGTTTATATTAGGTTGGTGCAAAAGTAATTGTGGTGTTTGCCATTGAAAGTAATGACAAAAACCGCGATTACTTTTGCACCAACCTAATACACATTGCTATGGTCTGAACGCTTGGGCCCTCCGGCAATGCATATGATGAAATTCTCACCCCCACTGTGATGGTGCATTAGGAGGCGGGGCCTTTGGAAGGTGATTAGTTCATGAGGGCACAGCCCTCATGAATGGGATTAGCACCCTTATAAAACAATCCCATGAGAACGGGTTCACACCTTTCGCCATTAAAGATCCAACAAGAATCCTTCTTTCCGGTCTGTGAACCAATAAACAGGCCCCCAGCAGACATTGGATCTGCCAGCACCTTCATCTTGGACTTTTCAGCCTCCAGAACTGTAAGAAATAAACGTTTGGCCGGGTGCAGTGGCTCATGCCTCTAATCCCAGCACTTTGGGAGATCCGAGGCAGACAGATCACCTGAGGGAAGGAGTTCAAGACCAGCCTGGCCAACATGATGAAACTCCGTCTCTCCTAAAAGTACAAACATTGCCCAGGTGTGGTGGTGGGCGTCTGTAATCCCAGCCACTCGGGAGGCTGAGGCAGGAGAATCACTTGAACCTGGAGGCGGAGGTTGTAGTAAGCTGAGATTGCACTACTGTACTCCAGCCTGGGCAATAGGGTGAGACTCTCTCTTAAAAAAAAAAAAGAAGAAGAAGAAGAGAAAGAAATTTCTGTTGTTGATAAACTCCCTAGTTTATGGTAGTTTGTTATAGCAGCCCAGATTGACTAAGATAACATGTAGTGGAATATAATTCAGCCCTAAACAGGAAGAGAACTCTGACACATGCAACAGCATGGATGTGCCTCAAGGACATTATGCAAAGTGAAAGAAGCCAGTCATAAAAGGACACAGGTCATTTGATTCCACTCACAGGAGGTACCCGGAGAAGTCGGATTCAGAGAAACAGAAAGTGGAATAGTGGTTGCTGGGGCAGGAGGGAGGGGAAATGGGAGTTGCTTAACAGGTGGAAAGGTTCAGTTTTGTAACATGAAAAGAGTTCTGGAGCTGCATGGCGGTTATGGTTGCACAACAATGTAAAAATGTACTTAACATTTCTGAACTGTGCCCTTCAAATGGTTCAGGTGGTAAGTCATATGTGTATTTTATTACAATTAAAAATTTTCTTAGGCTGGGCGTGGTGGCTCACGCCTGTAATCTTGTTGCATGATCCTTGGGGTGCTGCTTTTATGGCCAGAAACCTCTGTGGCTGGTGGCATCTTTTGGCCAAGTTTTGCTTGGGCCCACTGGGCTAGTTCTGCCCACTCAGCCTGGCAGGCTGTGCTCGGCTCACACTACCAGCCTGGATCCCACCCTTGCTTGGGCAAGCCAGGTGTGGCACAGTGAGGGGTGTGTGAGCAAGTGCGCATGGGGTCTGGCCACTGTGCATAGTCAGGCACACTGGCTGCTACAACGGGGCAGGGACCAGGTGCCCGCACAGGCGCCAGCTCTCTGCGAGGCTGCGGCGGGACCAGGTGTACCACAGGCAGCCTCCACGGCTGCCACTGGGGAATGCATTGGTGCCTGGAAGCCTGGAGGCTCCAGGAACCACAGGGCCCCAAAGAGGGAGTCCCAGTCCTGACTTGGGCTCCCAGGTCTGGGCTCCCTGAAGGGCCACAGCTCTTCTCTCCTTCTCTTCACCCACAATATGGCAAGCAACGGGCGTGTTTCTGCCCTGTTTGTGTTACAGTTCCTTCAGCCCTGCCATTCGGCAGTTCCCGAGTTCTTGTCTTGCTTCCAAGAAGAATGAGGTACGCAGACAAGCGTAGGGCGAACAAGGTGATGAAGAGCTTTATTGAGTGACAGAATAGCTCAGAGGAGGCCTTGGAGTGGGTAGCTGCTCTCTGCAGCTGGTTGACCTGACGTCTGCTCAGCTCTGGCTGAGTCCGGTGCTTTTATGGGTCTCAGAGAAGAGGAAATGCATGCCAAACGGTCCATGGGTGGCCGTGAGTGGGCCCAGAAAAGGCACCACAAGTTCCCACTCTGGTCCTGTGGGACTGGCAGCCTGGCCCACAGCCTTCGGACCCTCCCTGGGTGAAGGTGGGGCCTCACCGGGGACCCAGCGCCTGCACCAAGGAACCTGTCTGCCTCTTGCTGCCGTTCATGGGCCCAGGCTGTAGGTGCCAAGGGGTGCCTGCAGGTCAGCACCAAGCTGCCCTCAGCTCCCCTTCAACTTCCCTTCTATGCTTGTCAGTGCTCAAAGTCCAGAGGGGGCTGAGGCAGCAGGGGACTAGCATGTCAGCACTGCCCCGGGTGTTCACACCTGGCCGGGCTTTGCTTTGCTCCAAGATCAGAGTGGGCACCGACAGCAGGGAGAAGCCAGGCAGTGGGAGCAGGCACTTCTGAGCCTGTGAGGGGAGGGGGGTCTTCCTGGGCCACCAAGAGTGCAGGGATGCCTGGGTCCACAGCTGCAATTTGGGCAGCTGCAGGTGTGCTGGAGACAGGGAGTGCAAGGCTTCTGCCTGCTCTGTGGGGTGGGAGGCCTGAATCTGCAGCTGTGGTTTGGGTGGCTGCAGCTGTACCCAGGAGGGGGCAGGGCTCCTGCCTGCTCCATGGAGCGGGACGCCCAGGTCTGCAGGCACGACTTGGGCAGTTGTGGCTGCATCCGGGAAGCTCCCACCCCACTAACTCAAAAGGGGCGGGGCTCCCACTTGTCCCCAGCTCCTGCCACCTCCAGAGAATGTGCAGCCCCAGCCATGCCTCCTTGCTGCAGCTGGAGTGACGGCAGAGGCCGCTCCACATGGGCCACCGCTGCCATCAATCCTAGCACTTTGGGAGGCTGAGGCAGGAGAATTGCTTGAGCCCAGGAGTTCAAGACCAGCCTGGGCAACAGAGCCAGACCCTGTCTCTACAAAAAATAAAAAACTAGCCAGGCATGGTGGCACACACCTGTGGTCCCATCTATTCAGGAGGCTGAGGTGGGAGGATCCCTTGAACCCAGGAGTTTGAGGCTACAGTGAGCCACTCCACTCCAGCCTCTGCTCTCCAGCCTGGGCAACAGAGCCAGACCCTGTCTCTAAAAAATACAAAAATAAAATAAAGATACAAAAAGTTTTTAAAATTATTGGCAGAACGCGGCGGCTCATGCCTGTAATCCCAGCACTTTGAGAGACCGAGGCAGGCAGATCACTCGAGGTCAGGAGTTCGAGACCAGCCTGGCTAACATGGTGAAACCCTGTCTCTACTAAAAATACAAAAATTAGCTGGGCGTGGTGGCAGGCGCCTGTAATCCCAGCAACTCGGGAGGCTGAGGCAGGAGAATCACTTGAACCCGGGGGGTGGAGATTGCAGTGAGCCGAGTTTGTGCCACTGCACTCCAGCTTAGGCAACAGAGTGACACCCTGTCTTAAAAAAAAAAATTATTATGGTATGCAGTAAGGTCCACAAATCTTCCAAGGAATTGTACATGAGTACACACTCGTGTGGTGACCACCCAGACTGAGATAGAGAACAGTGCCAGCTTCCTGCCTATTCAGTCCCTCTCTTCCCTCCCCCCAGCTCCCTGGGGATCAGACTGTATCACCAGAGTCTGTTTCTGTGACCAAACGTCCTATAAACAGAATCACGTGGTGTATGCTTCTCTGTGCCTGGCTTCCTCCTCTGAACATGATGTCCAGGTGCTTCACCTTGTTGATGTGTGCAGTTGTTTCTTTGTTTTGTTTTCTGAGACTGGTTTTCATTCTGTTGCCCAGGCTGGAGTACGGTGGTGTGATCATAGCGCCCTGCAGCCTTGACCTCCTGGGCTCAAGTGATCCTGCACGTCAGCCTTTCCAGTTGCTGGGACTACAGACACAGGCCACCACACTGGCTGATTTTTGTATCTTTTTCTAGAGATGTGGTTTCACCATGTTGCCCAGGTTGGTCTTGAACTCCTGGGCTCAAGTGCTCCACCCACCTTGGCCTCCCAAAGTGCTGGGATTACAAGTTTGAGCCACTGAACTCAGCCTGTTATGTGCAGTTGTATCCATTCCTTCTCACTGCTGTGTAATATTCCACTGTCTGAATAGACCATAGGTTTATCTGACCTGATGTCAACAAGCTCTGCTGTTCCCAGTTTGGAGCTGTCATGAATAGCGCTGATGTGTGTGTGCTTGAACGTGTCTTTTGGAGAACGTACCACCACATTTCTGTTGGACATATCCTTGGAAGTGGGATTGTGGGGTCATAGGCTGTGTATGTGCCCAGCCTCGGGAAATCTGTGGCAAGCAGATTTCTGAAACATTGCACCAACTTACGTTCACAGCAGCAGTGAGTGGGGGTTCCAGTTGCTCCCCATCCTCACCACTCTTGGTTTTGCCATTTTCACTTTGCACCTTCTGGTGGGTGTGTTGTGTGTGGGCAGCTCCTTATTTCAAAGTGATCAAGGTTAGGGCTCACTGGTGAGCCCAGGCCACAGGCTCTGGGATATGTGTGGGTATCATGAGACCTTCCGTGAAGAATCTCTGGTTGGAGGGCCTTGAAGACCAGCTCTTGTCCAGTAAAGGCTCCTATGGAACGTATAGAATTACCCGGCGCTTGTTAGAAATGCAGACTCTTGGCTGGGCACGGTGGCCCATGCCTGTAATCCCAGCACTTTGGGAGGACAAGGCAGGAAGATCCCTGGAGCCCAGAAGTTCAAGACCAGCCTGGGCAACATGGCGAAACTGAAACTGACCCAATAGTCCCATAGATAGTTTTTTGGATAAACAAAGAAATTGACCCTTCTTGTCTTAAAACTTGAAGCTTTTATTTGTTTACGTGAGTTCTATATCAGGAAAGGACCTTCAGGCCTCTCAAAAAAGTATCAAAGAACTGAAACTAACCACCACATCCAGACAATGAGATGTGGAGGGGCAGGGAGGGGCCCTCATTCATCACGATTGTTTCCTTGCCCCTCCTAGTTCCTGTTTTCTTGCACATCGTTACATTTCTTTCCTGCTGTATAAACCCCTAGTTTTAGTTGGTCAGGGAGGTGGGTTTGTGGCTGACCTCCCATCTGCTTGGCTGCCAGCACCGGATTAAAGCCTTCATCCTTTCCTTGGTAATACTCGTCATCTCAGTCATTGGCTTTCTGTGTGGCGAGCAGCAGGACCTAGTCTGAACCTCTGGTGTCTTGGTAACAAAACCCACCTCTACAAAAAAAAAAAAAAAAAAAAAAAAAAAAATATATATATATATATATATATATATATATATATAAAACCCAGGAGGTGGAGGTTACAGTGAACTGAGATTGCACCATTGCACTCCATATATATATATATATATATGTACATATGCATGCCTGTAGTCCCAGCTACTCTGGAGGCTGAGGTGGGAGGATGGATTGAGCCCAGGAGTTCAAGGCTGCAGTGAGTCATGATTGCGCCACTGCCCTCCAGCCTGGGCAACAGAGCAAGACAGTGTGTCAAAACAAAAACAAAAACCAAAAACCAGACTCTGTGGCTCACCTCCCACTCACAGGGTCAGGAACTCAAGAGGGGCCCAGCACGAGGTATTTTCACAGACCTGCCTGTGAGAGCCTCTGCCCAGAGCTCAGTGGTGAGGACAAGCGCTCTGCCTTTCCATAGCTCCATGGCCTTGGACTCAGTGCTTACCCTGTCTGGCCTCAGTTTTCTCGTTTGTAAAATGAGCATAATAACAGGACCCACTTCATAGGATGTTTTGGGGATTAAAGGGACTCATGTTTGTACTATGCTTGAAACAGTCCTTGGCACCTAGCTAGCACTCAATAAATGGCCGTAAAATTTAAAGTTAAGGCCCTGGCCAGGCACGGTGGCTCACGCCTGTAATCCCAGCACTTTGGGAGGCCGTGGTGGGTGGATCACCTGAGTTCAGGAGTTTGAGACCAGCTTGTCCAACATGGCAAAACCCTGTCTCTACTAAAAATACAAAAATTAGCCAGCTGTGGTGGTGCATGCCTGTAATCCCAGCTACTTGAGAGGCTGAGGCAAGAGAATCACTTGAACCCAGGAGGCGGAGGTTACACGAGCTGAGATTGCACCATTGCACTCCAGCCTGTGCAACAGGAGCAAAACTCCATCTCAAAAAAATAAATAAATAAAGTTTAGGCCCTGTCTCGCCCAAGGGAGGTTGGCACTAGCATGACTTGACAAATCAGTGCCATATAACTGTTGTTCCAGTTGGGACACAGGAAACTTGCCACCTGCAAGCCCTGGCCCAGTGTAAAGCTCAAGTCCAGAGGGCTGGGGTTTGTGGGAGACAGAACTGTCACCCCAGGACTATCAGAGAGAGAGGGGCTCCTGGCTCTTATTTCTGCAGAAGCAGCTAGATGGACAGGTCCCTCACTCCAAGGAGCCTCCACCACGTGCCCACACCTTTCTCTGGTTTCACTTTCAGTTTCTTGGAAAGGCTGTCCTTCCCTACTCCAAGCCCCTCCCCTCACTCCCCACCCAGGATCTGGGCACTGGAGGCGCCAGACATCTTATGCCCTGTCCAAGGCTAGCAGGTAAGAAACGCCCCTTGTATCTGCCAAGGTCAAAATCATACACACCCAGGTGGGGCAGTCCCACCTCTGGGAGGTGTCTTGCAGAAGCACTCCTAGGAGTGTGAGGTGATTTGGCTCCACAGTGCTTGTGGTCAGAAACAACTGGAAAGAAGTTGTGTGCTCAGCAGCATGGTGGGGTGAGGGGGTTGCAGGGCATCCCACGCCATAACCCACGAGGTAGCCTCTATGGGCTGATGGGGGATCAGTGCAGGGTGGTAAGGGCCAGGGCCAGGTCTGAAGGGAGAGTGGGCTCCCATTCATGTGAGTGGGAAAAGCAATGTATGTGTCCAGGTGCGCCAGGTCGTGCAGAGCATATCTTGAAAAGGCACACAAGGGATTGATCAGAGAGGTTGCCTCAGGCAGGATAACTGAGATCTGGAAATGGTGTGGGAGGGGAACCAGTTTTTTTTCTGTGAAGTCCTTGGATGCTTTGAATTTTTGTTTAAGTCATGCGCATGCATGATTATTGTTTATTCCCTGCCCCCACCCCACCTCAAGTACAGAAGAAAAGAAAGACAGTTTCTTTCTTAAACTAGTTTGCTGGAGGGCTGGACATCCTTTGTTGCTCATTTTCTGGGAGATGTAGGTTAAAATTAACCTACATCTTTGGAGGGCTTTGGAGTCAGACTGTCTGTGTTCAAGTCCTGGCTGCCCCACTTTGTAGCTTCTCGAGCAAGTCGCTTAACTTCTCTGAGCTTTTATTTTCTCTCCTGTAAAATGGCACAATATTATTGATATAATGTTGACATTATTATGGATACATTGATTTTTTTTTTTTTGAGACAGGGCCTCCATCTCTCACCCAGGTTGGAGTGCAGTGGCAAGATCAAAGCTCACTGCAGCCTTGACCTTCTGGACTCAAGTGATCTTCCCACCTCAGCCTCTTGAATAGCTGAGACTACAGGCATGCACCATCAAGCCCAGCTAATTTTTTGTAGAGACAGGAGTCTTGCTTTGTTGGCCAGGCTGGTCTCAAACTTCTGGGCTCAAGCAATCTTCCTGCCTGGGCCCCTCAAAGTGTGGGGATTACCAGCATGAGCCAACCCGCCCGGACTGATGTGAATATGTTGATATTAATGTGATACTAAAGTTTCTGCCTTATAGGCTTGTTGCGTGGCTTCAATGAGACAGTGCAGGGACATGCCTGAGAAAGTGCCAGGCACCCCCCACCACATGACAGCAAGACTCAGTGTCTACAGTACACTTCCACTGCTATGGGCGGCGGGTTGGGTGGAGATCTTCATGCCTATTTGCAGATGGGTAGGTTGAGGTACAAAGTAGCAAAGTCCCAGGGTAAGAGGCCTGGTCGGGGCCGCTTGTGCCCTGGATCTATTAGTGACCTGCTGTGGGACCTTGGGATGGTCCCTTCCCCTTGTCAGTGAATTGATGGGGTTGGAAAGGCTCTCCTGGGAATCGTGAAATGCAGGGTCTCCAAGCACTAGTGACAAGTGAGGTGGCAGCACCTCAGATCCTGTTCCAGGCCCTGGGGCTAGGCATCTGCCCTCAGGCTTAGGAGCCTCCGTCTGTGTCCTCTGCCAGCACACCCGCTTTACCAAGCACACGACTTTCCCGGGGTCTTGTACAGTAGAATGCAGATCCTGACCCAGAAGGTGCTGGCGGGGCCTGCAGTTCTGCATTTCCAGCAAGGTTCCTAGAGAGGTCAGTACTGCTGGTCTGAGGACCGCACTTTGAGTAGCCAAAGTCTGAATTTGATGTGGGTCATGGTATACACCTGTGTAAAAAGCTATCCAGGCCAGGCGCAGTGACTCATGCCTGTAATCCCAACACTTTAGGAGGCCAAGGTGGGAGGATCACCTGAGGTCAGGAGTTTGAGACCAGCCTGGCCAACATGGCAAAACCCTGTTTCTACTAAAAATACAAAAACTAGCCCAGCATGGTGGCACATAGTCTGTAGTCCCAGCCCTTTGGGAGGCTGAGACGGGAGAATTGCTTAATCCCAGGAGGTCGAGGCTGCAGTGAGCCATGATCGTGCCACTGCACTCCAGCCTGAGTGACAGAGTGAGACCCTGGCTCTTAAAAAAAAAAGGAAAAAAAAGCCATCAAGCTGCACATTTAAGATGAGTGCACTTGTCTGGTCTGAAGGTAGTAAGTTATCTCAGTCAATTGTTCACAGGCAGTTACAGATCCAACTCCTCATTTTACTCTTTCCCCTTTCTCATGACTGCACTTGACTAGTCTAAAAGCCAAAAAGGGCTGGTTGCGGTGGCTCACGCCTGTAATCTCAACACTTTGGGAGGCCGAGGTGGGTGGATCATTTGAGGTTAGGCGTTCGAGACCAGCCTGGCCAACACAGCGAAACCCCATCTCTACTAAAAATAAAAAGTAATTAGCCGGGCGTGGTGGCACGCGCCTGTAACCTCAGCTACTGGGGAGGCTGAGGGAGGAGAATTGCTTGAACCCGGTGGCAGAGACTGACTGAGCCAAGATTGTGCCACTGCACTCCAGCCTGGGCGACAGAGCAGGACTCCACCTCAAAAAATAAAAATAAAAAAATATCCAGCCCAAGAAGGGCCGCAGGATGAACTCAGAATGGTTAATGAACCATGAGCCAAGTGGTGAGTACTGGCCACCCACGGTGCCCCTTAGCCCTCCCCTCCCCCTCCCCATCTCCTCCATACACTCATCCTCCAACACGCCCTCCTGGTCCAGGTGCTAGGGCGGGATGCAGGCGCCTCACATTCCAGCAGGGCAGCCGTGTCTGTCTCAGGAAATGCGTGTGGTCTCCAGCTCTGGCCGCCAGGAGACAAAGCCACCCGCTTTGTTCCTTGGCCCCCAGCAGGAGGGGGAAGGGGAGAATTTCCTTAGGAGAGGTTCCAAGAAGAGGAATTACTGCTTCAAAGGGAGTGCACCATTTCAGGCGGCTGAGAGCTGCTGCGCCGCCTTCCAGAAGGGGCCCGGCACCCCTTATTGTTCCCAGCATGTGGGTCCCGGCTGGGTCTGCCTTAGGGCCCACTCTCCTGTCACCTGCTCCCTCTCTTGCAGTTGGCGACCCCTGGGGTCTCCTCTGAGTGGCCTCTGCCCTCAGTTGCCCACCCACCCTGCCCCCTGTCCTTGCTGTCCTCTTGGTGGGGATGGATAGCCCCTTCTTTTCCCCTCCCCTACTGCCCCACTGCCTCACTCTCGTCATTTATTTCCTCACTTAGGTCCTTGTCCCTGAAGGGCCATGGAGCTAAGTGACCAGCGTGCCTCTCTGGGTCCCGTGTGTGTGGTAGGAATCTTCACACTGCCTTGCTGTGACCGTGGGCCATCGCATCACCTCCCTGTGCCTTGGTTTCCTGGCCTCTAAAGACTGACCTTAAGGGGTTGTTTGTAAGGATGAAGGCACAAATGCAAGCCAAGTCCTTAGAATTCTCAGCACATAGCAAGTGCTCAATGAACCGCCTGGCTGCTGTTCGCTGGGGACACAGTCTTTTGCTCTCTGGATGTCTGACCGTGCCCTGTCCCTGCCTCACAGGGCCATCCATCAGTGCTGGTGAGCTGAGCTCAGCTGACAAGCCAGCCTGGCACGGAGCGCTGCCCCTCCTGCTGGTCCCAGATCCGTTCTGTCCGGAGGAGAATTTCTTATCCCCAGGAGATGCCTGGCCTCGTTAGGAGCCTCCTCACCCGCCCGCCCGCACCAACCCTCTGACTCCCTCCACCTCACCGCCTGGGAACAACAGGAAGAGAGCAGGACAGCAGCAGAAAGGAGTGCTGCTTATGTGGCTCTTCTCAGAATCAGGAGGCTCCCAGGCCAGGAATGTGAAACCATTATGCAGATGAAGAAGATGAAGCCCGAGAGGTTATGAAACAGACCCAAGTGGGCTCGCTCTTCAGTCTCGGCATAAGGAATCCGGAACCTGGGCCCGTGTCCGGAACTGCTGTGCCCAGGCAGCTTGCCTGGAAATCAGGTAGCGTGGGGGGACCCCAAAATCCCCCTGTGACAGACCACGAATCTGCCGTGTTTGTGCACCTCTGTTTTGCTTCCCAGAAACGAAACTTTGGCAACTGGAGAGGGATGGAGTGGGGCGGGTGGGGTACAGCAAGATCGGGAAACAGCACCGTCCTCAAATGCCTGCAGAAGGTGAGAGAACCAGCAAGTGTGATGAAGCACCTGTGTGCTTCGCAGCCATTACCGTGTCTAAATCTCACAACCACACAGTGAGGAAGGGTTTCTGTTTCCATTTTATAGATAAGCAAACTGAGGCTCAGAGAAAGTAAAGTCACTTGCCCAGGAGACACAGCTGGAAGGAGGCAGGGCGGGAATTCATAATTGTTTTTTGGTTTTTTTTTTTTTTTTTGGAGATGGAGTCTTGCTCTGTCTCCCAGGCTGGAGTGCAGTGGCGCGATCTCATCTCACTGCAAGCTCCGCCTCGCGGGTTCACGCCATTCTCCTGCCTCAGCCTGCCAAGTAGCTGGGATTACAGGCGCCCGCCACCACACCTGGCTAATTTTTTTTGTATTTTTTAGTAGAGACGGGGTTTCACCGTGTTAGCCAGGATGGTCTCGATCTCCTGACCTCGTGATCCGCCCGCCTCGGCCTCCCAATCATAATTGTTTTTGAGTGTTCAAAAGATACTTTTTATTTGCCTGTTTTCAAAAAATATTTCTCCCTTACTTTAGACAATTAGTAAAAGTTACAGGAGCCAACAAAAGGTGGAGAGAGCGTATCATTCAAGGCCTTTTCAAAAAACATATCAATCTGAAGAATGATAAAAAGAATATGGAATTCAAAAATTTTAAAAACTCCTTGCATTAAAAATAAGTCAGTATTTGTAATAAAATCTTGTTTCTGGCTGGGCGTGGTGGCTCATGCCTGTAATCCCAGCACTTTGGGAGGCCAAGGTGGGCAGATCACTTGAGGTCAGGAGTTCGAGACCAGCCTGGCCAACATGGTGAAACCCCGTTTCTACTAAAAATACAAAAATTTGCTGAGTGTGATGGCACATGCCTATAATGCCAGCTACTCAGGAGGCTGAGGCAGGAGAATCACTTGAACCCGGGAGGCTGAGGTTTTAGTGAGCTGAGATTGTGTCACTGCACTCCAGCCTGGGTGACACAGCAAGACTCTGTCTAAAGAATAAAAAAAAAATTAAAAAAAAATCTTGTTTTAACCAATTATTTAGTTTTGTATTAGTGTATTTTTTAATATTAAAGATGCATCTCTAGAAAGATTATTATAATTTTTAATTATAGCCAGCTGAATTATACAACTCCTTTAAAAATTCCTTTTACTGGGGAGGGATAGCATTAGGAGATGTACCTAATGTAAATGATGAGTTAATGGGTGCAGCACACCAACATGGCACATGTATACATGTGTAACAAACCTGCACGTTGTGCACATGTACCCTAGAACTTAAAGTATAATAAAAAAGATTCCTTTTACTAACCTTATTATGACTTACATAGACCATTCACAATGTATTTTTTTTTTTTTTTTTTTGAGACAGGGTCTCACGCTCTCACTCAGGCTGGAGCCCAGCGGCATGATCATAGCTCACTACAGCCTCAACCTCCCTGACTCAAGCAATTCTCCCTCCTCAGCCTCCTGAGTAGCTGAGACTACAGGCACGCACCACCACACCTGGCTAATTTTTTATTTTTTGTAGAGTCAAGGCTCACTATGTTTCTGAGACTGGTCTGTAACTCCTGGACTCAAGTGATCCTCCTGCATCAGCCTCTCAAAGTGCTAGGATTACAGGTGTGAGCCACCGTGGCTGGCCCAGGGCTGGAATTCTGACCCAAGCCCTCATCTCACAGGCTGCAGAACTGAGCTCACATTCCATTGTGGGGGAGACAAGTGATGAACAAATAAATAAGATTAATTTAGGCAGAATGATGTTTTGGAGGAAGTTAAATGATTAGATGATGTAACAGAGGATGATAGCAAAGGGGTGGAATCTAGACCAGCCAGATGGTTGGGGGTAGTGGGGTCTCTTGGCAGAAGCCGTGTTTGAACTAAGATGGGGAGGAAGAGGAGGAAGAGCCAGATGTGTGAATGTCAGAGGGAACAGTGTCCTGGGTGCAGTGACGGCACGTGCAAAGGCCCTGGGGTGAACTTAGCCTGGCGTGCGGAGGAACAGAAAGGCCTGCGTGGCCGGAGCTCTGTGAGTGATGAGGATGGAGGAGCTGGGGCTGGAAAAGTAGGCAGGGGCCTGGCAGGTCACGTGGGGAGGAGTTTGGGTTTATTCTGAAGGTGGGAGGAAGCCACCAGGAAGGACTGAAGCAGGAGGTTAACCAGATTTTTGGGAGCCACAGCCTTACCTTTCCTCAGCCCTGGTCAGGTTGGGGTGGGTGCCTTGGAGAATGGTTATGGGAGTGTCCTGAGGCCCCGAAGCCTGGAACTGTCCCAGACTTTGAGGTTCCCCATACCTGGGATCGCATTCTTGCTCTGCCACTTAATGGCTTGGTGATCTTGGGCCTATAGCTTCAGTTCTCTGGGGCTTAGTTTCCTCTGCTGTAAAAATGGGGATGTCAGCCAGGGGCAGTGGCTCATGCCTGTCATTCCAATGCTTTGGGAGACTGAGGTGGGAGGAATGCTTGAGCCCAGGAGTTGGAGACCAGCCTGGGAAACACAGAGAGCCCCGACTCTACAATATATGTATATTTTTTTAATTAGGCAGGAGTGGTGGCACACGCCTGTAGTCCCAGCTACTCTGGAGGCTGAGGTGGGAGGATTGCCTGAGCCCGGGAGGTCGAGGCTGCAGTGAGCTGTGGTGGTGCCATCCTCCCTTTGCAGAGCAGGCCTTGAATGAATACCAAGCCCTTGGCACAGAGCCAACAACCATGAATGGCGCCTGGTATTTCTGCAGTTGTTGCTGTGAGCATCCCTGCAGCACCTTCTCAGACCCAAGGTCGGTCGTGTTCTGGCTCCCTGGGGGTCCCCACTGCCCAGGGGAGGCTCTGAGGAATTGCAGGAGCCTGGGGATGGCCCAGCTCCCAGAGCACCCCATTCCTGTTTCCTTGCCAGGGCCAGCTCAGCAAGATTTCCATGGACATCAAGTGTTCTTTCCTGTGGGGGCAGTGCAAGGAGGGTCCAAAGAGCAAGCTCCTGTGCCCCCGGGGGTGGGGGTGGGTCAGGGAGCCTCAGTTTACCCACTTGTGAAAGGGCCATAGTAACCTCAGACCTCTTCAGCACTGGTTCCCTGATTTGAGGATTTCAAAGATCAGCAGACTTAAAAATATAAACATAGAGGCAGGGGTTCCCAAACCCCTGGCCACAGACCAGTACTCATCTGTGGCCTGTTAGGAACCGGGCTGCACAGCAGGAGGTGAGCAGCAGGTGAGTGAGTGAAGCTTCATCTGTGTTACAGCCACTCCCCATTGTTCGCATTACTGCCTGAGCTCCGCCTCCTGTCAGATCGGCAGCAGCATTAGAGTCTCATACGAATGCAAACCTCATTGTGAACTGCGCGTGCGAGGGATCTAGGTTGCGTGCCCCTTATGAGAATCTAATGCCTGCTGATCTGTCACTGTCTGCCATCGTCCCCAGAAGGGACCATCTAGTTGCAGGAAAACAAGCTCAGGGCTCCCACTGCTTCTACATTATGGTGAACTGTATAATTATTTCATTATATATTATAATGTCATAACAGAAATAAAGTGCACAATAAGTGTAATGTGCTTGAATCATCCTGAAACCATCCCTTACCCACTAGTCCATGGAAAAATTGTCTTCTATAAAACCGGTCCCTGGGCCAGGTGCGGTGGCTCACGCCTGTAATCCCCGCACTTTGGGAGGCCAAGGTGGGTGGATCACCTGAGGTCAGGAGTTTGAGACCAGCCTGTCCAACATGGTGAAGCCGCATCTCTACTAAAAATACAAAAATTAGCTGGGCGTGATGGCGGGCACCTGTAATCCCAGCTACTCCAGAGGCTGAGGCAGGAGAATCACTTGAACCTGGGAGGTGGAGGTTGCAGTGAGCCAAGATCGTGCCACTGCACTGTAGCCTGGATGACACAGGGAGACTCCATCTCAAAAAAAAAAAGAAAAAAAAAAAAAGAAAAGAAACTGGTCCCTGGTGCCAAAAAGGTTGGGGACTGCGGTATGGAGGGATTGGTAGAGTTAACTACCAATTTAAAAAATTCGCCAAACATGGAGTTGCAAAGAAATCAAATACTATCTATGGTTTTCATCCCTTCCTAAAAGAAAAGATAATTAGCTGGTGCACGTGTGTTAGCTCCTATCGTCAGATGGAAGCTGGTCCCTGAAATGCCAAGTGCTGCTCTGGATGCTTAAGAACTCATTGAGAGATGCATGCCCGGGGACAGGAAGTAGCCATGCAACTGTGAGGTGGCAGATCTGGGATTCAAGTCCTCAGGGGCCGGCTCCCCCATCTGTACTTTGCATCCCTAAGGCCAGTGGTCCTCAAACATCAGTAGGCACCAGTGCCACCTGCAGCACCCACCTGGAGCTCCAGTAGCCGGGGTGGGCCTGAGAATGGTCATTCCTCACCTGTCCCCAGGTGGTGCCAGTGCTGCTGGCCCCAGGCCACCCTTCAAGAACTGCTCCTCATGGGGGCTGAGCAGGGTGGATCTGCTTGTAATCCCAGCACCTTGGGAGGCCGAGGCTGGAGGATCTCTTGAGGCTAGGAGTTCAAGACCATCCTGGACAACACAGCGAGCCCTCATCTCTAAAAGAAAAAAATACACACATGCAAACATACATATGTGCATACACATGTGCAAACACACACACCTAATGCACATACACATACATGCATATATACATGCATACATACACATACATACACGTACATACACTTACATGCATACACGCCTGCATATACACATGCACGCACACATGCATGCATATACACATGCATGCATACACAGACATGCATACACACATGCATATACACATACATGCTACACATACACATGCATATGCATATACATGCATAAACATACACATGTATAAACTCATACATGTATACGCACATGCATGCACACATACATGCATACACAAATGCATGCACACATAGTTGTATACACATACATGCATACACGTTTACATGCATACACATACATGCATACACATACATACACATGCACATGCATATGCACATGTACATATGCATACATACACACATGCTTATACGCGTACACGTATACACATACATACGCACATGCATACACACCTACATGCACACGTACATGCATTCCACCACTCTCTGCTCTCCTATGCCCCAGATGGGCTTCTGCTTTATGAAAAACCTATTCACTTGTTCTGGTTTCTCTTTTTCCTTTGAAGATGTCAGGGAGCAAACCCATTCTGGGACCCATCACATGAGACCTTCGATTGGGGCTAGGACACCAGGTCTGGGGCTCCCCCACTTCCAGGGCTGTGTTCTCATCTGACAAGATGGTGACCTCCACTGTCTCCCTCCAGGAGGCCAAAAATGTGAGGAGGGGAATCCAGAGAGATGCTTGGTGAGGAATTTTCCGGAAGATGGCCAGTTCCCTCAGGCAGTGTTAGCACTTACTGAGGGTCCGGGGTGTCCAGACATGATTTTCCCTTTGTTTTTTTTTGGTTTTTTTTTTTTTTTTTTTTTTGAGATGGAGTTTCATTCTTGTTGCCTAGGATGGAGTAAATGGTGTGACTTGGCTGGCTGCAGCCTCCGCCTCCCAGGTTCAAGCAATTCTCCTGCCTCAGCCTCTGGAGTAGCTGGGATTCCAGGTGCCCGCCACCATGCCCGGATAATTTTTTGTATTTTTAGTAGAGATGGGGTTTCACCATGTTGGCCAGGCTGGTCTTGAACTCCTGACCTCAGATGATCCACTTGCCTTGGCCTCCCTAAATGCTAGGATTACAGGCGTGAGCCACCACGCCCAGCCCCGACACCATTTTCTGTATTGATCTATCAAATTTTTGTTGAGAGCTTTCTAGGTTCCAGGCAGCCACTGTTCTGATGCTTTACATCAACTCATTTAATTTCCCTCATGAGGTAAGAACTGTCATCCCCATTTTACAGGTGAAGAGACAGGCACAGAGAGGCTGAGTTATTTGCCTGAGGTCCCACAGCAAGTAACAGGCAAGGCCAGGATTCCAGGCCAGGCCAGGAGGCTCCCGGCTCTCTGTTGGCCCAGCCCTGGTCTTCTTAATGAGATCCCAGATCAAGGCTGGGACGAGGGGAGAGCTGTGCCTGGCACTGCTGCTTGCTTTCCAGGTGTAGTGGGTTAAAAGTGTCCCCAAAGAGATAAATCCACGTTCTAACCCCCCCAGAACCTGTGACAGTGACCTTATTTAGAAGATGGGTCTTTGCAGATGTCATTAAATTTAGGATCTGAGGATCTGGAAACGAGAACATGGGTGGACCCCAAATCCCATGTGAGGTGTCCCTGGAAGAGAGAGGCAGAGAGAGATTTTGGACACAGACACGGAGGCGAGGAGGCCCTGTGCAGATGGAGGTGGAGGCTGGAATCACACAGTTCCAAGCCAAGGAATGCCTGGAGCCACCAGAAGCTGGAAGAAGCAAGGAAGGGGCCTCCCTTCCATCTTCTGGAGGAAGCAGGGCCCTGCTGAAACCTTGACTTCAGACTTCTGGCCTCCAGAACTGTAAGAGAATCAAGTTCTATTGTTTTAAGCCACTGAGTTCATGACTTGTTGCTTGTGGCCTCGGGAAACTGACATCCTGGGTAAAACTCCTCCCCTCTCTAGGCCTGTGTCTCTTCACTTCTGTGCCCACCATGCAGCTCCTGGGTCCCCTGCTCACTGGTCCCTGACACCAGCTGGCCAGGGACCCCTCAGTACCTGTGGGGAGTGCGGTGGGCCGGCGGCCTTCCAGAACTGCATTGGGCAGGCCCCGCCAGGTTTATGCCTGGAGCGGCCTCCCTCGCCTGATGCACTGGGCTGGGATCAAGAGGCATGAGCTCTGCTGCAGACCCCACTGACCTTGGAGAAGACGTTGCCCTCTGGGCCTGTTTCTTCTGGGAGATGGGAGCCCTGTCACCTGCTAGGTTTGCTGGGAGGGTTCACAGGGTTCTTTAAACATGGCAGGGTCTCAGTCTGTTGTGGACGTCATTGTCATTGGTTTATTACCTGTCTGTCTGTCTGTCTATCTATCTAATCTATCTATCTATCTATCTATCTATCTATCTATCTAATCTATGGAGATGGGGTCTTGCTGTGTTGCCCAGGCTGGAATGCAGTGACGCAATCATGGTTCACTGCAGCCTTGACTGCCCAGGCTCAAGCAATTCTCCCACCCAGCCTCCCAAGTAGCTGGAACCACAGGCTCATGCCACCACACCCAACTAAGTTTGTTATTATTATTTGTATAGATGAGGTCTTGCTATGTTGTTAAAGCTGGTCTCAACTCCTGGGCTCAAGCAGTACCCCCACTTCGGCCTCCCAGAGTGCTGGGATTACAAACATGGTATGTTGAGCATTTAAAATTTCAAATTATTTTATTTTATTATTATTTTTTGAGCCAGAGTCTCGCTCTGTCACCCACGCTGGAGTGCAATGGCATGATCTCGGCTCACTGCAACCCCCCTGTTGTGGGTTTGAGCAATTTTCGCGCCTCAGCCTCCCAAGTAGCACCCACCACCATGCCCAGCTATTTTTTGTGTTTTTGGTAGAGATAGAGTTTTACCATGTTGGCCAGCCTGGTCTCAGACTCATGACCTCAAGGGATCCACCCGCCTTGGCCTCCCAAAGGGCTGGGATTACAGGTGTGAGCCACTGTGCCCGGCCTATTTTATTTTACTTTATTTTATTTACAGAGACAGAGTCTCACTATGTTGCCCAGGCTGATCTTGAACTCCCGGGCTCAAGCAGTCCTCCCTCCTTGGTCTTCCAAAATGCTGGGATTACACGTGTGAGCCACCATGCCAGGCCCATTGTTATTCTTTTAATGAGCTTTTTTCCTGAGCCCCTACTATGTGCTTGGCTGGACATGAAACCCTTCTCAAGGAAATAAGGTTTGTCTGATGCTAATAATGAACTTCATTTTAGTAATGAGGATTCTGAGGTCCAGAGAGGTTAAGACTTTTATGGAGGAGCACAAGCTGGCCCAGGACCTCCACACTTTAGTGCCCTGTAACTGCTGGGAGCTTCCTGGTTGGATGGGCAGGGGAGAGCTGGCGATTTGGCATGTTGGGACAGGGGGAAGAGCAGGCAGAAGGGTGTTCCAGGCCGAGGGCACACTCCAGTGAAATCCAGGAGTGTAGACTTTGATGCCGGGTAAGGCTGGGGCAGCAAGGGGCCCGGAAAGTGCCACTGGCTGCAGTCAAAGTGGCCTGAGCAAGGTGTTCTCTGTGTTTCTGAGGCTGACCTCTGTGAACTCAGAGAGAGAAAGAGAGAGAAGGGATATTGGTGTGCGCTTGTGTGCATGTGTGCACAACCATGCGGTCTGGCAGGCTTGTGGGACAGTGCCCATGTACAAGCAGCTCTCTTGTGTGTGCAGGGCTGCTTGGAGGCCATGGTCCTGGGCTCTTGGGTGTGTGTGAGTGTGTGTGTTTCCACTGGTGGAAAATGGGTGTATCTCTTGGCAGGAGCTGGGAATGTGAGTGGGTCTGAGGTCCAGGGAGAGCAAGCCTACGGTTGCAAGTGGGCAGACTACGTGAGAGGGGTCTGGGAGCCTTTGTGTCTGTGTGCATGCGTATGTGTGCCTGCGCCTCAGAGTGTATGCATGAGTGGATGAGTGTATGCACACCTGTGTATGCAGTCATGCACACACATGCATGTGTGTGTATGTGCGTGTATATATGCTTATGTGTATGGGAGTGAATGTGCCGCCATGTGTCTGCTTGTGTCTGCAATAGCCTGAGTGTGCATGCGTGTGAGTTTTGCTTTCACATTCAGTGCTAGTCAGAGGCTCCAATTCCTGTAAACCTCATGGTCTCATCTTCCAGCAGACATCCCACAGCAGTGGCAGTGGGCACCACAGCCTAGGCTTGATCTGACTTATGGCTTCCCCTTTTCAAGCCTCTGGTTGCAGGGTGTAGAGGGGATGTAGGTGAAGGCAGGACACCCGGCCCCCAGCTGGCCGCAGGCCCCACCATCCCTGGCATCTGCGGCATGAAGCCACCCATGGGAGTCTGAGGGAAGTCACATTACTGGGACTGGCCAGGGTAGAGCTGCCCTGGGAAATGTGGGTTCACTTTCATTCTACTGAAGGTGAAAATCAGATCACGCCTCTCCTCTGTCTCTCTGAAAACCCTCCAAAGAGTCCCTGTTGCATTTCAAGCGAAACATGAGTCTCTACCCAGTATCTCAGATGTCACCAGGGCCCTGCTGGCCAGAAAGACTTGGGAAGGAACCACCCATGGTGTATCCACTGTGTCACTCTTGGCTTCGAGTCCCTTCCTGTAAAAGCTGAGTAGGAAGTCCTTGCAGGGGGCAGGGATGATTGCGTGCTTGTGGCCGTTCCTCTGTCCAGTGGGTAGACACTGGGAGGCTCTGGAGACTTGGCCATGAAGGAGACAGCCCTCCCGGTGGGCCAGAGCCTTTTCCCTTTCCATATAGCCATATGCGATAGTAAAGAGCGGTTGCTTCTCCAGGCTTTAAAAAATTTTTTATTTTATATTTTATTTTTTGAGACAGGGTCTTGCTGTGTTGCCCAGGTGGAGTGCAGTGGTGCAATCACCACTTACTGCAGCTTCAACCTCTCAGGCTCAAGTGATCCTCCCACCTCAGCCTCCAGAGTAGCTGGGACCACAGGTGTGCACCACCACACCTGGCTAATTTTTTAATTTTTTCTAGAAACAGGGTTTCCCTGTGTTGCCCAGGCTGGTCTCGAATTCCTGAGCTCAAGTAATCCTCCCACCTCAGCCTCCCAAAGTGCTGGGATTACAGGCGTGGGCCCCCGTGCCCAGTCCCTCATGCCATTTCTGTGCCACTAGGAAGTAACACTGGCTAACCAGGTTGACATTTCTCTTGTTCCCAGAGTGAAACGAATGAGTGCTTCTTCTTTAATCCTGCAACTACCCCACATGGTCAGCACTTATATTTTCACTCTTACTTGGCAGATGAAGAAATTGAGTCCTGTTAAGGAACGTGCTTAGGATCACATGCTAGGAGGTGGTCGTGCTGGAATTCAAATCCAGGCAGGTGCTAGCTTGAGAGCCACTGCTCTATAAAGCCCTTCTCAGGCCTCCACTCAGGCCAAGGGAGGAGGAAGGGCCCTCAGGCAGGAGCAGCGTGAGCAAAGGTCTGGAGCTGGGACTGAGCATGGCATGTCAGGAGAGAGAGACAAGAGCTCTGTGGCCATGGGGAGCAGCGTGAGGTCAAAATGGAGAGGCAAGAGGAGGGAGGGGTGTGGAGGTCCCTGAATGCCAGCATGAACGCTCCGGGCCTTCTGTGGGGTGGGCGGCACGGGAGAAAGGGAGTCTAGCCAGCTCCGGCTGGGTGCCCTGGCTCAAACCATCCTTGCCTCAGGCAAGGACACCTGCATGGACCCAGTCGCTCAAGTCCCAAACCAAGTCCATCCTTGAGTTCTGTCTTTGTCTCCCCTCATCGGGCCGTGGGGAGTAGAGTGAAACCGCAGCTGCAGCCTCCTGGCTAGTCTCTCCACTCCTCTGCCCCCACAGCCCAGTCTCCACGCGGCGGCCAGGGGCGTCTACTGAAAACGAAAATCAGGTCATGTCTCTCTCTTTCTCTTTCTCTCTCTCTTTTTTTTTTTTTGAGATGGAATCTCCCTCTGTTGCGCAGGCTGGAGTGCAACCACCTCCCGGGCTCAAGTGATTCTCCTGCCCCAGCCTCTCAAGTAGATGGGTTTATAGGCCACCCACTACCACGCCCGGCTAATTTTTGTATTTTTGGTAGAGACGGGGTTTTGACATGTTGGCCAGGCTGGTTTCCTGACCTCAAGTGATCCTCCCACTTTGGCATCCTAAAGTGCTGAGATTACAGATGTGAGCCACTGTGCCCAGCCTCCTCTCTCTGTCTCTCCCCACCCCTCCCCTCAAAAATGCGCATTCCTGGTACATTTAAAGCAAAATCCAAATTCCTTTAAGTGGCCTGTGAGTCTCTACCTGATCTTGCCTCACCGACCTCTTGACTGCATCACTGACTGCTCCCCCATCACTGCGCACCCATACTGGCCTTTCTGTTCCTCATACACACAGGGTCGCTCCCGCTGCAGGGCCTTAGCATTCGCCATTCCCTCTGGTGGGAGTGGCCCTTCCCCAGCCCACCAGCCCCTTCTGTCATTCAGGTCTCAGCTGAGGGAGCCTGTGCAGATAAGCCCCTCTCCCCACCCCTCCTGGTTTATTTTCTTCATCTGCATGTGCTTAGCACCCGAAATTGTCTCTTGCTCTCTCCCCATCCTTCACCAGATTATAAACTCCATAAAAGCAGGGTCTTTTGTTGGTTTTGTTCACCGCTGCATCCCAGGCATTCAGTGAGCACTTGTTGAGTGAAGAAATCAGACTCAGTCTTCCCCTCTGTAAAATGGGACCACATCAAACCTCCTGGCAGGGTAGTGGTGTGGCTCAGAGGTAACGTTTGTACACAGTTGGACTTCTTCCCTACTGGCCCAAGGACTTACCTGGCCACCCCTCCTGGAACCCAGCCTCCTCCAGCTCCCCCAAGCCCTCTGCCTTGGGAGCGGACACCTTAGCAGAAGGGCCGTCCTCCAGACCCTTTGCAGCCAGGCCTCTCTGCTCACAGATCCCTGAGGACATCCGGAGGTTGGTGCCCAGAGCCTAGCCCCAGGCTCATGCAAATTCTGTCTTCCAGTTCAGCAGCTGTGGCCTCCTTCACTCGGCCTTTTAAAAGAAATTCTTGGGCTGACTCACACTTCCTTTGTCTCCAGCTGGGTTCACTCAAGTGTCGCTGTTTTGCAAGGCTGAGGTTTGAGTCCCTCAGAAGCAATCTCTGATGCAGGGGCGCTGTGTGCTTCATTGAACTTCGAATGAAGGTCAGGCCCCCCAGAAAACCTCATACCAGGACAGTTGGGAAACTACCCCTCACTGGTGGTCAGGGCATTCTGGGTTGGAGAAACTGCTTTGGGGCTTTGGCAGGTGTTCATTTTGTCCATCCCCCTGCCTCCCACCTAACCCCATCCCAAACTCACTCAAAAAAATGCCCCTACTGCCCTGGGGGGTGCATTTCAACGTCTCATGTACCCCGCTTTTCCTTCCTTCCCTGTGAAATCAGGCGTTTGGATTCAGCGCACTGCTCAGAAGGTTTGTTTCTTTCTGTGCAAACACGTGGAGTGATGCTCTGTCTCGATTTTCTAGAACACTTCCACTTTCACAGAATTGCGGTTATTTTGAGAAAAAGGGTCTGTTACAGGTACAACAATATACTGGTACTGGTCTGCATTTCTTGTTTCTGTCCCTGGAAGAGTTTTTATGTAAATAAAGTCACACTGCTCCAGGGGAAAGGAATTCCTGAGGAATTCCCTGGAGAGAAAGGGATGAGTGATATTTAACCCATTTTCTCCCGTCTCCAGTAGAAAGAACTGGAGCTTTGGAGGCAGGCTGATTTCAGGGTCAACCTCTTCCTGGCTGTGAGGCATTGAGTAAGTTACTTAACCTCTCAAAGGGCCTGAATTTCTTGGGGGTAGATTTAGGGCACAGTTATCCCTGGATACTATTTTTGAGGGGGGAGTCGAACCTTTTTTATTTACTTATTTTTTTTAGAGACAGGGTCTTGCTCTGTCATCCAAGCTGCAGTGCAGTGGCATGATCACAGCTCACTGCAGCCTCGACTTCCTAGGCTCAAGTGATCCTACCACCTCAGCCTCCCAAGTAGCTGGGACTACAGGCACACAACACCATGCCCAGCTAATTTTTTAATTTTTTGTAGAGACGGGGGTCTCCCTGTTACCCAGCCTGGTCTTGAACTCCTGGGCTCAAGCGATCCTCCCGCTTTGGCCTCCCAAAATGTTGGGATTATAGGCGTGAGCCTGGCCTGGAACCTATTTTTAATAAATGGAAGTGAAATTCACGTAACATAAAATTAACTAATTTGAAATGAACAATTCAGTGGTGCTTAGTACATTTACAGCGTTGTGCAACTACCACCTCTCTTTAGTTGGAAAACATTTTCATCATTCCCAAAGGAAACTCTGTATCCATTAAGCAGTCATTCTCTACTCCCTCTTCTCCTTGGTAGTTAACTTAGGTACTACTGGGCTTTCTTGACTGAAGTCCCTGAAGAAGAAACAAATATTTTCCAGCTGGGCCACCACCTGTGACAAGTTGTCATTTGCACGGGGCTGGGATTCTGTTCTGGGTATGTATGTGCCATTCTATATATATGTGTGTGTGTATATATATATATATATATATATTTTTTTTTTTTTTTTTTTTTAATGCAGAGACTCACTCTGTTGACCGGGCTGGAGTGTAGTGGCATGATCTCAGCTCATTGCTACCTCCGCCTCCCAGGTTCAAGCGATTCTCCCACCTTAGCCTCCTAAGTAGCTGGGACTACATGTGTCCACCACCATGCCTGGCTAAGTTTTGTATTTTTTGGAAGAGACAGGGTTTTGCCATGTTGGCCAGGCTAATCTCGAACTCTTGACCTCAAGTGATCCACCCACCTCAGCCTCCCAAAGTGCTGGGGTTACAGGTGTGAGCCACTGCGCCCAGCCCCCCATTCTCTAAATTTTGACACAGCTGAGAGTCATCTAACCACCACCACAACCAGTACACAAAATAATTTCATCCCTCCAAAAAATTCCCACTTGCTACCCTTTTGTCATCATCCCCTCCCCTGCTCCCAGCCCCTGACAATCACTGGTCTGTTTTCTGTCCCTAGAGTTGTAGCTATGCCCAAATGTCAGATGAATGGAATCCTGTAGATGTGTACTTTTGGGTCTGGCTTCTTTTGCCCAACACCAAGTATTTGAGATTCATCCAAGTTGCTGGTTGTATCGGTAGTCCACACCTTTTCACTGCTGAGTAGTAGTTTATGGTGTGGATGTACCACAGCTTGTTAAATTCCTCTGTTAAATTGGGTTGTCTCCAGTTTGGGGTGATGATGAATAGACTGCCCTCAACATCTATGTATAGGTTTTTGTGTGAATGTAAGTTTTCTTTTCTTTTTGACATAGGGTCTTGCTGTGTTGCCCAGGCTGGAGTGCAGTAGTGTGATCATAGCTCACTGCCCCCTTGACCTCAGGGGTTAAGTGATCCTCCCACCTCGACCTCCCAAAGTTCTAGGACTACAGGCGTGAGATGCCACACTCAGCCTTGAATCTAAGTTTTTATTTCTCTAGGTTAGACACCCAGAAGTGGAAACGCTGGGTTGTATGGTGAGCGGATGTGATTCTGCTCTGTTTGACCTGGGTAAGTTAAATCTCTGTAGACCTCAATCTCCCACTTCTGTAAAATGGGTATAAGAACAGTGCCAACTCCATTGGGTTATTGTGAGGATGAATGAGACACATAAGGCACAGAGTAAGTGCTCAATAAATGTTGCCTTTTGTTTTTGGGTTGGAATTTTTTTTTCTTTTTCTTTTTTTTTTTTTTTTTGAGACGGAGTCTCGCTCTGTCGCCCAGGCTGGAGTACAGTGGCGCAATCTCGGCTCACTGCAAACTCCGCCTCCCAGGTTCACACTATTCTCCTGCCTCAGCCTCCCGAGTAGCTGGGACTCCAGGCGCCCACCACCATGCCCGGCTATTTTTTTTGTATTTTTAGTAGGGACGGGGTTTCACCGTGTTAGCCAGGATGGTCTCGATCTCCTGACTTCGTGATCCGCCCGTCTCGGCCTCCCAAAGTGCTGGGATTACAGGCGTGAGCCACCGTGCCTGGCTGGATTGGATTTTGTTTCATCCATATCTTTGGCCATGTTTTTACCTGCAGCATGGGGGCCATTGGCCAGTGCTGTTGAAAGAGGTGGGGTATGAGGATTTCCTTGAACCCCCTTTTTAGGGCCAGAGGTTGGACTCCTGGGGAATTCATTATCAAGTCTGGCTGTAGACAGAGGTCCTCTCTGTAGAAAAAACATGAGTTAGGATGGTCCAGTCCCTTTATTCCACAGAAGGGGAAAGTGAGGCTCAGAGAGGGACAGTGTCTTGCCCAAGGCCACTCAACCAGGCAGTGGCAGAGAAACAGTTGGCTCCAGAGCTCCTGACTTGCCAGCCCCATGTACCTCCACCTTGATCCAGTAGCCAGTGTTTGTTGAATGACTGAGTGTGAATGAGTGAGAACACATTCCTAACACATTAGGAACACAGGCTCTGGAGCCAGCCTGCCAGGGTTTCATATCAGGTTCTTCCCTGCACAAGCTGTGTGATTTTGAGCACATTCTTTGACTTCTCTGAACCTCAGTTTCTTCATCTGTAAAATGGGTACAATCATTGTATCTGCTGTACAGAGTGATCAGGAGGCTTAAATGAGGTTACGTGTCCAGGCATGGTGGTTCACACCTATAATCCCAGCTCTTTGGGAGGCCGAGAGTTCCAGATCAGCCTGGCCAACATGGTGAAACCCTGTCTCTACTAAAAATACAAAAAAATTAGCTGGGCGTGGTGGCAGATGCCTGTAATCCCAGCTACTTGGGAGGCTGAGGCAGGAGAATTGCTTGAACCCGGAACAAGGAGGTTGCAGTGAGCCAAGATTGCGCCATTGCACTCCAGCCTGGGCGACAAGAGCGATACTCTGTCCGCCCCCCCCCAAAAAAAAAGATAATTTATGCAAAGACTTAAAACAGTGTCAGGCACACAGTAAGTGCTGAATTAAAGCTAACTTTCGCCAGGCGCAGTGGCTCAAACCTGTAATCTCAGCACTTTGGGAGAGTAGGGAAGGAGGATCGCTTGAGCCCCAGAGTTTGAGACGAGTCTGGGCAGCTAGTGATGACCCCATGTTTACAAATAATTTAAAAATTAGCCAGGTGTGGTGGCATGCAGCTGTGGTCCCTGCTACTCAGTAGGCTGAGGCAGGAGGACTACCTGGGCCCAGGAAGTCGAGGCTGCAGTGAGCTATGATCATGCCACTGCACTCCAGCTTGGGCCACAGAGCAAGACTCTATCTTAAGATAATTTTTAATGAAATTAATGACAAGGACATGGTGGGGGGCTGCAAACAGATGTTTCCACAGGGAGTGCACAGTCCTGCCAGTGACGGAGCAGGTCTCCTTCTTGGTTTATTGAAAAGTCGAGGAAAATGTGGATAATTCATGTCCAGGGACCTGTAGCCAACAGAAAAAAGCCCCTGCCTTCCCCGACTCAGAGCTGCTGTAATACAGAAGCCACAAGCCACATGGGGTGACTGAGCACTTGAATGGTGGCTTAATATGAGTTGAGACGAGCTGTCAGTATCAGTTATACAATGGATATCAAAGATGCGGTATGAGCAAAGGTCCTGAGGCAGCTTACCTGGCATGTCTACGAACAGCAAAGCAGTGAGTAGGAGATGAAAGCAGTGATGTGATCTTGTGGTGTCTGTTTCTGTGTCTGTCGCCCCACTTGACTATTGCTTCCTTTGGCAGGGGCTGCATCTGCCGTGTACGTTTCCATAGCCACGGGCTGGCATGGCATCTGGCATATAGTAGGTGCTTACCACATGTTTGTTGAATGAATGAATGGATGTTGGTGGTAACTACATGCAGCTGAGTTAAACTGAGCCCAAGGAGAGAGAGGACCAAATGCCTGCTGTAGTGGACACTGGTGTGTGCCCGGGTCCCCCTTCTACACAGAGGCAGTCACTCCCCAGCTGCTGGGAGAGCTGGTGGCTGATGGTTTGTGCCCAGCTGAGTCCCTCTCTGGGCATGGCCCCCTAGACCCCCTACCCCACGGGTCAGCACACCTCCAAAGACTGGTGAATATGGAGTACAAAAGCCCGGCCCCCTTTTCCCCAGGCAGGACAGCTCTGCTGTGCTACTTGAGCTCCAGAACTTTCCCCAGGGATGACTGAGGCCTTTGTTGCGACTGCATCTGCATCGCAGCTCAACTCCTCTGCCTGGTCCTGCTGACCTCACTCCCACGCAGGTGCTGCCTCCAAGAGCACTCCCCAATAAACCTGCTCACTCGTCCGTGGGCTTCCCTGGGAACCTGACTTGTTACTCTTCTCAAGCCATAACCCTGTCATTCGTCCATTCATTCAGTAAATATGTACTGAACAGCTATGCCCCAGGCATTGTTTTGGGATCCAGCAGCAACCCCAGACAGACCAGGACTGTTTGTGTAGGGATACTGGCCATCGAGTTTTTAGATTTCACCAAGACTGAATCTCATCATCTCCAGCCCCACCATGGCCATGACACTCCTGGGAGGCCTGGCTGCTTCAGCTCCCTAGAGTGGCCCTTAGAAGGTGTGGACAGGTGTGGGGACAGGAAGGGAGCAGACCCAGGAGCCCAGGTCTGTGGAGTCAGGCAGACCCAGGTTCGAATTCAGCTTAGTGCTTTTTTGCATTTCCCTAGTGACTAATGATATTGAGCATCTTTTCATGTGTTCACTGGCTTTTGTATATGGTGTTAGTCCACTTTTGTTGCTATAAAGGAATACCTGAGGCTAAGTAACTCATAAAGAAAAGAGGTTCGGGCGCAGTGGCTCACACGTATAACCCCAGCACTTTGGGAGGCCAAGGTGGGTAGATCACTTGAGGTCAGGAGTTCAAGACCAACCTGGCCAACATGGTAAAACCTCGTCTCTACTAAAAATACAAAAATTAGCTGGGTATGGTGGTGCGTGCCTGTAGTCCCAGCAACTCCGGAGGCTGAGGCAGTCAAGACAGTGCACTACAGCCTGGGTGACAGAGCGAGACTCCCTCTCAGAAAGAAAGAAAAGAAAAGAGGGCTGGGCGCGGTGGCTCATGCCTGTAATCCCAGCACTTCGGGAGGCTAAGGTGGGAAGATTACTTGAGCTTAGGAATTCGAGACCAGCCTGGGCAACACAGCGAGACCTTGTCTCTATTATAAATAAAAACAAAAAGTTAGCTACCAAAAATGAGGTGGCGTGCACCTGTAGTCCCAGCTACTTGGGCAGCTAAGGTGGGAGGATCACTTGAGTCTGGGAGACTGAGGCTGCAGTGAGCTATGATCACACCATTGCACTCTAGCATGGGTGACAGAGTGAGACCCTGTCTCGAAAAATAAAAAAAAAAAGAAAAGAGGTTTATTTGGCTCACAGTTCTGCAGGCTGTACAAGCATGGCACCAGTATCTGTTCGGATTCTGGTGAGGCCTCAGGAAGCTTTTACTCTTGGTAGAAGGCAGAGCGGGAGCAGGCATGTCATGTGGTGAGAGAGAAGGGAGGAGGTGCTGGGTTCTTTTAAACAACTAGACCTCAGATGAACTCATAGAGTGAGACCTCATTGCTGCAAGGACAGCACCAAGCTGTTCATGAGAGATCCGCCCCCATAACCCAGACACCTCCCACTAGGCCCAACCTCCAACACTGGAATGATGTCACATTTCAACATGAGATTTGGAGGAAAAAAAACATCCGAACCATACCATATACCTTCTTTGGAGAAATGTCTGTTTAGGTCCTTTGCTTATTTTTATTTTTATTTTTTTATTTTTTATTTTTTATTTTTTTATTTTTTTTCCAAGGCAGAAGAATTTTTCTTAGTACAGAACAAAATGAAAAGTCTCCCATGTCTACCTCTTTCTACACAGACACGGCAACCATCCGATTTCTCAATCTTTTCCCCACCTTTCCCCCCTTTCTATTCCACAAAACTGCCATTGTCATCATGGCCCGTTCTCAATGAGCTGTTGGGTACACCTCCCAGACGGGGTGGTGGCCGGGCAGAGGGGCTCCTCACTTCCCAGTAGGGGCGGCCGGGCAGAGGCGCCCCTCACCTCCCGGACGGGGCAGCTGGCCGGGCGGGGGGCTGACCCCCCACCTCCCTCCCGGACGGGGCGGCTGGCCGGGCGGGGGGGCTGACCCCCCACACCTCCCTCCCGGACGGGGCGGCTGGCCGGGCGGGGGGCTGACCCCCCCACCTCCCTCCCGGACGGGGCGGCTGGCCGGGCGGGGGGCTGACCCCCCCACCTCCCTCCCGGACGGGGCGGCTGGCCGGGCGGGGGGCTGACCCCCCCACCTCCCTCCCGGACGGGGCGGCTGGCCGGGCGGGGGGCTGACCCCCCCACCTCCCTCCCGGTCGGGGCGGCCGGCCAGGCAGAGGGGCTCCTCACTTCCCAGTAGGGGCGGCCGGGCAGAGACACTCCTCACATCCCGGATGGGGCGACAGGGCAGAGGTGCTCCCTGCATCTCAGACGATGGGCGGCCGGGCAGAGACGCTCCTCACTTCCTAGATGGGATGGCGGCCGGGAAGAGGGGCTCCTCTCTTCCTAGATAGGATGGCGGCTGGGCAGAGACGCTCCTCACTTTCCAGACTGGGCAGCCAGGCAGAGGGGCTCCTCACATCCCAGACGATGGGCGGCCAGGCAGAGACGCTCCTCACTTCCCAGACGGGGTGGCGGCCGGGCAGAGGCTGCAATCTCGGCACTTTGGGAGGCCAAGGCAGGCTGCTGGGAGGTGGATGTTGTAGCGAGCCGAGATCACGCCACTGCACTCCAGCCTGGGCACCATTGAGCACTGAGTGGAGGAGACTCCGTCTGCAATCCCGGCACCTCGGGAGGCCGAGGCTGGCGGATCACTCGCGGTTAGGAGCTGGAGACCAGCCCGGCCAACACGGCGAAAACCCGTCTCCACCCAAAAAATACGAAAACCAGTCAGGCGTGGCGGCGTGAGGCTGCAATCGCAGGCACTCAGCAGGCTGAGGCAGGAGAATCAGGCAGGGAGGTTGCAGTGAGCAGAGATGGCAGCAGTACAGTCCAGCTTCGGCTCGGCATCAGAGGGAGACCGTGGAAAGAGGGAAGAGGGGAGGGGCAGAGGGAGAGGGAGAGGGAGAGGGCTGCTCATTTTTAAATTGGGTTTTTTTGTTGTTGTTGAGTTGCAAGTGTTCTTTATATATTCTAGATACTAGACCCTCATCAGATATATGACTAGCAAATATTTTTTCCCATTCTGTGAATTGTCTTCACTTTTTGGATAATGTCCTTTGATGCACAAAAGTTTTTACTTTTTATAAAGTCCAATTTATTTTTTTCTTTTATTGCTTGTGCTTTTGCTGTCATCTCTAAAGATCCATCACCAAACCCAAGGTTGTGAACATTTACCCTTCTGTTTTCTTTTACGAGTTTTACAGTTTTAGCTCTTATATTTCGGCCTTTGGTCCATTCTATACATAGACAGAGAGGTTGAACTTTCTTCTTTTTCTTATTGTTCTAGCATTATTTATTAAATGATTATTTTCCCATGGAATGACCTTGTTGGCCCTTGTTGAAAAGCCACTGGGGGCCGGGTGCAATGGCTCATGCCTGTAATCCCAGCACTTTGGGAGGCCAAGGTGGGCAGATCACCTGAGGTCCAAAGTTCGAGACCAGCCTAGCCAACACAGTGAAACCCCAACTCTACTAAAAGTACAAAGATGGCTGGGCGTGGTGGCTCACGCCTGTACTCCCAGCACTTTGGGAGGCCGAGGTGGGCGGATCACCTGAGGTCGGGAGTTCGAGACCAGCCTGACCAACATGGAGAAACCCCGTCTCTACCAAAAATACAAAATTAGCCAGGCGTGGTGGCACATGCCTGTAATCCCAGCTACTAGGGAGGCTGAGGCAGGAGAATCGCTTGAACCTGGGAGGCGGAGTTTGCAGTGAGCCGAGATCGCGCCATTGCACTCCAGCCTGGGCAACAAGAGTGAAACTCCATCTCAAAAAAACAAAACAAAACAAAACAAAAAACCAAAGATTAGCTGGGCGTGGTGGTGCGTGCCTGTAGTCCCAGCTAATCAGGAAGCTGAGGCGGGAAAATCACTTGAACCTGGGAGGCGGAGGTTGCAGTGAGCCGAGGTCACGCCACTGCACTCCAGCCTGGGTGACAGAACAAGACTTTGTCTTGGAAAAAAAGAAAAGGAATAGATGTATGGGTTTATTTTTGGACACTCATTCTGTCCTCTGGATCTATATATGTCTGTTCTCATGTCAGTACCACACAGATTTCATTATTGTAGGCTTAGTGCCTTTTTGAGCCTCAGTTTTTTTTCTCCCATAACGGGAGGGAGGGCAGAAGTAGGTCTCTGGTAGGGGTTTGTGGATGAAATGAGCTGGAATACATCATAGCAGCTAGCAGCATGCTTGGCCTGTAGTTGTAGTGGAAGCATTACTGTTATTATCATATCCAAGATGTAGATTGTGCTTAAAGACTCCTCAAGAGAGCTGGAAATGTGTATCAGTCAGTTTAGGCTTTAAAACAAAATACCATAGACTAGGAAACCTACAACAGAAATGTATTGCTCATAATTTCTTTTTCAGATGGGGTCTTGCTCTGTTGCCTAGGCTGGAGTGCAGTGGTGCAGTCACGGCTCACTGCAGCCTCCACCTCCTGGGCTCATGTGATGCTCCCACCTCAGCCTCCCAAAGTGCTGGGATTACAGGTGTGAGCCACTGTGCCCAGGCTGCTCATAGTTCTGGAGGTGGGAAGTCCAAGATCAAGGCACTGGGAGATTCAGTGTCTGGTGAGGACTCATATTCTAGCTTACTGTGTCTTCACAAGGTGGAAGGGGCAAAAGAGCTCTCTGGGGACCCTTCTTAAAAGGACACTAATCCCATTCATGAGGGCTCCATCCTTATTCATGAGACCTAACCACCTCCCAAAAGACCTACCTCCTAACACTTTCACGTTGGGAATTAAGTTTCTTTTTCTTTCCTTTTTTAAATTTTCTTTTTACATTTTTTCCCTTTTTTTTTTGAGACAGAGTCTTCCTCTCGTCGCCCAGGCTGGAGTGCAGTGGCACATTCTTGGCTTGCTGCAGTCTCCGCCTCCCAAATTCAAGTGATTCCCCTGCCCCAGCCTCCTGAGTAGCTGGGATTACAGGCACCCACAACCACGCCCAGCTAATTTTTGTATTTTTAGTAGAGATGGGGTTTCACCACGTTGGCCAGGCTGGTCTCAAACTCCTGAGGTCAAGCAACCTGCCCACCTCGGCCTCCCAAAGTGCTGGGATTACAGGCGTAAACCACCACATCCAGAGTATTCTAGTTTTTTGAGACTATACAATAAATTATAGTTAACCACATACAGTGGAACATATGAATTTGGGAGGAGAGGGCACAAACATTCTGTTCACGCCATGGCAGTGTGCCGTGGACAGCAGAAATCACTACTGGTGCAGAGGGCTAGAGAGTGTCAGTCATCAGGCACTGAGGTGTGACTTTACCCTATTCTACCCATGCTCCCTTGAGCCCAGCCCTGGGCCTGCGTGAAGTGGAGAAAAAGGGGCACCAGAGGCCAAGATGCATCGACTTTCACATGACCTGGTGATACTCTGTGAGTGAGAGAGCAGAAGTTTGCTTGTCACTGAGTAGGGGAGGGCTGGGCCCCAGAATCATTCTAGGGTCCCACCCCCAGACATTCCAATGCAGGAAGGCTGTGCTGCAGCCCTGGAACCTACAGTTGTCCCCAGATGTTGTGTTCTTGAAAGAACTGTGCAGTGAACATCAATCACCCACCATGCGGATTCCACAATGAACAGTTGACTCTAGTTGCCTTATCTCAGCTCTAGCCACCTGTCCTTCCCTCTATCCACCCATCCATCCACCTTATTTCTTATCTTTTTTTTTTTTTTTGAGATGGAGTCTCACTCTGTCGCCCAGGCTGGAGTGCAGTGGCGCCGTCTCAGCTCACTGCAAGCTCCGCCTTCCGGGTTCACGCCATTCTCCTGCCTCAGCCTCCAGAGTAGCTGGGACTACAGGTGCTCGTCACCACGCCTGGCTAATTTTTTGTATTTTTTAGTAGAGACAGGGTTTCACCGTGTTAGCCAGGATGGTCTCAATCTCCTGACCTTGTGATCCACCTGCCTTGGCCTCCCAAAGTGCTGGGATTACAGGCGTGAGCCACCACGCCCAGCCATCCACCTTATTTCTTGTTGCATTTCAAAGTAAGTTGCATCCAAAGTAAGTAAGAGACATCCATCCACTGCCCCTTTGCATACTTTGGCAGGCATTTCATTAAATACAGTTCAAAATTTGTGTGCGTGTATGTGTGTGTTTTCATAAAACCTGTATTTCCAAAAAAAAAATTCCCCAGAGTATTCTTCCACGGTGCCAATCCAGGATAGTGGGTAAGACGTTATGTTAAGAACCACCATCCTGATTACTGAGACACCTAAGAGGAACCCTTTATAAGGGTTCCCAGGGTGGGGATGGGTTCCTGGCTCTACCTTCTCCTAGCTGTGTGGTCTGGGGTAGGTCACATCACCTGTCCAAGCCTCAATGTCCTCATCTCTAAATTGGGCTTAAGAAAAGTATCTACTTCTTAGGGTTGTCATGAGGAATAACTGAGTCTCTGCACATGAAGTGACTGGCATGGTGCTTGGCACATAGTAAGGGCTCAGCTAATAACAGCTTTTGCTATTTTGAAGATGTCACTGTATGGATACCCTTCCAGAACAACCCATTTTATTTTATTTTATTTTATTTTTTCCTTCAAGACCGAGTTTCATTCTTGTCGCCCAGGCTGGAGTGCAGTGGCATGATCTCAGCTCACTGCAACCTCTGCCTCTTGGGTTCAAGTGATTCTCCTGCCTCAGCCTCCCAAGTAGCTGGAATTACAGGCACGTGCCATCATGCCCAGCTAATCTTTATATTTTTACCGGAGACAGGGTTTCACCATGTTGGCCAGCCTGGTCTCGAACTTCTGGCCTCAGATGATCCACCCACCTTGGCCTCCTAAAGTGCTGGGATTACAGGCGTGAGCCACCACGCCCCACCCAGAACAACCCCTTTTCTTAGTGTAGTAGGGTTGTTTCTGGAAACCAGAAGCATTTTTGGCCTGATTGGCCTGGGAACTGGTGAACGAGCAGATTGAGGATAAAGCCAAGGCCTACAATTCCTCTCACCTTACCTTTGTCCTCACTGGTGCAGGTGGCAGGAAACCGCCTTCCAAGGATCTTTGATCTCACTGGGAAGCTGGAGCTCGGGGAGGCTGGCACAGGGGGTTGCTTCAGGCCTGAGTGTGAGGGTGATGGATTGTGGTGTGGGGGAGGGGGGATAATCCTCCCTAGAGGGGAGGCTTACCCAACATGTGTCAACAGACCCCACTTGTCTGCTCATGACTGTAATTTAAAATGCTGATTTTGCAACTCTTGGAGCTGGTGGAACACTACAGCCCCTTGGCTATTTTGCAGGAGATTTAAGGACCTGCACGTTAGTGAACATGCAGGCTGCCTTGGTGCCTGAAGCAGAGGTCACGTTCTAGAGAGAGTTTGCAGATTGGAAGCCCACGGGCCAGAGTCAGTCCATGGATGACTTTCTGGGGCACATGGTTTGTTTTTGTTCCTTTGTTTCAGAATTGAATTGTTTGCCAGCATTTTTTTTTTAAACATGGAAATTATACATGAAAATGTCTTGAGCTGGGCGCGGTGGCTCACGCCCGTAATCCCAGCACTTTGGGAGGCCAAGGCAGGTGGATCATCTGAGGTAGGGAGTTCGAGACTAGCCTGGCCAACATGGTGAAACCCCATCTCTACTAAAAATACACAAAATTGGCCGGGCGTGGTGGCGGGCACCTGTAATCCCAGCTACTTGTAAGGCTGAGGCAGGAGAATCACTTAAACCTGGGAGGTGGAAGTTGTGGTGAGTTGAGATCGTGCCATTGCACTACAGCCTGGGCAACAGAGTTAGACTCCATCTAAAACAAAACAAAAACAAACGAAAAAAAGAAAATGTCTTGAAAAATCAGATCTAGCAACAATGGGCCCACAGTCCTGCACGACAACCACCGGCTGAGTGTGATGGACCCCTGTTGCCGGGACATCAGAAGGCCAGTTTGCCCCTGCTACACCAGGGTTACCTGTCTGTCTGCTGCTGACAACTTAGTTTGAGAACCCAGGCTTTACTGGTAAGATAGACACAGACACAACTATTTATGGCTCAAAACAGAGGGCAGTGAGTATTGTAGCTTAGGACAGTGGTTCTCCATAGAGGTGATTTAGTACCCTAGGGGACAGTGGCAATGTCTGAAGACATATTTTGGTTGTTGCAACTTGAGGAGGGTGCCATGGCATCTCGTGGGTGGAAAGCAGGGGTACTGCTCCATATCCTGCAGTGCACACGACAGCCCCCACGACAAAGATTATCCAGCCCCAGTGTCAGTAGGGCTGAGGTTGGGAAACTGTGGATTAGGGGCACCACCAAACTGGTCTGGAAGGAAGAGGTTAATTCCAGTGGTGGGGCTCAACAAAGGCTCTGTGAAGAGAAGAGGTCTTGCTGCTGAGCAGGCACTTGATGACTAAGCCAGGTTTCAACTGAGAGCGACTGAGGGGGAGGCATGTCAGGCAGAGAACAAACAACACAAGCAAAGGTCTAGAGGCACCTTTGATGGGTGGAGGTGGGTGAGAGTGTGAACAGTGAGATGGAGCCTGTAGTTCAAGATACATGAAGTTTGGGGTCAGGTGGATTTGGGTTTGAGTTCTGACTCTGCCACTCACTAGCCATGTGGCTTCAGGCTTGTCATTGGCTTGAACCTCAGTTTCATCATCTGTAAAATGGGGATAAGACATGAGGTTATGTAGAGCCAGACTCATCTATCCCCAGTCCTCCATTTCTACTCTGTGTCCCAGCCATCCTTAACTACTGGCAGTTTGCTACATGCTTCTTGCTTTGTCTCCCCTGTCTGGCCCCTCCATGTGCAGTTCCCTCTGCCTGGAATGCTCACATGCCAGATGTGTGGATTACACCATCAAGGTGTTATAAACCCGGTGCTGACATGCTAAGACTTGTGTTTTGAAAAGATCACTCTGCCAGCAACATGGTGTTGGGCTTGTGGGAGCAGGTGCAGGGAATCTGGAGGCCAAGGGAATGATGGGGGATTCCCAGGCTCATACAAGAAGCCTGGGGGCTTCTCCCTTCACGCTAACTCCCTTCTCCGTCACTTCTCTGTCCTTAAGGTACCTCGGGGGAAGGTCAGTGAGGACCCACCAGGCATGAACGGGTTGGATTCTCTCTTGGTTAATGTTCCTGCTCCTTTCTCAGCCTAGGAGCCTGGTTACTTCATAGGTCAGGGTTGAGGTGTTGTATTAGTCTGTTCTCACACTGCTATAAAGAACTGTCCAAGACTGGGTAATTTATAAAGGAAAGAGGTTTAATTAACTCCAGTTCCGCAGGGCTGGGAGGCCTCAGGAAACTTACAATCATGGCAGAAAGGGAAGCAAACGTCCTTCTTTATGTGGCAGCAGGAAGAAGTAGTGCCGAGCAAAGGGGGAAAAGCACCTTATAAAACCATCAGATCTTGTGAGAACTCACTCACTATCACGAGAACAGCATGGGAGTATCCGCCCCCATGATTCAATTACCTACCACGGGGTCCTTCCCACGATATGTGGGGATTATGGGAAGTACAATTCAACATGAGATTTGGGTGGGGACACAGCCAAACCATATTAGGTGTAGAGGCCAAAACCTCATAGAGGCTACTGAGAGTCTATGGGCCAGCCCTCTAGCTTCCTTAAGCCTCAGTTTCCTCACCTGTGTGGAACAGTCTTTTCAGGGTCTGTGGGGGTACATGGGATACTTCCTACAAAGTTCTTACAATAGGACCTGGCTCAATTTTATAAAAATGAAGCTCTTGGCCGGGTGCGGTGGCTGACGCCTGTAATCCCAGCACTTTGGGAGGCTGAGCGGGCAGATCACGAGGTCAGGAGTTTGAGACTAGCCTGGCCAGTATGACGAAACCCCGTCTCTACTAAAAAATACAAAAATTAGCCAGGCGGGTGGCGTGTACCTGTAGTCCCAGCTACTCAGGAGGCTGAGGCAGGAGAATCACTTGAACCTGGGAGGCGGAGGTTGCAGTGAGCTGAGATGGCACAACTGCACTCCTGCCTGGGTGACACAGCGAGACTCCGTCTCAAAAAAAAAAAAAAAAAAAAATCAAGCTCTTGCTGAATACTCTCTGAATGCCTGGTACTGCAGGAGGCCCTGGGAACTCAAAGTTTCTCTTAAGAACTGACCTTGACTTTAAGGATTGCCTGATTTAGGATCTGTGGACTTTGCTGACTGGGGACATCCAATTTTTAGGGAGAGATTCCTGGGAATTTTATTTGAAGGATGCACAAAAAGATTTAGCTTTTACGGGTGGATCACGAGGTCAGGAGATCGAGACCATCCTGGCTAACACGGTGAAACCTCGTCTCTACTAAAACAAAGTACAAAAAATTAGCTGGGCGTGGTGGCAGGCACCTGTAGTCTCAGCTACTCGGGAGGCTGAGGCAGGAGAATGGCGGGAACCTGGGAGGCGGAGCTTGTAGTGAGCCCAGATGGCGCCACTGCACTCCAGCCTGGGTGACAGAGTGAGACTCCGTCTCAAAAAAATAAATAAATAAATAAATAAAAAAGATTTATCTTTTAAGTAGGTCCACAGTGGATATATTTATAAAGTGAAAAATTGGAAATAGCCTTAATGTCCAACTGTAGGATATTGGTTTAATATGTGATAAGACAAATCGAGTATTATGCAGTCATTCAAGAGGAAGCAGATGGATATTTGCTGATACAGAAAGATGTTCATTATTAAGTGAAAACAATATACAAAACACTATTTGTATATCAGTAATAGGCCAGGCATGGTGGCTCACGCCTGTAATCCCAGCACTTTGGGAGGCCAAGGAGGCAGGATTGCGTGATCCCAGGAGTTCCAGACCACCTTGGGCAACATGGTAAGACCCTGTCTCTACAAAAAATACAAAAATTAGCTGGACGTGGTGGTGCACGCCTGTAGTCCGAGATACTTGGGAGGCTGAGGTAGGAGAATCACCTATGCCCGGGAGGTGAACGTTGTAGTGAGCCGTCACTGTGCCACTGCACTCCATCCTGGGCAACAGAGTGAGACCCTGTCTCAAAAAAAATACACACACATATTTTAAAGCCTAAAGGCTAATATACCCCAAAATTAACAGTGGGTATCTATAAGCGGCTTTTACAATTATTTTCTTGTTCTACATTTTTCCCCTATTTTTTTTACAATAAATGTGCATTTCTTGTCTGAAAAATAGCAATATATTTTATTAACCTTAAAATTATTTGATGCTATTAAAATATAACTGAAAATAATAATAAAAGAAAAGGCAAGTTTGCCAGCTCTCCCCGTCTCCCTCCCCAGCCTTATCTCCTGACTGGATTCTTGCTCACTCCCAATAAACACGGACTCTTAATTCGTTTCAGTATTTACTAACCTCAAAACAAGGCAATGTAAAGATGAATAATCATACTCTGTAGGTGATCTGCATCCACGCCAAATTTTGAGATGCGTTGAAAGAGGAAGTTCTTTACCTCTCTGCCTTCAATTATTTATTCTCGTTTAACCCATTTCCTCCGTTCATTCCTAACTTGAGGGCGTTTATTTACTTTTATCTACGCATGCGCACTCCTGGCTGCTAGAGAGGGCCTCTTCGCCCGGCGGTCCCGCCTTCTGACGTCGACCATTGGCCGGCTCTGCCAGCGCGCTCCTGATTGGTGGCTGAGGGCCGGGCCCCGCTGCTTCTCAAAGTTGGCGGGAAAGCGGAGGCGGGGCGGAAGGGTGCGGCGAGGCGGAATGGCGGCGGCTGCGGACTCGTTCTCAGGCGGCCCCGCGGGGGTGCGGCTTCCGAGGTCGCCGCCACTCAAGGTGCTGGCGGAGCAGCTGCGGCGCGACGCGGAGGGCGGCCCGGGCGCGTGGCGGCTGTCACGGGCGGCGGCGGGCCGCGGGCCGCTGGACCTGGCGGCCGTGTGGATGCAGGGCAGGGTAGTGATGGCGGACCGCGGCGAGGCTCGGCTGAGGGACCCGAGCGGGGACTTCTCGGTCCGCGGCCTGGAGCGGGTGCCGCGCGGGCGGCCCTGTCTAGTCCCAGGTAATGCCCGGGCCTTACCGGGCGCCCTCTTCCCTGCTGCCCGCCGAGAAGTTGCCGAGGCCAGATTCGATCTTGTTGTTGACACTCGAACGGGGGCGGGGCGGGTCTGGCCCTCCTCCGGGCCTCTGCCCCTGCGGGTCCCCGCTTGGGTACCCTTGCTCCGGTCCCTCCTTGGTGAAGTTGATCTGATGATAAGCATCACCTGCCGTCCCTTTTACAAATACAGATTCCTGGGACTCTCCCACCCCTAGTGGGAATCTTCTGGGGAGGGACTCCGGCACCTTCGTTTGTCACAAGCCCCCTCTCCCAGTTGATATCCTTGTTTTGGGAAATACTGTCCTGGGAAACTTCTGCTCATCCTTAACGTCTCAGCTCAAATGTGCCTTTCTCAGGGAAGTCCTCCCTAGCCCCTAGGAACGGGAGACCCTCCTGTACTTCTCCTTAATTGAACTGTCTTGGGCTGTAGCTCACTCATGTTTGCCTCCTCTCTTTTTTTTTTTTTTTTTTTTTTGAGACGGAGTCTCACTCTGTCGCCCAGGATGGGGTGCAGTGGCGCGACCTCAGCTTACTGCAGCCTCCACCTCCCGAATTCAAGCGATTCTCATGCTTCAGCCTCCCGAGTAGCTGGGATTACAGGCATGTGCCACCACACCCGGCTAATTTTTGTATTTTTTAGCAGAGACTGGGTTTTGCCATGTTGGCCAGGCTGGTCTCGAACTCCTGGCCTCAAGTGATCTGCTCATCTCGGCCTCCCAAAGTGCTGGGATTACAGACATGAGCCGCTGCGCCCTGCCTGCTTCCTCTCTTAAACCACTGATGCTCAAACTTGAGCCAGCATCAGTCTCTCCTGGAGGGCTTGGTAAAGCTGGGATGGCTGGGGCTCCACCCTCAGGGTTTGTGAGTCAGGAGGTCCAGGTGGGGCTGGAAATTTGCATTTCTAACCAGCTCCCAGGTGATGCTGATGCTGCTGGTCTGGGGACCATACTTTCGACTTTTTAAATGTTTTATTTATTTGAGATAGGGGACTCACCGTGTTGCCCAGGCTGGCCCTGAGCTCAAGCAATCCTCCTGCGTCAGCCTCCTTGGGTAGCTGGGACTACAGGCCTGTACCACCACGCCTGGTTTGGGGGCCATACTTTGAGAACCACTGGGCCAGCCCAAGCTACTGGAGGGCCAGAGCTGTGTGGTCCTGACAACTGTATCCTCAGCATCTGGCCCAGTTCCTGACACATAAGTGCTCCAAGAACCAATAGTCTTGAGTGATAGGCAATGGGCATCCATCTCACTTGTTCCCTGGGATGTCAGTTGAGCACGTGTTGTACATCAGCCCCTCATGTGCAGTGTTGGGCTGCAGCCGAGACCTAGATAGAGTCTGCTGGGAGACAGGCAGTGAGCAAGTGTCGCAGAGGATCGCTGATCTTTGGGGAGCCATGAGGATGTGCAAGGTGCTGAGTGGCCCGGGGAGGCTTCTAGAGGATGTGAGGTCTAAGCTGAGGAGCTCTGAGGCTCCATGGGCCTTCCCTCACCTCAGCTCCCTCTCCTGGGAAATCAGGCCAAGATCACTTCATTCCTAAGGGCCCTTCCTGCTCAGTCTTGGAGTCTAACTAGAGGCAGATAGGGCTGTGGTCTGGCCTGAGCTGCTGTGGACTCGGAAAGGCTTAGGTCGAATTTCTGGTTCCACCCCTTCCCAACTGAGCTGCCTGGAGCACTCTTGTTAACTTTTCTGGACTTGTACTATTTTGTAAAAAGGAGCTAATCATTCCTGCGTGTTGTGTGGATTCAATAAGTAAACAACTGCCTTAGTACTGCACCTGGCTCACAGTGAGGATGCAAAATATCAGGACTCGTTTACTGCCACATGCTCCTGTTCCGTCTTCCCACTGCCTTACCCATCAGCCTTCCCTCTGTCTGCCTGCCCTCAGCCGCAGCGTTGGTCTAGGACAGGGTCAGCAAACTACAGGCCTCCTCTTTTCATGTGTCCTGCGAACTAAAAATGCTTTTAAAATTTTTATGTATTACTATTATTATTTTTGAGACAGAATCTCGCTCTGTCTCTCAGGCTGGAGTACAGTGACGCAGTCATGGCTTGCTGCAACCTCCACCTCCTGGGTTCAAGCGATTCTCATGCCTCAGCCTCCCGAGTAGCTGGGATTACAGGTGTGCACCACCACACCCGGCTAATTTTTGTAGTTCTAGTAGAGATGGGGTTTCAACATGTTGGCTAGACTGGTTGGTCTGGAGCTCCTGGCCACCTTGGCCTCCCAAAGTGCTGGGACTGCAGGTGTGAGTCATTGCACCTGGCAGGATTTCACATTTTTAAATGGTTGAAAAGAAAATCGTGATATGTGAAAAGTATATGAAATTCAAGCATCAGTGTTCATAAGTTAAGTTTTATTGGAATACATTGGTAATTTACAGAATGTCTCGGGCCGCTGTCCCACCCCAGCTAGAATTTTATCTGGGACAGAGACCCTATGGCGGGAAAAGCCCAAAATATTTGTCTCGCCCTTTACAGAAAAAGTTTGCCAACCCTTGGCCTTAGCCTTGGCCCAGCAAGTAACCCATGCTGCTTGGTGTGTTGGTTTGCAGGCAAAGCACCTTGCAGGCAGGCTGGGGCAGTCTCCTATCTGGTCTCAGCCCTGGCATAAGCCTGGCATCTAGTAAATAAGTGTTTGAACCCATGGGCATTGGTGAACCTGTCTGACATACCCACTGGCCTGAATGCCAGCTGGCAGGGGCCATGTCATTTCTTCTTGTTAATTAATACTGAGTCCAGCTTGACAAAATTGAGTCACTGCCATCAGGGAGGCAGGGAGGTAAGCGGGCCACTAAAACACAAAGTAACATTGCAGGCAAGAGTGAGGTGGCGCAGAGGAGGGACAGCTGATCTAGGTTTGAGGGCTCAGGGAAGGCTTCCTGGAAGAGGCAGCCCTGAAGGATGCATTGGAGTTATCTGTAAGGACCAACCCTCCTGGGTTGCCTGGGACTGAGAGGGTCCTGGGACGTGGGACTTTCAGTGTTAAAACTGGGACACTTGGGCACCCTCTGTCTGTGTGCAGTGGCAGGAGATTGTGCAGCTCCATGGAGCAGCCTGTGCAAAGGCTTGAAGGGGATAGAGCCGCGTGCCTTTGGGGAGCCTGGGGCAGTGGTGGAAGGTAGGAGGGCTCTATCCTGATGAGCCTCATTGGCTGTCTGGAAGGACCTGCCTGCTTCAAGATGGCCTTGAACTCTGCTCACTGCACTGCTGCTGTAGTGCTGTTCCTCCACCGCCTCTTCCTCTGGAACATCCAGGAGTTTGTTTCCATAAACCTAAGGTGCTGAAGAGGCAGAGTTGAAGGAGAAGCTCTTCCTGCCCTCAAGCTGCTCTCTGTCTGCAGGAGAATCAGAGAAACCATGCTTACCTAGATCGCGCTTGGATCAACTGAGTTCTGGAGGCAGGAGGTGGATTTGACAATGTTGACTGCAGCAGTGGGGTGGGGATGGTTTCGAAGAGGAGGAAGCTGGCAGGAGATGGGCTGGAGCCATTGGAATGGTCATGGCAACCGCGGGGTGGGGATGCAGGAAGGAGAGGGAGAGACAGCGGAGAGCTGCTTTGGAGTGGGAGAGGGTGTGGGTAGAACCTACAAGGTCAATTTGTCCCATCGCGTGCCTTCGAGTTCATCCGGCTGGCTGTGTGTGCCTTCTCAGTAGAGCTCCTGTTCCCCTCTCCCGGTTGGAATGCCCTTGGGCTTGTTTTTCTCTTCGTGGGCCTTCAGTCATTCTACTTCTGTGTGTTCCAACCCTACCAGCACTTTAGGCCCCTTCAGAGGGGATGGCAAGTGCATTTTCAGAACTAGCCTCTGTCACGGAGGGACCCAGGTGGAATGTGGGGTTGGAGTTCTGAGATACTTGAGCACATCCTGCCTGGGGTTGAACAGCAGGATCAGGGGTCAGCTTGCCTGGGGCTTCAGTCAAAGCCCCAGGCCCCACGTGCAGTGCAATGAAAGCCTCACGGGGCAGGCAGCAGGGCTGGCACCGGGCCTGTCCTTCCTGCAGCATTTGGAGTTTTCTTTTACACAATCGGGTTTTATGTGGTTGAGACTGGCCAAGTTTTGCTTTCAAGGAGAGTCACTTCCCCAAGGGAATGGGAAGAGAGTCACAGTTAATACGTCATTAGATCATGCCGGTGGCAGCCGGCCCTTGTGTGGATTTGCTTGTATGTGCTGGAGGAGGTGGCAGGGATAGGTCCCAGCAGTTGGAACAATGGGGCGGGGGGCTGCCTGCCCAGCCTTTTCGGCAATGTGGAGGGAAAATTGGATTGCTTAGTAACTGTCAGAGGGTGTCTGCAGAAAGAGGATGTGTCCTGTGCACAGAAACCAGTCACATACTCTGTAGCATTGAGCAAGGAACAGGATTAGAGGAAAGCTGAGGTTTTCTGCCCCTACCTCAGAGCCGCCTAATTATAACTCGCTCTGATGGGAGCGTCTCCTCCATTCCTTGGGCGTGGTTACATTTTACATGACAGTTTTGTTTGGCCTAGTAAAATCAGAAACCAAAGAAGATGGCTGGGTACAGTGGCTCATGCCTATAATCCCAGCACTTTGGGATACCAAGGTGGGTGGATCACCTGAGGTCAGGAGTTCAAGACCAGCCTGGCCAACATGTGAAACCCTATCTCTACTAAACATACAAAAATTAGCCAGGCATAGTGGCAGGCACCTGTAATCCCAGCTACTCAGAAGGCTGAGGCACAAGAATCACTTAAACTCAGGAGGTGGAGGCTGCAATGAGCCGAGATTGTGCCACTGCACTCCAGCCTGGGCGACATAGCAAGACTCTGTCTCAAAAGAAGAAAAAAAAAAAGAACATTACTATGGGCTTTTCTTCTTTTTCTAGGAAAGTATGTGATGGTGATGGGAGTGGTTCAGGCCTGCAGCCCTGAGCCCTGCCTGCAGGCTGTGAAGATGACAGACCTTTCTGATAATCCCATCCATGAAAGTATGTGGGAACTGGAGGTAGAAGATTTACACAGGAATATTCCTTAGAGTATGTTGGAACTGTCGTTAAAAACAACCAAAATCCCGAAACTATTTAGAAGCTTATAATGATGTGGATTTCATGGACACTTTTCAATGCGTATTTTTCAAATGCTTCTCAGAGAGCCTTGCTTTGGTTGACCAAGGAGTCCGGATGTAGGAATGTTTAAATCCTCGGATACTTCAGTGACACAGCCTCTGCTGCCCCTTGCTTTGCCTGTGTTTGCTGATGAAAAGCAGATGCTTGTGTTTCATTTTCCTTCCTGGTTTGTGTGTGTTAATTCTCTCTCTCTCTCTCAGACACAGAAGTCTCATGTTGCATTTTCCAAATTTTATGAGTGATGATACTTTTTCCATTACTGCTGCGTCCCTGTTTTACAATGCAAAATTTAAGTACGGTCGTTGCCCATGGTGATTAAAGTGTGGTTATGGGCAGGAAGACAGACTGTGTAAAAAAGGAATGACATCCTGGCTCCTCATCTTCTTCATCAGCAACTACCATAACCAGTTTGCGAGTCAAATGGCATTTCCTAACGGCAGGCATGGCGGCCCCTGAAAGACAACAGCTCCCTTTCTGCTTCGGACACCACTCAAACATTTAGACGCAGCTCTATCCCTTTTCCTAGCTAGAGAAGGTGATGCCTTCTTCCATTACTCAGAGATGTTGAGACGTTTTCAGAATTTCTTGTTGAAATGAAAAACATCAAGATAAAGGACGCCTTTCAGGCATTAGCTAAACTTCCACTTCATAACTTTCGGCGAGACATGGTGAGCCTCCTGGTGTAGAGTTCTTTTGTCTTTGTATGGAATGACTTTTTGCTGTGATGGTTTTGAATGTTGGGTTTCTGCTGTCTGCTTAGTACCCATGCCTGAATTTTTTGAGATTGTAAATATCAAAGGAGTTAGATTGTGTTCTGACATGGTTGTAGACTTTCACCTGGATTATTGATATTCTACCTCTAATAAATTTTTAATAGGCTGTATGAGTTTTTTTTTTTAATGGACTTAAGAAAACAGTTTTAGGTGTTCAGGAAAATAGAGGAGAAACTACAGCGTTCGCATATACTCCACACACCCCACTCCCAGTTTTTCCAGCTATGAACATCTTTTATTAGGATGGTACATTTGATAAACCAACATTACATTCTTATTAACTAAAGTTTAGTTTACATTAGGCTTTATTCCTTCTCTTATACATTCTGTGGATTTTGCCAAATGCATAATAACATGTATCCACCACTACAGTATCGTCCAGAATAGCTTCACTGCCCTAAAAATCCTCTGGGTTCCCCTTATTCACCCCTCCCCACCAACCCTGACAGTCACTGATCTTTCTTTTCAGTTTTGCCTTTTCCAGAATATCATATAGTTGGATCATACAGTAAGTAATTTTTTCAGACTGGCTTCTTTCATTTACTATGCATATAAGATTCCTCCATATCTTTTTTTTTTTTTCTTTTTTAAGACAATCTCAGTCTTGCCCAGGCTGGAGTGCAAGGGCACAATCACAGCTCACCACAGCCTCAACCTCTCAGGCTCAGGATCCTCCCATCTCAGCCTCTCAGGTAGCAGGACTACAGGTGCGCATCACCTTGCCTGGTTAATTTTTTTGTATTTTTTGTAGAGACAAGGTTTTGCCATGTTGCCCAGGCTGGTCTCAAACTCCTGGGCTCAAGCAATCTTCCCATCTTGGCCTCCCAAAGTGCTGGGATTACAGGTGTGAGCCATTGTGTCTGGACTCCTCCAGGTCTTTTTGCAGCTTGTTAGCTTTTTTTTTTTTTTTTTTTTTTCAATAAATGCCCGTGCTTATTACAAGATAGAAACATGAAGAATTCCTTAGGTACTGTTTTTTTTTTTTTTTTTTTTTTTGAGACAGAGTCTAACCCTGTCACCCAGGCTGGAGTGCAGTGGTGTGATCTCTGCTCACTGCAACCTCTGCCTCCCGGGTTCAAGCGATTCTCCCGCCTCAGCCTCCTGAGTAGCTGGGATTACAGATGTGTGCCACCACACCCAGCTAATTTATTTATTTATTTATTTTGAGTTTTTTATTTTTGTTTGTTTGTTTAAGATGGGGCCTTGCCCTGTCACCCAGGCTGGCGTACAGTGGCGTGAACGTGGCTTACTGCAGCCTCAACCTCCCAAACTCAAGCAATCCTCCCATGTCATCCTCCTGAGTAGCTGGTACTACAGGCACAAATTCCTCGGCTCAAGCAATCCTCCCACCTTGGCCTCCCAAAGTGCTGGGATTACAGGTATGAGCCACCACGCCCAGCCAGCTCATTTCTTTTTATCACTGAATAATGTTCCATTGTATGGATGTACCATAGTTTTATCTAATCCACCTATTGAAGGACATCTTGACTCCAGTCTCTGATAACTATGAATAGAGCTGCTGTAAACATTCATGCCCAGGTTTTGAGTGGGTGTAAGTTTTCAGCTCATTGGGGTAAATGCCTAGGAGTGCAATTGCTGGGCCATATGGTAGACCTATGGTTAGCCTTGTAGAAACTGCCAGTCTGCTTTTGCATTCTCACCAGCAATGAAGGGGAGTCACTGTTCCACATCGTCTCCAGCACTGAGTGTTGTCAGTGTCTCGGGTGTGCTGTGCTTTTAAACTATTTTCTTTTTAAAGCCGGGCAGATTGGAAAGTATGCATCATTTTTGTTGCCCACAAGAAGCTTGTTTTGAACTGTTTTATGTTCACAGTTTGGGATTTTTCGGGCAATATTGCTGAGCTTTAACAGGAACTTTGCAGTCCTGTCAACCTGAATTTGAGCCCTTCATTTGCAAGTAACCTTGCCGTGTGACTATGAGCAAGGTACGTAACCTCTCCATTGTTCAGTTTCTTTATCTGTAAAATGCAGATTATGCCCAGCTCATAGCACTGGTGTGAGGAATAAATGAAGATGTAGATCACTTTTACATGGTATGTGACACTTGGTAGGCACCAAATCATTATTGCTGGGAGGATCAGTATGTTCTTGCTTGTCTACACACACACATACACACACACACACACGAGAGAGAGAGAGAGAGAAATTGCAAAGATAGTACAAAGAGTTCCCATATACCTGTACCCAGCTTCCCCTATTATTAACATGTTAGTATAGTGCATTTGTTAAAATTCATGAACCAATATTGAGATGTTATTAACCCAAGTCTGTACTTCATTCAGATTTCTCTGGGTTTTTCCTAATGTTCTTTCCTGTTCCAGGGTCCCATCCGGGACACCACATTCCATTTCGTCATCATGTCTCCCTAGGTGCTCTCCCTGGCTGGGTCGTTCAATCAGTTGCTTTTAATTGCATTTAAATTTAATTTTGGTGCAGACAGTGAGATCTGTTACAGAATTCTTAGGTTAAAACTTAGTCACAATGGCTGGGTGCAGTGGCTCACGCCTGTAATTGAAACACTTTGAGAGGTCGAGGCAGGCTGATCACTGGAGGCCAGGTGTTCAAGACCAGCTTGGGCAACATAGTCCCCCGTCTCTACTAAAAACACAAAAAAATTAGCCAGGCATGGTGGCACGCACCTGTAATCCCAGCTACTCTGGAGGCCGAAGCATGAGAATCTCTGGAACCTGGGAGGCGGAGGTTTCAGTGAGCCAAGATCATGCCACTGCACTCCATTCTGGACGACAGAGCCAGACTCTGTCTCAAAAACAAAAAACAAAAAAAGCAAACCTTGTTCACAAAATTATTATGGGGCACCCAGTAGTAGCCCCTGAGCTGGATGTGTGGTAGACTCCCCAGATGTTAACCTGAAGTCTGCCCTACTGTGGCGAAACCTGCTTGTGTGCTAGAAAAAAGACCCAAGCTGCCGAAAACCACCTGTACCGTATCCTGCCCCATTTGTCCTCACCCAACTTCTGGTAAGTAGTGTCCATTGAAAAATGCTAGTTGGGCTGACATGGTGGCCTGAGCAATAATGCATCTCAGGAGTCTGTTGGCGGGGTGGAGGTAGGAAAAGGAGGGCACTGTGTGTTTTTCCTGACAGTCCCCTCAGAAATGCTGGTGGCTTGGTGCTGGAAGGGTGTTGCCTCACCATGTTAGCTGAGCTGTGTGGTTTCTTTGAATGTTAACAACTTTCACTGTTTCGGCTTGAGTTTCCTCCCTGACATCACCAGATGAAAACATATGTCAGAGGTTTTGGGTTTCTGGTGCCAAATCCAAGATGGCTTATCAGCAAGCGCCCCCCGCCAGACAGTGGAGGCTGTGCTGGGGCAGAGCTGCTTCCCCTTTGACATTGGCTTTTTTCTAAAACCGAAAATAAGCAACCGTGGCTGTGACTTCACTTTTCTTGGAACTGCTTTACATTACCCCCCAAATGGAGAAAACCCTCATTTAGCAGCTTTTGGATTGCCAAGTTCTCTAATTCTTTCTGTTGCATATTCTTGTAATGCTCAAGTTTTACTGACAAAGTCTTCTGCATCAGGTGAAGCAGGAGGAGGAAGGAATGACCATGTGAAGTAACTGAGCGCTTTGTTGCCTGGCCTGTGGGTGTGTGGTTTCATGGTTGAGGAGAAAAAGCACCTGGAAGACACAGTGTGTGTAGAATGCCTTCCAGTTCCAAGGGTGACAACCCTGCGATCTGCTGGCCAGCAGATGGGCTAGGGCTGCTGTTGCTAAACATCAGGCTACAGCCGAAACTTACAGAGCAGCTGCCTGCTTCAAGGACAAGGGGAAAAATGCATTTTCAGTCATAATGACCTACATTTAGCAGATATTTCGGAGCCCGTGCGAAAGGACATCTTCAAAGGGCCTCTTCCTCCTTGTGATAAGGGAGACAGTGATGTTAGTCAAACGTGGGGCCCAGTCCTGGTCCTGCCCGTTCCTGTCTGACTTTGGCCTTGGAAGTCTGTGAAGCCGAGACAATTCATCCTTCAAAGGGTGGTACCGGGTAAGTTCTTGGGAATGGAATCCCAAGATCCACTCCTGAGAGTGGATCTTTGTAGACAGGCACATACGTTGTTCTGAAATCATCTGTTGCTATCTCTGTCCCTGTTGGAGGCGCTTCCAGTGACGTCGTGATTGTGTCCTACTTATCTCAGTATCCCTGCCCAGCATGGGGTCTTAGGTAACATACATGGGCAGTCGGTCAATGTTAGGACTGGCTGGGTTTTAGGCTAGAAGACAGAGGAAATATACAAGCAAAGGCACAGTGTCTTAAATTTACACTTGGCCCGCAGCAGTTTTCAGAAGAAAGGAGCCCCCTGCTTAGTAGCGCCTTTTGAATTGGGCCCCCTGTGTAGTTTATAGCAGGCCTGAGGGTGCTGGCTAGACTGTTGGGGAGTGCTCTTTAAGCACAGAGGAAAGATTTGGTAAAGACATAAAAGGGTGGAGGAAAAGGAGCGAGACAGCCGAGTCCAAAAAACGATTCATGTGGTTTGGGCAGAATCTGAAATGAGAGTCCTTTGAGATTGACTGAACGTCTCTTGATAAAGAAAGCAAGTTCAGCTGGGCGTGTTGGTTCATGCCTGAAATCCCAGCACTTTGGGAGGTTGAGGCGGGCAGATCACCTGGGGTCAGGAGTTCAAGACCAGCCTGGCCAACATGGTGAAACCCCATCTCTACTAAAAATACAAAAAATTAGCCGGGTGTGGTGATGTGTGTCTGTGGTCCCAGCTACTTGGGAGGCCGAGGCAGGAGAATCGCTTGAACCTGGGAGATGGAGGTTGCAGTGAGTAGAGATCGCGCCACTGCACTCCAGGCTGGGTGACAGAGAAAAACTCTGTCTCAATAAAATAAAATAAAATAAAAATAAAAGAATGCAAATTCAGCTAAGAGTTAAGTGCCAGGGCCTGTGCTGGAAGCCGTCTCATGAGTCGCTTCATTTTACTGTCCCAGTACGCCTGGGAGGTCTGTTTCCCATCCCCTTTCACAGCTGTGAAAACCGCAGCCACGGAGATGAAGTCCTTTTTCCAGGGGCATCTACCTGGCAGCCGAAGAGCCAGGTGGTGAACCAATAGGTGCCCCTTGTCGTTAAGGGCACTGTTGTTGTGGGTGGCCAGGACCAGGCCCTTCCCTAGGGCAGCTCTTCCCCAGGGCAGCTCTGGGAGCTGATGGTCTCTACACGGGCGCTGGCCCCCCCTGCTGGTCTATGCACAGAAAATGGGATGACAACCCGTCACCAGAAAACAAGGGCACAGAATGGAGCAAAGGAACAAAATGGGGCCATGAGAAACTTCACCCCTGTCTACCCAGGAGTTCTGCCCATTATGGCCAAGCCCAGGTGGGGGTGGGGAGAGTGCTGGATTTGGCAACCAGATGGGTTCTGAGGGGCTTGCAGTGGGGCCAGCCCCACTGTTCATTCAGTGGATGACCTTGGGTGGGTTATTTTCACTGCCCTTCTGATATCCATAGAGAAGGGATGACGTGGGGTCAGAGAGGTTAAATAATTCGTCTGCATGACTGTTAACTGGAATCTGGTGCTTCAAAGTTCACTTTAGTGGCCTTTCTGTCGCCAAGCACCTGCTGGGTTCCAGACTCTGGATACACGAGGTGAAGGAGACACGTGGCTGCCCCCTGTGTGCATGGTATCTTCTTGGACCTCCCATTCCTCCTTATCGTTCCTGTTTTAAGCCCGAGGAAGTCCTGTGCTTTTAAGAACTTGTGCGGTTAGATTGGGCTCACCTGGGTATCGAAGCTAATCTCCCCATCCCAATGCCCTGACTAATCCCATCTGCAAAGTCCCTTTTGCTACGTAAGGTGTATGATATTCAGAGGTTCTGGGGATTAGGGCGTGGACATCGTTGTGTGGGGAGGGACATTCTGCCTACTAGACCCCAAAGATGTGTGTTCATACCAAATACAAAATACATTCACCCTGCCCCAAGGTCTCATCCCATTATAACATCAACTGAAGAGTCCCAAATCTGCTCTCAATCTCGTCACCTAATCACCTCAATCTGGTGCTGCGGAGGCTTTGGGTATGACCCATCCTGAGCAGTTCGTCTCCCTCTGTGAACCTGGAACTCACTAAACCAGTTACCAGGCCCTAAAGTGCAGTGGGTGGCCACCTAGAGGAGCACAATCTAGTTCTGTCCCTGATCCAAGGGACCTGAGATGTAATATGGGCAAGAAAGAAAAGGAAGAAACAATGAGGCTGTACACCCAGAAATACCAAACTGCCTAGCCTCCCTTCCTCCTGCTCACACAGGACAGGGAAAGGAGTTTCTCCAAAGGGCCTGTCAGCACCGAATTCCACATCCTGTGAGCTTGGGAAGATGCCAAGCTACACGCTTTCCTCCAGCGGGTACTGCTCATTTTAGAAAGTGAGTCAGTCTGGGCGTGGTGGCTCACAGCCGTAGTCCCAGCACTTTGGGTGGCCGAGGCGGGTGGATCACCTGAAGCCAGGAATTTGTGACCAGCCTGGCCAACATGGCAAAACCCTGTCTCTACCAAAAATAGAAAAATTAGCCGGGCATGGTGGTGCACGCCTGTGGTCCCAGCTACTTGGGAGGCTGAGGCAGGAGAATCACTTGAACCCAGGAGGCGGAGGTTGCGGTGAGCCGAGATCGTTCCACTGCACTCCAGCCTGGGTGACAGAGTGCCACTGAGACTCCGTCTCAAGAGAAAAAAGAGTCAGCACCTGCCCTGGGGTCTTCCATCAGACAGCTGTGCATTACCTCAGGTGAAGGTTTTCCCAGAGCACAGCTGAGCTTGGTCATCCTGCATGTAGGACTCAGTGTTGTCAAAAGTAGTTGATTATCAGCTCCACCTGGGCTGTTTTTAACCTGGTCCCTACCCATATCTTTAATTAGGATCCACGTGCTGGGGGCTCAGGAAGTCTAAGCTTTTAGAAAGCTCTCCGGTGGGTCTCGTCATCAACCAGGCTTGGCAGCCACAGATCTACAGCTTCCTGGCCCAGAGATAGCTGGGCCACAGGAGGGGTCAGAGCTGCCCGTGGCACTGGTTGTGAACTGGTGAAGGCTTCCTCTGGTGGGGACCCTGGAGCCCTGAGTACCAGGACCAAGGGGTCCATGCATGCCCCAAGCTTCTGAGGAGGAGAAGAAAGGAAGGATGGAAAAAGCCCATGTGGAGGAACAGGGCTGCTCCACCTCTTGGACGTCCAGGGCCATCTTGATGCTGGGCCGTTGCAAGGTAGTGATATCAAGTTCCCTTTTTAAAAAGCCCGGTGGCTGGATGCAGTGGCTCACGCCTGTAATCCCAGCACTGTGGGAGGCCAAAGCGGGCAGATCACCTGAGGTCAGGAGTTCCAGACCAGCCTGGCCAACATGGTAAAACCCTGTCTCCACTAACAATACAAAAATAAGCTGGGTGTGGCGGTGGGTGCCTGTAGTCCCAGCTACTTGGGAGGCTGAGGCAGGAGAGTCGCTTGAACCCAGGAGGCGGAGCTTGCAGTGAGCTGAGATGGCGCCACTGCACTCCAGCCTGGGTGACAGAACGAGACTCCATCTCGGGGAAAAAAAAAAAAGTGAGCCCTTTTACAGAAAACTACTAAGTAAACAATAGTACAGTGGTACCTGAGTGACTGATGTTTGGGTACTTTTTCCTGATGTTCTAAAATAGAGCTGCACTGTCCAATGTGATTGTCACCAGCCTCATGGAGCTGTGGAGTACTTGGAGTGTGCTGGTGTGATAGACAGAGTGGCCAAACTTAGTAAATAAAAGTGTAGGGTGCCTCCCATTCCACCAGTGTGGGCTGTGCACAGTGACTTCCTTCCAGAATGGAAAGGGGGATGAAAGAGTAACTTTACGGTGGTGAAACCTGACAAACTGCCTCAGCCAGCTGGCCAAGGTTAACATCAAGTAATACATCACGTTAATAGCACACATGGGTAAGATGCCTGAGGCCCTGGGAGGCCAGGACTTAGAAGCCTCAAATTCCACAGCCAGTCCTCACCGCCCTCACGTGGCTCCTGCAGAGAGTAGGGACAGTGCCCTAAGGGGACTTTGGGAGTCTCATGTGACCACATGAGGTCTCTTGAAGGCCTGGAGAGGCATTTGCGGACATGGTGTCTTCCATAGGTATGACAGCCGGGGTTGGTGCTTGAGACCTCTGGTCAGAGCCTGTAATGCCACGTCATGAATTGCCACAAACTTAGCAGCTTAAAAAAACAAATGTATTAATATCTCACAGTTTCTGTGGGTCGGGGTCTGGTAGGGTGTTGTTAGGTTCTCTGCTCAGGACCTCTTCAGGCCAAAATCAAGGTGTCAGCCAGCTGAGCTCTCTTCAGGAGGCTCTGGGAAGAATCCCGAATGGGCATCCAGGCTCATCAGGCTGTTGGCAGAATTCAGTTCCTTGCAATTGTAGGGCTGAGGTCCCATTTCCTTGCCGGCTGTAAACTGGAGGCTCCTAGAGGTCCCCTCCATCTTCAGGAACGAGCCTTGAATCTGCCTCCTGCTCTCCAGCCTCTGATTTCCTGGGCCCAGGTTTAGAGAGGGCTCATGTGATTGGCTCAGGCCCCCTACCTTAAGGTCAGGTGACTTGGGACTTTACCTCTCCAGAATCACTGCACAGCAACACCTAGATTCGTGTTCGATTGAATGACTGGGGGAAGGTGTATCCAACGGGTTGGAATCGTGTCTGTGGAGGGGAAGGGGTATCTTAGAATTCTGTCCACGAGGACCTGCCTGATGGAACAGCACAATAGGGCTTCAGATCCAGACAGCATGGTTCCAATCCCAGCTTTACTACCACTCAATAAATGATTTGGGACACATAGCCTTTTTGGGCTTCCATTTCCTCACTTTGCAAAATTGAAGTAAGAACAGCCTTGTTTGCCGCCTTGTAGTCCCTACTACTCGGGAGCCTGAGGCAGGGGAATCACTTGAACCCGGGAGGCGGAGCTTGCAGTGAGCCAAGATCACACCATTGCACTGCAGCCTGGGTGACAAAGCAGGACTCCATCATACAAAAAAAAAAAACAAAAAACAAAACCAGCCTTGTTAAATTCATCCCATGTGTTGATGCACTGGCTGTAATATTCCTGCTATTATTAGTGACTTGCTCCCAGAGCTGCCCTGCCCATTGGGAGAGCTCTTCTGTCTTCCTAGGTGGAAGAATCGTGTTTTCCCTGCCTTTACCACATTCTCCGCCTCTCTGGCTGGTGTCACGGTCCTTTAAGGAGAATGAGCGCATTGACTCCAGGATCTTGGTCTCCCCAGTTTGGCGGCTGGCCCCGACTTGGCATGAGAAATAAATGTCAGTGGGAAAAATCTTTTTAAAGATGTACGTATGTAGTAAAATGCATATCCAAACACAAATGTCGTTGCACGTGTTGATGTGTCTTCAGAAACCTGGGGTAGGGAAGTTTGGTAGGTGGAAGTTACTGTCCATCTCCTTTCTCATTGCATGGCGCATGGAAGATGAGATTTTGGCTTTAGCGTTTCGCTGTGAGTGTCCTGTTTATTTCATGGTCATGGGCCTTTAGTATCAAATTTACTTGAAAACCTTATGAAATTATACAGAAAGAAAGAATGAGGAATCTTGGGTAATGGGAAAGCAACCAGCCAGTTTTGCAAAAATTCCAACATGGGTGATTTTTAACTAATTGGAAAAACATGTCTCTTCTCAGTTGACTTAATCCTTTTTGCAGTGCTGGGGGCCATAAGCGTTCCCAGGAGGTTTAAGGAGCATAATCAGCCCCCAAGGTGGTCTGCACAGTGACAAAAAAGGACAAAGGGCTCTGCCTGCGTCTGAGGGTCCTGTAGTCATGGCCAGCTGTGTCTAGGGGAGCAAAGACCCTGTCTGTCATCAGCCTTCCTGGCTAAGGCAAGGGGATGAGTTTGAGATAGTAGAGTGTGGGCACTTGTTCTGGCTGGAAACTTAGCCTTCAAAACAAGATCCCAGAGGCAGAATTTGAGACCCAAACAGGAAAAGGAAATGCCCAATGTTGAAGCACTCAGAGCGGAGGGGTCCAGAGCCGTTTGATTATAAGCAGAGTGTTGGGTCCTTACACACTTTTACAAAGTTGTTTTCAGAGACACGGAAGTCGATGGTCCGCACTTTCTCTTCCTCATTGGAGTTCCCTGGAAAAGCGTGTTGCCAGGGACAGATGATCTGACGGGGCCACAGCCCCACCAGTGTCCTTAGGAGGGAAACCTGTCAGCAGAGGGACCTCAGCCCTGGCTGATCACATGGGCTATGCTAGGCCAGTATCTGCAGAAACCAACAGCCTGCCCTTAAAGCTCCTAAGTTGGAGAGACCTGCTCGGTCACGATCCTGGCTTTGCTAGCCACACTCAGTCCCCGGGTTCATCTCTCGGGGCCAATGCGATGTTGTTTGTGAGATGGAGAGAATGGCATTGCCCCTACCCCCACCAGGGTGGCTTCAGGATGAAATTCAACACGGGAAGCAGCCTCCCCCCACCCCCATGGACCGAGAGGTGATACTATTAGAGTTATATGGGTTTGTGGTTTCCCCTTACTGTCTCCACTTCCTTCCTGAAACCCTGAAAGAGGCTTCGCAGGAAAGGAAGGGTCTTTCAGATGCCTGAGTGCAGCTGGGAATGGCTGTCCCCAGTTAGCCAGGCTGGTTGGAGCCTAGGGTGAGTTGGCTGGGTTGTGGGTTTGAACCACCAGAATCACTGAGGCACAGCTGGCCCACTGCCGAGTGCTGCCAGCCATCCTGCAAACGCCACCATTGCTCATCCCTGGGAGATGCTCCAGCATTGACCAAAAGGGTTGCCGGGTCTTGTCCTGCTCAGGACAGGCCACTCTAGAGTGATCTATAGTCATACTGTAAGGATAGATCTGGGTCCTGTGCCTCCCACGGACCCTGAGCACAGAATACACATGACAGGGCCCCAGCACACGGGCGGCGGCCCCTCTTGTTAGTATTAATTATGCACTTATGTGAAATGCACCTGCTCTTGAAGAAGGGGACAGCCAATGATTAAAACAGTTGAGGGCAGGTCACCAGGCTGTTGCAGGCTCCATTAAGAAATGGCTCTGAGAGGGTTACTTTAGAGCAAGGGAAGGGTCTTCTGTTGCAGGGGCTCTGTGCCTGGCCAGCACCACCTCCCCCGCCTTTTTTTTTTTTTTTTTTTTTTGAGATGGAGTCTCGTTCTGTTGCCCAGGCTGGAGTGCAGTGGCGCAGTCTCGGCTCACTGCAACCTCTGCCTCCCAGGTTCAAGCGATTCTCCTGCCTCAGCCTCCCAAGTAGCTGGGACCACAGGCGTGTGCCACCATTCCTGGCTAACTTCTTGTATTTTTAGTGGAGACGAGGTTTCACTGTGTTAGCCAGGATGATCTCAATCTCTTGACCTCGTGATCCACCCACCTTGGCCTCCCAAAATGCTGGGATTACAGGCGTGAGCCACTGCGCCCGGCCAGCCAGTCCCTTATTTTATGGAAACCCCAGCCTATTCCAGCCACCCAAGAACCTTCGTTAAGTGGCTCTGAAGTGGGAATGGCTACTTAATTTGCAGGGATCAGCACAAAATGAAAATCAATAATTTTCAGAAATTAAGATTCAAGATGGTAATAGAGCATTCGAGTGAGCATTGGGGACCCTTCTGAGCACAGGGCCCTGTCTGTGCAGTTTGCACACAGCCCAGGTCTGGGGAGAGTACAAGGCAGGCAGCTGGCTTGTAGCATGTGAATGAACTGAGTCACCCTGCCCTTTGTGGGAGTTGACCTGCATCTTTTCTAGGCTGTTGGCCAGGGCAGGGCTGATGACATGAGCGGGGCTTGCCCTGGTGTGGGCTGAATATGATACACTGTGAGAAGTTGAAGGGAGGGGGATTGGAGTAGGGTGCTCCAGGCAGCATCATCTCTGTACAACAGGAAGTCCCTGAGCTTGGACACATGACTTGATCACCTGTCACAAGGTTCAAGGTGAAACCCAGAAGGCCAGGCAATGATGCATTGAAACTGTCACTACCCAAGTCAGCATTTTCTAATACCATTAAACACTTTTGGCCGGGCGTGGTGGCTCACGCCTGTAATCCCAGCACTTTGGGAGGCTGAGGCGGGCAGATTATGAGGTCAGGAGACCGAGACCATCCTGGTTAACACGGTGAATACTAAAAATACAAAAAATTAGCCGGGCGTGTGGTGGGGCCTGTAGTCCCAGCTATTCGGGAGGCTGAGGCAGGAAAATGGCATGAACCCAGGAGGCGGAGCTTGCAGTGAGCCGAGATGGCGCCACTGCACTCCAGCCTGGGCAACAGAGCGAGACTCCATCTCAATAAAAAAAAAACCTTTTTTTATAGATACGAGGTCTCGGTGTGTTGACCAGGCTGGTCTTGAATTCTTGGTCTCAAGTGATCCTCCTGTCTCGGCGTCCCAAGGTGTTGGGATTACAGTCATGAGCCACTGCACCTGGCCTCCAACACCATTTTGAAAATTTTGATATATCTGTGATTTTGGATTACATCTGTTTTGTTACTTCTGTTAGAGAAAACTGACCTGGCCGGGCACGGTGGCTCATGCCTATAATCCCAGCACTTTGGGAGGACAAGGCGGGTGGATCACTTGAGAATCAGGAGTTTTAGACCATCCTGGCCAACATGGTGAAACCCTGTCTATACTAAAAATCAAAAATTAGCCAGGCATGGTGGTGGGCGCCTGTAATCCCAGCTACTCAGAGGCTGAGGCAGGAGAATCGCTTGAACCCACGAGACAGAGATTGCAGTGAGCCGAGATCGCGCCACTGCACTCCAGCCTCAGCGACAGAACAAGACTCTGCCTCCAGAAAAAAAAACAAAACTTCAAAAGCAGATTTGTCATTGCCAGGTGACCTTGTCAACCATGGGTGTACAAGGACAAACCAAATCCGGGTGAAAGAATTTGTGCCTTGTTTTCTTTGCCTTTGACCTTCAGCCCCGTGCATTCCTGCAAATGCATTGCCCCTGGTAAACCTTAAGAAGACCTTAACTTTTCTGTTTTAAGTGAGATTTCCAAGTTAATTTAAGTTGTGTGGAACAGGACACTCCCTTTACTGGAGAGCAATTGGTATCTGAAGAGAATGAGATAGAGGTTGCTAAGGAAACCCTTGTTTGCAATGTTTGGTTTACATAAATTATTGGTGAATAAGAAAAATAAGTTTATTCCTTCTTCCAGATGGTAAACTGGAAGGGAAGCATGTTACTGGGTAAAGTGAGTCATGGGCCGTGGGAGGCTCAGATGGAAAAGGGCTCTGGGATGCCTCTCTCTCTCTCTCTTTACTTGGGACCCCTTTCTAATTTACCTACCAGGCCTCAAAAGACAAAGCCCTCTAATCTGTTTAGGCAGGAACAGATAAAATTCCTCTGGGTGGATGGGTAGGGGAGGGAAGGAGGAAGTTTGCAGAAACTGAAAGAGAACTTTTTTGGGGGGAGAGGGAGAAATCTCTTGTTTAATTACAAAACCAAAATATCATTTGCAATGCCTTCCTTCTCCTACTAGTCTTAAGGAATTGATAAGTAATTCACATACCACAAAATGCAGCACTTTAAAGTGTACCATTCTCTGATGTTTTTTGTTTGTTTTTGAGATGGAGTCTCGCTCTGTCACCCAGACTGGAGTACAGTGGCACGATCTCGGCTCACTGCAACCTGCGCCTCCTGGATTCAAGCCATTTTTCCGCCTCAGGCTCCCGAGTAGCTGGGGTTATAGGCACCCGGCATCATGCCTGGCTAAGTTTTGTATTTTTTGTAGAGATGAGGTTTCACCATGTTGGGCAGGCTGGTCTTGAACTCCTGACTTCAGGTGATCTGCCTGCCTCGGCCTCCCAAAGTGCTGGGATTACAGGCATGAACTACCGTGCCTGGCCTTTCTCTGGTGTTTAGTGTATACACAGTGGTACAACCATCACCACTACTAATTCGAGAACACTTCATCACCCTAAAAGAAATGCCATACCCATTAACAGTCAATCCCACAATCCTCCCATCCCCCTCAGCTCTTGCAATCATGAATGTACTTTCTGTCTATATGAATTTGTCTGTTTTGGACATTTCCTTCCAATGTAATCATACAATATGTAGCATTTCGTGTCTGGCTTCTGGCACTCAGCATGGTGGGTTTTTAAAATTTTTGTTGTTGTTTTGAGACAGAGTCTCACTCTTTCGCCCATGCTGGAGGGCAGAGGCACGATCTCGGCTCACTGCAACCTCTGCCGCCCTGGTTCAAGTGATTCTTCTGCCTCAGTCTCCCAAGTAGCTAGGATTACAAGTACCTGCCACCATGCCCAGCTGATTTTTGTATTTTTAGTAGAAATGGGGTTTCACCATGTTGGCCAGGCTGGTCTTGAACTCCTGGCCTGCAGTGATCCACCCGCCTCAGCCTTCCAAAGTGCTGGGATTACAGGTGTGAGCCACCATGCCTGGCTCAGCATGGTGTTTTCAATATCCATTCATGTTGTGGCCTGTATCAGTACTTCATCCCTTATTATGACTGATTCCTTTTTATGACATAATATTCCATCATATGGATAGACCACATTTGGTTTATCCACTCATTGGTGGATGGACTTTCGGTTGTTTTTCCTAATTTTTGGCAAAAGGGACTTGTTGACACCTAATGGAACTGCAGGAGTCCCAAAGCTGGGCCTTGGTTTTAGGAAAGACTTAACCAGAAGTTAGGGAAAGGACAGCACAGTATTTGATGTTCCTCATGAAAAATGCCATTTTCTCAGGTGGCAGTTGTTATTGATAGAGATGAGGTCTCACTATGTTGTCCAGGATGGTCTCAAGCTCCTGAGCTCAAGTGATCTGCCCACCTTGGCCTCCCAAAGTGGTGAGCCACTGTACCAACCCCATTTTCTGCATTTTTAATTGTTCCATCAAAAAAGTAGGAAGCCGACATATTATCTGTTTATCTGATGTTAATAGAGTTTTATAATTAATGTTTACATAGATATCTTTTTTCATCCTGTGTTTTCATCTTACCTGCTTTTCTATGTACAGTGTGCCTCTTCTACACATTATGTAGGTGAGTCATGTTTTTGTTTGTGTTTTTTTAAATTTAGTCTCACTATCTCACTTTCACTTGGAGTGTTTATTTCACTTACTTTCGTTCAATGGAACTTCTCTCTGTTTTTTTTTTTTTTTTTTTTTTTAGAGACGGAGTCTCGCTCTGTCGCCCAGGCTGGAGTGCAGTGGCGCAATCTCGGCTCACTGCAAGCTCTGCCTCCCGGGCTCACGCCATTCTCCTGCCTCAATTTCCCAAGTAGCCAGGACTACAGGCGCCTGCCAGCATGCCTGGCTAATTTTTTGTATTTTTTAGTAGATGGGGTTTCACCGTATTAGCCAGGATGTTCTCTATCTCCTGACCTCGTGATCCGCCCGCCTCGGCCTCCCAGAGTGCTGGGATTACAGGCGTGAGCCACTGTGCCCAGCCCAATGGAATTTCTAATGTATGCTGTTTGTGTTTTTTGTTGTTGTTTTTCTTTTAGACACAGTCTTGCTTTGTTGCCCAGGCTGGAGTGTGCAGTGGCATGATCTGTGTGCAGTGGCTCACTGCATCCTCCGCACCCCTCCCCCCGCCCTGGGTTCAAGCGATTCTCCTGCCTTAGCCTCCCGAGTAGCTGGGATCACAGGTGCACGCCAGTGCGCCCAGCTAATTTTTTTTTTTTTTTTTGTATTTTTCATAGGGAGCCAGCGCACCCACCTATTTCTCTTTGTCTCTTGTTCCTCCTTTCTTGCCTTCTTTTGGATTAATGGAGTGATTCTTCACATTTCCTTTTATCTCTGTTGACTTCTGGCTATATCTTTTTGCTCTATGTTTTTAGCTATATATGTTTTCTTTAGCGATTGTTCTAGGGATTACAACACACACCCTAACTTTTCACAGTGCACCTACGGTGCTTATGACACCACTTGGGCAATAAGGCAGTAAAAAGGAATGAAGCACAGACATGGGCCACACATGGGTGAGCCTCGAACTTTATGCCAAGTCCAAGCAGCCAGTCACAAAGGGCCACGTATTGTATGATTCCATTTATGTGAAATGTCCACACATGGGTGAGCCTCGAACTTTATGCCAAGTCCAAGCAGCCAATCACAAAGGGCCACGTATTGTATGATTCCATTTATGTGAAATGTCCAGAATGAGAAAATCCAGAGAGAGAGAGGGAGCAGATTACTGGTCACCTGGTGCTGGGGAGGAAGGAAGAACTGGGAGGGGGGATGACTAAGGATAACAGGGTTCCTTGTTGGGGAAATGAAAATGTTCTAAAATCAATTGAATTGTGGTGATGGATGCACCGTTATGTAAGTATACCAAAAGCCACTGATTTTGACACTTTATTTTTTATCTCTGTCTATCTATCTATCTAGGAGACAGTCTCCGTCTGTTGCCCAGGCTGGAGTGCAGTGGCATGATCTTGGCTCACTGCAACCTCTGCCTCCCAGGTTCAAGCTATTCTCCTGGCTCAGCCTCTTGAGTAGCTGGGATTACAGGTGTGTGTGACCATGCCTGGCTAATTTTTGTTTGTTTCAGATGGAGTCTTGCTCTGTCGCCCAGGCTGCAGTGCAGTGGCACGATCTTGGCTCACTGCAACCTCTGCCTCCTGGGTTCAAGTGATTCTCCTGCCTCAGCCTCCCGAGTAGCTGGGATTACAGGTGCCCACTACCTGTGACACCCAGCTAATTTTTTTTGGACTTTTAGTAGAGATGGGGTTTCACCATGTTGGCTAGGCTCGTCTCGAACTCCTGACCTCAGGTTATCCACCTGCCTTGGCCTACCAAAGTGCTGGGATTACAGGCGTGAGCCACTGTGTCCAGCCCCATAAGGTAGATTTATATTCACCTTTTAAGAAACCGCCAAACTGTGTTTTGGAGTTGCCATGCCGCCACGTTCCCCCCAGCATGTGTGGAGCCTCCATTTCCACACACCCCCTCTTGATATTGATGTGACATCTTTTTAATGTTGAACGTTTCTCGATAACACATGCAGCATGGCCTTCTTTGCATTCAAAGTGTTTCATATCCCTCAGCAGCATTTGAAAGATTTCTTCATATGGATTGTGTGTGTATATTTTTGCACATTTATTTCTGAGAATTTTGTTTTTTGGGAGTGTGCTGTTGCAAATGGGATGTTTTCTTCTGTTAACTTTTCTAACTGCTTGTTTGTACATAGGAGGACTGAGGCCAGCCTTGGTGGCTCACATCTATAATCCTAGCACTTAGGGAGACTGAGGCAGAAGGACTGCTCGAGCCCAGGAGTTTGAGACCAGCCTGGGCATCATAGTAAGACCGCATCTTTATGTTATTTTTTTTTTGAGACAGGGTCTTTCTTTGTCACCCAGGCTAAGTGCAGTAATGCAGTCCCGGTTCACTGCAACCTCCATGTCCTGGGTTCAAGCAATTCTCATGCCTCAGCCTTCTGAGTACCCGGTATTACAGGTGTGTGCCATCACACCCAGCTAATTTTTGTATTATTAGTAGAGGTGGAGTTTTGCCATGTTGGCCAGGCTGGTACCGAACTCCTGGCCTCGAGCAATCCGCCTCTCTCGGCCTCCCAAAGTGCTGGGATTACAGGCGTGAGCTGTGCCCGGCCCCATCTCTATATTTTAAAAATTAAGAAAAAGGAAGGCTGCTTATTATGTTACTTTTGTACCTAACTCCTTAGCAAAATCTGTCTGCCTCATTTTTCAGAGTAAATTATTTTACCTCCTGCTTTTTTCTTAAATGTCTTACTTTCCTCCTTGCCTAGTTTCATCAGCTAGGGCCTCCAAAATAATAGTGGTAACAGAGGGCATTCTTTTGTTGCGAAGGTTAATGGAAGCTTCTGTTGCTTCCATCCCCTATAAATGATGCTGGGCTCTGGCTTGATGGGTGTGTGTCTGGGTGTAATTTCCTTTATCGTGTGTAATTTAAGGAAGTATCCCTCTTTCTAATTTGATGTGTTTTTTTCTAAATTTTGTAGTAAATTTTGTCAAATGCCTTTTCAACATCTACGATGATTATGATTTTTAACATATTAATATGAATGAAATTAGGCTGGGCGCAGTGGCTCACACCTGTAATCCCAGCACTTTGGGAGGCTGAGGCAGGCAGATCACAAGGTCAGGAGGTCAAGACCATCCTGGCTAACATGGTGAAACCCCATCTCTTCTAAAAATACAAAAAAGCTAGTCAGGTGTGGTGGCGGACGCCTGTAGTCCCGGGAGGGTGAGGCAGGAGAACTGAGTGAACCCAGGAAGCGGAGCTTGCAGTGAGCCTAGATCGCACCACTGCACTCCAGCCTGGGCAATAGAGCGAGACTCCATCTCAGGAAAAAAAAAAAAAAAAAAAAAATATGTGTGTATATATATATATATATATATATATATATATATATTTGAAATTAAAAGATGTTCTAATTTTGAGCTATCCTTGTCACACTGTACAATTCTCACTTGGTTTAGGTCACTTTTTTTTTAAGGCCCCAGTGGGGTTTGTTTGGTAATATTTTATTTTGGATTTTCTTACCTTGATTTGTATGTAAACATCTTACCTTGTTTTGTTTTGGAGATAGGGCCTTGCTCTGATGCCCAGGCTGGAGTGCAGTGGTGTGATCATAGTTGATTGTGATTTTGAACTCCTGGGCTCAAGTGATCCTCCTGCCTCAGCCTCCTAGACAGGCATGTGCCACCATGCCTGGCTAATGATTAAATTTTTTTAGAGACAGAGTCTTGCTATGTTGTCCAGGCTGGAGTTCAGTGTATATTGTAGACGTGAATTGGTCTTTCCGCTGGAATCATTCCCTCTCCTATCTGTTTCAAATTCATGCATAAGTACTCCACCCACACCCCCCAGTTGGAAAGTATTGATGTTGTCCAACCTGCCTTGAGAAGGGAGAACTATGTTTCCCTCTTTGTATCTCTGCTGGTGTCCAGTCCACTGCTGTGTTTTTGGTAAATACTTGACCCATAGAATGTGGGAGGCAGGAAGGAAAGCTTCTGCGTTTCCTTTCTGGACCAGAAATCATGGATCCGTTAAGCATATTGAGAAACCAACAGGTCAGGTGGCTGCACACTCTAGTTGCATCTGACTCTGAATTGCTCATGGGCCCCTGAGCACCAGTGATTTGCTTTTCTTTTATTGCAAAAGCAGAAGTGGGGGTTGAGTGAGCTTGGGCAGCCTTGGGAGGCAGGCAGGCCCGCGTCAGTGCCATCCTGGCTGTTTGTAGCTTGTATGACCTTGGGGAAATCCCCTCAACTCTCTGAGCCTTTGTTTCTTCTCTCATTAAGTGGGGATCATCCGTTCCTCATTGGACTATTGTAAGGCCTAAGATCAAACTTTTTTTTTTTTTTTTTTTTTGAGATGGAGCCTTCGCTCTGTCGCCCAGGCTACAGTGCAGTGGCACGATCTCCGCTCACTGCAAGCTCCACCTCCCGTGTTCACGCCATTCTCCTGCCCCAACCTCCCAAGTAGCTGGGACTACAGGAGCCCGCCACCTCACTCGGCTAATTTTTTGTATGTTTAGTAGAGACGGGGTTTCACCGTGTTAGCCAAGATGGTCTCGATTTGCTGACCTCATGATCCACCCACCTTGGCCTCCCAAAGTGCTGGGATTACAGGCGTGACCCACTGTGCCCGACCCAAACTTTTTTTTTTTTTTTTTGAGACGGAGTCTCACTCTGTCGCCAGGCTGGAGTGCAGTGGTGTGATCTTGGCTCACTGCAGTCTCCGCCTCCTGGGTTCAAGCAGTTCTCTGCCTCAGCCTCCTGGGTAGCTGGGATTACAGGCGCCAGCCACCATGCCCGGATTTTTTTTTTTTTTTTTTTTTTTTCCAGTAGAGATGAGGTTTCACCGTGTTGGCCAGGCTGGTCTTGAATTCCTGACCTCATGATCCACCCGCCTCGGCCTCCCAAAGTGCTGGGATTACAGGCGTGAGCCACTGCACCCAGCCCCCAGATCAAACATCTTTCAAGGCACTTGGAGCAGTGCCTGGTCTCCAGGGTCTTTAGGCTGTAACCACAGCAAAGCACTCAAATCACAGCCACTCTCCCTTCTGTCTTCCCTCCAGTGTGGGGGTGTGGAGGACCAACCTTCTTGTTCCCATTCACCCTGGAGTTCTTTCTTCTGAACTTCATCTAGCACCTGCTATGCACCAGGGATTCATGGGGGGGATGGTGGGGCGGAGGTCAAGGACGGTCAAGTCTGGCCTTCAGCTTGCCTCAGTCCCCGTGGCTGATGCCTTGCCCTTTGCTCTGGAATCTGGGCCCTACAAGCTCCTACCAGGCTCAGTGCAGAGAGGGCTCGAGGGCACCCCCTATCGGTGAGCAGATTCCATAGCTGCCCACGCCTCCCCCTCTCTTGAGTGGATGATCAACCCCAGCAATCTAGAGACATGTTCTTGGATTCTGCCAGCTTTATTTTTCAGTTGAAAACTCAAAGGAAAAAGTTACATTCCCAAAAGAAAGTAAAACACTTCCAATGATGTAGCCTGGAGGCCTGAGTTCACAGGTGCCCCTACCAAAACAGAGGCCCTCCCCAGGGTCCCCTGAAGCATTCAGTCCCAGTGTGTCTACCCCAAAGAGAGAAGCTGCCTACCTGGGCTTCTGATTAAGAGGCTTGGGGCCATCACTTCCCTTCAAGGAAACTCCTGCCTGAAAAGACCCCTGGATCAGGCAGGGAAAGCCAGTACCAAGCAGCTGAGGACCTGGCTTCGTGTCCCCCACCACGCAGTCAGCGTTCTGAAGCAGTGGCTTCCCAAATGGCTGTTGAATAAGTGAATAAATCTCTTGGGCATGAACAGGGGCCAGGTGGAGTTTTCTCTGCAGAGCTGGTACTTGCTGGCCGCACTGTCTCCTGGTTTGCAGTGGAAGTGTGGAGGAAGGGGGAGAATTACTCAGACCAGTGGGAGAGTTTCATGTCCCCCGGAAGTATTTTGAGCCCAGTGGCAATGAGCCCTGCTTCCGTGCGTTTGCAGCACGTGCGGTTCTGAGTTTCCCGGCATTCCATGCTGGTTATTCTGTCCCAGCCATGAATCTTGTCATTGTCAGGGAGCTGGAATTGCAGTAGAAGGTGAAGGAGTTTGAAGTCTGGCAGCCTAGTGCTGGCATAGACAAAATCTCAAACTGTAAAGGAGAGAGAAAAGTAAGACCAGGCTATGGGCCCCTGAGGAGAGGGGCCCCTGCTGTTTCCTGAAATAAATTATGCTAGGGCCCCTGGCCTTCATTATTAAAAGGACAACTCCCCATCCACTCCCACTCATCTCCCTCCCGCCTTTTTGTAAGAGCAGCGGGCATGGGTCAATGAGTCCCCTACAGCTGCAGGGCCTTTGCAGGCAGCGGTGCTAGGCCCAGCCTGCTGAGTTCCTTGGAAATTGAACAAGCATCTGTGGAGTGCTCACTCTGTGTCAGGTTCTGCTGCCAGCACCCTCGACACAGAGAAGACCAAGACATAGTTCCTAGCCAAGGGGAGGGCGGAACCTTAGCACACGATGCTTTGAGAGCTCAGGATGCATCCAACCCAAAGTGTGGGCTAAAGGGAGCTCACTGTGTGGGTGAGATCTTCAGTACAGCATGCAGTGGAGGCCATGATGTGGGGCTCCTGGCCCTAGAGGGACTGCTCTGCTGTTTCACCATCAAGTGGGGTGGACAAGGGCACAGATGGACACTCAGAGCTACCAGGCAAAGGAAGTGCCCTTCTATCCCTCATCTGCTACGAGAACTGTTTAAAAGATGGGTTTTAACTTTTCTGAGATGGAGTCTCGCGCTATCACCCAGGCTGGAGTACAGTGGCTCACGGCAACCTCTGCCTCCTGGGTTCAAGCGATTCTCCTGCGTCAGCCTCCTGAGTAGCTGGGATTACATGCGCCTGCCACCACGCCCGGCTAATTTTTATATTTTTAGTAGAGACGGGGTTGGGCCAGGCTGGTCTCGAACTTTTGACCTCAAGTGATCCACCTGCCTTGGCCTCCCAAAGTGCTGGGGTTACAGGAGCAAGCCACCATGCCCAGCTATTTATATTTTTTGAGATGGAGTCTTGCTCTGTCGCCCAGGCTGGAGTGCAGTGGTGCGACCTCAGTTCACTGCAACCTCTACCTCCCGGGTTCAAGTGATTCTCTTGCCTCAGCCTCCCAAGTAGCTGGGATTACAGGTACATGCCACTATGCCCGGCTAATTTTTATATTTTTAGTAGAGACAGGGCTTCACCATGTTGGTCATGCTGGTCTCAAACTCCTGACCTCAGGTGATCTGCCCGCCTCGGCCTCCCAAAGTGCTGGCATTACAGGCATGAGTGACCTTGCCTGGCCGGGAAGCACCCTTCTAGCCCTCATCTGGTAAGAGAAGTGTTGAAAATATGGGGTTTAGGTGGCCTTTTCTGCCATCTCTTTCTACTACATTCTGGTTCTTTTTCAGATATATAATTTTCAGTCATTAGTAAATTAGCTGATTTGCTAAATTAATTACTAAACTACAAATTTAGTAATTAGTAATTTTAATAATTTCTAGTTCCCTGCTGAAATCTATAATCTGTGTCTAATAAGCCTACTATCTGAGTCCTGTGGGTCTGTGTCTATTGCCTGTCTGTGCTAGCTTTTACTCTTAGAATTTTATCTCCTTAAGAGTGTTTGGTTTTATAACTATGGTGTTCATAGGTAAAATGTTTATCATCGTATCACCATGCCTAGCACAGAGATGCTCAATATACATTTCTAGTGTAAAAAATTTTAAATGTAGTTAAACACAAGTAACATTTACCATAACCATTTTAAAGTACACAATTCAGTGTAAGTACATGCACACTTTTGTGCAACCAATCTCTGGAACTCAGTAAATACTGCCAAACTGAAACTTTATCCCCATTAAATAACCCATTACTGCTCTCTCCCAGCTCCCGGCAGCCACCACTGTACTTTCTGTCTCTATGAAACTTATTACTCGAGGTCCTTCAAATAAGTGGACTCATACAGTACTTGTGTTTTTGTGACTGGCTTATTTCACTTTGTATAATGTCCTCAAGGGTCATCCATGTGGTAGCGTGTGTCAGAATTTCCTTCGTTTTTAAGGCTGAATCATGATTGATTGTATGGAGAGACCACATTTATCTGTCAGTGGACACTTGGGTTGCTGCTGTCTTCTGGCCGTTGTGAATAATGCTGCTATGAACATCGGTGTATAAATGTGTGAGACCCTTTGAATTTTAGGGGATCCATACCCAGAAGTAGAATTGCTGGATTGTATGGTAACTCTTTGTTTTGAGACAGAGTCTGGCTCTGTCACCCAGGCTGGAATGCGGTGGTGCGATCTTAGCTCACTGCAACCTCCGCCTCCCGGGTTCAAGTGATCCTCATGCCTCAGCCTCCCAAATAGCTGGGATTACAGGCCTGCACCACCACACCCAGCTAATTTTTGTACTGTAGTAGAGATGGGGTTTCACCATGTTGGCCAGGCTGGTCTTGAACTCCTGGCCTCAAGTGATTCGCCCACCCCAGCTTCCCATAGTGCTGGGATTACAGGTGTGAGCCACTGCACCTGACCTATTAACTCTTTGATGAATTGCCATATTGTCTTCCATAGCTGCAGCACCATTTTATACTCCCCGTAAGAATACACAAGGGTTCAAACAACTCAATGTCCTAACACTTGTTATTTTCTGTATTAATTACAGCCATCCTAATGGGTCTGAAGTGGCACCTCCATGTACTTTTTTTTTTTTTTTTTGGAGACAGAGTCTTGCTCTGTCACCGAGGCTGGAGTGCAGTGGCGGGACCTCAGCTCACTGCAACCTCTGCCTCCCGTGTTCAAGCAATTCTCCTGCCTCAGCCTCTTGAGCAGCTGGGACTACAGGCATACACCACCACTCCTGGCTAATTTTTTATTTTTAGTAGAGACGTGGTGTCACCATGTTGGCCAGGCTGGTCTCGAACTCCTGACCTCAAGTGATCCGCCCACCTTGGCTTCCCAAAGTGCTGGGATTACAGGCGTGAGCCACTGTGCCTGGCCTCTCCATGTGGTTTTGGTTTGAGTTCCCCTAATAATTAGTGATGTTGAGCATCTTTTTATGTGCTTATTGGCCATTTGCATATCTTATTTGGAGAAATGTCTATTCAAGTCCTTTGTACATTTTTTTTTTTTTTTGAGATGGAGTTCGCTCTTGTTGCCCAGGCTGGAGTGCAATGGTGCAATCTCGGCTCACCGCAACCTCTGCCTCCCAGGTTCAAGCAATTCTCCTGCCTCAGCCTCCCAAGTAGCTGGGATTACACGCATGCACCACCATGCCCAGCTAATTTTGTATTTTTAGTAGAGACGGGGTGAGAAACCCCATGGAGAACATGTTGAGGCTGGTCTCGAACGCCTGACCTCAGGTGATCCACCTGCCTCGGGCTCCCAAAGTGCTGGAATCACAGGTGTGAGCCACCGCGCCGGGCCCTTTGTACATTGTTGAACCGGGTTGGGTTTTTGTTGTTACATTGTGAGAGTGCTTTATGTATTCTAGATGGGAACTCCTTATCAGATATAATTTGCACATCTTTACTCCCATTCTGTAGGACGCCTTTTCACTCTGTTAATAGTATCCTTCAATGCGATCCAGTTTGTCTGTTTCTCCTTTTGTTGCTTGTGCCTTTGGTGTCATATGCGCCATATCTAAGAAATCATTGACAAAGGAAGCTCTCCTACTGTGTTTTAAGAGTTGTATAGTTTTAGCTCTTACAGTTAGGTCTTTAATCCATTATTGAGGTTTTCTTTTTTTTTTTTCCCAACATGTTATAAGGTAAGAGGTTAACTTCATTCTTTTGCATGTGGATATCTAGTTTTCCCAACACCATTTGTTGAAAGACTGTCCTTTCCCCAATTCAATAGTCTTGGCATCCTTATTGAAATCATTTGACCACATGTGTAAGAGTTTCTTTCTAGACTCTGTATTTCATTCCACTGGTCTGTATGTATGTCTTTACGCCAGTACCACACTTTTGACCACTGTAGCTTTCAACAAATTTTGAAATTGGGAAGTATAAGACGTCCAAATTTGTTCTTTGTTTTCAAGATTGTTTTGGCCATTTGGAGTCCCTTGAAATTGTGTATCAACTTTAGGATGGATTTTTCTATAAGTGAAGAAAAAATGCCACTGGGATTTTGATAGCAATTACGCTAAACCTGTAGATCACTTTGAGTAGTATTGACATCTTAATGATATTCTTACAATCCATAAATATGAGATGCCTTTACATTTGTTGTATAACCGGTCTCTGGGACTCTACATCCTGCCAAAATCTTTGCCTCCTGGTTAAGTTTATTCCTATTTTATTCTTTTTGATGCTATTGTAAATGGACTTTTTTTTTTTTTTTAAAGATGATGTCTCACTGTGTTGCCCAGGCTGGAGTACAGTGGCTATTCACAGGCATAATCATCGTCAAAACTGACAGCCTTGACCTCTGAGGCTCAAGTGATCCTCCTGCCTCAGCCTCCCAAGTAGCTGAGACTATAGGCGTGCACAACCATGCCCGGCAGGAATTGTTTTCTTAATTTCCTTCTTGGATTCTTGACTGTTAGCATGTAGAAATGCAACTGACTTTTGTATGTTGATTTTGTAATCCTGAAACTTTGACAAATTATTAGTTCTAACAGTTGTTTTTTATTTCATGCAGTGTTCAGGATTTTCGACAAAGATGATCATGTCATCTGTTAACAGATAATTTTACTGCCTCCGTTCCAATTTGGATGCCTTTTCTTTCTTAATAGCTCTAGCTAGGATTTCCAGCATTATGAAAGCAGGCATCATTGTTTAATTCCTCATCTTGGAAAACTTTGTCTTCATCATTGAGTGTGATGTTAGCTGAGGGTGGTTCATATGACCTTTATTATGTTGAGGTCATTTCTATTTTGAGTCTGTATGTTTTTAATCACGAAAGGGTATTAAACTTTGTTAAATGCTTTTTCTTCACTAACTGAAATAGTCATGTGTTTTCTTTCGTTCATTCTGTTAATGTGATATCTTACATTGATTTTTATATGGTAACCATCTTTGCATTCCAGGAATAAATCTCACTTGATCATGGTGTGTAATCCTTTTTATGATGCTGTCAAATTCTCCTTATTAGTATTTTGTTGAGAACTTTTGCATCTGTATTTATCAGGAACATTGGTCTATTTTCCTCTGGTGCTTTGTCTGCCTTTGGTATCAGTAATGCTGGCCTCACAGAGTGAGTTTGGAGGTATTCTTTCCTCAATGTTTTGGAAGAATATGAGCAGGATTGGTATTGATTCTTCAAATGTTTGGTGATTCACCAGTGAAGGCATCTGATCTTCTGCTTTTCTTTCCTGCCAAGTTTTTGGTCTCTGATTCAATCTCCTTGGTAGTTACAGGTCTGTTTTTTCCATCTTCTATTTCATTTATTTCTGCTCTAAACTTTATTATTTCATTCCTTCTCCTATCTTTGGGTTTAGGCTGTTCTTTTTCTAATAACTTAAGGTAGAAGGTTAGGTTGTTGGTTTGAGAGCTTTTCCTTTTTCTTTGAGAGACTTGCCACGTTGCCCAAGCTAGTCTCAAACTCCTGGGCTCAAGCAGTCTCCTGGCCTCGGCCTTCCAAGTAGCTAGGATTATAGAACAGTGTCACTGTGCCTGGCTGCTGCTTTTTTTTTCTTTTTTTTTTTTTTTGCCGGGGGGAGGGGGGAGGTGGAGTCTAGCTGTGTCGCCCAGGCTGGAGTGCAGTGGCACAATCTCAGCTTACTGCAACCTCTGCCTCCCGGGTTCAAGTGATTCTCCTGCCTCAGCCTCCCAAGTAACTGGGATTACAGGCGCCTGCCACCACGCCTGGCTAAATTTTATAATTTTAGTAGAGCTGGGGTTTTGCCATGTTTGCCAAGCTGGGCTCAAACTCCTGACCTCAGATGATTTGCCCACCTCGGCCTCCCAAAGTGCTGGGATTACAGGTGGAGCCACTGCACCCAGCCAGCTTCTTTTTTAATTTAAGTGTGTACAGCTACAAATTTCCCTCATAGCACTGCTTTTGCTGCATCCCATAAGATTTCATATGTTTGGTCTCAAGATACTTTCTGATTTTTCCTTATTTTCTTTCTTTGATCCACTGGTTTTGTAGTATGTTGTTTAGTTCCCACATATTTGTGGATATTTCAGTTTTCCTTCTAGTATGATTTCAGTCATTTCAAATGTATTAAATCTTGCTTTGAAGCCTAACATACAATCTTTCCTGGAGAACATTCCACGTGTACTTTTGAAGAATGTGTATTCTGCTGTTGGGTGAAGTTGTCTGTGTGGTAGGTCCAACTGGTCTATAGTATTGTTCAAGTACTTTGTTTCCTTCTTGATCTTCTGTCTGGGTGTTGTATCCATTATTGAAAGTGAGGTATTGGGCCGGGTGCAGTGGCTCAGGCCTGTAACCCCAGCACTTTAGGAGGCCAAGATGGGTGGATCACCTGAGGTCAGGAGTTCAAGAGCAGCCTGGACAACATGGTGAAACCCTGTCTCTACTGAAAATAGCTGGTCGTGGTGGCATACGCCTGTAATCCCAGCTACTCTGAGGCCTAAGAATCACTTGAACCCAGGAGGTGGAGGTTGCAGTGAGCCGTTATCATGCCACTGCACTCCAGCCTGGGCAACAGAGTGAGATTCCATCTCAAAAAAATAAAAAAAGTGAGGTGAAGTCTCCTACCATTATCGTAGACCTATCTGTTTCTCCTTTCATTCTACAGTGTTTGCTTAATATATTTAGGAGCTCTGAGGTGTGTTGCATGTACATTTATAACTGTTACATCTTTTTGGTGAATTGACTGTTATCATTATCTCTTATAACAGCTTTTGACCTTAGGTCGATTTTGTCTGATATTAGTATAGCTACTCCTTCTCTATCTTATTTCATCCTTTCACTTTCAACCTGTGTAAGTCTCTCAGTCTTCTGATGGTGGAATTCATTTGTATTTTTAAAGATTATCATTCTGATGCAACTGACTAACCTGGTGACTGTGTCATGAGGCCCACAGCCAAGGACTGCGGTGACCAGTTGCTGTGGGGAGACTCCAGCACATTACTGACGGGACTTCCCGATGGGGAAGGACTTCCTGGTGCCACGCTGTTGATTGTTTTCTGCATGGCTTATGGTTTGCTTTCTCTGTCATTTCGTCCCTTTGTGTTTAATTGATGTTTTTATTGTGACACACTTAGGATCTCATTTGCTTTTGTGTACGTTCTGTAGATATGTTGTCATTACCATGGGGATTACACGAAACATCCTGAAGTTAGAGCAATCCATTTTAAACTGGTAAGTTCAATCACATACAAATACCCCACTCTTTGACAGCTCTGTCCCCCTCCTATGTTGTTGATATCACAAAGTATATCTATTTTTAGAGACAGGGTCTCACTCTGTCACCCAGGCTGGAGTGCAGTGGCATTATCACAGCTCAATGTAACCTCAAGCCCCTGGACTCAAGTGATCCTTCGGAGTAGCTGAGACTACAAGTGCATGCCACCACCATGCCTACTTTTTTTCACAAATTATATGTTTAACGTAGATGTATAGTTATACATCTTTTAAATCCAATAAAATAATTACAGAGATGAATGAAAATTACAATACAGGTCTTTATATGTGGCCTCAAACTTCCACCTAGCATCTTTTTTTTTTTTTGACTTGAAGGACTCCCTTTAGCATTTCTTGCATAATGAACTCTCTCAGCTTTTGTTTATCTGAGAATGTCTTAATTTCTCTGGCCGGACACAAGGCGGGCAGATCACGAAGTCAGGAGTTCGAGACCAGCCTGGCTAACATGGTGAAACCTCGTCTCTACTAAAAATACAAAAATTCGCCGGGGGTGGTGGCGCATGCCTGTAATCCCAGCTACTCGGGAGGCTGCACCACTGCACTCCAGCCTGAAGGACAGAGCAGAGACCCTGTCTCAAAAAAAAATAAGAATAATAAGTGTCTTAATTTCCTATGAGAATTCATAATATGCCTTTATTTTGTAACTTATAACCACCTTTTAATTTGTCCTTCAAAAGTTAATTATAACGGGTGACTGCTTTTCTTAGATACTTGTCTGGTGTCCAAGAGGGGAATAACTTAGCCCTTGATTTAAAAAAATAAACCCTAAGGGAGGGAGAGGACCTTAACTGCAGATACCATTCCATTGTGACACTGTGGCTGTAAGTCTTCTCTGTTGTCCTCCCAGATGTTTTGTTGATGGCTGACGTAGCGGACTCAAAACAACGAGCACTTCTGCTTGATACACAGATTCTCCGAGGTTCCTGTGGAGCCACAGCACCTCCTGTCTTGGCACTTCATAGTTGTCTCATCGAGTCCAAGGCTGCCTCCCAAGGGTCTGGCTGGTAGACCATGAAGTTGATTCCTGCCTTAAGCCTGGCTCTGCAAGAAGTTGTCCTATATTCTCACCAGTCACATTTTTGGTACTAGAACGGTGCTTTTTATAGTGCACTCGTAACTGGACGCTGAAATCACAGCCTGGCCATTTGGATGTTCAACCGATGCTTTATGCTGCTGAGTCCTTGGAACTCACTCCCCGTGCCGGAACTCACTGGAGCTCAGGTGTGTGGCACTACCTTGTTTCTCTGCAGCTGGTATTGCAAACATTTTTCATGCATTTATTTCCCATTGTTTACTTTTGAGTTTTTGTTTTGTGAGACAGGGTCTCAGTCTGTCACGCAGGCAGGAGTGTGATCATGGCTCACTGCAGCCTTGACCTCCTGGGTTCAAGCAATCTCGCCTCAGCCTCCCAAAGTGCTGGGAGTACAAGTGTGAGCCACCACACCTGCCCTACTTTTGAGCTTTGAGTTCTTTATATATTCTAGAGATGAGTCTCTAGAGATGAGTCCTCGGTCTGATAGATGGTTTGTAAACATTTTTCCCAATCTGTAGCTTATCTTTCCATCTTCTTAATAGAGTCTTTCAGACAGCAAAAATAAGATCTCTCTTGCAAATACTCTGCCTCTGTAGCAGGAAAGCAGCCATAGACTACGTAAATGAACGTCGGTGGATCCCTTGAGTAAGTGTCATTCATGGTAAAGATATCTCTAGACAGATCAGTGCTGAGAGGCTTTTTCATTCTTAAATAATAGTTGAGCTGGGTACACACACTAACCTCATGCTTATTTTCTCTTACTCCACTGTCTTCTGCTGTTGCTGGTGGGAGATCAGTTATCAACATGTTCTTCCTTCTTTCCACCCTCTTCCTTAGCTTTTAGGACCTTTTCTTTGTTTTTTCTGCAGTTTAGTTCTGATGGGTCTTGGTATGGATGGATTTATTGTATTGGGGATCATGCCTGCTGACTCTAAAGGGTCCTGTGTCTGTTTTCATTCTGGAATTTTTTTTTTTTTGAGACGGAGTCTTGCTCTGTTGTTCAGGCTGGAGTGCAGTGGCGCAATCTCGGCTCACTGCAACCTCCTGGGTTCAAGCGATTCTCCTGCCTCAGCCTTCATAGTTGCTGGGATTACAGGAGCCCGCCACCACACCCGGCTAATTTTTGTATTTGTGGTAGAGACAGGGGTTTCGCCATGTTGGCCAGGCTGGTCTCAAACTCCTGACCTCAGGTGATCTGCCCATCTTGGCCTCCCAAAGTGCTGGGATTACAGGCATAAGCCACCACACCCGGCATTTCTTTTAGACATGTTGGATCCTCTTATTTCATCCTCCCTTTGTCATATTTTCCAATTCATTAATTTTCTCTTCTGCTGTTAAGGTTTTAAATGTCTGAATGGCAGCCACTAATTCTGGCATCTGAAGCTCTTGGAAGCCTACTCCTGTTGTTGCCACTGACTTCTATGCCCATTTAGTGGGGCTTTGGCTGTGGGAATCATACGCAGCACTGGATGACGGAGCTCTCACCACATGGGATCTGATGCTGTCTCCAGGTAGCTGGTGTTAGAACTGAATTAGAGGGACAGCCTGGTAGTGGGAACAACACACATTTGGTCACAGAAGTCATCTGCTGTGTTGATGATTATTGTGGTGTGAGAGCAGAGAGAAAACAGGGCTGAGTATTTTCCCTAAACAGTGGTGTACATTCAAATCCCTGATGAGGCTGGGCGTGGTGGCTCCCGCCTGTCATTTCAGCACTTTGGGAGGCTGAGGCAGGAGAACTGCTTGAACCCAGGAGGTGGAAGTTGCAGTGAGCCGAGATTGTGCCACTGCACTCCAGCCTGGGTGACAGAGTGAGACTGTCCCAAAAAAGAAAAAACCTAATGGCAAATTTTCAAGAGGCAACTTAATGTGGCTCTGTGGACACTTAGCTTAGTAGGGGGTAGGGAATCCATTTACAGTGATATAAAGGAGCACCTGAGGCTGGGTAGTTCATAAATGAGATAATTGGCTCACAGTTTTACAGGCTGTACAAGCACGCCTCCAGCATTTGCTTGGCTTCTGGGAGGCCTCAGGAAGCTTACAATCATGGCAGGAGGAGAGAGTACAAAGAGAGGAGGTGCCAGGGTCTTTTTTTTTTTTGAGACGGAGTCTCACTCTGTTGCCCAGGCTAGAGTGCAGTGGTGCAGTCTCAGCTCACTGCAAGCTCTGCCTCCTGGGTTCACGCCATTCTCCTGCCTCAGCCTCCTGAGTAGCTGGGACTACAGGCGCCCGCAACCATGCCCGGCTAATTTTTTTTGTATTTTTAGTAGAGACGGGGTTTCACCGTGTTAGCCAGGATGGTCTCGATCTCCTGACCTCGTGATGCACCCACCTCAGCCTCCCAAAGTGCTGGGATTACAGGCGTGAGCCACCGTGCCCAGCCTTGCCAGCTTCTTTTTAAACAACCTGCTCTCATGTGAACTAATAGAGCAAGAACTCACTCTTCACCAAACGGAGGGCACTAGGCCATCCATGAGGCATGTACCTGCCTCGAGGGGACACACATCCAAACAGGCAGTCTTAATAAATGTTGTGACTCTTAGCTCCTTGAATGACAATTATTTGTCCTCCCTGGTGAGAGAAAGGGACTGGTTTTCCCTCTGGCCTGGAAGGCAGATGCCAGACGGGGCAGAGTGCTAGATGGCTGGGGCAGCTTACCACACTGTGGAGGAGGGGCCAGGGGTACGAATCCACGGGCACACAGGTGGATGTAGGCGGCCGCCAGGTTGCAGGCAGGCTGGAGCTCCTGGGTGCCACAGGGGACCTGCACACACAGGCTGAGGAATGGTGTAGGGTCTACCTGAAATCAGGGACACCGAGTCACTGTCCACACCCTGAGGAGGGACCTAAGCTTGATGAGACAAAGGGCCTTCTGCACCCCATGGGCCAGGCTCACACTCACCACCCGGAAGCAGTCCCTCAAGCTGGAGTGGGGGCCCTCGAAGAAGGCCCAGCAGGCGGGGAGCTGTCCCGGGCAGGCCTGCTCCTGCTGAGGCTTCTCAGTGGCCCTGCAGTCACCACCCACCTGGCAGGATGGATGCAAGACTCAGGCCTCCTGCTGGACCATGTGGCTCCCCCGCGTACACTGGCCTCAGCAGGAGACTTCCCCCAAACCCTGGGCCTACGAAGTCCTCTGCAGAGCCATCAGGCCGCCTGCCTCTCCCGGGACTCTGCAGTGAGCAGCCCTCAAGAACCTCAGCTGGAAGCAGGACAGGCAGGTGCACCCGCTCACCTGCCAGGCCAGGCTGAGCTCCTCCAGGCTGCGGGCCATAGAGCCATCCGGCAACATCAGCTCATTGCCTGCTTCATTGTCATTGGTGCCCAGAAGGCCAGCGGATATGCCTGTGGGGAAGAGGGAAGCGGAGGCCGGCCGTAAGACCCTGTGATCCTCCCCCAGCCCCAGCCCTGCTGCCTCAGGACCTGTGTGTGAGATGAGCCTGAAGCACACAGAGGAGCAGTAGAGTCCCACCACCTCCACCCCGGACTCCTGGAGCCCAGGCCCTGGCTGTAAACCCTCATCAGAGGAGGAAGAGAAAGCACAGGGGCTCAGGGACAGCATGTGTATCCCCCGTCCCCTCCCCATGTCCTCAGCTCAAGTGGCTGGAATCCAGGCCCTTCCTTTGTGTTCCTTGGCAGAGGGACGACAGAAGGGCCAACTCCACACTGGAGCCGCGTGTCCCACGGATGGGACAGAAAGCCCTGGGCCTCTGTGCGGTCATCTGGACATGGGGTCAATGGCATGAGGCTAGATGAGGAGTTGAGGGCACACGCGCTGCCATGCTAGAGACGAGGCCGGCAGAGGCTCTGCATGCACGGTAGCCCCCTGCCGCCCTGGAAGCTTAAAGGGGTGCATCCCAAAGAGTCCGCTGTAGGTGGGGCCAACCCTCCTGGGGCCCAGACCCACCGTGCTGCCAGAGGCCCAGAGTCAGGCTGCAGAGGCCGGTGGGCACGTCACAGGAGACAGACACCCCGTCCTCGCTGGCCAGCTCAATCCTGGAGACGTCCTTCCTTGTCGTGGCAGGATGCAGCTTGAGGTCCGGACAACTGTCCCCCGGCAGGGAGGAGTTGTACAGCCTGTAGGCCTGTGGGCCAGAGGGGGCTGGGCAGGAGGTCTGACCCACAGCCAGGTGACAAGCTTGAAAGTGCCATCCCCCCAGGCGACCTGCCATGGGCACAGGTCTCCAGGGGAGGCTCAGTCCTACAGGCTGCCATGCCTCTCCTGCTCACCTGCAGACTGGGGTAGAGGATGAGGGTCTTGTGGTTAAGTTCCACGAACAGGGCTGTGAGCCCCGAGCCTGTCCGACTCAGCGTCAGCGAGAATGTGTTGTGAGCAAAGTCCTGGGCCAGGAGGATGCTGCCGCACTGGGTGCTGAGGTCCCATACCCGGCCGTCGAAGGTCACCACGTGCTGGGCCCCAGCCACCAGGGCATGGTCTGGGTAGAAGCAGCCCAAAGGCAGGGTGAGCGGGGCCAGCTCCACCCACCGCAGTAGGAGCCCAATGCCTGCTGGGTGCCCCGGATGCCTAGAGCTTTGGCTTAGCCTGCCCTGAGGCCTGGATTCCCCCTCCCCTGGCGCAGCAGCCAGAGGCCCAGGGATCCCCCACCGGCTTCAAGATGACATGAGCTGAAGGTCTACTGGCAATTCAGCCCTAACAAGGAAAGGAGTCCTGAGACCTGCTACAAAAATACTGTGCTAAGTAAAAAAGCCTGGCTCAAATGCCACAGGGTCTATGCTTCTGTTTACATAAAATGTCCAGAGCAGGCACAGCCATGGACAGAAGGCAGATTGGTGGCTGCAGGGTTTCAGTTTGGGGTGATGAAAATGTTTTAAAATCGACTGTGGTGATGCAGGCACAACTCTGAATAAATTAGAAGCCACTGAATCGTACACTTAAAATTCACACATCGGCCAGGCACGGCGGCGCTAAAAGCCATCCCAGCACTTTGGGGGACTGAGGCAGGAGGATCACTTGAGCCCAGAAGGTCAAAGCTATGGTGAGCTGAGATGGCGCCACTGCACTCCAGCCAGGACAACAGAGTGAGACCTAGTCTCAAAAAAAAATGTCACACATACAAGTCATCCATTTAATCTCAATGAAGCTGCTGGCGGGGATGGGGGGAAACATTCACTATGTAAGTGGATAGCCAACAGGTCCCTCAAACACAAGACTGGTGTCCTGCAGACCTACCCTCTTCAGGGTAGGGAACAGATGGCCTGAGAAGGAGGTCTGACCAGTCTAGCCAGTGCGGCCCCTGAGCTGTGGCTTGGGGGTGGGGGTGCCCTTGCCCGTGGCCAGGAAGCACCATCTATGGTGCACAGCCAGGCACCTGTCGGCCAGTCCCAGCATCCTGAGGGAGGCAGTACCAGCCCCGTGGGCAGCTGTCAGAACTGAGAGGCACAGAGAAGCCCACGGTCACACACATGGAACTTGAAGACCAGGCTGTTTTCTACAACACCAATGTGCTGCTTAGACATGACTGCGCCCACGCTTCTAGGGAGCCCTGGGCCTGGGTGTGAGTCCCACACACATAAAGCACTCCTTGCCAAGCCTGGGTACCGGGGTTCCCCCATAGACATGAGGGGCTCCCCCTGCATCAAGAACAGTACATGCCCATTACCCATATGAGCGAGCCACGTTGTTACCTACATTTCACGGTGGAGCAAATAGAGTCCCACAGGTTAGACTCACCTGGCCACACAGCATTTCATGGTGGAGGAAACCGAGTCCCACAGAGGTTAGACTTGACTTGCCTGGCCACACAGCAAGCCTGAGCCACAAGCAAGCTCCCCAGCCCTTGGCTACAGGTCGCCTCTGACCGGCGAGTCTGAAGTCAGTCAGTTCTCTTCCAGCTGGATCTGGAGGGCTGCCGTCTTCTCCAGCAGTGCCCGCAGGGAGGGAGCTGGCCTGAAGCCCTAAACCACCCTCCTCACCCCTCTGCAGGGCCAAGACTTATATTCTGGACAAAAGCAGGATGTGTACCCTCAGCCCTAGTCCCATAGGACCTTGGGAAGTCCAGTAAGCTCTGGGCCTGGCACTGTGATGCTACTAGCCTATGGAGGCTTCCCTGTGCCCAGGAGGCAGGGGGCTCTCAGGGAGGAGGGCGGCACAGCCCGGGGCAGGACTCACATTCCCAGGGGCCCGCCAGCAGGCGGCGTCTGAGCCAGTAGTACTCAGCCAGCACGTTGGCCCCAGACAGCTCTCGGAGCGGCCGCAGCAGCTTCTCCTCCATGAGGTAGCTGGTCACCCGGGCCACGTCCAGGGGCTCGTCCCCCGCAGGCAACAGTGGCAGCATCACCACCACTGAGCGGTTCCTGCAGGGAATGCAGAGGACAAGTCACTGTGCCTGCCCGAGCCTTGCTTCCCTTGGCTGCAGAGGGGAGCTTCTAGGTCTGCAGGAAGAGCTCTGCAGTGGAGAGCATGAGGGTGCCTTTCAGGGAGGGGCTGTCCTTGTTTTGGGAAATCCCATCATGAGGTGGAGGAGGACAGAGGCCGGCATGACAACGGAGGTGGTAGATGATGGCTGGGGACAGAAACAAGCTGCCCCATTTTGAGGACACAGATGTCCGATGTCATGCCTACTCTGCTCCCCGGGTCTTGGGCAGCATGGGCTTATGTGTGGGGATGCCGAGGACAGGAGCTGGAAGGTCTAGGAAATTTTGTTTTTTAAGAATCTCATTCTGTCGCCCAGGCTGGAGTGTAGTGGCACAATCTCAACTCACTGCAACCTCTGCCTCCCGGGTTTGTTTCTCCTGCCTCAGCCTCCCAAGTAGCTGGGACTACCAGCGCCCACCGCAACACCCGGCTAATTTTTGTATTTTTAGTAGAGTTGGAGTTTCACCACATTGGCCAGGCTAGTCTCAAACTCCTGACTTCAACTGATCTGCCCACCTCGGCCTCCCAAAGTGCTGGGATTACAGGTGTGAGCCACTGTGCCTGGCCAACAGGTCTAGAAAATTTCTACAGTTTAGGGGAGGACTGGAACTTTCTCAGGATCTAGAGTAGGAGTCAAGCCTGTGAGATTTGAATGATCAGGGGGATGTCAGCTCACATGGGGGTATAGTGGGAAGACAAACATCTCATACCCTGTTGTTGATGGGCCAGTAGAGAGGGAGCAGGGGCAGGTGGCCTCACTTGCTTACTTCTAGGAACCCAGAGGCCCTGCAGCTGGAGGCAGGAAGCAGCCTCAACTCCCTCTCTGCCACCTGAATCCATGTTTTGGCACCCCCACCTAGCAGTGACAGGATCCCACTCACCAGGTAGGTGAGTAACCAGGCAGGTCATTCTTCAGCCAAGCCAAACCCCGCCCTGGGAGCTCTTCCCTTCATCAGCCTCCATTCTGACCGCAGGAAGGCAGGAGCAGGAACTTGTATCACAGGGAGTCTTTTCCCCATGATGTGGGTTTAGTCCCTATTTTATGGCTGGGGAAACTGAGGCACAGAGCACTGAGGCAGAGGAATCCTAGTTAGAGGCAGAGCCGGATTCCAGATGCTCTGTGAGGCCACCAGCATGGAAGAAGGAGCTGCCTCCCTGCTTGGAGCCCGGTTCCTGGTGGGCCTCGTGCCTGTGAGGGGGAGGATACTGGGTCCCCAGGTCTCTGCTCTAAACTGGGCTCCCCCCTTCTATCCACCACCCCCGTGTTCTCAACACAGGGGCCAAAAGGGTCTTTTAAAGTGAAAGGGCGATCACATCCTTCCTAGGTCAGAGCAGAAGCCAGAGACCAGCTGAGCCCCACCTACCCGCCTCCCCAGTCTTAGGAACTCCCAGTCACATCCACTCTCCCTTGCAGGCATTCTGCTCCAGCCCTGCTGGCTTGATATTCAAATAGACAGGGCTGGGCTTGGTGGCTCATGCCTATAATCCCAGCACTTTGAGAGGCCAAGTTGCTTGAGCTCAGGAGTCTGAGACCAGCCTGGCTAATATGGTGAAACCCCGTCTCTACTAAAAATACAAAAATTCGCTGGGCTTGGTGGCACATGCTTGTAATCCCAGCTACTTGAGAGGCTAAGGCAGGAGAATCCCTTGAACTTGGGAGGCAGAGGTTGCAGTGAGCTGAGATCACAGCATTGTACTCCAGCCTGGGCAACAAAGAACAAGACTCCATCTCAAAAACAAACAGGCCAGGCACATCCCTCTCCCAGGCCTTTGTGCAGTAGTGACCCCCACCTGGAGCGCTCTTACCACGCTGGCCCCGTGGCTCTTGCTGAAACTCTACCTTCTCCTCAAAGCCAGTCATGGCCACACCGTTTCATAGGATCCACCCCCCCATCTCACCGATGTTCCTTCTCTAGCATTTGCTACCTAACGTATAGCTCAGGGGTGGTAAATGGTGACCAGTGGGCCCCAGCCTGTGGCCAGCTTCTGCACGGCCTGCAAGTAAGAAGGGTTTTTGTGTGTTAAAAAGATTATTACAAAACAGGCCAGGTGCAGTGGCTCATGCCTCTAATCCCAACACTTTGGGAGGCCAAGGCAGGTGGATCACCTAAGGTCAGGAGTTTGAGACCAGCCTGGCCAACATGGCAGAACCCTGTCTCTACTAAAAATACAAAAAATTAGCTGGGTGGGATGGCACGCGCACCTGTAGTCCCAGCTACTAGGGAGGCTGAGGCAGGAGAATGACTTGAACTCAGGAAGTGAAGGTTTCAGTGAGCCAAGATTGCACCACTGTACTCTAGCCTGGGCAACAAGAGCAAAACTCCATCTCAAAAAAAAAAAAAAAAAAAAAAAAGATTACAAAACAAAAGCAAGGAAATGTGACAGAGCCGAATGGCCTGCTTAAGATGCGACTCTCAGGCCCTCTGCAGCGAGCTGTACCAGCCCCGGTGTAGATGACTTCCTTGTGCTTCGTGTCTGAGTAAAAGTGAGCTTCCTGAAGGCAGGGTCAGCCTCAGCCACTGCGCTCTCTGCAGCTCCTGAAATCCTGCCTACCCTCGGCCAGTGCTCACGAGGTATCTATGGAGTGAGGAAGAAAGCCCAGCTTCCTCATCTGTAAAACGAGGAGAGAAGAAGCCCCTGGGCAGGGTGGTCACAGGAGTCAGTGTGTCGGAAGGTGTCAAAGCATTCAGCACTGCACCTGGTATGTGGCAGGCACGCAGGATGCGCTACTCTCAAACCCCGAGTTACCTGGCCGACAGGCTGTACAGGTCCAGCAGTGGTTTGCAGAGCCTCTTCAGTGCCCGTGAGAACGTGGCCTCAGCCCAAGACAGCATCTGTTGGGCGGCCTGGAGAGGGAGGGGACAGTGAGAGCTGGCTCAGTCATCCTCACCTGCCAACTACGCCCCATCCTTGCTCACTCACCAGCTCCAGGGCTCCTTTCATGGCCCCCAGGGCCGCCCTGATGGGCCTTGGACCCCCTTTGCCTGGCATCCCGGGCACCCAGGCCTGCAGCCGCCGCATGGCCTCCTCTGCTCGCTCCCGCCACACCTCCTCCAGGGGCCGCAGTGTCACCTCCAGGTAGGCATCCTTCAGTGTGGCCAGGGGCCCTGCAACAGGCAGCCACCACCCACCATGAGACCTCAGGGCAGGTCAGAGAACCAGCCCTGCCCAGACACGCCAGGCCTCGAGGAGATAGGGCCTGTTCCTGGGATTAAGATGTGGGGAGCTGGGGGAACTGGAACAGAGCAGTGGCACTGGAGATTGCAGGGGAGTTGTCACAGCAGGCCTGAGCCGTCTCTGCAAGGCCTGCTTATAAGGTTGTCTGGGAACTTGGATTGGGGGAGGGTTCCCACCAGTCCTAGAATTGATATGAGGCTCCCTGCATCTGAACTGTTTGTACAAACGTGGTTTATGCCGGACCCCTGCTTGCTTCCTAGGAGTCTGACAGTGTGGTCCGTGCCAAGCAGCACCTGCCAGTGTGGCAGCCCCCAATAAAAACCCTGGGTGCTGAGTCTCCCAGGAGCTGCTCTGGTGACAGCTGGGACAGCTAAATGCATCCTGTGTGAAAGCGCTGGGACTGGGAGAGTACCCTGGGCACTGGCCCTGGTTCTCCCTAGACTCCGCCCCAGCCCCCTTCCCTGTGCTGACACTCCTGCATCCCCTCACTATAATAAATCACAGCTGTGAATAGCGCTGGGCGGAGTCCTGGCGCATTCCTCCTGATTCACTGCCCTGGGGGTGGTCACAGGAACACTCTGGCACAGCAGGGAGGATCGGGAGGTAACATTCAACAGCCAGTCAGAGGGATGCCCACCCTGGCGCTGGGCAGGGCCTTGGGGGCTCTGTGCTGTGCTGGGCATTAGCCCTGGATGGCGGAGAGGCCAGAGGTTCCCAGTCCTGCCACGAGGCTGGTTGGGGCAGCAGGTGTGAGCCTTTAATGACCACCTGGCCACATTGAGCTCATCGTGGAACCAGAAAGAGATGCTGTGGCAGTGAGCTTCACAGAAACAAGGCTGTATACTCAAAAGAAAGCAGGCGGGAGACTGAAAAAACCTAGGCAGCAGGCATAAGGGAGATGAGCTTGGAGACTCTGTAAAAATGACACAGCAGACCCAGAAAAAACAAAGGCTGTAGATCTATAACAAATAAGGCAGGGGGCTAAACACAGCTGGGCTACAGGCCCATGGGAAGCGAGGCCACATTTCTGATTGAAACAGTGCCACAGGCCAATGTGAGCGCTTAGGGCCCCGGTGGAGAGGGGGGACATTGATTTCCGCACAGGATTGAGCCCTCCCCCTCCCACACTTACATTCCAGCTCCTCCCGCAGCTGCTCCAGCCCCACCTGCAGCCACTCCAGGTAAAGAGGCAGGTGCTGGGTCAGTGCCTGGCTCCGGGCCCACAAAGTGGCTACTGCCCAACCACTCGCCTGCATGGCCTCCCGCCCCGCCTGGGACAGCTGCAGAAGGAGGCCTGCCACGCCGTCCAGGGTGCCTGCCGGCTGCACCTGGACAGGGAAACCGAGGCAGAATCAGGGTGAGGTCCAGGGCAGAGAGAGCCCCAGACCCTCCTGCCTGGTGAGTGGGGGCTACAAGCCAGGTCAGAGGGGGACCTCTCCAACCTGAGCCCCCACCCTCCCCTGCTGTGATACCCACCAATTGCTGGAACCTTCTCACAGAGGCACCCAAGCCTTGAACCTTCTCTTCCAGCCGGGCTTGCACCTGGGAGCCAACTGCTGCAATCCTGGACTGTGAGGACAGAGGAAGAGGCTGGGGCCTCGCAGGAATGAAGTAGACACAAGGTTCTCGGTGCCAGCAGCAGGTGTGGGCCTCACAATGGGGTTGTCTGCCCTGGTTTCTGGGCACAGCTGGACCCCAAGGGCTCGGGGCTCCTGGCACGGGGGCCTCTGCCCAGTGGGAGAACGGTAACCCCTTCCCTGTGTCCCAGCCCAGGCCCTCTCACCTCCACATGGCCCAGCAGGCCCCCCTGGCAGCCGCGCGCGGCCAGCAGGAGACTCTGGTTGGCAGCCTGCAGGGTCAGGCGTCCCAGCGGCTGGGAGGGCTGCCTGCCATCCCGGAACAGGACCTCCGCCTCGGCTGTCCGCCCATGGGCACATGCCCGCAGCACCACACTCTCCTCTCTGCCCCCTGGAGCCAGAAAGGGACCTGCTGGTGCCCCCACCATGTCTCTGGCTGCCCACTCCCCCTCCACCGCTTTCCGTAGCTCCCCACTGCCCCAGGCCAAGCCTCAAGGCCCTAGGATTTGAGAACCTTGAGCTGCACCACCTAGAGCAACCACCTGAGCCACCTGAAGCCCCCTCTTCTGTCCCCTCCCCCGACACGGCAGTCAGTTAGGGATGCCATAAGGCTTCAGGGGGTTTCCTGAGGTTTTTTTTTGAGACACCAAGGCAGGAGTACAGTGGCTGGATCACAGCTCACTCCCAGCAGCTGAGACCACAGGAACACATCACCCCCTACCCCACCAGGTTTTTTCGTTTTTGTTTTTGTTTTACTTTTTGAGACAGAGTCTCGCTCTGTCGCCTAGGCTGGTGTGTGGTGACACGATCTCGGCTCACTGCAAGCTCCGCTTCCCGGGTTCACGCCATTCTCCTGCCTCAGCCTCCTGAGTAGCTGGGAACTACAGGCACCCGCTACTGTGCCCGGCTACTTTTTTCTATTTTTAGTAGAGATGGGGTTTCACCGTGTTAGCCAGGATGGTCTCGATCTCCTGACCTTGTGATCCACCCACCTCGGCCTCCCAAAGTGCTGGGATTACAGGTGTGAGCCACCACGCCTGGCCACCCCCCCCCCTTTTTTTTAAGTAGAGACGGGGTCTCACTATGTTGCCCAGGCTGGTCCTGAACTCCTGAGCTCAAGCAATTCACCCATCTCGGCCTCCCAAAGTGCTAGGATTACAGGTATGAGCCCCTGCACCCAGCCCCGACTTCTGAAATCTTAACGCCCAGACCCCCGTCCTTTCTTGAGCCAACAGGGGCCGTGGCCCAGCTAGCTGAGCTGGGACCCAGCTGCCACTCACCCTCCTCATGGGCCACAGAGGCCTGCAGACAGCTTGGGGCCCGGAACACAGACAGCCTCACTTTCTCCTCTCTGTTGTCCACGCTTCCCTCCAACCGGACCAGGCTTTGAGAAGTCGAGGTGGAGACACGGCCCAGTAGGCCAACCCGCTGAGCCTTGGAGCCACGAAGCTGGGAGGGGGAAGGCAGAGGCCTGAGTGGAGCCTGGCCCACCTGTCCCTGGTCTCTCCCCTGCCCGCCCCAGGCTCAGGAAGAGGCTGGCTGGGGAGGCTGCTGTTGGACCTGTAGGGAACCAAGGGAAGGCACAATGCCCACGCCCGATCTCCAGGGCACCAGGTTCCCCACGCCATATCCCTGTCTAAGGCTGCCAGTGCCCCATTACAGAAAGCACTTTTGAAAATACTCCGGGCCAGGATCAAGGGCTCACTCCTATAATCCCAGCACTTCAGGAGGCCAAGACGGGTGGATCGCTTGAGCCCAGGAGTTTCAGACTAGCCTGGACCACATGGCAAAAACCCTGTCTCTACCAAAAATACAAAACTTAGCCAGTCTCATGACAAATACTTTTTTTAATTTTTAAAAATACCCATCTAGGAGCCCAACCCAGCAGCAGCCGCCCACAGGGTGGCTTAGAGATGGCTGCTGCCCAGGCCCCACCCAGACACTCTGATTTAATTGGTGTTGGGGGCCCCGGGCCCTGGCATTTCTAACATCCCCAGTGCCCTGGTGTTTCTGCTACAGCCCAGGCTTTCCGAGTTTGCATGGGAACCACTGCAAAGGTCTAAGCAAGGAGACACGGGCACACCTGGCATAACACCCCAGGCACTGGGCAGCTTACCTAAGTCCCTGCAGGTGCCCAGCCTTGGGGGCACGGCAGGGACCAGGACAGGCGAGTCTAGAATGGGGTGGGAAAGAGGCTCAGAGGCCCCCAAGAGAACACAAGCCCGGAGGAGGCCCTGCAGGGGAGGGAGCCTCAGCTACCCTGTATTCTAGTCCAGACACTGCAGCTAACAAGCTGTGCACCCTTCAGTAAGGGTGTCACCCTCTCTGGGCCTCAGCTCCAAGATCTGTAAAATGATACAGAACAATGGTTCACAAAACTTAACAGGACTTAAGAGTGTGTGTGCGCGTGCACGTATGTCTGTTAAGGGTTGAATTTTGTTCCTCAGATAGGTTGAAGCCCTAACCTTCTATACCTGTGAACGTGGTGTTATTCGGAAATAGGTTTTTTGCAAAAGTAATCAAGTTGAGGCCATAGTGGATGAAGGTAGGCCACACACCCAATGAATGCTGTCCCTGTGAGAAGACCATGTGAAGATGCCACCCAGAAGGCAGAAGGCCACCACGTGGGACAGAGGCAGAGACTGGTGTGATGCCACCACAGCCGTGGGTCCTGGCAACCACCAGAAGCTGGAGGTGCTACAGAAGGATCTTCCCTAGGACTTTGAGAGGGAGTGTGGCCCTGCTGACAACTTGCTTTTGGACTTCTGGCCTCTAGAACTGTGACACCATACCTGTCTGTTGCATTAAGCCTTCCAGTTGGTGGCAATTTAATACAGTAGTCCTAGGAATCGAATGCAGGGTGCTTACTAAACATGCAGAAGCATGTCGATCTCTGAGGAGATCCAAGTTGGTAATAGGGCTACAGCCCAGGACTCCTGTGGAATTTAACCAAGCACAATGTGATCTTGCCAGGCAGGTGGGGGCAGGGGACGGTCTGCAGACCACACGGAGTTGGCCCTGGATGGCTCCCAGCATCTGAGCTCAGCCCCGCTGGGTGTCACTGAAGAGCAAGGGCCATGCCTGCCTCTGTGTAGCCTGGGTGAATGCCTGACCTCCCTGAATCTGTCCCTCATCTGTCCTGGGGCCACTGGGTTGGGGTGAGCAAGAAACAAGGCTGGGAAAGCCTTCTGACCACTCCACAGACCCCAGAATGGACCAAGTGAGAATAGCTGTCCCAAATAAATCGGGGATAGGGAAGCAAGAGGACCAGCCTCTTGCCGAGCATCCGCCATGGGTTCACTCCCAGGGCTCCAGTTCCATCAGGCACGGGGCTTACAGAGCCGGGGGCAGGCAGGGGCCTGGCTGGAAACGGGGAAGTGACAGTCAGTCCCGGAGAACAAGAACCTTGGAAGGAGAAACTCCTTTGAAATGGCCACGGCTGCTGAACTCTCAACCCAGAAATGCCATCCTCATTCAGCTCGGATGCCGGGAAGGGAGGGAACTCCCCTCTCACAAGCACCTGCTACATGCAGATGTTGTACAAATGTGTTTGCTCCTAACCATTCTGCAAGGGAGATGGTATTTGTTCCCATTTGACAGAGGGGAAGACTGAGGCTCAGCAAACGAAAGTCACGAGGCCAAGTTCACCTGGCCAGGGAGACAGAGGAGGTGGATGGAAACGCCGAGAGAGCACCTGCTACGTCACGTGCCTTGGCTACGCAGGCAGCGGGAACCGGTATCCAGACTCCCAAAAACCACCCTGTGAAATATCTGATCCCCTCCTACAGATGAGGAAACACATGCTCAGAGAGGTTCCTTCCTGGGATCACCTGGCCAGGTCAGGGCAGAGTAGGTATTGGAGGCCAACTCTGCCCCTTCCTACTTCCCAGGGCTGCTGGGAGTAAGGAGGGGGAGGAGATGGTACCAGTAATGGCTAATAGCAAATACTTACGTAGTGGCTGTTTTCTCTCAGGCACTGCTCTAAGCGATCTATGCCTACGACTATATTTAACCCTTGCAATATTAACCCCATGGGAGATAGGGCCAGTACAATTATACCCATTTTACAGGGGAGGAAACTCAGGTACCAGGAGGCAGCTAGGCTGGGATTCAAACTTGGGCAGCCCAGCCACTGCCTCTCTGTTATAGGAAGGGCCGGGTGTTGGGACTGTGGAGGAGCTGCCTTGTCTTGGCGCCAGGGCCAGGCCTGGGGTTCAGCAGGCGTTCCCCCGACCCAGAATGAAGCTCTGGCCCCATCCAGAATGCTGGTTTGCAGTTCCTCAGATAGCCACTAGATGGCGGGGCCGCCCAGGCAGTTGGGGGCCTGCTGGCCAGGGAGGAACCGCAGGGATGCCGGGATATCTTTCCCAGGGACTGTCAGCCCCATCCTGGCCACTGACCTCCAGTGCCCCGGAGAAGTCAGCTGAACGAGGCCTGCTGTGGTTTTGGAGGGTCAGGCTGAGATGCAGGCCGTGGTCTGGGTCTGGTGCAAGGCCCAGGTGGCAGCGGGAACGCAGCAGGAGTCCACCCTGGCCCAGGGTGTGCTCCCCGACGACCAAGAGGGCCTGGGACGAGAGAGTCTAGGTGTCAGGCAGGCACAGGGGTGGCAGCTTCCTCTCTCCCCAGTCCCCTGCACCGAGAATGCAGCAGCAGCTGCCACCTCCCAGCCTCCACACCTGTCGCAGCTCACAGCTGACCTCTAAGAAACGCAAATCAGATGCCGTCCCCTAAGAAGCTGGGCTCTGGCATGGCCCGTGGCCTGCTTTGTTGTCCCAACCTCACTTCCCTTGCTCCCTCCGTAAGTGCTGCCCCGTGTTCCTCAAGGCAGAGTTGTGCCTTAGGCCCCTTCCCTCTGCAGGGCTCACACTCACCAGTGAGGCCCCTTTTTGCAACACCCTGGCCCCTCTCTGCTTCATTCCTGCACAACGTTTACTACACCCTGACCATAGACCATGCATCTCTAGTTTGTTGTATCGTCCTGGCCCCACTGGAATGCGCCACCCAGGAGGCCGGCACCTAGGCTGTGTCTTTCACATCCACTCCCTGCACCTAGAACACAGCCTGGCATAGGTGAAACACACAAATGTTTTCTGAATGAACAGAGGAAAAGATAAGGGGTGGGAAACTATGGTTTGGGGCCGAATCTGGCTCACTGCCCACTCTTGTAAATGCTTTTTATTTTGAGACAGAGTTATGCTCTGTCGCCAGGCTGGAGTACAATGGCACGATCTCAGCTCACTGCAACCTCCGCCTCCCAGGTTCAAGCGATTCTCCTACCTCAGCCTCCTGAGTAGCTAGGACTACAGGCACGTGCCACCGTGCCCAGCTCATTTTTTCTATTTTTAGTAGAGAAGAGGTTTCACCATGTTAGCCAGGATGGTCTCGATCTCCTGACCTCGTGATCTGCCTGCATCGGCCTCCCAAAGTGGTGGGATTACAGGCGTGAGCCACCGCACCCGGCTTGTAAATACTTTTACTGGAATACAGCCGTAAGGATTCATTTACATATTGTCTATAGCTGCTTTCACAAGACAGTGGTAAAGTTGGTTGTTGGAACAGAGACTGGATGGTTCATAAAGCCTAAAATATATGCTATCTGTCTCTTTACAGAAGAGTATGAGTCCTTGGGATGGAGGGAGGGAGGGATGGAGGGAGGGAGGGATGGAGGGAGGGAGGGAGGGAGGGAGGGATGGACGGACGGATGAATGGATGCAAGGGAGGAACGGTTGGAGGATGAATGGATGGAGAGAGAGGGTACATGGGAGGGCAGATATACGGGGATGGATGGAAGATAGGAAGGAGGATGGAAGGATGCGTAAAGGAATGGATGGATGGGTTGGTGGATGGAAGAACCAATCAACCAGCTACCAACCCCAGGAGGGGAAAGGGGTTGAGGAAAAGGAGTCCTAACACCTCTCCTCTGGGGTAATGATGACTACAGCAGCTCTAACTCATGTGCCCGGCACCAAGGCTGAGCATTCCCGCATCATGTCTCTCTTAAGTCTCACCATCACTCTACGTCCTGGAACCTGCTGCTCCTTCCTCAGATGAAACACCAGAGGCTCAGAGAGGAGATGTGCACTGCCCAGTCACCCAGCAGGCAAATGGCAGAGCCACGATGGTGGCGTCTGGCTGCCTCGCTCACACCCCTGCATTCTGCGGGCACCACCCTCACTGCTGCCCCCTCACCATGGGTCCCTGGTCCTCCAGCTGCCCCCTTCTGCAGGGCAGACTCACCCTGGGCAGGTCACAGAGCCCCAGGTGGAGGGAGTGCCGCAGCCAGCGTGCATAGTCAGTCTGTACTTCTCCCCAGAAGCTCTGACGGGTACAAGAGGCCCCGAGGACGTGCTCCAGCGTGGCCTCCATGATGATCTTGTCTGGCTGAGATGGCCAATGCCTCTGGAATGAGAGGGCCTATGGGTCAGGGGCTCATCACCTAAGAGAATGCCCATGGCCAGCTGCAGTTGGAGACCCTCACCTAGGCAAGAGCATGTGCCAGGAATGTGCCGTCAGAGCTCTCATCAGCCACAGCACCCCCTTACACTCTGCGGCAGGATTTTTTTTTTTTTGAGACACTCTTGCTCTATAGCCCAGGCTGGAGTACAGTGGCATGATCTAGACTCACTGCAACCTCTACCTCCCAGGTTCAAGCGATTCTCCCACCTCAGCCTCCCAAATAGCTAGGATTACAGGTGCATGCCACCACGCCCAGTTTTTTTTTTAATTCTTTAGTAGAGATGGGGTTTCGCCATGTTGGCCAGGCGATCAGGTGATCCCCCCACCTCAGCCTTCCAAAGTGCTGGGATTACAGGTGTGATTCGCCATGCCCCGCTCGTGGCAGGATTTCTGCTGTGAGCACTTAGGGGGCCATGCCTAAGAGCCCCAGGAACCCAGGCGGGAGGTCCAGAGGAGGAAGGGGCTTCCAGGGCCAGCTCTCCCCATTTCTCCATGGCCTGGTTCCTGCCCCAAGCTCTGCAGAACAGTGCTCGGCCCCATGAGGAGCCCTATCAGGTAATGATGCTGGAGGAGACCAGACCTGATGCCTCGGGGAACCGGAGCTCCCGATCTCCCTCCGCCCCCTCCCGAGAAGCCCCCTAGCATCCCACCTTCTTCCCCATCTGTTCCCAGCATCTCGGGCCGTTCCCCTTGCTTTTCTTGTCTTCCAGAGCCCTCACCACATCCCAGTTAGGAAGGGAACCATTTCACAGATGAGAACACTAAGGCTCACAGCAGAGAAGTAAGTTGCCCAGGATCCCGCAAGCACTGGAACCCAGGACCACGTGGCCCCAGAGCTGGACGCTCCTGTGGCAGGTGGAGCCGCCTGGGGGTTCCCTGCCCAGACGCTGCTCCCCTGACCTCACCTCGTAGGTCAAGTTCTGCCGCATGCGGTGCTGGCCCCAGGACACGTTGAGCTGTTCAACGAACACAGCTGGGGTCTGCGTGAAGGCCCCGCAGGCCTGGAGGCTGTTCAGGCCCCAGGTTTCCTGGAGCTGATAGGGAAGAGAATAGGGTACATGACCTGGGGGGCCAGCTGAGAAGCCTGGAGCGAGGGGGACCCCCTCACTCGGTGCAGCGGTCAGGCCCCACATACCTGCCCCGGGGAGGCGGCCAGGCAGCCGTCCCAGGCGGTGCTGTGTGCTAAGGACCCGTCAGCCCAGGTGAGCTGCAGCGTCGCAGGTTGTCCTCTGTTCCAGGTGAGCTGCACCTGCATTGGGATGGGAGGGCAGTGGTGGGGAAAGGGGGACATGTAGGGGAGAGGAGAGGTTAACGGTGTCCCCACAGCCATCTCTGTTGGGAAATGAGAGGCTAGGGAGGATGGAGAAGCTGGTGCCCCTCCCCCAGATATCCCTAGAGGAACTAGGATGGAGGGTGGAGAGACTGCCCTGCCTACCCCCATCTCTGGAAGAGCTCAGAGCCATTCCCAGGCTGGAGACTGAAAGCATTTAAATGAAAAAAAAAAAAAGCCTCATCCCCAACACCCAGACTCAGCATTTCCAAAGACAGAAAGCAACCGTGCTCCTCACTGGGGCCTCCAGGGCCAGCATGATCTGTCCCTGCCCATCTGACCTCATCTCCCTGTCACCCATCCCTCCCAGTCACTCTGTTCCCATCTTATTTCCCTTCCAGCCCTCCCCAAAGCACCCGGCTCATTCCCACCACAGGGCCTTTGCACGGGCTTTTCCTGTTGCCTGCAGTGCTGCTCCTCCAGCTTCTCTCAAGCCCGGCTCCTTCCCATCCCGGGGCCGCCTCCCCCATGAGGCTCTCACTGACCACCCACCTTACAGTTGCTGCCCCACCCACCCACCCAGTCACGCTCAGTCTCACATCTTTTTTTTTTCTTTTTTTCTTCTGAGACTGTCTCACTCTGTTACCAGGCTGGAGTGCAGTGGCGTGATCTTGGCTCACTGCAACCTCCACCTCCAGGGCTCAAACGATCCTCCCGCCTCAGCCTCCCAAGCAGTTGGGATTGCAGGCACACACCACCACACCCAGCTAATTTTTATATTTTTAGTAGAGACAGGATTTCGCCATGTTGGCCAGGCTGGTCTCAAATTCTTGGCCTCAAGTGATCCACTGGCCTCGGCCTCCCTCAGTGCTGGGATTACAGGCATGAGCCACCACGTCCGGCCCCTCTTTACTACTTTACAGTGCTTATCATATCACACCTTCTGATTTTTTAATTCATTCCTTGGCTTGAATTCTGGAGAGCGTCTTTTGCCTGCACACAGCTGGCCTGTTGTCCTCCCTTTCATAGATGGGAAAACCTGAGTCTCAGAGAGGCGATAGGACACACCCGAGGCCCCCCAGCCAGACAGGGAGCCCAGCTGCCTCACTCAGTCCCCAAAGCTACCACTAAACAAGCAACTATAAATGATCAATCAGAGACGCCTGTACCTGTTTCCCACATTAAAATGTGAGCTATCTTCAAACACCGCCTGGTATACAGTAGGTGCTCAATGAGGTATTGATAAAGGAATGATTGAATGAAGGATCCCAGAGATCCCCAGGCTTCAGGAAGCTGTGATTCCGGAGAAGTCTTTGTCACTGATGAACACACTCTCCTTCTCCTACCAGAGGTGCCCAGCCCCACAGGCTCAGTCACGCGGCTCCCACCTCCAGCCCCGGCCAAGGGCGCCTGGGACATCCTCACTCACCTGCCGGCTCTGCCTGCCACCCCTGCTCTCAGCAAGGCCACTGGCCTCGGCTTGCCGCCAAGGGAGGTTGAATGGGTGAGCCAGGGCCAGGCGGGCGGCCAGCTCACTCTTCCCCAGCCACAGGGAGGAGGAGACCAGCACCTAGGGAGGGAGACAGACTCAGCCAGTGGCCTTGCCCAGACAGACTGCACCTCTTTCCCACCCGCACAGACCACCTTCTCCATCGAGGTCAAGGCTGCAAAAGGGCAGGTGGCTTTCAGCACAAAACCCCATCCCTGTGCAAGGCCCTCGGAGAGCTCAGTCCATTTCACAGAGGAGGAAATCCAGGCTTAGAGAGGAGCAGATGGAGCGAACACAGGACAGAGATGGGACTGGAGGTCGCGCTCCTCCTCCACTGTCTTCCCTTAGCTCTGTGGCCCCGGGCAGGTCACTGCACCTCTAAGTGCTTCAATTTCGTCATCTGAACACGGGCCCATTAATAGCGCCGAGCAGATGGGAGGCTGATGTGTGGCTTCACGCACAGAACCTATCACGGGGTAAGCATTCAGGGCCTGTGAGCCACCGTCACTGCCGTGGCTGTCAAGGTGTTGTGGGGACCCAGGTCTCCTGCTGCCCCCCCAGTGCCTTTCCCACAGTCCCTTGGGGATGTGGTACAGCCTCATTGACCCCAGATAAGGCTCCTCAGGCAGGGGAGGGCCCCAAAGACCCCGCTCAGCCTGCAGGGTGGAGTTCAGCTCTGCCCCAGGGTCACCTTCCGGCCCTGACACTTACCTGGTCCCTGCCATCCCAGCCGACAACCAGGCCATCCCGGTGGCTGCCTCCCAAATGCTCTGAGGACAGGCGGAGGCTGCAGTGTCGCGGCAGGGGGAGGGGCAGCGGGTGGGTGAGCTCCACTGGGTGGGTGAGGACACACACAAAGGGTAGGGCACGTGAGCTGAGGTCAGCAGCTCCAGGCCCAAGGGGGTTCAGGGGACTCAACTGACGCCACTGCCAGCTCACGCAAATGGCCACTCGGGGGCCACACAGCCAGATAATTTTCACAAAACTCAGAAGCTACACACTCGCTTTGTCACCATTACCACTCGACACCCTGCACTGTCCCTGTGGGAGCCCCGTTACAATGAGACTCTGAGGCTCCTCCAAGAGGTGGCGTCTGCCTCCCCAGCCCTTGAAGCTGGGCTGGCCTCGTGACGTGCTAATAAAATTCAGCAAAGTTGACCGAGTGCCAGTTCTAAGCCCAGGCCTTAGGAGGCCTCACCCCGCTTCCTCCCTTGAACCCCTGTCCAGCCACATGAGAACAAACCCTGCTGGCCTGTGGGCTGGTGCCACGTGGGGTTGGGGAGAGCCTGCTTTCAGCTCAGGATGTCCTAGCGCAGCTGACAGCTAGCCAGCCCCTGAGCAGGCTGGAGAGCCCAGCCAAGGCCAGCGGAGCCGCCCGCTCACCCTACAGCTGACCTTGAACATGAGGAAGACCAGAAAAGCTGCCCAGGTGACCCACAGCCTCGTGAGCAAGGCGCCACGCTTGCTTTATGCCGCTGAGTTTCGGAATACTTTGTTACCATCCTGAATCAGGAGCTGATGGGGGCAGCCGCAACCTCAACAACCTGCATCCCTCTCGGGGGCCTCACATGCACAGGTGCCCTGTGCCCCCTCGGAAGCCCCACACCCCATGCCACCGTCTGCTGTCCTGTGCTCTCCTTCCATCTTGGATGTGACAGGTGACACCCCATAGCTGAGTCCTCGCAACAACAGATGGCCTCCACACCCCGGGTTTTCTTCCTCTGTCCCCCAGGTGAGTCAAGCTGACCTGACCTCCGACATCACTTGACCCCATCTCCTGAGGCCCCTGAGCAGCCCTGCTTTCCCAGACCCCACAGCAGGAGGCTGCCCGAGGCCCCTGTGCACGCTGGTGACCTGTGAGCTCTGTACAAAGGGCACCCACCTGTTCAGATGGGCTGCAGGAGCCGTGCCCAGAGACACTGGCACTGGCTGGTTCTCAGGGCATCACCCAGTCATTGGTTCTGGGGAGGCTGACCACATGCAGGGCTAGAACCCTTTGTTCCTGCCACCCGCTGACCCCACCTGCAACACTGTCAACACCGTGTGGGGCTGCAGACTGTGTAGCTCACCAAGGGTGGCACAAATACACACACACACAGGCATGCACACACGTGCATGTATACACACACATGCACACATACACACATGAGCACACATACACTCATGAGCACACACATACACGCATGCACACTGCCTTGGCTTGCTGGGGACCTGCTCACTTCCTCTGCCTTCCAGGGCACACATGTGGCAAATGTGACGCTGGGAGGATTCCATCAGGCCACCTGGTAAGCCGTGCCTCCAGGCTGGGGTCTGCACTCTGTCTCCACACCTGGCAGGCTGTGGGTCGGGCTCTGCTCTGTGCTCAGGAGGTTCCTTACACAGAAACTAAGTCTTGTGGCTGCCCAGGCCACAAATTACAGCCCCTTCCAGGGATGCCTGTTTCTGGAGGACCCAGGGGCTCATGGCTGCTGTTGTTGGCGCTGTGTCGGCACTCAGCTCCCCTGGCACCACAACTGCCCAGGGATGCCACCTCTTCCACGCCCTGGCCCCTTCTCCCTGCCCGGCTGCACTCAGGATAAGCCCCAGCTCCTCTCTATGAGCTGAGACGCTGCATGACCTGGGTCCCCCAGCCCTCCTGCCTCGCCTCATCCCTTCTCCCCATTCCAGCCATGCTAGCCCCGCAGCTGCTGCTCCACATGCAAACCTCATTTCCAAGTGGGGCCTTCCGCCTGAAGTGCCTCTGCTCAGATCTGCCAGCTCCTTCTCATCCTTCAGAACTCAGTTCAGAAGTCACCTCCTCCAAGAGGCCTTCCCAGACCACCCCACCTAAAGGAGGCCCACACCCCACAAAGACCCTGCTTGCTCTCACAGCCTTTCCCACTCGTGGAAATGGTCATGCTTGACGTTATTTTGCTTATGTGCATCTTGTTGCTCAATGCCTGTCTCCCTGAGGGGTGACACCTGGGCCATCTTGCTTCCTGATGGACCCCTGGTGCCTAGATTACACCTGGGATATGCAGGTGCTCAGTCATGGCTTTTTTGAGACCGAGTCTCACTCTCGCTCAGGCTGGAATGCACTGGCTCAATCTCGGCTCTCTGCAACCTCTGCCTCCCAGGTTCAAGCGATTCTCCTGCCTCAGCCTCCCAAGTAGCTGAGATTGTAGGTGCCTGCCACCATGCCTGGCTAATTTTTGTATTTTTAGTAGAGATGGGGTTTCACCATGTTGGCCAGGCTGGTCTCAAACTCCTGACCTCGAGTGATCTACCCACCTCGGCCTCCCAAAGGGCTTGGATTACAGGCATGAGCCACCGCGCCTGGCCAGGGATGATTTCTTGAGTGACTGGGCCACCCCTGCCTGCAGCCCCTCACACACTCACCCTGCAGGCTGAGGTTCCTGGTGGGCTTGGGGAAAGGCCCAGAAAGGCTCCCGGTGAGGGCCACCTCCTGGCCATCCCACAGCACCACCTGGCGCAGGACACGGGTCCCATGAGCTCGCTCGTATGCGGTCTGCAGGAACAGCTCCCTGGGAAGAGCGCTGAGCTGGAAGAGAATGACGGCGTCATGGGGGAACCCGACCCATGCTTCTGCCTGGGATGGGAAAGAAGAGAAGCTTGCAGAGGAGGAAAAAGGGAATATTTGTGGATCATTTACAGTTTCCTGAATGGTGACATATGTCAGGGGATCAAAAACCCAAATGCTTCCTAAGGATGAGCAGATAATTTAAAGGAGAGGAGTAGGTGAGGGGAGTATGGCCAACAGGAGACAGCACAGAACAGCCACTTCTCAATTCCATGGCCAAGCTGTGTGGCTCTGGGCATTTTTCAACCTCTCTGAGCCTCAGTTTCCTAGAAAATGGAGGCCAGAAAGTGTCAACCTTTGCAAGATGATACAAGTGGTGCACTCAGCCCAGGGCTACACGGTGGAGAGGAGCTTGTAGGAGGCACGCAGTTGGTATTGCGGTTTCTCAATCATGTAGCGAGCAGGTATCATGCTCCCAAGCCAGTGCTGAGTGCCTGGGTACAAAGCTAGCCAAGACCTGGTCCTGGCCCTTAAGGGGCTCCCAGGGAGATAGTCGAGATAGTCACAGGACAGAAAATGATGGGATAAGGTGACAAGGATGGTCACAAGAGACATTCAAGGGAGAAAGGAACGCAGAGAAGCAAGCTTGGGGAGGAGGCAGGGAAGAGCATTCTAGGCAGATGGAAGAGCCTGTGCAAAGGTTCGGAGAGGGACGCCGTCCCTGCTGGTGGGTGCCACAGTCCGAGGGTGACTTGAGGGCACTGCAGGGGGACTGCTGGGGTGGGGAAGGAAGTTTGCTCTTAAACGTCTCTAAAACCTATCACTACTGCCCCCAGCTTGGTCCACGCATTATTATTGCCCTGCCCCTGCCCATTATGGGGCTTCCTCACTGCTCACTTCTGCCACCTGTAGGTCCCTCCCCACACAGCAGCCAGAGGGATCTGAAATCATCATTTATTTGATCATGGCTTCAAAGGCTTCTAGTAGCAGATAGAACACAATGCAAACGCCTCCCTGTGGCCTGACTGACCCTGTGTGATCAGACCACCTCCTACCATTCCCCACCCACCCAGCTCCAGCCCAGTGGCTCCTTGGCCATTCCTAAAACATGCAAACCCATCCCTGCCCCAGGCCCTTTGCATGTCTTGTTCCCTCTGCCTGGAATACTCTTTTTAAAAAATGTATTTTAGATTGAGGGGGTCAGTGTGCATGTTTGTTACATAGGTATATTGTGTAATGGTGGGGACTGGGCTTCCAGCGTCCCTGTCACCCAAATATCGAACATCATACCAGGCAGGTAATTTTCCAACCCTTGGCTCCCTCTCACCCTCCTCCCTTTTGGAGCCCTCAGTGTTTACTGTTTCCATCTTTATGTCCATGTGTATTCAATGTTTAGCTCCTGCTTACAAGTGAGAACATGTGATACTGGGTTTTCTGTTTCTGAGCTAGTTCACTTAGGATAATTGCATCCCTGCTGCTGCAAAGGACAGAATTTCATTCTTTTTTCCGGCTGTGTAATATTCCATGGTGTATATATACCACAGTCTCTTTACCTGCCTCGAATGCCCCTCCCCCAGAGATTTCTTTTTTCTTTTCTTCCTTTTGAGATGGAGTTTCACTCTTGTCACCCAGGCCGCAGTGCAACGGCGCAATCTCGGCTCACTGCAACCTCCACATCCTGGGTTCAAGCAATTCTCCTGCCTCAGCCTCCAAAGTAGCTGGGATTATAGGCATGTGCCACCACGCCTGGCTAATTCCATATTTTTAGTAGAGACGGGGTTTCCCCATGTTGGCCGTGCTGGTCTCGAACTCCTCACCTCAGGTCATCCACCCGCCTCGGCCTCCCAAAGTGCTGGGATTACAGGCGCGAGCCACCGTGCCCGGCCTTCCCCCGGATTTTCAAATGGCTGGTGCTTATCATCCACCGCTAGCTCATGTGTCGTCTCTTCAGTGGGGCCTTTCCTGGCCACCTAATCTAAATAAGCTCCTTGGTCACTCTCAGTCACTTCAGTACGTTTTCTCCGTATCATAGTACTATCTGGCATATTTCGTTTGTGTGATTTCGGGGAGTCAATCTCCCCCGCTAGAGTGGACACTTGATGAGAGGAAGGATTGATCAGATCTGTTTTAGGTCACGCCCCAGCTTCTGAAATAGTGCCTGGCACCTAGTAGATGCTCCATAAATCATGCAATAAATCCAGCTCAATAAATCCAGCACATTGTGTCCATTTCACAGCCTTGTCTGTCCTTCCGCCCAGGAACCGGGACACTAGGACAATTTTTCTTTTCTCAAAGGGCTGTCCCAGAGGCCCCCCACCCCAGCGTGCTCCGGCCCTGGGCTGACCTCCACACACCTGCAGAAAGGTCTGTTCCAGTTTGATGAAATTGTTGAGACCGGCCTTAGCAGCTACCTGCCGGGTGCTGATGTGAAAATGACGCTCCTCCACGCCCAAGGCGAACATGCTCTGAACCTCACCCTTGGAGTAGTGTAGCTGGGTCAGAAAAAAAAAAAACCACCACAAAACACGATAAAGCTCCTCATCAGGGCTCTGATGGAACATTCCAGGAGATGCTGGCTGTAGGCCGAGGGCTCTGCCTCCCAAAGTCCCAGGCCCAAGAGACCCACAACTCCCTGGGCTGGATGAAGTTTGATGATGCGAGGGTTTGGAGCCTCAGGTTAGGCCATCAAGCGTGGCCATGGCAACTATCTCCTTCATGCCCTCCCTGCTATAACATTGACTTGAAAATATCTACCAGCCTGGCACCAGCAGCCAAGAATTCTAGTTGTAGTACTGTTGCAGACAGCAGGGGGCAGTCTAGCAGAAAGAATTATGCCTGGGTGCGTGTCAGCATCAAACACAACAGAACTCCAAGTGTGGATCTACCACTGAGAGGTGAGTGATCTCCAGCTAGTTCCTTAACCACCCAAGCCTTCTAATCCAAAAACAGGGATAAGGACACCTATTTTATTACGGGTTGCTGCGAAAATTGTATGAAATAATGTGCTAACTTCCAGGTTGGCTGAAAAGCAGAATCACTGCGGGGGAACTTATTAAAAATACAGATTCTGGGCTCCCACTTAAAACCTACAAAAATGGAGTCTCTGGGAAGATGTTCCAGAGCTGTTTTTTTTTTTTTTTTTTTTTTTTTTTGAGAAGGAGTCTTGCTCTGTTGCCCAGGCTGCTGAAGTGCAGTGGCACGATCTCGGCTCACTGCAACCTCTGCCTCCTGGGTTCAAGTGATTCTTCTGCCTCAGCCTCCTGAGTAACCAAGATTACAGGCATGTACCACCACACCCAACTAATTTTTGTATTTTTAGTAGAGATGGGGTTTCGCCATGTTGGCCAGGCCAGTCTCGAACTCCTGACCTCAGGTGACCTGCCCACCTCGGCCTCCCAAAGTGCTGGATTACGGGTGTGAGCTACCGCACCCAGCCAAGAGCTGGTATTTTTAACGCGCTCACTAGAGGCGTCATTTCGTTAGTGATACCCCTTGTCAAAAATGTTCAGCCTGAATCTTATCTTCAAGAAACAATCGGACAAATCCACATTAGGAGGATGTTTTGCAAAATAACTTCCTGGACACTTCAAAATTGTCAGTGCAGGATTTTTTTTTTTTTTTTTTTTTAGACAGAGACAGGGTCTGTCTGCTCTGTCATCCAGGCTAGAGTGTGCAGTGGTGTGAACACAGCTTACTGCAGCCTCAACCTCCTGGGCTCAAGCAATTCTTCCATACCTCAGCCTCCCTGGTAGCTGAGATACAGGTACACACCACCATGCCTGGCTGATTTTTAAATTTTCTGTAGCAATGGGGTCTCCCTAGGTTGCAGGCTGTTTTGAACTCCTGAACTCTAACAATTCTCCTTCCTTGGCCTCCCAAAGTGTTGTGATTATGAGTGTGAACCACTGCATCCAGTTGGGACTTTTCTGAAGGTGGTTAATGACAATAAAATGTTTAGGGGGAATTATATCTGCAACTTACTTTGAAATGTATCCAAAAATAAGATGGATGGATAGAGAGCTATGTGATTATGTGAAATAAAATGTAAACAGGAAAATCTAGTATGTGGGTATGCACTGTAAAATTACTTCAATTTTTTAGTGTCTAAAAAATTGTATAATAAAATGTTGGGGGGCCAGATGCAGTGACTCATGCCTGTAATCCCAGCACTTTGGGAGGCTGAGGTGGGCAGATCATTTGAGGTCAGGAGTTCAAGACCAGCCCGGCCAACGTGGCGAAACCCCATCTCTACCAAAAATACAAAAATTAGCCAGGCATGGTAGTGCATGCCTGTAATCCCAGCTACTCAGGAGGCTGAGGCAGGAGAATTGCATAAGCCCAGGTGGCGGAGGTTGCGGTGAGTCGAGATCACGCCTCTGCACTCCAGCGTGGGTGACAGAGTGAAACTTCATCTCAAAAAAAGAAAAAATAAATAAAAAAATAAAAAAATAAAACATTGGGTAAGGAAGGGTAGGGTGTAGAAGGAAAATATTCTAGATCAGGAGTTGGCTTTTGGGTCAAATTTGGCCCACAACCTGATTTTATAAAAAGTTTTATTGTAACAGCCATGTCTATTCACTTACATATCGTCTATAGCTGCTTTTGTGTTACAGTGACAATTCTGAGTAGTTGTAACAGGGACCATAAGGCCTGCAACCCCCACAACATTTTACTTTACAATAAAAGTTTGTAGACCTCTGTTCTAGATTAAGAAAATTAAAAAGACATGGCAACTACGAATGCTGCGTGATCTTGGCCTGCATCCCGGATTTAAAACAAAACAAAACAGTTTTTTGAAAGAACATTAGTGGGAAAGCTGGGAAATTGTATATGGGCTGTACATTAAATGAAGGTATTAATTCAACGTTCAGTTTCTGGAATGTTGTAATTACCGTGTTAAATCAGAAAATATCCTTGTTACAGGAAATAGTTGAAGTATTTCAGAGTAAAAAGTTGATGTCTTCAGAAACGTCTCTATATTAATTCTTAATGATACAGAAAAAATGTGTGATGATACAAATTTATGTAACAGATAAGAAAGATGGAAAGATATTAACAATTGGTCAATGTTCACTGTCCTACAGTAGCTTTTATATAGGTTGAAATAACTCAAAATAAAACTTGGGAAAAAACTAAGAAGCTCCCGGAATGGAGCCAGGTGTGGTGGTACCACCTGTAGTCCCAGCTACTCCAGAGGCTGAGGCAGGAGGATCACTTGCACCCAGGAGTTTGAGGCTGCAGTGAGCTATGATCACGTCACCACACTCCAACCTGGGTGACAGAGCAAGACCCTGTCTCAAAAAGACATTCTAAAAACAAAAAATAAGGCTGGGCGCAGTGGCTCACGCCTGTAATCCCAACACTTTGGGAGGCCGAGGTGGGTGGATCATTTAAGGTCAGGAGTTTGCGACCAGCCTGGATATCACGGTGAAACCCTGTCTCTACCAAAAATACAAAAATTAGCCAGGCGTGGTGGCGCACGCCTGTCATTCCAGCTACTCAGGAGGCTGGGGCAGGAGAATCGCTTGAACCGGGGAGGCGGAGGTTGCAGTGAGCCGAAATTGTGCCACTGCACTCCAGCCTGGGTGACAAAGAGAGACTGTGTCTCAAAAAAAATTTAAAAATTAAATAAATAAATAAAGAAGTTCCCTGAATGACTGTGCAGTTGGAGCGAAGTTTGAGGAACTCCAAAATCACGTGTAAATGCGGCAGGGGACCCAGCACATAGCGCATGCTCTGTAGACAAAGGTGGCCTGGGCCAGGGCTGGGAGGGTGCCTACCAAAACATGGTGGCTGGTAGGAAAATGAAGTGACTAGTTACAGATGTAACCATTCATGCATGCACTCACCTATTCATGCCCTATTTTTTTTACTAAACAACTACTGTGTGCTGGGCCCTGTGCCAGGCACTAGGCATGCCCTCCAGGAGCTCCGGATCTGGGCACAGACAATGACAGCTCAGAGGGACAGAGGAACCTGGCCTAAGACTACTGGGCCCTCCTGTGCACTCCTACGACCCCTCAAGTCCTGCATGCAGGGCAGAGATGGGGGTGACGCTGGCTCAGCTCCAAAGGGCTGTGTCATCTGCTCCAGCTTCTACAAGTGTGCCAGGCTGGGTGAGGCAATGCCAGGCGCCAGGCACTGGGTGAGGAGGCCTCCCCCATCTCCCAAAGGGCTTGTGAGCCTGACTGGGGGCCACGGGGGCTGGCCCAGGAATGTAAACCTGGGTATGTTTGGGAAAGCTGGAGCCAGGGGTTTCCGAGGGTTGCCCACCGGAGCCTGCTGCAGGCTGGTGAACAGATGTGCATGTATTAACACTCCCCAGAGGGGCCTGGCCCCCTCCTGCCTCGGGCTGGGCATCTGGAACCAGTTAGGAGCCAGGCAGCTGGGGCACAGTTACCTTAGCTGAGGCTGAGGCTGAGCTGGGGCAGAGACCCAGGAGGAAGGGGAGGCGATGCCGGCCTGAGAACAGCAGCTCTTTGCTAGAAGGAAGGAAAGAGAAGGCCTGAAGCTGGCAAGACAGCACCTTGTCCAGTGCCCCCAGGGCCATGTCGAGACCAAGGGGACTTCCCCGAGAGAGAGTCAGAGAGCCAGGATCACATCAGTGGCCCAGTTCAGGGCTATTCACACACCCCGAGGCCCAAGGGCCATACGGTGCCCTGGTTAGGGCTGGACTCTGGAGCCAAGTTACCTAGATTTGAGTCCTGGCTTGGCCTCTGCCTAGCTCTGGCACCAGGAGCAAGCTTCTTGGTTGTCCCTCTCTGAGCCTCAGCTTCCCCTGAGCCTCAGTTTCCCCATTGGTATCAAGGGTTAAACATGGCTCTGGGCTTCAAGTCTTCCATGAGTCCATCAATGAGCTTTCTTGGGTTGGTCCCATGGGAGTCCCAGCAGGGTCTGGACAGCAGGATTTTAACCCCCTGACTCCCTCCCAGGGATCCTCCTCACATAGCACCCCTCCCCTCACTCCTCCAGGCCAGGGTGGTTACAATCTCCACGTTTTTCTCTTTTTCTTTTTTTTTTTTTCCTTCTTCACTAGAGACAGGGTCTTTCTCTGTCACCCAGGCTGGAGTGCAGTGGTGCCATCTCTGCTCACTGCAGCTTCGATCTCCCAGACTCAAGTGATCCTCCTGCCTCACCCTCCTGAGCAGCTGGGACTACAAGCATGCGTCACCATACCAGGCTCATTTTTAAGATTTTTTGTAGCGATGGGGATCTCACTATGTTGCCCAGGTTGGCCTCGAGCTTCTGGGCTTAAGCAATCCTCCCACCTCGACCTCCCAAAGCACTGGGATTACAGGTGTGAGCCGCTGTGCCAGGCCTCTCTCCCCTGTTGCTAACTCCAGGGTGCTACACCCTCTTGTCAGGTTCCTCTCCACCTCCATGTCTCAGCCTTGGCACAGCTGACATCTTGACTCCTGGCCTTCACAGTCGTGGGTGTGTCCTAGGCACTGTAAGATGCTTAGCAGCATCCGTGGCCTCTATACACTGACTCTCACAGTGTCCTCCTCCCCACTGTAGCAACCAGAAATTCCCCAGACTTTGCTGAAAGTCCCTGGGGGGAAACTCGCCCCTAGGTGAGAACCACTGGTCTACCCCTTCAACAAGTGGCTTACTCACCCCCTCCCTCACTGCTGAGACCTGAGGGCTAGAGCCTGGCTGGTGGCCCCTGACTTACTGCACACGTAAGAGCACCAAGCGCCTCACCAGGCCCCCAGGCCTAAGGGCAGTAATAGTTATTAATAAGTGTTTGGGGCCTTGGATGCACTTAGTTTCTGAGACTGAGAACTCATCAGTGCCCTGCCTGGAGAGGATGAGGGATTTTTATAGCTGTGTGACCTTGGAAAAGTTACTTGGCCTCTCTGAGCCTCCCTGCCCTTGTTTATGCAGCAGTGCTGAGCAGAGAATTGAGAGGTGCTGTGTCCAGCGATGGTGCACAGCAGGTACCCAGTCAATGGTTCCTCCCCCGACTCCTCTCCTCCTGGGGGCCCCCCTCACCTGACTGCCTGGTTCTGGCCACGGACGTCAAGGACCAAGGTGGCCTGAGAATCGCAGGTCAGCTGCAGTGAGGAGCTCATCTCTTCTGCCTCCCAGAGTCCTTGGAACACGAGCTGAGGAGGGAGCAGGCTGTGAGATGTGTGGGTGTACATAGCCTGAGGAGCCTCACAGGCTGGGTGGGGACCCCAGCCGAGCTCTATAGCCCAGCACGTCCCTGTCCCTAAGCCCAGCATGGCCTGGCTCATCCAACACTCTCACAGGTGCTGAGGATACAGGGCCGGAGTCAGCCCCTATTGCAGCTCAGGTTGGCAGTGCCCACCGAGGGACCTCAAAGGACAGCTGCAGCCCAGACGTCGACAGAGAATGTGCTCCCGGGAGGGCTCCCTGTCACCTGACCTCGAGGCCAGGAAAGGGTTTAGATGAAGCCAAGGGCACAGGGTATCCAGTCCACTCAGTTGTGGGGTACAGGGCTGAGATCCTTTGCAGGAGGGGTGACATCCTGGCCCCCTGACCCCCTGGGAGCTGCTCCCTCCTCCTACAGCAGAGTGGACTGGGGCAGGGGTTGCTGGGTAATCTGAAACAGGAGGGTGTGAAAGAAGCATTGGCGCCTGGCTCTAGAATAGGCTCTGTGGCTCTTGGAGAAGGAGGGCCCAGCCAAGCAGGACGAGTTCATGCCAAGTGACAGTGGTCAGGGCATGGCCCCATGTGGGTTCCTCTTCACCGAGGCAGGAGGACACCGTGAGGAAGGGCCTGGGTGCCAAGTCTGAGTCCCTATTTTGCTGCTAACTTGCTAGGTGACCTTGGGCAAGTCACCCACACTCTCACGTGTGACCCAGAGATGATGATGATGACGATAATAATCACTGTCAGACCATCAGCATCTTCTTCTTCATCTTTGCCTTCATCACAGCAGGTGCTTAAGGATCTACTCAGGCATTAATGGGATGAACTCACTCGATCCTCACAACCTCCACATTATAGGTAATATCATCATCCCTGTTTTGCAGATGAGGAGATGAGGGCACAGACAGGTGAAGGAATTTGCCCAAGGCCACACAGCTGGCAAGCAGCAGAGCTGGGATCTGAACATCGGAGAGGGCCTTGGTAAGGACGGTGCCATCCTGCCTTTCTCTGGAGCCTGAGGAGGATGAGACTGACGAACGCCCATAAACCCTTTGAAGGGGGCTGGGCACAGGGCAGGGCTTGACAAGCAGGAGCTTTGATTCTGACCCAAGATTGCAGGGCAGAAGGACGCAGGGCAGGAGCCAGACGAGGCTCCAGGGCACCCATCCACACCAGCCCTGTGATTGGAAATGCAGAGACTGCTCAGCAGACCTGGTTATAGCGATTATGAATGAAGCCTTTGTAAATTGTCAAGTACTGGGGAAACCCAAGGCCTGGTCCTCCCCACCCACCCTGCACACAGCGGGTCCTCTGCACACCAGGAATTGGACAGAGAGAACAGAATGTGGAGGGAGGTCCTGCTCCATCCACTCCTTACCTGGTTGGTGAAGGGCAGGCCCAGCCTCTGGAGAGCAGGCACTGTGTGGCTGGCACTGGCCACCAGCTGCAGTGGGCCACGTCGTGGCCGAGCCACCAGGGCTGCCAGGTCCATGCTGACTCCACTGTCCCCACCATGGAGGGCCACCCTGGCCTGGGTCTGGGTCTCTAGAGACAGAGAATGGCATGGGCTACTGAAGACAGCTTCACCTCCCTTCCCAGCCCAGGAACACACCAGACTACATGAGAGGCCATGCCCTGTGGCCCTCAAACACAACACCAGCAGGAAAGGGCAAGGCTGCCACAGCGTGGGTGCTGGGTGGGGTCAACCCCTTTGAGCCTCCGTGACATCATCTGTCATAATTTGTCCCTGAGGATCCAGGCCTGGGTGGCTCCTTCTCTCATTGAAGTTGAAGTTGCTGAAATGACACCTTCTCCAAGAAGCTTCCCTTGACTGCCCATCTGAAGTCCCTCCCAGTCCTTGGCTGCCAGGCATCCTCCATCCCATCTCCCTGGAGTGTGGTTTCCAGCACAACCTGAAATGACCTCGCTCACTTACTTATTAGGTTCCTGCTCCCCAAACTCTCACCCCACCAGAAGGTCAGTGCCTGGGGTCGGGATTTCCCTTAGGACAGCTCCTGACATGCAGCGGGGGTGCAGTGAGTGCTTTCTGAATGACTGTGGGATGAAAGGCTTCTCTGCAGGGATTCCTGAGGATTATGGGAGGGGTAGCCTGCAGAGGAATCAGCATGACGTCTGCTCCCCACAAATGGCCACTGCGGCCACTGACATCCACCTGCAGCCACCTGGCCCTGGCTGGAGGGTCCCGTCCTTCCCATCACCCCCTACAGAACAGGAGATTTTGGCTCACAGTTAGGAGTTTCTTCTTTGACTTAAACTCCCTTTGCTATACAGAGAAACTCATCGGGTCCAGGAGCCCCAGAGCAAACAGATGGCGCCGATTCTGTATCAGATGCCAGGTTCCCGTGGGGTGCAGCTCACGGCTCAGGCCCAAGTGACACTCAGCCAGGCTCCAGCACCTCCCATCTGGCCAGCAGGGTGGACGAGCTCCACAGCCCTGAGCCTCGACTTCCTTATCTATGAGGTGGGCACAGCCCGCCCGCCTCAAGGGACAGCGTCCAGAGTGAATGGGGTAACACACGGGAGAGGACCACTTGTGGGACATGCAGGTGGCCTCAGGAAATGCTTCCTTCCTTCCTCGTTCAACATTCAGCCACATGTACCTACTACATGCAGGGCACAAGGAGACAGGGGACACAATCCCCACACCTGGGAGCACCCGGCTGTCAGAGATACCAAGAATGTTAACGACAGGCAGAGCATCCCCAGGAGGTAGGGACAACAGACTGGACAGCAGTGGGAGAAGGGAGAAGTCACTCTTGGCTGGGGGCGGCCATACCAGGCATCCTGGGTCGGGAACTAGAGCGGCGTGGAGGTGGTCATCCAGAATGGCCTCCCCTCACTTGACTGTCATGTCCCTAACAAACCCTGAGGTCAACTCAGACTGGGGACAATTTCCCCATGTGATCCTGTCCTCTGTTCTCCCCTCAGGAGGCTAACGGCCAAAAATAAAGTGTTTTTTTTGCTGTTGTTGTTTTGTTTTTTTTTTTTTGAGACAGAGTTTCACTCTGTGGCCCAGGCTGGAGTGCTGTGGCGTGATCTCGGCTCACTGCAACCTCCGCCTCCCAGGTTCGAGTGATTCTTGTGTCTCAGGCTCCTGAGTAGCTGGGACTACAGGCATGCACCACCATGCTCAGCTAATATTTTTTGTAGAGACAGGGTTTCACCATGTTGGCCAGGCTAGTCTCGAACTCCTGACCTCAAATGATCCACCCGCCTTGGCCTCCCAAAGTGCTAGGATTACATGCATGAGCCATTGCACCCGGCCCCCAAAATAAAAAAATTTGAGGCCAACAGAAGGACTCCCCTAGGGGACTGGGGAGTCCCCGGGATCCTGAATGGTCAAGAGCCAAGTCTCCATAATCTATATGGGGGTCAGAGGATGGCTCTGGGTTCAATCCTCACTCCGTCATTACCAGCTGTGTGGCCTAGACCAGGTGACTCAACCTCTCTGAGCCTCCATTCCTCATCTGCAGAATGGGAATGGCATTCCTAACCCTATCTCATAGGCTCGTTCATGCACCCATTCGATACCTACTATGCACCCTACGGCGAAGCAGACAAAAGTCATCCCTGCCCTCACAGAGCACACATTCTGGTGATTCTAGCATAGAAAAATGAAAAACAAAGGTATTTGTATGCTACACAGTGTGTTCAAATGACAGAGCTGGGGAGAGGGATGGGAGGGGATGGGAGGAAACGGGGAGGTGGAAAAGAGAGGCCTCCCTGAGATGCCATTGGAAAAATACCTAAGGGAGGTGAGGGAGCCAGGCAGGCGTGTGGGAGAGACACATTCCAGGCAGCAGGATCAGCCCGTGCCAAGGTCCTGGGGCCGCAGCAAGCCTGGCGTGTTGAAGAATAGCAAGGAGTGGAACAAGTAGGGCTGGGGGCTGGGAGATGAGGTCAGATGGGGGAAGGGTGTGGATTCTGATGGCTCGCAGGCCCCTCTAAGAGCTTTGACTTTCACCCTGTGTGATCGGGACGGCTGTACTGTATTGTGCTCTCGTGTGCACACAGCTTGCCTGGCATGTATGCAGTAAGTGCTCAGCCAGTGCTGGCTCCTCTTGTTGCTTTTATCTTCCCACCATAATGGGTTGAACCGTGTCCCCCAAAAAGAGATATTGAAGTCCCACCCCCCCTCACCCTCTGTCCTGTGAATATGACTTTATTTAAAAATAAGGTATTCACAGATGTAATTAAGTAAAAACAAGGTCATATTCAAGTCGGACGGGCCCTCAATCCACTGTGGATTGTTTTTATTTTGAGACAGGGTCTCATTCTGTCACCCAGGCTGGAGGGCAGTGTTGCAATCATAGCTCATTGCAACCTCAACCTTCTGGCTCCAGTAATCCCCTGCCTCAGCCTCCCGAGTAGCTGCGACCACACACATGCACCACCACACCTAGCTAAGATTTCTATGTTTTAAGCCATCCAGTGTGTGGGACTTTGTTGTGGAAGTCCTAGAAAACTAATCCACCTGCCTTGGGAGTTAGGTCATTGACGGGCAAGGCTGTCTTGGTTGTCCTGGAGCCCAGAGCCACACTGGACTTGACAGGAGTGCCACCTGGGTCCAGGCCTGAGGCTGCTGGTCTGGCCCAGGCATGGAGGAAGCCAGCTCCCCAGTCCCGGGCTGTGCGCTGAGTGCCTTACCGTGTATCTGCAGCTCAGCACTAAGGCAGGCCTCGCCTGGGAACCCTGCCCACAACAAAGCCTCACTGTTGTGCCAGCTCCGGCCGGAGAGCTCCAGGTGCCCATCATGGTAATAGCAGCTCACAGAGTAGTTGAGGAATGTGGGCCCCATCAGGATGCGTCCAGAATGCTCGAAGCCGGAGCTGCCATTGTGAATGTCCACAGAGACCTGGAATGACACCAAGGAGACGCTGGACCACCCTGTGCAGAGAGAGCCAGCCTGGGTCAAGCTGGCACTGGCTCCCACAAACCCTGGGGTTATCAGTGCCATCCACGTCGCTGTGATGGGAGGAACTCAGACCCTCTTGAAGGAGCAGGTTTGATGACCAATGGGGTTACTCCAGCTAATTACACATGCACCCAGGAGACCGTAGAGAAAACGCGGAGAAACCAATCAGGAAGTGGGGCAGGCAGGGGAGAGTGGGCCTGGGGAAGATGGCTGGAGAAAGACTTTGGGAAGACCAAGATGTCCTGGCTGGTGCGAAACAGGTTGCAAACCACAGCCTACATCTGTTGTTGTAAATAAAGTTGTTGGAACACAGCCCTGCCTGTTTGTCAGAGGCATTTGAACCAGAGCAACTCCATCTTGAATAGACACTGGGTAAAGTAAGGCTGAGACCTACCAGGCTGCATTCCCAGGAGGTCAGGCATTCTAAGTCACGGGACGACATAGGAGGTCAGCACAAGATACAGGTCATAAAGACCTTGCTGATAAAACAGGTTGCAGTAAAGAAGCTGGCTAAATCCCACCAAACCAAGAAGGTGACAAGAGTGACCTCTGGTCGTCCTCACTGCTACACTCCCACCAGCACCATGACAGTTTACAGATGTCATGGCAATGTCAGGAAGTTGCCCTATATTGTCTAAAAAGGGGAGGCGTGAATAATCCACCCCTTGTTTAGCATATCATCAAGAAATAGCCATAAAAATGGGCAACCAGCAGCCCTGAATTCTTTCTTGCACAAGATCCAAGAACCCTCCCTTGCGGTCTGGATCGAGACCCCATTCCGGTAACATGTTCACATCCCATTCCTGTGGCTGCTTTCACAACACAATAGCAGTAGAATGGAGGCATTGTGGCAGAGACTGCAGGGCCACAGAGGCTAAGACATTTACTATCTGGCCCTTGATGGAAAAAGTTTCTCAAACTCTGCTGTGAGATGTAATTCCCTCCCATGCCACCCCACAATTGTCTTAGTAAAACCTTCAGTGAGGCCAGGTGCAGTGGCTCATGCCTGGAATCCCGGCACTTTGGGAGGCAAAGGCGGACAGATCACTTGAGGTCAGGAGTTTGAGACCATCCTGGCCAACAAGGCAAAACCCCGTCTCTACTAAAAATACAAAAATTAGCCAGGCATAGTAGTGGGTGTCTATAATCCCAGTTACTCAGGAGGCTGAAGCGGTGGAATCTCTTGAGCCCAGGGGGCGGAGCTTGCAGTGAGCCGAGATCACACTACTGTACTCCAGCCTGGGTGAAAGGGCAAAACTCTGTCTCAAAAAAACAAAAAACAACAACAACAAAAAAAATATACTACAAGGCTACAGTAACCAAAACAGCATGGTACTGGTACCAAAACAGAGATATAGATCAATGGAACAGAACAGAGCCCTCAGAAATAACGCCGCTTATCTACAACTATCTGATCTTTGACAAACCTGAGAAAAACAAGCAATGGGGAAAGGATTCCCTATTTAATAAATGGTGCTGGGAAAACTGGCTAGCCATATGTAGAAAGCTGAAACTGGATCCCTTCCTTACACCTTATACAAAAATTAATTCAAGATGGATTAAAGACTTAAACGTTAGACCTAAAAACCATAAAAACCCTAGAAGAAAACCTAGGCATTACCATTCAGGACATAGGTATGGGCAAGGACTTCATGTCTAGAACACCAAAAGCAATGGCGACAAAAGCCAAAATTGACAAATGGGACCTCATTAAACTGAAGAGCTTCTGCACGGCAAAAGAAACTACCATCAGAGTGAACAGGCAACCTCCAAAATGGGAGAAAATTTTCGCAACCTACTCATCTGACAAAGGGCTAATATCCAGAATCTACAATGAACTCAAATTTACAAGAAAAAAACAACCCCATCAAAAAGTGGGCAAAGGATATGAACAGACACTTCTCAAAAGAAGACATTTATGCAGCCAAAAGACACATGAAAAAATGCTCATCATCACTGGCCATCAGAGAAATGCAAATCAAAACCACAATGAGATACCATCTCACACCAGTTAGAATGGCAATCATTAAAAAGTCAGGAAACAACAGATGCTGGCGAGGATGTGGAGAAATAGGAACACTTTTACACTGTTGGTGGGACTGTAAACTAGTTCAACCATTGTGGAAGTCAGTGTGGCGATTCCTCAGGGATCTAGAACTAGAAATACCATTTGACCCAGCCATCCCATTACTGGGTATATACCCAAAGGACTATAAATCATGCTGCTATAAAGACACATGCACACGTATGTTTATTGCGGCACTATTCACAATAGCAAAGACTTGGAACCAACCCAAATGTCCAACTATCATAGAATGGATTAAGAAAATGTGGCACATATACACCATGGAATACTATGCAGCCATAAAAAATGATGAGTTCATGTCCTTTGTAGGGACATGGATGAAATTAGAAATCATCATTCTCAGCAAACTATCACAAGGACAAAAAACCAAACACCACATGTTCTCACTCATAGATGGGAATTGAACAATGAGAACACGTGGACACAGGAAGGGGAACATCACACTCGGGGGACTGTTGTGGGGTGGGGGGAGGGGGGAGGGATAGCATTAGGAGATATACCTAATGCTAAATGACGAGTTAATGGGTGCAGCACACCAGCATGGCACATGTATACATATGTAACTAACCTGCACATTGTGCACATGTACCCTAAAACTTAAATAATAATAAACCCCCCCCCCCGGAAAAAAACCCCAAACTTTCAGTGAAATCTCCACCACCTCTACCACAATTTCGAAGGAGCTACCCAGGCATGAAGGAGCAGGGATGACAGACGGGGAGAGGGCACCCTGGTCCCCTGCAACCCAAAGAATGAGCCGCGGCCCAGCCGTGACTGCATCACCCGGGCTGAGAAACGCAGCATCTCAGGCCCCACCCCAGACCTGCTGAATCAAACCTTCATTTTAACGCCCTCCCCGATTATGCCTGTGTACTGGGTGTGCGGGAAGCCCTGCTCTAGGCAGAAGGACCACCACAGGAGGTCCAGGTCTGCTGGGCTCTGATCATGTGCCACCCACCCTCTGGGATGACAGCACAGGGCCCAGGGCTGGACTTGTCCTGAGTTTCAGGGGCTCTGTACTGCTGGCCACCTCTGCCAAACTGTCCCCATCCACCCTGGGCCACACCCAGGCCTGCCTGCTAGGCCTCTGCTGGTGTCACCGCTGACCTTGATGGTGCCAAGGTCAGACGGGCCCCAGGCACTCAGGCTCAGGGCAGATCCAGAGACTCAGTGTGACAGCAGAGAGGCCAGGGGTGAGCTCTCTGTCACTATCCACAGAGCGCTTCCCTGCACCCCAGCCCCAGTGGGCAGAGCTGGGAAAACTGAGGCCTGAGCCCTCATCACCACACAGCTGGCTCCCTGGACTTTCCCCCCAGGACTAGGCATTCCCAGGGTCTAGTCAACCCTAGACCAGGGGTTGCAAACTGGTGGCCCTTGAGCTGATAAGTTTTATGTGGTCACTCACTCTGGTATTTTTTGTGTTGTTTTTTTTTTGAGACTGAGTCTTGCTCTGCCACCCAGTCCGGAGTGCAGTGGCACAATCTTGGCTCACTGCAACCTCCGCCTCCTGGGTTCAAACGATTCTCCTGCCTCCGCCTCCCAAGTAGCTGGGATTATACGCATGCGCCACCACGCCCAGCTAATTTTGTTGTATTTTTAGTAGAGACAGGGTTTTACCATGTTGGCCAGGCTGATCTCGAACTCCTGACCTCAAGTGATCCGCCCACCTCGGCCTCCCAAAGTATTGGGATATACGACATCTTGTATAATTCTGTTTGTATGAAATTTCCAGAATAGACAAACGCATAGGGACGGAAGGCAGATTTGTGGTTGCTGGGGACCAGGGAGGAGGGGATGGGAGGGACTACTAATGTACTGATGGGTATGGGGATTCCACTGGGGTGTTGAAAAGTTCTGGAACTTGCAAGCACCAATGATTGTAGAATAGTGTGAACGACCATAGCATCCCCGAGTTGTATACTTTAAAACGGTTTTACATTATTACACATATTTTACTACAACAAGAAATGTGAAAAGATACATATGATGTGGAGGGTTTGAGACGTGGCAAACACTCTGTAGTTCCCCACACAGCCCAGTGACACATTTCAGTTCTCCGCCTGCCCCCAAAGTCTTCGAGTTTGCAACCCCTGTACCCAATGCACACAGGTTTATCATTGAAACAGCGGGAGCAGGCTGGGTACATGGCCCATGCCTGTAATCCCAGCACTTTGGGAGGCCGAAACGGGCCGATCACTTGAGGTCAGGAGTTCAAGACAAGCCTGGCCAACATGGTGAAACCCTGTCTATACTAAAAATACAAAAATTTAGCTGGGCGTGGTGGTGGGCACCTGTAATCCCACCTACCTGGTGGGCTGAGGCAGGAGACACTTGAACCTGGTAGGCAGAGGTTGCAGTGAGCTGAGGTCATGCCACTACACTCAAGCCTGGGCAACTGAGCAAGACTCTGTCTCAGAAAAGGAAAGGAATGGGACGGAAAGGAACAGAACGGAACGGAAAGGAAAGGAAAGGAAAGGAAAACGAAGCAAAGGAAAAGAAAGGAAAACAAACAGCAGCAACAGCGGCAGCAGCTGCGATCACTGCCTGAGCATGCAGCAGGTGGCAAGGCCCCTCACCTGTTTTATGTCACCTGTTTTATGAGGCAGGAACTGCTACTCCATATAGGTCAAAAATGTTGACTGAGCACCTACTACATGTCAGGCCCCGTCTCAAACCTGGGGATACTACCATGCACAAAATAGAAATGCCTGAGCCCGTGACGCTCAGGTGGCAGTGGTGGGAGGCAGACAGGACAAAGAGAAAGGCATTGTGCTTCCTGCCTGCACCCTCGGCAGAGACAGCTTGAAGCCACCTGAGCTGAGCTGCACCCCAGCCCTGAGCGCCACGGTCCGCTTGTCTCACGATGCCAGGACATGCCCACCGCCAGCCCAGCTGCCCATGACAGAGGTGGGCTTGCAACCCTTGGGTCCTGATTGATGTTTACCTGTGTTTGCAGATGGGACCACTCGATGACCATCAGGTTGAGCTGATGCCCCTGGGAACTGGGAGTCCAGGTGCATGTCACCAGGGATGTGGGGGGCTTTTGAAGGAGGGGGACCATGTGAGTATCTCCTGGCAGCGAACTCAGCTCCGGGCCACACCTCAGACGGCCCCTGTGATCAGGCTGTGCCAGCCCCGCTGGAGGGGCCCACTATGTACCACAACCATCCAGCCCAGGACAGAGACCCCATACCTCGAGAGGCTGCCCAGCGATGTCCCCTCGGCACCATCCTAACAGCTGGGTGGGCGAGGCGTCTCCACTGCAGTTGACCTACAGAGACCAGTGGGTGGGAAGGGGCTGGCTTCTTCCCTGACCCCAGAGTGAACCGTCGTGGATGCCAAGATCCCACTTGACCCCGCCACCCTTTGGGGAAGCCACCATGGGCAAATAACCCCAAAGAGAGGTTTGCACAGGGACTTGAGGGCGAAGCCACGGCATCATCATCAAATGAAGGTAAACGGAGCTCCCAGCATGCAGGGCCTCCACGCCAGGCACGGTGCTAACTGAACCACAGAGTAACCATGGGAGGAGGTGGCAGATGAGGAAACTGAGTCACGCAAGTCAGGGAAAGAGGAAGCATCTTGCATGTGGTCACACAGTCAGCGACGGTGCAGCCTGGCTTCAGGCCAGGAGCCCTGCTCACTCACATTCCCTCTCCCACCATGGACGGTTTAGCCACCCTCAGGGACAGGCACCGAGGTGGTTTCCTGCTTTTCATTTCTGAGAACAATAAAGAGGACAGCTGCGGGTGTGAGGCTTCCCCAGGGTAGGGGCCCCAGGGAGGAACTGAGAGACCAGGGCCTCTACCATCTTCATTCTACCAGACAGGGCCTGGTGCAGGCTGCAGCCTGGCCCATGTGGGCACCCAACCCACTCACCTCCAGCTGGGAGGGCAGGGTACCCTGCAGCCCCGAGAGGCCATGGTGCAGCCCCAGCACCAGCCCCTGGCGGCCACCCTCTGCCTTCCTCTCCAGGGCTGCGCGGAGCTGCTCGCCATCCAAGATCACCGTCAGCCCGGCCGCCAGACTACGTCCCACACTCTGGGCAGAAGCAAAGCTGTTGGGTGTCCCTGGGACCCACTGGCCCCCGAGAGGGCCCGGGTGCAGCCCCCTCCTCACTCACCTGGAAGTGCCCGTGGCCATCTAAGGAGAAGGGGAGGCCCCAGTGCTTGAGGCTGGGCATGGTGTGGGTGTGACGGAGGCTGGCATGGAGCTGGAGGCCCGAGGACTCGGGGGTCACGTCCTCCAGGCCAATGGCACCGTCTAGCTGAGCCCCCGCGTTCCACAGCGCCAGGCGTGCTGAGCAGTTGGAAGCCACGTGGGTGAGAGACAGGAGCATCCCTGCCTCGGAGGGGAGTCCTGGGGGAAGAGGCCAGCGGGCAGGAGTGGGCAGAGCCCCAGAGACCACTCACCCCAGTCCACCGCATTTAGTCAGGATGGGAACATGACGGGGGCCTGGCCAGCACACCTGCTCTCTAGAGCATCCCCTGAGCCCCATAGCTCCAGGTCCTACTGCACCCAATACACCAGGTTAAACCATCTGAAACTGTCCACAGTTCACAGAAATGGCGATTTCATCTGGTCCAACCTCACAGCACAATTGCCACATGCAGCCGGTGATAAGACCCATGTCCCTTAGGACTTCCAGCTCCCCGAGGAAAGGACACAAATCTCAGAGGGAAACAGGGGTCTGATTGTGTGTCCTCCCTTCGCTGCTGCACCTGGGGGCCCCTCCAGGCCTGGAGGTAACTTCTGAGAAGCTCGAGCAGGGGCTGTTGGGATTATTTCATAGCTGCGGTCCCAGAGGGCATCCTTGGGGTCCTGGCTAGGCCAGGTATCCACGCTGCACAAGCTGTCCCAGGGAATTGGGGGTGGGAGGCCTGGAGGGCTGATGGCAGCGGCTGTCACCAGCTGATTTGAAGCCTGTCAATACGGTAACAACTGGTGCCCTGAAGCTGCATGTTCTGGCTGAATGACGTCCCAGGGAAGGAGACACAGGTGTGCCGGGGAAGCCAGCAGGGGAAAGAAATGAAGCTGGAATGTGAATTTGGGGGTTGGAGGCTCATTTATCCCCCCTCCCTTGGCTCCAGGACTTAGAAGTCTTGGAGGAAGCTGTTCTGCCTGGACCACTCGTCCTACCTGCATCACTCAGCGTGCTGATATTGTGTGTCGGGCCACCCGCAAGCTGTCCGTGCCGGGGGCCCCAGGAGCAGGCGCCACCCAGAGCCAGGCTGGCTGCATGGGCCCGGATGCTGGCCTGGGCCCTCAGGTTCCTCGTCTGGGCCTGCAGCCGGCCCTTCAGCTGGAGCTCTCCAGGCAAGGCCTGGCTGCTGTTCTGGGCAAGGACACAGGTCACGCTGCGCACGCTGGTGCCGTTCCCTGCCTTCTCATGCTGGTCCCGCAGGAGGAAGCCCAGCACAGCTGAGTCAGCAGTGACACTGAGGGTGCCTGCAGAGAATGGTGGAGAAGAACAGAGCAGAGGCGGCTCAGGGAAATGAGCTGCTTTGGAGAGGAGGGAAAAGAATTTGGGGGTAAGAAGTTGCTAGATTCATGATGTCGCACTTGTAACTCATGTCAGAAATGGCACATTTGTGAAATCCATCAGAGTACACCAGCTCCCTCCCAGGATACTCTGAAAATCAAGCGACCTAATTCGCAAAATAATTCAGAAAATCTGAACAGCTCTATATTTATATAGAGCTATACGTTTATATAGCTGTATACGTTTTCCAAAAAACTCCCACAAAGAACGCTCCAGACGTCTTCGCTGGTAAAATCGATCAGACGTTTAGAGAACATCACCACCAATCTCATACAAACTCGTTCAGAAAAGAGAAGAGATGAGGATACTCGACTTGGTTTATGAAATTGGCATAAACCTCATACCAAACCTGACGAAAGCTTTGCAAAAAAGGAAAATTACAGCCCAATAGAGCTATGAACACAGACACCAACTTTCTTAACAAAGTATTAGGAAACCAAATTCAATTACATATAGAAGGAAAGAAAAAAATGCAGGGAATCCCACTAAAGCAAGGTTGGTTTCATACCGAAGTCCAATTTAATTCACACTATTAACAAAATTAAAGTGAAAAACCATATGAATATGTACTAGATTCAGAAAAGGCATTTGACTATATTCAACACCCATTCTTAAGAATAAAAACTGGCCAGGCGCGGTGGCTCACGCCTGTAATCCCAGCACTTTGGGAGGCTGAGACAGGCAGATCACTTGAGGTCAGGAGTTCGAGACCAGCCTGGTCAACATGGTGAAACCCTGTCTCTACTAAGAATATAAAAATTAGCCAGGTGTGGTGGCGCATGCCTGTCATCCCAGCTACTTGGGAGGCTAAAGTAGGAGACTCGCTTGAAACTGGGAGGTGGAGGTTGCAGGTTGCAATGAGCAGAGATTGCACCACTGCACTCCAGTCTGGGAGACAGGGCAAGACTCTGTCTCTAAAAAACAACAACAACAAAAACTCTGCAAAACCAATAGCAAACATTAAAATTATTTGTGGAAATTTTGAATGTTTTCTTTGTAAGAATGAGAACAAGGTAAGAATTTTTACTCTTAGCATATTTATTCAATATTATATACTGTATTTCTTAGCTACTGCAATAAGAAAAAAAAAAACCTAAATGGCATAAAAATATCAGGCCAGGCTGGGTGCAGTGGCTCATACCTGTAATCCCAGCACTTTGGGAAGTTGAGGTAGGAGGATTGTTTAAGCTCAGGCATTCCAGACCAGCCTGGGCAACAAAGGGAGACCCCACCTCTAAAAAAAAAATTATCTGGGCATGGTGGCAGGTACCTGTAGTCCCAGCTACTTGGGAGGCTAAGGCAGGAGGATGCTTGAGCCATGATCATCCCACTGCACTTCAGTCTGGGCGACAGAACAAGACCCCATCTCAAAAAAAAAAAAAAAAGGCATAAAAATCAAAATGGAAGAAAATATCCTATTCTAGAATATATAAAGAGTATCTACAAATCAATAAAAGACAAACAATTTAATAAATGGGCAAAAAAAAATTCATGTGACCTGTCTCAAAGGAAGCTACACGAGCAAATAACACACATGAAGCAGTGCTTGGCCAGGCGCAGTGGCTCACACCTGTAATCCCAGCACTTTGGGAGGCCTAGGAGGGTGGGTCACCTGAGCTCAGGAGTTCAAGACCAGCCTGACCAACAAGGAGAAACCCCGTCTCTACTAACAATACAAAAAAAAAATTAGCCAGACATGGTGGCGCTTGCCTGTAATCCCAGCTACTTGGGAGGCTGAGGCACAAGAATCGCAGAGGTTGCGGTAAGCTGAGATGGCGCCATTGCACTCCAGCCTGGGCAACAAGAGCGAAACTCCATCTCACAAAAAAAAAAAAAAAAAAAAAAAAAAAAGTGCTCAACATAATTAATCAACAGGGAAATGCAAATTAAAGCCACAAGGAGAAACCACTAGACACTAATTTGATTATTTTTTTTGAGACAGGGTCTCATTCTGTTGCCCAGGCTGGAATGCAGTGCCACAATCATGGCTCACTGCAATGTCCACCTCCCAGGCTCAAGCGATCCTCCCACCCCAGCCTCCATGTAGCTGGGACTGTAGGCATGCACCACCATGCCCAACTAATTTTTTTAAAATTTTTGTAGCGACAGAGTCTCCCTATGTTGCCCAGGCTGGTCTGAAACTCCCAGGCTCAAGCAATCTGCCCTCCTCCACCTCCCAAAGTGCTGGGATTATAGGTGTGAGCCACTGCTCTCAGCTGAGATGTGCACATTTCTTTTTATGTAAATTTTATATCAGAGGAACGAAGAAAGGGAAGGAGACTAAGAGCAGGGAGAATTGTAAGCACATTTTGAGCTTTAGTCCATGATGTGTATTATAATCTATTTGGGTGTAAGGTGTTCTGATGTCTACAACTCACTCTGAAAAGCGTCAAAAACAGCATAGATGGATGTGTTACAGGAAAGGGGTCCGGATCCAGACCCCAAGACAGGCTTCTTGGATCTCCCACAAGAAAGAATTCAGGGAAAGTCCACGGTGCAAAGCAAAAGCAAGTTTATTAAGAAAGGAAAGGAATAAAGAATGGCTACTCCAGACAGAGCAGCCCTGAGGGCGGCTGGTTGCCCATTATTATGGTTATTTCTTGATTATATGCTAAACTAGGGGTGGATTATTCATGCCTCCCCTTTGTGTTTATTTTATTTTTTGAGACTGAGTTTCGCTCTTGTTGCCCAGGCTGGAGTGCCGTGGCGTAATCTCTCACTGCAACCTCCACCTTCCAGGTTCAAGCGACTCTCCTGCTTGAGCTTCCTGAGTAGCTGGGATTACAGGCATGTGCCACCACGCCTGGCTAATTTTTTTGTATTTTTAGTAGAGACGGGGTTGCACCATGTTGGCCAGGCTAGTCTCGAACTCCTGACCTCGGGTGATCCACCTGCTTCAACCTCCCAAAGTGTTGAGATTACAGGCGTGAGCCACCGCGGCCGGCCCATCCCTCCCCTTTTTAGACCATATGACGTAACTTCCTGATGTTGCCATGGCATTTGTAAATGACCATGGCGCTGGTGGGAATGTAGTAATGAGAACGAACAGAGGACGCTCTCGTCACCATCTTGGTTTTGGTGGCATTCGGCCGGCTTCTTTACTGAAACCTGTTTTATCAGCAAGGTCTTTATGACCTGTATCTTGTGGCGACCTCCTATCTCTTCCTGTGACTAAGAGTGCCTTAACCTCCTGGGAACGCAGCCCAGTAGGTCTCAGCCTCATTCTACCCAGCCCCTATTCAAGATGGAGTTGCTCTGGTTTACACACCTCTGACAGATGGAGAGTGGATAGGGGATAAAGAAAATAACACAAAATGCGAACAATTATAACATTTAGGTGGGGGGCACGTGGGTGTTTGCACACAATTCAACTTTTCTATATGCTTGCAATCTTGCATGGGAAATGGGAGGGGGAGGGGGAGAAGCCATCTCGTAGGGACTCCCACGGGGCAAATCTAGGAAAATCCGGCACTGAAATAATGATCATGACAGATTACTGAATAAAATAAGAATCCATGAGTCCCTACTGAGGTTAAGGAAGGAAAGAAGGAGGGTGATATGGTTTGGACCTGTGTCCCCAACAACCCTCATGTTGAATTGTAATCCCCAGCGTCAGGGGTGGGGCCTGGTGGGAGGTGACTGGTTGGCCTGGGAGCGGATTTCTTAAACAGTTTAGTAGCATCCCCTGGTACTGTCCTTTCCATAGTGAGATCTGGCTGTTTAACGTGTGTAGCAGCTCCCCCCTCTTTCTCTTAATCCTGCTCTGGCCCTGTGACGTGCTGGCAGAGGAGAAGATGCACCATACTTCCAGTACAGCTTGCAGAACTATGAGCCAACGTCTTTGTAAATTACCCAGTCTCCGGATGTGAAAGCATTGCAAGGACAGACTAATATAGAAGGGAAGGGAAGGGCAAAGGGAGTTAGCAGGGAAAGCATTCTGCCCTAAGCAATAATTTATTTTTTGAGACAGAGTCTCACTCTATCACCCAGGATTGGAGAGCAGTGGTGTGATCTTGGCTCACTGCAACCTCTGCCTCCCATGTTCGAGTGATTCTCGTGCCTCAGCCTCCTGAGTAGCTGGGACTACAGGCGTGTACCGCCACCCCTGGCTAATTTTTGTGTTTTCAGTAGCGACGGGGTTTCACCATGTTGGCCAGGCTGGTCTTGAACTCCTGGCTACAAGTGATCTGCCCGCCTCAGCCTCCCAAAGTGCTGGGATTACAGGCATGAGCCACCATGCCTGGCCTGTAAGCAATAAATTTAAAAAAAAAAAAGAATTAGAAAAATCCCCATTTGGCAATCATCATAACAGTAACAGACTCAGACAAGCATCATCAGTGGGTGCTAAAACTAGGAGGGTCACAATTCCATGAGAACAGAGAATACTTACATGACTTCCAAGTATCTCACCCCAGTTACTTATTAATTACAAAGGAAATAACTAAAAGCTTTACAGCCAAGAAACCTGGCAACCCTACCTTAATCAAGAGATCAAAGCTAATGTCACCAACGTTGGACAAACAGACAGAAGGTGCCACCTGACAAGAGGCTGCCTCATTTCTGTGGTGTCCTACCAACAGGCTTTCTTGAAAGCAGGCATCGGGAAGTGTCACTCAAACCCAGACGGAGGGCTGTTTCACAACATGACTGCCCGGTACCCTTCAAAATGTAAATATCTGCCAGGCGCGGTGGCTCACACCTGTAATCCCAGCACTTTGGGAGTGGAGGCAGATCGATCACTTGAGGCCAGGAGTTCGAGACCAGCCTGGTCAACCTGGTGAAACCCCGTCTCTATTAAAAATACAAAAAAAAATTAGCCAGGTGTGATGCTGTGTTCCTGTAATCCAAGCTACTCGGGAGGCTGAGGCAGCAGAATTGCTTGTACCCGGGAGGCGGAGGTTGCAGTGAGCTGAGATTGCTCCATTGCACTCCAGCCTGGGGGACAAGAGCAAAACTCAGTCTCAAAAAAGAAAACGAAAAAAAAGAATTATCATGTCTGCAATCTAGGAAAACACAATTCAGGAATAAAATAATATGTTAAATATACATACATATAGAGAGAATATGAGAATGATAAGGGAAATGTAAAATGTTAGTAACTGATTAATCTGGGCAAAGGGGCTGTGCGATTCTTTGCATTGTTCTTGCAACTTTTCTACAAGTCTAGTGTTACGTCAAAATAAAAGGTATTCCAAAATATATGCCTGGGAAACCCTGCACCCAACTCTCCCTCCTGGAGATATACAATGTCCATTAGCGTGTTAAAGGCTCTGACAAGTCCTGCATAAGGAACCCTATTCAGTTTTTAGTGAGCAGATTTTCTTTGTCAGAATGCATGTTCATTTCTCACAAAGGGAAATCATCCATACCCCTTTATCTAAACCTGTAGATATGCCAGTGTGAGATGCTGGAGTTGGAGCATCACTGGACTTGGGTGGAAATGAATCTACCTTGCAGTTCCAAAGAAAGTGCTTGCCGCTGCCCCCATGGCGTTCCCCAGGCCCTCACCCTCTTGAAGTGTCTCCTTCTGCTTCAGCCTTCCTGTGAGTGTCAGGAGGCGGGGCATCGCTGCCCAGCCAGCCACCGTGTGCCGGGTTTGGCTCTGGAAAGTCAGGATCCGGCCTCCCCTCCATTCCTCAGATGCCTTGAGGAGCAACTGTGCTGTGTTCTGGTCCAGCAGTGCCTTGGAAAACAGCCAAATCCTAGGCAGCGAAGTAAGGGGGTTAAGATCATGGGCTTTGTAGTCAGGCAAACCTGGGTTCCAACCCCAATGCTGCTGCTCACTAACAGGATGACCTGGGACAAGGACATAACCTCTCTGGGCATCAGTTTCTCCTTCTGCAAAGTGGGAATAAAGTGGACATACTGATATTGAGCTTTTTTTCATTTTTTTCCTAGGAGACAGAGTGACTCTGTCACCCAGGCTGGAGTACAGTGGCACAATCTCAGCTCACTGCAACCTCCGCCTCCTGGGTTCAAGCGATTCTCCTGTCTCAGCCTCCTGAGTAGCTGGGATTACAGGGACCCACCACAACAGCTGGCTAGTTTTTGTACTTTTGGTAGAGATGGGGTTTCACCACGTTGCCCAGGCTGGTCTCGAACTCCTGACCTCAGGTGATCTGCCCACCTTGGTTTCCCAAAGTGCTGGGATTACAGGCATGAGCTGCTGTGCCTGGCCTTGAACTGATATTGATATTGATACTGACAGGTACTCAACCAGGTGTGAAACAGTGTGTTTGCACCTATGGCCAGCTCTTCCCATACTCTCCTGCAAGGTGACTTTGCCACTCCTGCATTAACACGTGAGATCTATGTCCTCTCCCTTTGAATCAGGACTGGCCTTGTGACCTACGTTTTGGTCAGTAGAATGTGGCAGAAGTGACAATGTAGAACTTTCAAGATTGGGCCCTAAGATCTGCAACTTTCACCTTCTCACATGAATGCTGCCTCTTGGAACCCAGCCACCTGGTAAGAAGTCTGACCAGCCTGAGACCGCCATGATGTGAGGAAGCCCAAGCAGCCACTTGAAAAGAGAGAGGGGGATGCACATGGAAGAGCACCGAGGTGCCAGACATGTAAAGGAAGCCTTCCTGGACTTCCCAGTCCACCCCCGTCCTCAGCCCATGCACACATCTGGCTGGGAACTGACTCAGCTGAAGGCTGATGTCAGCCAAGAGTCCCAGAGAATGACCCCTGCCAAAGCCACACAGAACAGAACTGCCTAAGCCTTGTGTAAGTTCCTGACCCACAGAATCGTGAGCAAACAAAATGGTTGTTCTTTAATCTCTATGCTTTGGAGTAGCTTGTTATGCAGCAACATCTAACCAACAGACTCTGACATGCACTGTGCACTTTAGACACATTGTCTGACTCCTTACAAAAGCCCTGTGAGTTTTGAGAATATTATGAACCCTAATATACAGATGAGGAAACAGGTAGAGAGAGAGTAATATGCCCAAAGCTCAAATAAGCAGTTAGCAGTACCTAAAGCATAGGGTTGTTTAGAATTAAACGAACTTTGGAATATAAGGTTCCTACTCCAGGGTCATAATGAGTGATTGATAAATGTGAGAAAAGGAACAGCCCCAAGAAGCTTGCTGTTAAACTTGCTGGAAAATTGGGGCAGGGGACACAGTTCCTATCATCACACAGTGAGTTCCTACATGACACCATTGGAGAGATTTCCCTTGAGCTTCACCACCAGGAACAAGATCAGCCATGCATTTCGTGGTGCACAGCTGTGGACTGTGTGTGTGCACTTCCTGAGGGCCACTGCAAATACTACTACTTGTTGGTTTCTCCCTTTGCATTGGCTGCTAGGAAGCTCAGAGCCAAATCTTCAGCTGAGCTCTAAATAACACAGAGGAACTCATGGCATGAATTTTGTTTACTGAAACTACTTTGAGCAGCTTCCCATTTTTCTTTTCCTTTCCCCCTAGCTTCCTCGTGTATCTTTTTAAAATCTAGAACAAGGGTTGGAAAACTACAGCTTGTGGGCCAAAGCTGGCCCACCACTTGTTTTTATAAATAAAGTTTTATTGGAGCACAATCATGCCCATTATTTATGAATTGTCTACGACACTCTTGTACCGCAATGGCAGGGTTGAGTAGTTGCAACAGAGACCATATGGCCCACAAAGCTGAAAATATTTCCCATCTGGCCTTTTACTGAGAGTCTGCCAACTCCTGACCTACAACAAGGTGCATTTTAATAATTTGCCTCGAATCCTTTTCAGACTGGGGATAAGGATGGGCAGTTGGACAGGTGGATGGACAGACAGCTGTGGTGGCAATGCTGAAGACAAGGTTATCTAGGACCATGTCCACAGCCCAGGGTCTCCTTAAATCCATGCCAAAGCTGGAACAAACATGGGATTGCAGAGGAAATATTTAGTGGAGACCCAATTTGTACCAGAATGTGCAGTACTCAAAATACCAGCATAATATTGTGATGTAATAGGAAATATATATTTGGTCTCTGTCCCTAATCCTTGACACAGAGCTCCTAATCCCTTGGAACTAGAGAGTCTCTTTTGTTGACAGGAGCATCTTTGGTTCTAATGAGGTGACTCTTGGTGGGTTCCTGGACAGGAACTGGTCAACAGAAAGATCAAGCCATGATTAGAGGTTGGAACTTTCAGCCCCACATCCCATCCTCTGAGAAGGGGAGAGGGGCTAGAGGTTGAGTTAATAAGCGGTCATGCCCGCATGATGAAGCCACCATAGAAATCCCTGAACCATGGGGTTCACAGAGAGCTTCTGGGCTGAACACACAGAGGGTGGTGAGCCCAGAGAGGGCGGGGAAGCCCAGCATCCCTTGCCCTATACCTTGCCCTATGCGTCTCTTCCATCTGGCTGTTCTCAAATCATATCCTCTATAATCAATGAATAAATATATGTAAAATGTTTCTCTGAGTTCTGTGAGCCATTTTCGCGAATGATCAGACACAAGATGGGAGGAGGTTATGGGGACCTCCAAGTTACAGCCAGTTGGTCAGGAGGCAGGGGAAGGCTCAGAAGCAGAGGGAGGACAGGAAGGGTCTATAGGAACCTGAGTGAGGGGGAGGATCCCTCCTCCAGGAAGCCCTCCCGAGCCACTCCAGCTCTGGAGAGCTCACCAAGCACAGTGGGCAGCAGAACCTAGGTTCTTCCACCGTTATGAGAGCATTCATGGTATATAACACAAAGAATTATAATACTCTATAAGTAATAATGTATAAAGGGTGGCTCATGCCTGCAGTCCTGGCATGTTGGGAGGCTAAGGCTGGGAAATTGCTTCAGGCCAGGAGTTCAAGACCAGCCTGAGCAACATAGCAAGACCCCGTTCCTACAAAAAAAGTACAAAAATTATCCAGGTGCGGTGGTGAGCCTGTGATTCCAGCTACTAGAGAGGCTGAGGGGAATGGTGTCTGAAGTTGGGGGCAGTCTCGCACACTTAACATGTGGGGTCTGATGCTACCTCCAGGTATATAGAGTCAGAACCGAGACCATTTGTAGGACACCCAGTTAGTGTCCACCAGAGAACTGCTTGATGGGGAAAAAGACCCCCTGTTCCTGGCCACAGAATTATCCTGTACTGAGCATTAAGAGGAGAGCAGCAGAAAAGAGTTTGTTTTTTCCGATTACACCTGCAGCAAAGATGGTAGCCAGCTACTGAGCATGCTCACTGGCCCTGGCTTGGAATTCAAATGCAGGGCTCAGTTCACCATTAGGACAACCCTAAGAAGCAGGTGGAGAAACTGAGGCACAGAAGGGCGAGTGGTCCCAGAGGCAGCCGTGGCCGAGTTGGGACTTGAACCCAAGTGGTCACCCCTGGACCCTAGGCTCCTGAGCACCCCACCATAGTGGACACATGAGTAGGTAAATATATCCTCAGACATGAGACCAGACGGAGACGCACATTCCTTGGGATCACTAGTGATTTTTATTTCATTCCTTTTTACATGATTATTATTATTACTATTTTAGAGTCAGGCTCATTTCACTATTGCCCAGGCTGGGCTGCAATGCTGCAATCTTACAGCTCGCTGCAGCCTCCAACTCCCAAGCTCAAGCAATCCTCTCGCCTCAGCCTCCCAAGTAGCTGGGACTACAGGTGCATGCCACCACATCTGGCTATTTTTTAAAAATTTTCTGTACAGATGGGGTCTATGTTGTCCAGACTGGTCTTGAATTCCTGAGCTCAAGCAATCCTCCCACCTCAGCCTCCTGAGTAGCTGGGACTACAGGTGCACCCCACCACACCTGGCTAATTTTTTTTATTTTTTGGAGAGATGGGGTCTTGCTATATTGTGCAAGCTGCTCTTGAGCTCCTGAACTCAAGCAATCCTCCTGCCTCAGCCTCCCAAAGCCCTGGGGTATGACTCAAGGTGCCCAGCCCTTTATACATTATCCTTTAAGCCATCTACAACGAACACTCTCATAACAACGCAAAAAAGAAACAAAGGGCCAAAGTGAAGAAGTGAACACCACCCTCTTTTCATGCCCTCAGTGGCACCAATGGGGCTGACTTGGGCGTGGTCTCAGGGGAACAGAAGAGGGGCCTCTGAGTGAGGATCTCCCATATCCCAGGACACCAGCCTTTTGGCCTCTGTGGTCTCCCTGCCTCCTCGCAGGCCACCTGGGGACCATTACCTTGCTGGGGTGATCTTTGCAGACAGCTGCAGCCGAACAGCCCTGGGGGCACTGAGGACAGCCTGGTGGAGAAGGACACTCACACCCCAGCCCCGGCTGCTCCTCCGAGTGTCCTGGCTGGCGTCGACCTCCAGCAGAACCAGCTCCCGGCCAGACATTTGCACAGATAGAGACCCGTTGAGGCTGCGCACTCTGTAGCGCCCGGCAGCTGCCTGCACCTGCAGGGAGGCAGGGGAGGGACAGGAAGGGTCTATGGGATCCTGGGTGTGGGGGAGGGCTGCCTCCTTCTCCATGAAGCCCTCCTGAGCCACTCCAACTTTGAGCACTCACCAATCATGGTAGACAGCACACAATTAAGAGGAGAAATGAGACAGAGGGAGGAATGGGGGAGATAGCCTACCCTGGCTCCAGCTCCTGGCCCAGGGGTACAGTCCCATCTTGTCCTTTCCACCACATGTGAAATGGGAGTTCTTACTGTACAAATGGGGAAACTGAGGCACTGAAAGGGTCACATATGCCACCTGAGTCTGCCTAGCTCTAAAACTCGTGCTGGTGCCTGAAGGGGGCTGGTGGGGGAAGCAGAGGACATCTTTGCAACTCCTCCACAGAAAAGGAGGCCCCAGAGAGTGCCCCACGGGAACCAGAGGACCCAGAACTTCTGAGGTTCAAAGAGGATGGCATCTGGGTACCCAAGTGGTCAGGCTGGGGTGAACATGTAGCTAGTCCCAACAAGGGTGCTGAAGGGAGCAGTGGGGAGGGGAGCAGTGGAGGGTGGGAGCAGAGAGGTCCAAGGCTCCACCAGCTCCCAAGGGACGTGAGCCTATCCCTTTCCTGATCTGGGCCTCAGTTTCCCCATCTGCAAAGCAGGTTTAGCCCCATGGTTCTCAATCCAGCCTGTGCATTACAATCACAGGAAAAGTTTTTTTTTTTTTCTTTTCTGTTCTGAGACGGAGTCTTGCTGTGTCACCCAGGCTGGAGTGCAGTGGCACAATCTCGGCTCACTGCAACCTCTGTCTCCCAGGTTCAAGCAATTCTCCTGCCTCAGCCTCCCGAGTAGCTGGAAATACAAGTGCCCGCCACCATGCCCAGCTAATTTTTTTTTTTGTATTTTTAGTAGAGATGGGGTTTCACCATGTTTCCCAGGTTGGTCTCGAACTTCTGACCTCAGGTGATCTGTCTGCCTCGACCTCCCAAAGTGCTGGGATTACAGGCGTGAGCTACCATGCCTGGCCTGGAAAGGTTTTAAAAGAATGCCTGGTGCTTCCTTAGATGAGCTGCTGAATAAAACATGATACACCCAGACAATGGAATATTATCTAGTGCTAATATAAAATGAGCTATTAAGCTGAAAAAGACATGGAGGAAACTTAAATGTATGTTACTAACTGAAAGAAGCCCATCTGAAAAGGCTGCATACTGTATTCCAACTCTATGACATTCTGGAAAAAGGCAAAACCACAGATAGTAAAATGATCAGTGGTTGCCAGGGGGTGGAGTGTAGGAGGAGGGATGAAAAGGTAGAACCCAGAGGATTTTTTAGGGCAGGGAAACTGTTATGAATGATGCCGTAATGGCAGATCCATTACGTTGTATCAATCTGTCAAAATCCACAGGCTGGCAGGGCACGATGACTCACACCTGTAACCCCAGCCCTTTGGAGACCAAGGCAGGAGGACTGCTGAAGGCCAGGAGTTGAGACCAGCCTGAACAACAGAGCAATACCCGCATCTCTACAAAAAATTAAAACATTAGCTGAGCGTGGTGGCATGCACCTGTAGTCCCAGCTACTCAGAAGGCTGTGGTGAAAGGATGGCTGGAGCCTGGGTGGTGGAGGCTGCAGTGAGCCATAATCATGCCACTGCTCTCCAGCCTGGGTGACAGAGTAAGACCCTGTCTTAAAAATTAAAATTAAAATTAATGTTTGAGCTGGGCACAGCAGCTCACACCAGTAATCCCAGAACTTTGGAAGGCTGGGGCAGGCAGATCACTTGAGGTCAGGAGCTCAGGACCAGCCTGGCCAACGTAGTGAAATCCCATCTCTACTAAAAATACAAAAAATTATCTGGGTGTGGTGGCGCATGCCTGTAATCCCAGCTACTTGGGAGGCGGAGGCACAAGAATCGCTTGAACCTGGGAGGCAGAGGTTGCAGTGAGCCGAGATCATGCCACGGCACTCCAGCTTGGGTGACAGAGCGAGACTCGGTCTCGAAAAATACTAATGATAATAATGTTTGCACTCATTAGATGACCCAGCATCCAAGCTTCCAGGGCAACCCACCCCCACTCCCCGATGAGTTCGGGGGATCGATCGCATGCGCTCTGAAACCAGAATGCCTGGGTTCCCACCCAAGATCTTCCACTGGTGAGCTCCATGATCTTGGGCAAGTCACGCCACCTCTCTAAATCTCAGAGCCTCACCCACAAAATGACAACGGTGCTCCATGCCCCCCCACAATAGCATCATGAGGTGACCATGAGCTAATCCACAAAGAGGGTTTAGAACAGAGCCTGCCACGCAATCATTTCACAGACATCAGCTCCTGGAACAAATGGTTAATATGATGACATTTCCTCCAATCTAAGATGCCAGCAGCTCTCAAATGGGCCAGATCTCTGGGAACTCCACAAAAGCAAAAGGTTGCTAGTGAAACGGTGACCTGTGTCAAGGTGAAGATACAGACTGACTTCAGGGACATCAACCTGTGAAAGCTCATGCCTCTAAGAATAAGCAGTTCCCTCCATTCAGAGCCATTCTCGGGCTCCATTCAAGTTTCTAAAACCCAATACACAGGGAATGAACAGCAGGTGTTTAAAAAAATGCTATCAGGGCTGGGCGCATTGGCTCATGCCTGTAATCCCAGCACCTTGGGAGGCCAAGGGAAGAGGATCACTTGAGCCCAGGAGCTCAAGGCCAGCCTGGGCAACATAGCGAGACCCTGTCTCTGCAAAAAAAAAAAAAAAAAAAAAAAGTACAAAAATTAGCTGGGTGTTGTGGCAGGTGCCTGTGGTACCAGCTACTCAGGAGGCTGAGGTGGGAGGACCGCTTGACCCCAGGTGGTCAAGGCTGAAGTGAGCCATGATTATGCCACTGCACTTCAGCCCAGCTAACAGAGTGAGATCCTGTCTCAAAAGAAATTTTAAAATGCTATCGGGCTAGGTGCGGTGGCTCATGCCTGTAATCTTAGCACTTTGGAAGGTTGAATCAGAAAGACAGCTTGGGGCCAAGAGTTTAAAACCAGCCTGGGCAACATAGTGAGACCCCACCTCTAATTTTTTTTATTGCTGTCAAATTAATGGTGTGCCCCATGTCTCCTGAGGGCCTCATCCCTGTTGGGATTCCCTATTTACACCTCCACATCCTTGAATTAGCCACCCCCTAATTTCTGTGCACACACCATGCACAGCCTGCTCAATGAAGCCACAAATTTGGTGGGGGGGACAGGGCTCCCACCTGGATGTCTTTCTCCACCTCCAAAATGCCCCGGGTCAACAAAGCCCTCTTGAAGGATTACATGGCTTCTCCCAAGCCCAAATATAGGGTAGAGTTTGGAGGAAAACTCTGCTTCTGCCCATTTTCAAGAGTGAAATGTGATCCTTCACCCCCTTCAGCCTGGACCATCACTTCCAAATGATGGATGTGGAAACCTCCCTGCCATCTGTTCTTGATTCTACAGGGCTGTTTGGCTAAGCACAACATTGCAAGTGTGGGCTCCCTCCCTCGGGCCCCCATCCTGCCTTCTTTCTGCCCATCTCCCAGCAGGCCAGCTGCTCAGAGACAACCCTTGGCAGGCGAGTCAAGGTCATCTCCAAGGGAGCAACGTCCACACCTGGAAGTTTGGAGGAAATGTTGGTCCGTGAGGATGCCTGAGTTGGAAGAAAAATGCAAAGTCGGAGTCAGATCCGTTCAGCTGGACCGAGGCCTGTTGCAGGGAGAGTTGAAGAGGGGTCAGAGGGAACAGAGAGAGAGATGCAGAACACTAGGAGGTGGCTACTGGGCAAATGCATCCCAGAATATGCCCAAAGCTCAAACCAGAAACTTCTGTCCTCCCTTAATATTCCTCAGCCCTCAATCTTATGCAGGCTGTGCTACTGAAAAAGGTTGCTTAGGAAGTGACATCCTGGATGGGGGGCTGGGAAGACCACTCTGGAACCCCCTACTCCCTGCCATGTTGCCTGTTCATGCCTCCCACAGCCACACCACCTTCTACTTGACCCTGACCTTGAACCAGGCACTGTGCTACCAGGTTCACAATGACCACCTCATTTAATCCTCAGCAGTGCTTTGCTGGGTTGCTGTTACCATCCCATTTCCCAGCTAGCAAAACTGAGGCTCAGTGGGATTCAGTAATTCACCGAAGGTTACACAGCTAGTTAACAGTGGAACTTGGAATTGAACTTGAACTTATATAACACTAAAAGCCCACTAGATTGAAAGCTCCTCAGAGATGGGAACAGAGATGGGGACAGTGTCACCCAGCAGAGATACAACCCATCCATGCTGAATGAATGGACAGGAATGAACACGTCCACGGATGAACAAATGAACAGCCATGAATGAGTAAATATACCTACAATGGCTGCTATATATTCACCAAACTACATTTCCTTTTCTTCCTGGACATATAGCTAAAACTACATTTCCCAGCCTCCCTTGCAGCTAGGTGGGATCATGTGATGAGAACCCAGGCAGGAATGACCTTTCTACCTATGGGTCTGGCACATAAAAGCCTCCTACATAATTCTCCACTCTCTGTCCCTCCATCTGCCTGCTGGGGCACAGCCACAAGGTGGGGAGGCCTGGATCCTGAGAGACTGCATGGAGCAGAGCCACGCTGAACTGCACATGAACACTGGCCTTTCACAAAGAGCCAAACATTGTTTACAACAACAGTCAATGCATCCTGACTAATCACACACACACTGCCAAAATAAGGGCTGTGCTGTTGGCTCCCCAGGGTCATGTCTCCTGCCACCTCCTCAGACATCTCATACAGGGCACCTTCACTAAAGGTTATTAAGACCCGGCCTCCCTCGGCAAGGGAGCAGAACTCAGTCTCCTGACCTGGGATGTGACGTTGTGATTGACGGCAGCTCGTGCATCCATGCCAAAGTTGAATGTTCCTTGGGGACTCTGTCTAAAGATGATGCCCCCATCCAAGCTCAGGGCCTGGGGGAAGCTCAGCTGGGAAGAAATAGACAACACCCTTTACTTCCGCTAACAGCCAAGCTCTGGGTGGAGGGCACAAACCAGTGTCTGCCCAATCTGGGGACCCATACCTGGTAGGAATGGGCCAAGTCCAGGGCCAGGCTGTGCCGGATTTCCCCATGCTGAGATCTGTCATGATGCAAACCCTTCAAGTGCAGGACAACTTTCCGGTGGACTTTCAAAGTGGCCTCGACCTCTCTGTTCTTAGCCTGGGTGTGTGAGAACCAGGGGCACTGAGAGAGGTCTCATCCCATCTCTATGTGCCTGCAGAAGCTACCCTGGGAATCCAGTGGTCAGAAGAAAGTAGTCCAAAGATTGATGGGTTATGGAGCAGTCTACACTCTTCCACTTATAGGGCAGGAAGCGGGGATGGGTACACAGGAATGGTAAACTTCAGTGCCTACAGGTAAGATTAGCAGGGTGGGCTTGATGGAACAAATGTGAATGTGTCTTGCTCAAAGAAAGTGCCTTGGGAGTAGTTTATTTTGTTCATTGCCATATTCCTAATACTTAGCACAGGTCCTGGCATGTAGTAGGTGCTCAATAAATATTTGGACAAATGCAGAATCACTAGTTATAGCCTGAAACCCCAAGGTCAAAGCTGTGCTAGAGTGAAAGAATGAGTAACTCATAGTGGAGCTGGCAGAAGAACACTCATTGCACGATGACATCCATGTCCTCATCACTGGAACCTGTCAATATGTGACCTTTCATGGCAAAAGAGACTTTGCAGTGTGATTGGATTGAGGATCTTGAGATGAGGAGATTATCTGGGTGGCCCTAAAGTAATCACAGGGGTCCTATGAGACGGAGGCAGGAGGGTCAGAGTCACACAGAGACTGGAAGATGCCACGCTGTTGGCTTTGAAGGTGGAAGAAGGGGCCATGAGCCAAGGCATGCAGGCAGCTTCCACAAGCTGGAAAAGGAAAGGAAACAGACTCTCCTCTGGAGCCTCCAGAAGGAACACAACCCTGCTAATACCTTGATTTTAGCCACGTGAGATCCATTTTGGGCTTCTGAATTCCAAAACTGTAAAATCTGTGGCGTTTTAAACCACTAAGATTTCAGAGATTCGTTATGGCAGCCATAGCAAACTAATACACAATTACTCCATCATTTATTCACTCAACAATCATTTAGCTTCTGCCACAGGCCAAGTACACAGTAGCATGTTGCCATCTTTTCCTACCTGTGTTGACTGAGAAGTTAAAAATGCCTGCCAAGGAGCTTTATCACTGGAGTGCATCTTTAAAGGGTGCTCGGCTTTACTTTAGAACCAAGATGGAGGAAGAGAAATAAGGGTCCAAGACGAGAGAAAAATGTATGTCATTAAACAGCTTATTTTATTCTATTTTATATTTTATTTTATTTTAGAGACAGCCTCGCTCTGTCACCCAGGCTGGAGTGCAGTGGCGTGATCTCGGCTCACTGCAACCTCCACCTCCCAGGTTCAAGCGATTCTCCTGCCTCAGCCTCCTGAGTAACTGGGATTACAGGAGCCCGCCACCATGCCTGGCTAATTTTTTTTGTATTTAGTAGAGATGGGGGTTTCACCATGTTGGTCAGGCTGGTCTCGAACTCCTGACCTCAAATGATCCGCCTGCCTCGGCCTCCCAAAGTGCTAGTATTACAGGCGTGAGCCATCTCGCCCAGCCTAGACACGGTTTTAAAAAGAGCAGACAGCTAAATTATATGAAACTAAACGACTGCCATTTACTCAGTCAGACCCTGTTGTTGTCAGCTGGGATTTGAGGCTTGGTGTGGTCACACCGTCTGATTTTCTTCTTATAAACACTGGAAATCTGGGTTTTACTCAAAATCTTCTGATTTTCAATGGTAGCAATTAATTTCCTTAAAAAATTTAAATGCTAAGCAGACCAAACAAAACCCATCTGCAGGCTGAATATGGCCCATGGCGCCGGCTCTGCAATCTCTGGTTTAAGAAACAGCAAACACCATCGGGAGCCACTTCTGCAGGTGTCTAAGGCTGTCATCCTGCCATTTGTTTCTCCCTAGAAGCTCCAATAACTGTACTACCTTATCCCCGGGGAGCCACACGCAGCCTCGTTTAACTAATGGTGAAGGGAGCCCCCAGAAAGGTGGGTCTCAATGCTCAACAGCTGCCTGGTTCACCCTCCTTCCCAGGGGCTGTTGTGTATCTTGCAAATAGAAATGGCCGGGCGTGGTGGTTCATGGCTGTAATCCCAGCACTTTGGGAGGCTGAGGCCGGGGGATCACCTGAGGTCAGGAGCTCGAGACCAGCCTGGCCAACATGCAGAAACCCCAACTCTACTAAAAGTACAAAAATTAGCCGGGTGTGGTCATGGGAGCCTGTAATCCCAGCTACTCGGGAGGCTGAGGCAGGAGAATCACTTGAACCCAGGAGGCAGAGGTTGCAATGAGCCGACATTGCGCAGCTGCACCCTAGCCTGGGCAACAGAGCAAGACTCGATCCTCAGTCTCAAAAAAAAAAAAAAAAAAAAAAAAAAAATGATCGGAGGGGTCTGTGCATGAACCTGGGACGTGGAGGTTGCGGTGAGCTGAGATCAAGTCATTGCACTCCAGACTCCAGCCTAGACAACAGAGTGAGACTCTGTCTTAAAAAAAAAAAAAAAAAAAAAAAAAGAGAGAGAGAGAGAAACAATGACTATCTTCCTTGCACACAGTAGATGCTCCATAAATGCTTGCTGAAAAATACGATGCTCTCCCAGAGTATCAACTCCTCCTAGAGGTGTCAGGAAGAAGACCCGGATGGGGTTCTAGTAGGCATTTTACAACGCTACATTGTAATCGTCACAGCCACTGCATAGAGATGAGTACTGCTGCTCCCATTCTGCACACAAGGAAACTGAGGTCCAGAGAGATGAAATAATTTGCCAAGGACACACAGGCAAAAACAAGTTTCACCCCTAGGGAGCCACATGTCAAGACCCTCAGCCAGGGGTGGTGACTCTTATCTGTAATCCCAACACTTTTTTTTTTTTTGAGACCAAGTCTCTCTCTGTCACCAAGGCTGGAGTGCAGTGCTGGGATCTCGGCTCACCGTAACGTCTGCCTCCCAGTTTCAAGTGACTCTTGTGCCTAAGCCTCCGGGGTAGCTGGGATTATAGGCACCTGCCACTATGCCCAGCCAATTTTTATAGTTTTTTTTTTAGTAGAGATGGGGTTTTACCATATTGGCCAGGCTGGTCTCGAACACCTGACCTCAAGTGATCCACCCACCCTGGCTTCCCAAAATGCTGGGATTACATGTGTGAGCCACCACACCTGGCCCAATCCCAGCACTTTGGAAGGTGAGGCAAGAGGATCCCCTGAATCCAAGAGATCAAGACCAGCCTGGGAAACACAGTGAGACCTCCATCTCTACAAAACATCTTAAAATGAGCTGGGTGTGGTGGTGCACACTTGTGGTCTCAGCTACTTAGGAGGCTGAGGTGTGAGGGTCACTTGAGCTTGGGAGGTCAAGGCTGCAGTGAGTGAGCCATGATCGCACCCCTGCCCTCCAGCCTGGGTGACAGAGCAAGACCCTGCCTCAAAAAAGACCCTCTAAGTCAGGGGTCAGCAACTACAGCCCCTGGTCCAAATGTGGCCTGTTTTTGCAAGTGAAGCCCTGTTGGGACACAGCCACGCCCGTTCATTACGTATTATTCACGGTGCTCTTGAATTGTAACGGTAGTTATGAGTGAACAAGACCTGAACCATGTGGCCCATGAAACCTAAACTAGTTACTATCTGGTTCTTTCCAGAAAAGTTTGTTGACCTCTGCTCTGGATCCTGGCATGCAATGGGTGTTAAATAACATCATGACGGCAACTATTCATTGAGCACCTACTGTGTACCAAGCCCTGTGGCTACGGTGGTAAAGTACTCATGGAGATCATGAGCTTTCCAGAGGAGCCAGGGATTGATGGATCACACAAAAATAGAACTGGGGCCAGGTACGGTGGTTCACACCTATAATGTCAGCATTCTGGAGGCCAAGATGGGAGGATGGCTTAGAGTCCAGGAGCTCAAGACCAGCCTGGGCAATATAGCAAGACTCTGTCTCTACTAAAAATAAAAATAAAAAATAACCAGGTGTGGTGGTAATGTGTGCCTGTGGTCCCAGCTACTTGGTAGGCTGAGGTGGGAGGATCACTTAAGCCTAGGAGGACAAGGCTACAGTGAGCTGAGATTGTGCCACTGCACTACAGCCTGGGTGACAGAGTGAGACTTTGTCTTTAAAAAAAAAAAAAAGAACTGGGATTTGTGATAGGTACTAAAAGCGAAAGCTATAGGGCAAGCTGGGTGCAGCGGTAATCCCAGCACTTTGGGAGGCCAAGGCGGGCAGATCACTTGAAGTCAGAAGTTTGAGACCAGCCTGGCCAACATGGTAAAACCCAGTCTCTACTAAAAATACAAAAATTAGCCAGGAGTGGGAATGCACGTCTGTTATCCCAGCTACCTGGGAGGCTGAGGCAGAAGAATCACTTGAACCTGGGAGGCCGAGGTTGCAGTGAGCTGAGACTGCACCACTACACTCCGGCTTGAGCGACAGAGTGAGACTCTTTCTCCAAAAAAAAAAAAGAAAGAAAAAGATATAAGGCATCGCTAGGGTAAGCACGGGTCTGTGTGAGGTGGTCTGGGGGTCAGGTGAGAGGATGCTTGAGCTCAATCCTAAAAGATGAGTAGAAGGGAGGAGGCAAAGCTGAAGGAGAGGGTGACGGCTCCAGGCACACAGGACACGCAGAGGTCCCGAGGCAGGAAAGAGCCAGGCGAGGAAATGCGAAGAGGCTGGATGAGGCAGATGCAGGCCACGAAGCAGGGCTGAGGGGACAGGACTGGGGCTTTATCCCAAGAGAGGCTGTCAGAGTTTGAGAGCATGCGGGTGGCAGGGTTGTGCTGGCCTTCAGAATATATCCCTCTGACTGTCACATAGACTGTACTAGGGAGGACCAAATGAAACAGAGAACCCAGTCAGGAGAACCTTTTTTTTTTTTTTCCTGAGGCAGTGTCTTGCTCTGTGGCCCAGGCTGGAATGCAGTGGCGTGATCTCAGCTCACTGTAACCTCTGCCTCCTGGGTTCTCCTGCCTCAGCCTCCTGAGTAGCTGGGACTGCAGGTACCTACCACCATGCCCATCTAGTTTTTATATTTTTAGTAGAGACAGGGTTTCACCATGTTGGCCAGGATGGTCTGGAACTCCTGACCTCAGGTGATCTGCCCGCCTTGGCCTCCCAAAGTGCTAGGATTACAGGTATGAGCCACCACACCTGGCCAGGAGAACTTTTTTGTGTGTGAGGTTGGGGGGCGGGGGAGTGGTGTCTGAGTCTTGCTCTGTTGCCCAGGCTGGAATGCAATGGTGCAACCATGGCTCACAGAAGCCTCAACATCCTGGGCTTAATCAGATCCTCCTGTCTCAGCCTCCCCAGTAGCTGGGACTACAAGCACATGCCACCATGCCTGGCTAATTAAACAATTTTTTTTTCTTTTGTAGAAACAGGGTTTCCATATGTCGCCCAGATGGATCTCAAACTCCTGGTCTTAAGCGATCTTCTCACCTCAGCCTCCTGCGTAGCTAAGATTACAGGTGTGAGCCACTGCACTCAGTCCAGATAACATGTTTTCAATCCTATTGAGCGATGACAGCAACTTGAACCAGGGCTGGCTGGGGTGCAAAAGTCTCTGGGGTCTCTGCTCTTACCGTGTGCTGATTCCAAGTAACCAGGCACCCCTCTGTGTTCCTGGGGATGACTTTGCCATCGTATGGATGCATCAGACCTGCACAGACCTGGGAGGGACAACCACATACATGTACACACGCATGCAGGGAGTGAGGAGGCAGCTGGGGCCTTCCTCTGGCTCTCAGGCCCCTTCCGGGCTATGCCCCAGACACACTCACGTAGGGGTGTCCGGCCTGGCAGCCCAGGACCATGGTCTGCAGGGTTTCCTCTCGGCCATTCAGGACAACCCTAGTCTCCAGGGAATAGCGCTGGTGTCGCCTATCAGCTGTGAAGGTCTCCTGCAGGAGGAGGCTCTGCGGGATGGGCAGGTGCAACGGGTGCCTGGTGTGCAGAGGGAAAAACAGGCCAAAGCCATTAAAGCAGCTGGCAGTGCCAGGGGACAATTGTGCCCCACGGTCTCAGCCTGGGCCTGTCACGAGCTTGCAGAGTTAAGACTCTGCCACAGAGAAGAGAACATCAGGACACCTGGCAGCCCTATGCTTTACAATGTGGCATCCAGAACCCTTCACCACCTCACTGTGCCAGAGAAGTGGGCATGGCTGGGGTCCCCGTCGCCATTTGACAGCAAAGACCCAAGAGGATAGATGACACACAGCATCTGGTGTCACACAGACTGGGATTAGAATCCAGGCACGGTCTTTCACTAGCTGTGTGACCTTGGGAAAAGGACTTGACTGTTCTGTGCCTCAGTTTCCCCATCTGTAAAACGGAGGCTAAAATAATACTGATTGGACACAGTGGTCAGGGTTAGAGATAACATACATGAAACGACCACAAGCTCCCCAAGGGCAAAGGTTTCTGACATTCCGGTTCTCTGCCATTTTCCATGTGCCCAGAAGAGCACTTGGTCCATAGTATGTGCTCAATGAATGTAAATGGGATAAAAACACGAACGAACACTCTGCCAACGATGCTGCTGTTCCTTTGTCATCACTGCTTCTGTTTAGGCTGTAGCTGACTTATCTAAGGCCATACAGCTGCTCAATGCATAGCCCGCAGTCCAAGATGGCTCTGCTCGTCCTAACCTCGTGCTGTTCCCTGCACACAGGGAACTGTTTGAATGAGCTCGTCTCTGGGAAATGAGAAGACGCCCCAAGCAGCTCCAGGCTAGGATGATGAGACTCTTAACTCTGCTCCCACCTCAGCAACTAATGGAGGGGGCGAGGGATGTGGGAGCTTTCAGGGGAGGTGGCTCTTCTCTGGGATTTAGGTTCCATCTGGGCCCCAGCAGGTCAGCAGAGATTCTCCAGGTAGCTCTGCCCATCCTGTTCCCCCTGGGGATGCTCCGTGCTAGAGAAGGGGAAACTTGCAGGGGTGTCAGCTGAGCAGAAGGGGCGCACATACCTAAGGAGCAAGGCCCCCCGTTTCCGGTACAATGTCCTGTCTTGCCTCAGCTCCTCCAGCTCTCCTTCCAACTGCAGGCCCCGAGGCTGGCCCTGGGCACCAATCCGCACAGCCGTGAGCGACACCTGGGTCTTCCGGGGCTGCAACAAGATCCAGGCTGAAGAGAGGGACGGGCCAGCAGGACCAAGCTGCAGACCTGCCTTGCAGGAAGGCAAGAGGTAGCCCCCCACAACCTGCCCATCACCCCCAGAAATGACTATCCGAGAATGGCTACTGAACTGAGCCACAGCCTCCACCCTGATCAGACCACAGGATCCCACCGGCACACCACCATGGCTAGACCTCCCTAGGTACCCGGGGGAAAGAAGAACTTGGACTTCTCAGCTAAAGGAAGCCAAGTTTTGCTCCTGGATCTTTGCTAAAGTGACCAGGGTCCATTTCACAGGCCAAGAAACTAAAGCTTGTCTGGGCATGGTGGCTCATGCCTGTAATCCCAACACTTCGGGAGGCTGAGATGGGAGGGTAACTTGAGCCCAGGGCTTTAAGACCAGCCTGGGAAACAGCAATACCTCGTGTCTGCTAAAACAAACAAACAAACAAACAAACAAACAAACAAACAAACAAACAAACAAACGTCAGTGATGCATGGTGGCATGAGTGGCATGTGCCTATAGTTCTAACTACTTAGTAGGCTGAGCGGGGAGGATCCTTCAAGCCCAGACATTCGAGGCTGCAGTGAGCTATGACAGCATCACTGAACTCCAGCCTGGGCAACAGAATGAAACTGTCAAAAAATATATAAGAAAAGAAGGAAAAGGAAAAAGGAAAAGGAAAGAGAAAGAGAAATAGAGGCTCCAGGAGGCCCAAGGTCACAGGCCAAGCCAGTAGCACAAAGCCCTTTTCCATCCGAAGCAGGGAGAGAGGTAGGAAACCGAGGTGAGGGATTCGGTGGTCTCTTGGCTGCACGGGCCTCCTGGGTTCTTACCCACTCCAGGTGCCTGTAGGCCGCTGTTAGGTTCAGCTCCTGCTGGGGGCCTTTCAACCAGCAGTTCAGGATCTTACGGTCCCGGCTGTTCTCAGCATGGATCTCGCCCTGCACTGCTGCGTTCCAGGCTGACTCGAGTTCGCTCCAGCTGTGGAAGAGGCTCTGTGCCAAGACTGTCACTGTGGAAACCTGCAATGAGGTGAGGAGGGGGACCAAGGCCTTTGCACACCCTATTTCCTCCACCTGGGATACCCTTTCATCTCTTTCCTGCTTGGTGAACTCCTCTTCATCCCTCAAAACCCCTTCAATGCCATTTCTCTGACGCCTAACCTGACTGGTGCAGGTAGGCTAGTTTTCTCTACAGGGCCTTGAAACAAGAAGAAAAACTCCTCTCTGTTGCCCCAACCCTGAGCAGAAATAATTTCCTTTTCTCCTCTTCAGTTTGGGGAGGGAATCTGATCTTGTTGGGCCGCTATTACTAGTAGCCAGGGTGTCTGTACCCTGAAGGGCACATGCTGGCAGGTGGCCTTCTCTCCCTGCACCATCACCATGGTCTTCGGGAGTCCTAGGAAGAGGTGGGTGTCATCTGGCTCGTTTCAGAGCTAGGGGAGGTAGGGCATTTGCAGCCGCCACCCTGGCACAAGCCCCCCATGGGATGGTTCCCTGTTGGCCACCATCCCTTGTTCACACAACTCAGGGGTCTCACCAGGAGAAGTGACAAGGACAAGACAGGGTTTGGGCGTGGCTGAGCCTCCAACCCAATACCAGAACTTCGTAACACTTTGTCCCATGTCACTGATCCTTGGTTCCCCACCATCAACTTCCCCATTTCCTAGAATGGCACTTCCATCCCACCAGATGCTTGGGCCAAGACCTCAGAGCCATTTATTTCCTTTCCTTCACTCCTTCCCCACCACTAGTCCATCAGCAAATCTGGCATCTCCAGGATCTGGACACTTGCCGGCACCTCCACTGCCACCACCCCGGGCCAGGCCGCCATGCCCTCTGGTTGGGTGAAGGGCAGGAGCCGGCTAGCCGACCACACCTTGCTCTCCTGTCTTGGCATCCTCTGTTACACAGAGGCCTCCTCATGGTCCCTAAGATTACCACCGCTCTTGACTCCAACCTGGTGCCACCCAGCCCTGCCTCAGAGGGGACTGTGCTGCCCTCGGATGAGCCCAATCAAGGCCCAGACCTTCCCCACATCCACGCATCACCCAGACAGTCCACCCACCAGGCTCCCTCAGCCCTGCAGATGACACTCATGGCTTTTCTCCCAAACCTGTTCTTGCTTCTGCACCAAACGTGTGCAGAGAAGCAACATCATGACAGTCAGTAGTCGGCATCAAACCGACTTACGTCCTAGAAATTTTCACTCTGTTTTTTTGGCAAAAGCCGAATGTCCATCTGTTTCCAAAGTCCCGTTTGACTTGCTTTCCTATTTTATATTTCTCTCCCCGTCATCTGCCGAGCAGGGATGTGGGAAATCTAGATTTTCTTTTTTTAGGTCTAATTCTTCTACGTCACTTAGGAACTAAACTCTGATAGTTGCAGGCACTGGGAGGGCCAGACTTCACACACCTGTGAGCTGCTATCTGCCCACAGACCTCAGCTTTCATCCGCCTCTGCACCAGAAAAAGATCTCAGTGGCAGGGGACCAGACATATATCGGGGGCCGAGCACTGCTCACCCGGAGGTAGGTGGTAGCTGCGGTGTAAACCTGGATCTTGCCTTCCCTGTTGGGGCCCTGACTCCTGCAGCCCACGCTGACCACCAGGTCCTTTAGGGTCCAGGCCTTGCCCAGCGTTAGCTCCAGGACAGCCTGGAACACAGCTCGGTGTGGCCAGTATAGCCTGTGAGCTGCAGAGACCATCAGCCATGGACTATCCAGGTTCAAGGCTCCTGCAAGCAACAAAGAAGGAGAATCTGGTACACGGGGTAGAGAGGAAGCTTCTAGCAGGCAGCTGGAGGTCCCGAGAGTCTCATCACAGCCGCAATGGACAAATCTCAAAACTGGGAATAACTAGGCATGAGGGAACTTTCTAGGACGTTGGTAATGTTGTGACTCATGACAGGTGTTTGGATCACCCAGATGTATACACCTGTCAAAACTCATCCAATCGCACCATGGAGATTTATACATTTCACTGTGCTTAATGAAACACATGCTGAAACGTTTAGGAGTGAGAGGTATCCATGTCTACAATTTACTTTCAACTGCACGGAAAAAATAAGAGGGCTGGATATGCAGAGAGAGAGGTGATGAGGCAAGTGGGGTCAACTGTTAATAGCAGAACCTAGTATGAGAGGATGCTGGTAATCACTGTACCATTCATCCAACTCTTCTGAATGCAATTTTTTCATAATAAAACATTGGAAGGTCAAGCGCAGTGGCTCATGCCTGTAATCCCAGCACTTTGGGAGGCCAAGGCAGGAGGATCACTTGAGTCTAGGAGTTTGAGTCTAGCCTGGGCAACAAAGCGAGACCCCATCTCTACAACAAATACAAAAATTAGCCAGGCACGGTGGTGCTCACCTATATCCCAGCTACTTGGGAGGCTGAGGTGGAGGCTGCAGTGGCTGTAATGGTGCAATGCACTCCAGCCTGGGCAACAGAGGGAGACCCTGTCTCAAAACAAACAAACAAACAAACAAACAAACAAAAAACCAAACAAAAAACACAGGTAGAAATGCTGAGGGCTGTGAAGAAAAACAATAAAGAAGGAATTTGATAAAAATTGGTTAGGTCAGCAAAGGCTTCTAGGAGGAAGTGACAATTTACCTGATACCTAAATGACAGACAAGGGGGAGTTGATCAAAGGGGCAGGCAACCCACCCCTGCTGGAGACAGGAGATTTACTGTCTGGGGAAACTGAGGCAGACAGGCTCAGATGCAGGGACAAAGACACAGTGACGGGAAGGAGGAGCCGCGGAGTTGAGAATAGGGAGACATTGAAGAGTGGGCAGTCTGGTCCCTGCCCAGTTGCTCCCTTCCCACGGGAAGCGGGAAGATGGCACCACAGAAGAACAGAAGGAACGCACGGATCCCTGGAGAGCCAGGTCCCCACCCAGTTGCTTGATTGACAGGGAAACCCACCGGTCTGCACATGCCCCACCTATGTATAGCGCCTCTTTCCAAACAAGTTTTGAGTCTCCAATTAGTTTTCTATTTCATTCATGTTCTTTCAAGGTGATAAAGATCTTATTTCACTTTATAGATCACAGTTGTGATCTGGCAAACTCAGGCCCTCCAGAACATCTGTCTGGTTGCTCAGTTTTTTTGTTTGTTTTTTTTTTTTTTTTGCTTTTGAGGTCATGGTCATTCATTTATTTCTCATTACATTGGGCTGGGCCAAGAGTCATGCGCCAGTGTATAGATTATGTTATTCTGTTGCTTTCAGACAGAATTGGGATCCAGGTTCTAATTGTCTCCCAAGTTCAAGACCTGGATCAGAACCAGAAGAGAGTGGCCACTGCTGCGGGAGGCTAGGGGCTGCTGGAGGAAAGGCAGGAAACAGACCTAGAGCTGACCACACGCGGGGTTCATGATCAAGGGCGCCCCTCTGGGTACCCGAGGATCCTGCACACAGCTCATGGGTCAGGGAGCCCACAGCGGCCCCTCAAAGTGAATGGGGATGGCACAGGCCTGGGTTTGGAACTCCGGAGCTGGAAGGACAACTGCATCTGCCCAGGCAGGACCTGAAAACATGTTGTCCTTCCATTTGTATCCCAAAATCCTGTGTAGAGTCTTTCCATGAGGACAGGGCCAGGGCTGGCTCCTGGGCCTCTGGGTGGCCTCATGGGTCATTCAGTAAAAGTCCTGCAAACTTGTCACCATCTGGGGACATTCCTGCCAGTTCTTCTCCATGCCCTTCTGTGTGAGACACTGGGCAACTGCTTTAGGCCATTCCTGATTCTTCTTCCTCAACTCTTCAATTTCAGAAGATTTCTAATCTTTTAGGAAGCTCTGGATCTCCAGTTACTCCAAAGGTGAATTAACTGGTCCGATGAGTTTTCTGGTTCTTGGTTTCTTTTTCCTTTTTTACTTCCTGAGGGCTTCTAGTCATTTTAGTCAGATGTCTCACTTTCTCCACTTTTATTCCTGAGTTTTCTCCTGGGATCCTTTTTACGGCAGCCTTAGGGCCTAATCCTGGGTTGGCAGAGAACTAGCACTCACTCTCCCCTAATGGGATCCAGGAGAGTCAAGAGGTGGCCAAGTGTGGAAATGTGTTCTCTCCTCTCTGTTTCAGCGGGTCTCTTACTCGAAGTTTCATAAAAGGATTTTAAGGAGAATAGATTTTTTTAAATCTGTGCTCCAGAATATCAGATCCCTAACTTTGCTAAACTGCTGGTTTTAATTAAGTCCTCAGGCAGCTTCTGAGTACACTGAAAACATAATTACCCTGTTTGAAAACAGGGTAACCAATATTTTGAGCAGCCGACTCAAGCATAAGCACATATCCAAGGCTGGCTTAGCATTTGGGGGAAAGCCTCCAACAGGAAATACAGAAATAAAAAGAAAAAGGAAACTCCGAGGCAACAGATAAAACTCCCTGAAATTCTGTAACTTATACTCTAAGAGAAGACAATTGCATTCATGGAACAGGACGCTGTAAGAAAGGAACAACAACAACAAAAAAGAGCTCTTGAAAATATAAGATAATCCAAAATAAAAATGCTAGTAGAAGGGCTAGCATATGAAGTCGAGGAAATCGGCTCTTGAACAGAACCAAAGGACAAAGAAATAGAACAAAAGAGAAACAAGGAGGCCAGGTGCGGTGGCCCACACCTCTAATCCCAGCACTTTGGCAAGCAGAGGCAGGACGATCACTTGAGCCCAGGAGTTTGAGACCTGCCTGGGCAACATACTGAGACCCCATTCTCCAAAAAAAAGAAAAAGAAAAAAAGAAAAACGAGTTTGAAAAGAGAAACAGAGAAAACATTAGAAGCTCAGTTTTCTGAGGACCAACATCTAACCAATAGGAATTTCAGAACAAAGAAAGGAAATTATCAAAGAAACTGTAAGAGAAAATTACACAGACCAAAATGACATGTTTCCAAATTGAAACACCCTATGCTAAGGACCCAGTACAATGGAAGAACATAGATCCATACCAAGGTACCTCATAATGAGATTTACCACCAACAGGACTAAGACGAGCTCCTAAAAGCTTCTAAGACAGTGAGAAAAGGGTCACATACAAAAGATGATAAATCAGAAGAAGCATCAGATCTCCCAATTAATTCAAAACAATGGAGCAATGCCTTCAAAATCCCAAGAGAAAATTATTTCCAACCTAAAATTCTCCACTCAAACTGTCCCAGTAGAATGAAGACATTTTCAACATTTAGGGTCTCAAAATGTTTGTATTCTGTGATGGGTTAACTTGTGTTCCCCCAAAAGATTAATTGAAGTCTTAATCCCCAATCCCTCCCAATGCGACCTTAACTGAAAATGGGGTCATTGCAGATATCATTAAGTCAAGATGAGGTCATACGAGAATAGGACATGCCCTTAACCCAATAGAACTGATGTCTCTATTAGAAAAGAAAAATCTGGACACAGACACACACACACAGGGAGAATGCCACATGACAAAAGAGGCAGAGATTAGAGAGGATGCGGCTGTAAGCCAAGGAACACCAAGCTTCAACATCCATCACCAAATGCTTGGAAAAGGCAAGGGAGGGTTGTCCCCAGAGCCTTAGAGAGAACATGGCCCTGGTGGCTCCTTGACTCAAACTTACAGCCTTCAGAACTGTGAAAGAACAAATTTCTGTTGCTTTAAGCTGCCCAATTCAGTAATTAGTTACAGAACCCTTGGAAATGAATACACCTCCAATGTATGCTTTCTTTGGAAGCTACTGAAAGATGTACTCCATCAGAACAAAGGAATAAACCAAGAGATATGACACAGGTTTAAGAAAAAGGGATTGTGACCCAGAGGAGAAGTAAAAGGAATTCCCAGGTTGATGGAAAAGGGAGGCTGCAGAACCACAGCTGTGCAACTGGTCGTCTTTGGAGCAGGACTCAGGCTCCAGGAAGAGGGTCCCCAAGAAAAATAACAAAACTAATTGAAGTCAATGAACAATCTGATGTGTCTGACCACCTGGAAAAAAGTTTTGCAATGCTGCTGAAAATTCTGTAATTAGTAGACAAAAATTATAGAAAACTAATCAAATAGAAAAATAAAGGCAATTACAAAACTCCAGAAAAAAACAATAGGTCACCATGATAGGACACCATATATCTCAGCTATGTAAGACATTTATAGTTATAATTGGGTAAGCATCAGATGTTAACAAAAGGTAACTCTTTTAAGAAAATGGAAGAGAATATGTATTTGAAAGGGGCACCAATCTAAGAGTTAAATTCTTATCTTCTCTAGTAAGAAACCTATGGAGAAGGCCTAAAGCTGAAAAATCAAGAAATAACAGCATGATTATATTATTTTTAAATATGGAGAATATAAACAGAAAAAATGGCTAAAAGAATTTAGCGTGCTTACTGTTTTAAGCAAGACTTGGGGTAGGGGCCAGGCACAGTGGCTCACACCTGTAATACCAGCACTTTGGGAGGCCAAAGAAGGTGGATCACTTGAGCTCAGGAGTTCAAGACCAGCCTGGCCAACAGAGTGAAACCCCGTCTCTACTAAAAATAGAAAAATTTGCCAGGTGTGGTGGCACACACCTGTAATTCCAGCTACTTGGGAGGCTGAGGCACGAGAAGAGCTTGAGTCTTGGATGCAGAGGTTGCAGTGAGCCGAGATCGTGCCACTGCACTCCAGCCTGGGTGACAGAGTAAGACTCCGTCTCAAAAAAGAAAAAAAAAAAAAAAGAAAAAGAGAAACAAACAAACAACATAGGCAGATGTGACAAAGAGGATGTATAAACTTTAATCAACTTTTATAAACTTTAATCTTTTAGATTAAACTTTATAAACTTTAATCAACTTTTAGAAAACGTAGTTCAGGTCTACACAAGAGCAGAGAGCATAATACAATGAGCCCCCATGGGACCCAGCTTCGACAATGAGCAACTCACAGCCGAATTCACTTTTAAACAAGGTATCGCTTCGATAAAAATAAAAACTGAAAAAATGGAAAAAAAAATTCGTGGATAAAATTTTTTTTTTTTTTTCCTGAGGTGGAGTTTCACTCTTGTTGCCCAGGCTGGAGTGCAGTGGTGTGATCTCTGCTCACCGAAACCTCCGCCTCCTGGGTTCAAGCGATCCTCCTGCCTCAGCCTCCCGAGTAGCTGGCATTACAGGTGCCTGCCACCACACATGGCTAATTTTTGTATTTTTAGCAGAGATGGGGTTTCACCATGTTGGCCAGGCTGATCTTGAACTCCTGACCTCAAGTAATCCGCCCCCACACCCAGCCTCCTAAAGTACTAGGATTACAGGCGTGAGCCACCATTCCCAGCCGGTGGATTCATTTTTTAAAAGTGACAGACAGTGTTTTCGAGACACAAAGATCTGCAAATGCAAAGGCCCTGGAGTGTGTCTGGGGAACAAAAAGAGGCCTCTGAGCCTGCAGGATAACGAGCAAGGGGGAGAGTGGGGTGGGACAAGGCTGGAGAAGGAGGAAGGGCCTGACACTTGACTGGCAAAGGTAAGAAGTTACGATGTAATTATAAGCATCACGGCACTCATTAAAGATAAGGTTTTCGTTTGTTTGTTTTTAAAATTAAGACAGGTTCCTACTATGGTGCCCAGGCTGATCTCAGACTCCTGGCCTCGAGAAGTCCTCCCGCCTTGGCCTCCCACAGTGCTGGGATTACAGGCGTGAGCCACTGTGCCTGGCCCAGTTTGAGTCTTGAGTTAGCCTAGCCAACAAAAGGAAAAGGTGTTCCAGGAAGGAGGCATAGCTTGAGCAAAGGCCTGGAGATCAGAAACCTGAGCTGCTAGCCAAGGAGGCCCCACAGCCAACACTCACCTTCCCACTTCCACAGGGTGGCCCGAGATGTGTCCTTCCACTGCCCGCCTGCCACAAACAGCGGCCGCCCATTGTACTGCACCTTCAGGTGACTGCTGCTCTCCACATAGGGCAGGCGGAGGCTCAAGTGGTAAAGCTGCACGCGGCAATCCACCTGCCTCTCAGGCACCTGCAGCACAAACTGGAGAATGCCCACCCCCCCAAGATGCCAATGGGATCATGCCACCCCTGGCGTAGAATGTGCCCGGGAAGTTGAGGCAGCAGCGAGCCAAGATTGCACTACTGCACTCCACACGGGCAACGGGAGTGGAACGCAGTCCAAAAAAACAAAAAACAAGGAGCGTTGGTAAGGATGTGGAGAAATCTGAATTCTCATACGCTGATGGTGGGAATGTGAAATAGTGCAGCTACTGTGGAAAACAGTGTGGCAGTTTTTCAAAAAATTAAAGATCGGGCCGGGCACGGTGGCTCACGCCTGTAATCCCAGCACTTTGGGAGGCCGAGGCGGGTGGATCACGAGGTCAGGAGATCAAGACCATCCCAGCTAACACGGTGAAACCCCGTCTTTACTAAAAATACAAAAAATTAGCCGGGCATGGTGGTGGGCGCCTGTAGTCCCAGCTACCTGGGAGGCTGAGGCAGGAGAATGGTGTGAATTCAGGAGGCAGAGCTTGCAGTGAGCCGAGATCGCACCACTGCACTCCAGCCTGGGCACAGGGCCAGACTCCATCTCAAAAAAAAAAAAAAAAAAATTAAAGATCGAATTACCATACGCCCCAGAAATAACACTTCCAGGTATACATACAAAAGAATTGAAAGCAATAGAAAGAATCGAAAGCATCAGATATTTGCACACTCACGTTCATAACAGCATTTATTCACAATAGCCAAAAAATGGAAGCAACCCACATGTCCATCAACAGATGAACGGATAAACAAAATGCTGTCTATACAGACAATGGAGTATTCGGCCTTAAAAAGGAAGGAAATTTGACACATGCTACGATATGGATGAACCTTGAGGACATGCTAAGTAAAATAAGCCAGTCAAAAAAAGGACAGGACAGGCACGGTGGCTCACACCTGTAATCCCAGCACTATGGGAGGCCGAGGCAGGTGGATCACCTGGGTTCAGGAGTTCGAGACCAGCCTGGCCAACATGGTAAAACCCCTGTCTCTACGAAAAATACAAAAAATTAGCCAGGGCTGGGCGTGGTGGCTCACGCCAGTAATCCCAACACTTTGGGAGGCCAAGGCAGGCGGATCACCCGAGGTCAGGAGTTTAAGACCAGCCTGGCCAACATGGCAAAGCCCCATCTCTACTAAAAAATACAAAAATTAGCCGGGCGTGGTCGTGGGCGCCTGTAATCCCAGGTACTCAGGAGGCTGAGGCAGGGAGAATTGCTTGAACCCAGAGGCAGAAGTTGTAGTAAGCCAAGGTCGTGCCACTGCACTCCAGCCTGGGCAACAGGCTGAGACTCCATCTCAAAAAAAAAATTAGCCGTGTGTGGTGGCAGGTGACTGTAATCCCAGCTACTTGGGAGGCTGAGGCAGGAGAATCGCTTGAACCTGGGAGGCGGAGGTTGCAGTGAGCCAAGATTGCACCATTGTACTCCAGTGTGGGCAACAAAAGCGAAACTCTGTCTCAAAAAAAAAAAAAAAGACAAACGGTATGATTCCACGGCTCTGTGTTAGCTAGAGTAGTCAAAAATCCGAAACAGAAAGTAGAATGGTGCTTTCCAGGGACTGGGAGAAGGAGAGAATGGGGAGTCAGCATTTCCTGGTTATAGACTTGCAGTTTTGCAAGTTCTGGAGATAAGTAGTGGTGATGGTTGCACAAGAATGTAAATGCATGTAATGCCACCAAACTCCAAAATGGTTAAAATAGTAAATATGGCCGGGTGTGGTGGCTCATGCCTGTAACCCAGCACTTTGGGAGGCTGAGGTGAGCGGATCACCTGAGGTCAGGAGTTCAAGACCAGCCTGGCCAACATGGAGAAATCCCGTCTCTACTAAAAATACAAAAAAATTAGCCAGACGTGGTGGCAGGCACCTGTAATCCCAACTACTCAGGAGGCTGAGGCTGGAGAATTGCATGAACCCAGGAGGCGGAGGTTGCAGTGAGCCAAGATCATACCATTGCACTCCAGCCTGGGCGACAGAGCGAGACTCCATCTCCAAAAAAATAAAAAATAAAATAAATAAATAAATAAATAAAAAACAGTAAATTTTACATGATGTATACTTAGCCACAATTAAAATTAAAAGTTAATATTTAAAAGATCATTTGCAGGACTGGATGTGAAAAGGGAAAAAATATCCTAAACCAATTTTTTTTTTTTTTTTTTTTTTTTTTGAAAAGGAGTCTCGCTGTTTCGCCCAGGCCAGACTGCAGTGGTGCGATCTCGGCTCACTGCAAGCTCCGCCTCTGGGGTTCAAGCCATTCTCCTGCCTCAGCCTCCCGAGTAGCTGGGGCTACAGGCACCTGCCCCCGCGCCCAGCTAATTTTTTGTATTTTTAGTAGAGACGGTGTTTCGCCGTGTTAGCCAGGATGGTCTCGATCTCCTGATCTCGTGATCCGCCCGCCTCGGCCTCCCAAAGTGCTGGGATTACAGGCATGAGCCACTGCGCCCGGCCCCTAAACAAATTTTTAAATAAACATACAAGGTTAAATGTGTGCTGTGTAAGAACCACCACCTGTTCAGCTGCTGAGCACACCATCAGTCCTAACTCAGCAAAAGAACCCACCCTCTGGGAAAGACTAAAAGCGAACCGCTCTTTCAAAAATGCATTTTTACAGGTGGAAATCTATGTTTCCCAAGCCCTCCTGCCAGTCCTTGGCACTCTGACAAGTGTTTCTCACCCCTGGGGACATGGGGTCATGGGGCTGGAGATGCAAAAGGGAAAGTCACCAAGGCTAAGTTTCAGCTGCTTGCATCCTTGTAGCCAGGGCCAGAGGGCCATGTGGGGGTTCCCCAGCTCCTACCGTCCATGCTGGACTCATGGGGCACGGCTCTGCCGCAGTGGCCAGGCTCACCTCCATGAAGTGATTGCTCAGGGCGGGCCCCGAGTCATTCTTGAAGGTCTGGCTGACACGGAGATGCCTCTTGTTGCTGTTCTTGTCCCAGTGCTTCCCGTAGCTCACCTCCAGCTGTGAGTGCAGGTGGCCCGAGTCCTCCTCATGCCAGAGCTGGACCTGGGACACACATGGGTGGTGAACTGCCCATGGAGGCCCTGCCCACCCAGTCCCTGGGCCTCCTCATAGCCACCCACTCCAGGGATATCAGCCTGGTTTTCAGAAGAGACGGTTCTGTAGAAAGCACTATTTTTTTTTAATTTATTACTTATTTATTTTAGAGACAAGATCTCACTCTCCCACCCAGACTGGAGTACAGTGGCGCCATCTTTGCTCACTGCAACCTCCGCCTCCTGGGCTGAAGCGTTCCTGGATGAACAGACATAAGACTGAGACTGAAGTTCCAGCCCCGGATCCATTCCCATATGGCTATGTGATTGTGAGCAAGTCCATCTCTTTGGGGATGAGTTCAGGGTACTCAGATCACCACTTGCCTGACTCTAGTGCTCTCTCCGGATGTCGCACCTGGCCTGGGAACCCACCTTGTGGCTGAAGGCTAGGATCTGTGTGCAGTGGAGCTCGTGGCGCAGCTCCAGCCTGTAGGCACCGTCTGAGCCACTGTCTGCCCGCAGCTTCTGGCTGGTGCTGCACTCGTGTGCCGCCTGCTTTGCCTGACCTGTGTGGATCAACCCAGAGACCCCTGCCCTCCTCTGCCAGGCAGCCCTCCACCAGGGCTCCAAGAGAAGGAGGGCCCGGCCCAGCCTGGCCTCAGCCACACCCCCCATGCTTTGCTCCACCTGTCACTCCATTAGAACCTGTCGATGGGGAGGTGTTAAGAGATGGGTGAATGTCTCCTCAACAGACACACTTTTTAATGGGCAGGTATTCAGTCCTACTCAGAGCCAACAGAATGACTAATGGAAAACCCCGTGGTGACAGCGTATCTCAGCTCACGGAGCCACAGCCCTAGGAAACAGGGCAGGCCCTGCCACCTCCACCTGCCCCGCAACCAGGCACGCAGTGCCTTACCCAGGAGGCTGTACTGGATCCTCAGGGAGTTGGTCCAGAGCTGGCCCCGTTGCTGCAGCAGGCCAAGGGCACGAAGCCCCACCAGCCCTGGCACAAACAGCTCGGCACCCAGGGCGGCCACCCTCCGTCCATTCTCCTCCTTCCTCTCCAGCAGTGCTGCAGGGACAGAGAGCAGGCAGATGAGAGGGTCAGCCCCCAGGGACCAGCACCCCCATCCCCAGGCAAAGAAGGGACTCAGGTATCACCGAGGGGCCTTGGGGTTGGGGGCTCCTTGAAGAGCCAACATGTGCACCCTGCACAACAGGCCACAGACAGGCCTGATCACAGCTCACTGTAGCCTTGACCTCCCAGGCTCAATCGATCTTCCCACCTTAGCCTCCCGAGTAGCTGGAACTACAGACGTGTGCCACCACACTTGGCTAATTTTTGTATTTTTTGTAGAAGCAGGGATCTCACTATGTTGCCCAGGCTGGTCTTAAACTCCTGGGCTCAAGTAATCCTCCTGCGTTAGCTTCCCGAAGTGCTGGGATTTCAGGCGTGAGACACTGTGCCTGGCCCAAAAATAAAGTAGAATAAAACAAAATCGAACAGGACAGAAGAGAAAAGAAAGAATAGCCCATCATGGGTTGTTGGGTAAATTTCACCTTCTGAAGCTTCTGAGACACAGAAGGTCAGCCAGAACGCACAGGTGAAACTGGGCCAGCTGTTATGACTCCCAGACACCCACATCGGGGGGTCCACAGCCACTGCTCCAAGTACCCCCAGCCCCAGCTCCTGTCCTTACCTTGGAATCTTCCGGAACACCCATGAGCGGCACACCCAGGCGCCACTACCCCAGCTCCAGCACCAGGGCCAGCACCTGCTCACTCTGTGTGTGTTTTAAATGCCCAGTGTATTTTAGGTCAAAATGTTACAAGTGTTTCTTATCGTGGGTCAGAATAAAAACAGTCCAAAAGTTGCTATTTTAAGGTTTGTGGGTGCAGTTGGAGGTTGGGGGAGGTTCTGGGGGCTCACATGGAGCTTGGATCTGCCCTTGGATGGGATGTTGATATTAAGAGAAGCTGCAGTGATGAGGACCATAAGGAGGCACTTGGGCCACCACACCCTAACCTGGCCACAGAGCAGAGGGGACAGAAGGGGTCTCATCTCCTACCTGTCACGTTGGCCTGGTCACTCAGCAGATGGCTCAGCGATGCGGAGAAGGCCAGCTTGCTGCCCACCTGCCGTGTGAGGTTCCCGGTGAAGACGACGGGGCTGCCCCCCGTCACCAGTTTCACCTCCAGCTGCGCCTGGAACCGCTCAGCCTCGCCACCCATGGCTGGCTGCAGGTCACTCCAGCCCTGAAACGGCCTCAGTGTCACCTGGGAGGACAGGCTTGGCCAGCAGGCCCAGCCCTTACCACACGAACTGGGACCAGACAGGGCAGGAGACAACATCGCTAACAACCTTCTACACCGATCCTTACCCAATTTTTCTTTTTCCTTGAGACAGAGTCTCACTTTGTCTCCCAAGCTGGAGTGCAGTGGTGGAATCCTGGCTCGCTGCAACCTCCACCTCCTGGGTTCAAGTGATTCTCCTGCCTCAGCCTCCCTGGGATTACAGTCACGTGCCACCACACCCGGCTAATTTTTTTATTTTTAGTAGAGATGGAGTTTCACTATGTTGGCTAGGCTGGTCTCAAGGTCCTGAGCACAAGTGATCCACCCGCCCTGGCCTTCCAAAGTGTTAGGATTACAGGCATGAACTACTGTGCCCAGCCCTTCCCCAATTTTTTAAACTCTGGATTTCTCAAAATTAGAAACCTGTGTTACAAACTCAGACATAAATGTAAGGGACTCCTCTTCTCTCCTTGACATCCCCCTCATTCAGTCCATCAGGAACTTGAGTCAACTGTCCCTATGGAACGCGTCTAGAATCAACCACTTCTGCCACCTCCGCTGCCTCACCAGCTGGAGCCCCGGTCATCGGCCTGTCTCACTGCAACATCCTCCTGGCTCTCCCGGCTCCCATCCCGCTGGTGGCAACTAATCTCCACACGGCAACCAGACACGTCGAATGATGGCACACTAGCCTTTCTTACAGTACAACCCAAAGTCCTTGTGAAGGCCAGCGAGGCCAGAACTTTCTCTGCTGGTCAGTGGTGCAGACCTGGCCATGGGAAGACACTGGCAGATGGGCCACGGGGACAGCTCACTACACACTCCACGGCCCCGCAAAGAAGATTCTCTGGAAAAGTCATGAGCAACTACAAATATCATCTTTGATGGCCCCGCCAACCTGTAGGCTCCCCACCCCCACGCCCCCCTGATGGCCACCAGCTGGTCAGTTTACCCAAAAGACGCCAAAACAAGACTCACTATTACCACACTGCCACTACTTAATGCTCTCTGTCCCCGATCCCCACAGATGTGTGTGCGGATGTGTGTGTATGAATGTGTGTGGATGTGTGTACAGATGTATCTGTACATGGATGTGTGTGTATACAGGGGTGTGTGTATACAGACGTGTATGTACACAGACATGTGGGTGCATACAGATGTATGAATGTGTGTATACATGGATGTGTCTGTATGTAGACATGTATGGACGTGTGTGTGAACGTATGTATACGGATGTGTAAAGAGGTGTATATATATGGATGCATGTATATGAATGTATGCATACAGATATGTCTACACGTGGATTGTGTGAATATGGATGTGTATGGATGTGTGTGTACGGACATGTGAACAGATATGTATATATGGATGTGTGTGTGGATATATGTACAGATATGTATATATATGGATGTGTGTATATATGAACGTATATACAGATGTGTCTACATATGGATGTTTGTGTGTATGAATATGTGTGTATGGACGTGTGTTTATGGACATGTATGTGTGTAAAGAGATGCATATATACGGATGCGTGCATATGAATGTGTACAGATATGTCCACATGTGGACTGTGTGAATATGGATGTATATGGACGTGTGTACACCACGGACATGTGAAAAGATATGTATATATGTGGATGTGTGTATATGAATGTGCATACAGATATGCATTTGGATGTGTGTGAATATGGATGTGTATGGACTCTGTACAGACATGTGTACAGATATGTGTGTATATACGAATGTATGTACAGCTGTATCTACATGTGGATGTTCGTGTATGTAAATATGGACGTGTGTATGATGTGTATGTGTATGGACATGTGTATGTCATATGTGTATGGATGTATGTGTGTGCACACACGAATATACAGACACACCCTTCTCCTTCCCTTTTTACAGAAACAGATGCTCGCTCTCCACTCTGCTCCCAGCTTTTCCTGCTGGCAGGCACATTCGAGCGATGGCTTTCTCCAGTCTGTATCAGAGGCTGTGCAGTGCTCGTCAGAGCTTCCTCAAGGTGCACATGAACAGGGTGAACACAGAATTTCTCACCCAAACCGGAACACTTTGCAGTTAAAGAGAACACTAGTTGTAAATGTGTCACGTCACCAGGCGTAAACTGGGGCTCTCCAGGCAACCCACGACCCAACCCCTGCACACTAGCAGGAGGGGGCACTGAACAGAACATTCTTCCCTAAACCAACCTTAAATCCCATTAGCTTTGAGACAAGTTGAACATAAGCTCTGGGACTTCGTATTCATGAGCTCATCTGCCTCAGTTTCTTCATCTTGTATTGGGTTACAGAGGACTTGAAGGGGGGACCTCCTGTCTGCTGAAACAGGCTCCAGAAAGTTCCGGAGTTCCGGCTGTTACTGTAATTGTGATGAGTCTGGGGCAGACGGAACTAGAATTTCTCCAAAGGCAAACATTTCCAGGCTGCAGGCAGCTCTATAGGGACCAGCAGGAAGATCCACGGGGAGGTAGAGGCAATCCGTGCTTGCACATTTAGCAAACAACTAGAAGTTCAAGGGCCCCTGGGAATTCTGAAAATGAGGCATAAGTCTCAGCCATCAGGCAGGTGGAGCTTTAGGAGGAAGACAGCTCTCCCCTGACATAGGTCTTCCCCCACCCAGGCTGACGGCAGAGCTGGAAGAGGAGAATGTATTTTTGCAGCAAGACATCCAGCTCCGGCTTCAGATGCTCCACTCCAGGCCTCTCTGAGAAGACACTGGAAACTGAGGCAGAATCAGGAGATCCACTGCCGAAGGTGCCCAGCAATCATGCCTGGTGGGATCAAGTCTAAAGCTGCTATTTGTACCCTGGCTGGAATGCAGTGGCATGATCTCGACTCACTGGAACCTCCACCTCCCAGATTCAAGCAATTCTCCTGCCTCAGCCTCCCAAGAAGCTGGGACTACAGGCATGCGCCACCACACCCAGCTAATTTTTGTATTTTTAACAGAGACAGGGTTTCACCATCTTGGCCAGGCTGGTCCCAAATTCCTCACCTCAAGTGATCCTCCCGCCTCAGCCTCCCAACATTTGTATACTTTTTGAAGTCACACATCTTCCTGAAAAGTGGATAGAAGTTTTCAACCTTCTTCGCAGGATGGAGGGCAGACACAGAACTTCAACACAGTGACAGGGGCTTCAAACGACTAAGTTCCGTCCAGGTACCCTTGGGTAAGAACCCTAGAAAAGCACCTACTGAGATGAAAACGAGCCTAGACAACATAGTAAGACCTCGTCTTCACAAAAAAAAGAAAAAAAGAAAAATAGAAGGGCATGGTGGCACAGGCCGTAGTCCCAGCTACTTGGGAGGCTGAGGCAAGAGGATCGCTTGAGCCCAGGGGTTTGAGGCTGCAGTGATCTACGATCACTGCACAGAATAAGACCTTGTAAAAGAAAGAGAAGGCGGGGGGTGGGCAGAGAGGGAAAAGAGAGAGGGGGAAAGAGACTGGTAGAAGACATGGGGGAAAGTGGGGGAAAGACGTGGGAAGAGGAAAAGAGAGGGAATAGAGGGAGGGAAAGACAGGGCGAGAAAGGAAAGAAAAGGAAGAAAGGAAGAAAAAAGAAAAGAGAAAAAACATATAAACCTTGTGGCCTGGGAATTCCATTGTTAAGAATTTACTCTGCAGAGAGAATGGTGTTCATGGCAGAATATTTGTAAGAGCAGAAACCTGGAAAAAACTCAAGAGTCCTTCATTATTAAACTAGCTGAATAAATTCCATTCCACGGACTATTACACAGCAATTTGCGCTACACAGGAGGCACTTATTTTCTTTAAAGTGGATATATTAACTCCATGTGCTGACTGTGTGCATAGATCATCTCAGAAAGGAATCACCAAAAAATCCCTAACAGTGGTTGGCTTTCAGGAGGGGTGGGAGAGAGGTTTTGAGTCTATACCAGCGCCAACCAATAGAACTTTCTGCAATGAGGACAATGTTTCAGAGCCACATGAAGCTGTGGAACACCTGAAATGCGGCCCATGCAGCCAAAGAACCAAATCTTTAATTTTCTTTAATTTTAATTCATTTAGATTTTTTTTTTTTGAGATGGAGTCTCGCTCTGTTGCCCAGGCTGCAGTAAAGTGGCGTGATCTTGGTTCACTGCAACCTCCACCCCACCAGGTTCAAGCAATTCTCCTGCCTCAGCCTCCCAAGTAGCTGGGATTACAGGAGCCTGCCACCATACCCGGCTACTTTTTGTATTTTTGGTAGAGACGGGGTTTTGCCATGTTGTTCAGGCTGGTCTTGAACTCCTGACCTCAGGTGAGCCACCTTTCTCGGCCTCCCAAAGTGCTGGGATTATAGGCGTGAGCCACCGCACCTGGCCTCACTGAGATTTCTATAAACATGTGTGCCACTGGCTACCATATGGGAGAGTCAGTTCTATACCCTTTCATAGCTTTTGAACTTTGAATCATTTAAATGTATTGCCTATTTAATTGTAGAATTTAATAATATTTAGATTGAATTAATCTCAATGAAATCTACAATAGAATTTAAATTTTATCAGCGCATGCTTGTCTGAAAAGATTGCCAAGGTGTACGTACGTATATGTGTATTGTGTGTGTGTGTGTGTATGCACGCACACACACACATATATATATTTTTGAGACGCAGTCTTGCTCTGCTACCCAAACTGGAGTGCAGTAGTATGAAATCGGCTCACTGCAACCTCTGCCTCCTGGGTTCAAGTGATTCTTCTGCCTCAGCCTCCCAAGTGGCTGGGATTACAGGCACGCACCACTACACCCAGCTAATTTTTGTATCTTTAATAGAGATGAGGTTTCACCATGTTGGCCAGGCTGGTCTCAAACTCCTGGCCTCAAGTGATCCATCCTCCTTGGCCTCCCCAAGTGTTGGGATTACAGGCGTGAGCCACGGCGCCCAGCTGCCAAGCTATATTTTTGAGTAAAAAAAAAAAAAAAAGTCCTCACAGAGTTAAAAAAAAAAACAAAAAAACTGGGAAACTGGGAGTGGAGGCTCACGCCTGTAATCCTAGCACTTTGGGAGGCCAAGGTGGGCAGACTGTGTAAGCCCAAGAGTTTGAGACCAGCCTGGGCAACATAGTGAGACCCCATTTGTACAAAAATATAAAAAAAAGAAGCCAAGCATGGTGGCACATGCCTGTAGTCCCAGCTACTCGGGAGGCTGAGGTGGGAGGATCGCTGGAGACCAGGAGGTCAAGGCTGCAGTGAGCCATGTTTGCACCTCTGCACTCCAGCCTGAGTGACAGAGCAAGACCCTGCCTCAAAAAAAGAAAATAAAAATAAAAAAACAAAACCTAAACATGACAACTGGGTTTTCATGCTATTGCATGATACCTGCCTCCCTCAAAACTTGTTACATCATCATATCACTCACCTGATAGACAAAATAAAACCCAGAAACCCAAACTAAAAATATTTGCAAATCTATAAGGTTATGGGTTGTACTGTGTCTCCCTGAAAGATGCCGAAACCCTAAGCCGCAGGACCTGTGAATGTGACCTTATTCGGAAATAGGGTCTTCACACATGATTAAGCTAAGCTGAGGTGATGAGGGTGAACCCTAATCCCGTTTGCCTGGTGTCCTTATAAAAAGGGGATGTGTGGACACAGACACCTACAAAGGGAAGACTATGGGAAGACAGAGACAGAAGACCACCTCCAAGCCAAGGAGCTCTGGGGGCTTCTAGAATCCAGGAGCGAGACCTAGGTCAGATCCTCCCTGACAGCCTTCACAGGTGGGGAAAAAAAAAACAAAAAACAAAAAACAACAATAACAACAAAAAACACCTTGATTTCAGACTCCTGGCCTCCAGAACTGTGAGAACAAATTCCTATAGTTGAAGACACACAGTTAGCGTACTTTGTTAAGGCAGCTCTGGGAAATGAACACAGATTTCTCAGGGCGTGCATCAGTACTTCTGCAGGAAATTTGGGACATGGCATGCTTTAACTTACAAGTTATACCTTTCTCTATTCTGAATTCTTTTTTTGAGAGACAGGGTCTTACTTTGTCACCCAGGCTGGAGTGCAGTGGCAGAAGCATGGCTCAGTGCAGCCTTGACCTTCTGGGCTCCAGCAATCCTCTTGCCTCAGTCTCCTGAGTAGCTGAGACTACAGGCACACAACTCTGTGCCTGGTTAACATTTTTTAATGTTTTGTAGACACCGGGTCTTGCTATGTTGCCCAGGTTTATCTCGAACTCCTACCCTCAAGTGATCCTCCCAACTTGGCCTCCCAACTTTCTGTAATTACAGGTACAAGCCGTCATACCTGGCTTTTTCTTTCTTTCTTTTTTTGAGACAGAGTCTCGCTCTGTCGCCCAGGCTGGAATGCAGTGGCATGATCTCAGCTCACTGAAACCTCCGCCTCCTGGGTTCAAGTGATTCTTCTGCCTCAGTCTCCCAGGTAGCTCGGATTACAGGCACCCGCCACCACACCCAGCTAATTTTTGTATTTTTATCAGAGGCAGGGTTTCACCATTTGGCCAGGCTGGTCTCGAACTCCTGATTTCAGGTGATCTGCCCGCTTCGACCTCCCAAAATGCTGGGATTACAAGTGTGAGCCACTGCATCCCACCTGAATTCTTAAAAGCATGTTTTTGTGTTATTAATATCCATTTTTAACATCAATGACGGTGGGATTTGAGCCCATTTTTTTCTTGTTTATACATTTCTGGGTAATAGAACTAACACTTGTTAACTGGCAGGTAGAAAGGGAAGATCCCAGAGGTGGTGGCAATAGTTAACAGGGCTCTGGTACGGGGGAAGGAAATCCCTGGGGAGGTGTCAGGTGCAGACACAGGTGGGCCTAGGGTGTGGAGCAAACCTTGATGTAGTAGACGTCCCTGTCATCCAGCACCAGCTCCAAGTGACCCGTGTGGGCACTCCCAAGAGCCTCCATCTTTCCTGGGGGTGCAAAACAAGAGTTTAGAGACAAGGGTTCAACATCTGGATCTGGCCCCTCCGTCCCCCTGGGAGGACTGCCTGCCCTTTCTTTAATCTCTGAGCCTAAGATGTAGCACCTGTAAAATGGGGCTGGATTTAGTGCTGACCTCAGGAGGTCACAGACAAACCTATAAGCCAGCTCACTGCAGGGGCCCTGCCCCGGGTGTGGCACCGAGTGAGGGGCGCAGTGAGCAGGGAGGGACGTTGACATTACCGTCCAGCTCGATTTTCTTCTTGGGATGGAGAAGCTTGAGCCGGAACTTGTTCTGGGGCAAGCTGTAGCTCATGTCCACCCCGACGTCCCTCAGCACTTCTGACCCGGGCGTGCCCATGAAGACGTGGGCTGTGGCTTCTTGGGGGAACCAGCTGCCCTTCTGGAAATAGCAGAGTCTTCAAGATTGAGAGCCTCCACCTGTACCCTTCAGACACTCACATTGTTGTCCTCACAATCCCCCAACCAGGAATTTCTCAGGCTTGAAAACTGCCTGCAGAATTGTAAAGCTCTGCAGAACAGCCCAGGACCATGTCCACAGGGTCGCAATTTATTCAGCAAACGGCCAGGGAGAAGCGGCTGCGGTGCACACTCCTGGCACCCTGCACAGACCCCTCCCATCCTTTTTTGTTTTGAGACCGAGTCCCGCTCTGTTGCCCAGGCTGGAGTGTCAGCGGCATGATCTCGGCTCACTGCAGCCTCTGCCTCCCAGGTTCAAGTGATTCTCCTGCCTCAGCCTCCTGAGCAGCTGGGATTACAGGCATGCGCCAACAAGCCCAGTTTTTTTTTGTTGTTGTTGTTATTTTTGGTAGAGATGGGGTTTCACCATGTTGGCCAGGCTGGTCTTGAACTCCTGACCTCAAGTGATCCACCTGCCTTGGCCTCCCAAACTGCTGGGATTACAGTGAGCCACTGCGCCTGGCCTCTCCCATCCTTTTAACCAGCTTTGTGTCCTTGTCCCCCAGCTTCTGCAAGCTCTGCACTTCCTGGCTGTCACCTGAGGGCTTCAGAACATTGCCCTCCAGCACTGCAGCCAAAACTCCCAGCACCCTAGCCCAGAGGGGAACACACTCTGCGAGTACCTCGTGCTCTGGGGCTCCCTGTGAGACCAGGCTGAGGCTGCAACTTCACCTGAAATTGCACATCTCTCAGCATCTTCCCTCGGCCTTTCCTAATTTCTCCACTCTTTCTGGGTCCCCCGGAGCCTTTTCTTAATAAATCACTTGTACCCCAGTCCAAGGCTTCGGTCTCTTGTTGGGGAAGTGCAGCCTCAGCCACAAGTCCCGTTCGGAAATCCCATGTCACCGTACATTTGTTCAACACCAACAGAGATGTGTGCTGCTGCGTGGAAGATGACTGAGCATGAGACACGCAGTGCCCGACCGCGTGGAGCCTACGTCCTAGAGAGGAGGCACAGGAACACCAGACACGAGAACGGGTAAGACGGCAGCCGCCGGTGAGTGTGCTGGCGAAGTCATTGGTGTAGGGGCCCTGACCGGGATGCTGGTCTAGACAGGGAGGCCCAGGAAGGCTGCCTCTGAGGGGTCCCACTGAAGGACACTTGAAAGGAGCTAGGGAGGGAGTTAGGTGGATGTCCCGGGGAAGAGTGTTCCTGGCAGGGGAAACGCCCAGTGCAAAGGCCCTGGGGCAGGCATGTGTGTGGCCTTGAAAAAGGGGCCAGTGTGTCTTCAGGGCAGTGAGTCTGGAGGAGAGTCAGGGAAGGAGGCCAGCAGGGGCAGGACTGCCAAGGGCCTGTGGGTCACGGCGTCTGGCTCCTACTTTAAGGGTAACAGAAGCCATAGGGGGGCAGTCTACACAGAGAAGGGACACGATCCAGCTGGGATTTCAGAGGGCCCATCTGGCTGCTGGTAAAGATGGGAAGGAGACCAGAGCGGGAGCTGGGGGATCAGACAGGAGGCCACCGAGTGCCTCCTCTGGACCAGATGCTGATGACAGAGGGGTAAGTAAAACCAACCCTGAATCTGCTCCCAGGAACTGAGTCACCAGCGGGGAAGACAGACCTTATCCAAGTAGCTTCACTAAGAAACAGAACTGATTAAAAGGGAAGAAATGTGGTTGTCTTACGGCAAGTCACAAAAGAATATGATGTGCTCTGGGGTAACCAAGGCAGGCTTCCCTGAGGAAGTGACCCCTGAACTGAGACCTAAAGACTGATTCAGAGTTAATGCATCATACAGCCCCAGATGGAGAATCAGCATGTGCAAACGTCCAGAAGAAACCTACAGCAAGACCAGCACAGCCCAACAGCCCCAGAGAGGAGCCCCACGTCCTTTAGGGTGAGCCCAGGGCTGACCTAAGGAGATCCACAACATGGCTGAGAAAGACGGGGCTGTTGTCTAGGGCCCACCTGGGGCTGCAGGGTATAGGCAGCTTCCAGCAGGTACTGTCGGAGCCCCGGGTCCCGTTTCTGCAGCGTCACGGCCGCGAACACAGGCAATGAGAGCAGGTAGGGCTGGCCAGGCACCGGCCAGGTCACTCCAGTGCACAGTCGCCAGCCCCAGGTGTAGGACACTGCAGAGAGAGGTAAGCAGGCAGCACTGGTCAGTGGAGACTCAGAGGGCTCTGGGCATGGGTGCCCGCAGCTGCCACATCAGCAAAGAAACCTCTTCTCTAATTTCTTCTGAGGAAAGGCACCATGTAGACAGGACTCCTGTGAGGCAGTGGTGTGTAGACCAGGGTTTCTCTGCCTCAGCACTGCTGACATTTGGGATCAGATCATCTTATTTGGGGGCTGTCCTGTGCATTATGGGATGTTTCGCTGAATCCTGGATCCCCATCCACTAGATGCCAGTAACCCCTACCAACAACCAAATATTTCTGCACATATTACCAAATGTCTCCTGGGGGGTCAAAACTGCCCCAGCTGAGAACCCCTGGTAGACTTTTTCTTTTTTTTTTTTTTTCCAGACAGAGTCTCACTTTGTCACCCGGGCTGGAGTACAGTGGCACAATCTCGGCTCACTGCAACCTCTGCCTCCCAGGTTCAAGTGATTCTCCTGCCTCAGCCTCCCGGGTAGCTGGGATTACAGGCACGTGGCACCACGCCTGGCTAATTTTTGTATTTTTAGTAAAGATGGGGTTTTACCATATTGGCCAGGCTGATCTTGAACTCCTGACCTCAGGTGATCTGCCTGCCTCAGCCTCCCAAAGCGCTGTGATTACAGGCGTGAGCTACCGTGCCCAGCCCCTGGTAGACTTTTTAAAAAGAGTGTCAGGCAATACTGTGTAGAACACAGGCTCTGCAGCAAGAATGCCTGGTTCAAATTCTAGCTTGGCCACTTCCCAGCTGTGTGACCTTGGACAAATTACTTAACCTCTCTGGGTCTCAATGTTTCTTTTTCATTATTATTATTGTTACTACTCCCCAGACTCACTGTAAAGGCCTCAGTCTTTCTCATCTTAAACTGCTAATGATAATAGTTCCTGCCTCATGGCGTAGCTGTGAGGATTAACAGGTCAGTAAGTGTTGAGAGCAGCACCAGGCCTACAGTAATGTCTTTGGTAGTAACTCTTATCCCGATTATAAAAATATATTTGTTAGCTGGATATGGTCGCTCACACCTGTAATCCCAGAACTGTGGGAGGCCAAGGCGGGTGGATCACCTGAGGTCAAGAGTACAAGACTAGCCTGGCCAACATAGGAAAAGCCTGTCTCTACTAAAATTAAAAAAAATTAGCCAGGCGTGGTGGCAGGCACCTGTAATCTCAACGACTCAGGAGAATCGCTTAAACCCGGGAAGCAGAGGTTGCAGAGAGCCGAGATTGCGCCACTGCACTCTAGCCTGGGTGACAGAGGGACACGCTATCTCAAAATAAATAAATAAATAAATAAATAAAATAAAAATGTACTTGTTGCAGGAAATTAGAAAGAAAATCAGAAAGCTCAGAAAGATTTCTAAAATTTTTTTCTGTATTGTATGTTATAGTTTCAAGTTTATTTACAATTCTAAATGCAACTTAAATGCAAAAAAGAAACATTATCAAGAAGCAAAATTTGTATATCTTCATTAAATAGAGCCCTCCCCAACCTTACTCTAAAAAAAAAAAAAGAAAAAAAAATTTCAAGATCTCCTATTATTTGGCACATTTATTTCCTGTCTTTTTACCCAGTTGAGATCATATTCAGTGTTGCTGGCTTACACTTGGCATTATTATTAACGAAGTTTCTCATTAAAACAGCTCACTCATAATGGAGTTGAAAAGTTTGGGAAGCCAAAGCAGGCGGATCACCCGAGGTCAGGAGTTCAAGACCAGCCTGGCCAATGTGGTAAAACCCTGTCTCCACTAAAAATACAAAAATTAGCCGGGCTTGGTGGCAGGTGCCTGTAGCCCCAGCTACTTGGGAGGCTGAGGCAGAAGAATTGCTTGAACCCAGGAGACAGAGGTTGCAGTGAGCCGAGACCGCACCATTGCACTCCAGCCTGGGCAACGAGAGTGAAACTCTGTCTCAAAAAAAAAAAAAAGTTATGCGATATGTCAATAACTTACCAACCCAGGAGCCAGCAAACATTCTTCGTAAAGGGCCAGATTGTTTGTTTGTTTAGTTAGTTACCTAGATAGCTAGCTAGAGACAGAATCCTCCTTGGTCACCCCGGCTTGAGTGCAGTGGCATGAACACAGCTCACTGTTGCCTCGACCTCCTGGGCTCAAGCGGACTTCCTGTCAGCCTTCCAAGTAGCTAGGACCACTGGTGCACGCCACCATGCCCGGCTAATTTGTTAATTTTTATTTTTGTAGAGACAAGGTCTCACTATGTTACCCAAGCTAGTCTTGAACTCCTGGACTCAAGGAATCCTCTCACCTCGGCCTCCCGAAGTGTGGGGATTACAGGCGTGAGCTATCCGCCGGCCAGATAGTCAATATTTTATGCTTTGCGGTCACACAGTCTAGCTTGCAACTACTCAGCTCTGCTGTTGTGGGACAAAGTGGCTACAGGTGATATGCAAATGAAGGGGGTGTGCTGCGTTCCCATACAACTTTATTTCTGGACACTGAAATTTCAATTTCATGAAGTTTTCATGATATGAGATATTCTTCTTTTGACTCTTTTTAGCCACTTAATGTAACAACCTACCCTTACCTCACTGGCATTTATAATTAGCCATTTTGCCTACTCTGGAATATTTGAGTTGCTTCCTATTTTTTGTTCTAAATAATGATGCAACGAACATCTTTGTGCACAGAGCATTTTTAAGTGATTTTGGTTTGCTTGTATAGGGTAGAATTACAGAAGCATTATCATTGACTGAAGTGGTTGGTAAAGGAAAATAAAGCCGGGTGCAGCGGCTCATGCCTGTAATCCCATTACTTTGAGAAGCCAAGGCAGGTGGATCACTTGAGCCCAGGAGTTCGAGACCAGCCTGGATAACATGGTGGAACCCTGTCTCTACAAAATACAAAAAAAAAAAAAAAATTAGCTGGGCAGGGTGGTGAGTGCCTGTAGTCCCAGCTACTCAGGAGGCTGAGATGGGAGGACCACTTGAGCCTGGGGAGATGGAGGCTGCAGTGAGCCATGATTGCACCATTGCACTCCGGTCTGGACGACAGAGACCCTGTCTCAATAATAATAAAAGTACAATATCGGGATCCCAATTCGCTATGCCAAAAGGAAAAAATTAAGCTGGAAGCTGAGTCATGCAAGAAGCTGCCTTCTCTTGTTCCTAAGCAGGTAGCTACAGATAAAAGGTTAAATATTTGCGCAGCTATTCTATGTTCACCTTATCTTATGTAAAGTGTTGATTTATTGAGCAAGTATGAATATGTAAGTGACTATTCCCTTCCCTGCTCCTTTTCCCTTGCAGCTTGTGGATTCAGTCATGTGACCATACCCTCCCTCTTTCCCCTCCAGCCCGCTTTTCCCCTTTAAACAAAGGGAGGGAGAGCATTAGGACAAATACCTAATGCATGCGGGGCTTGTAACCTAGATGACAGGTTGATGGGTGCAGCAAACCACCATGGCACATGTACACCTATGTAACAAACCTGCATGTTCTGCACATGTATCCCAGAACTTAAAGTAAAATAAAAATAATAAATAAACAAATAAATAAATATTGAAGCTTTCAGAATCATCTCTGAAAAAAGGCATAGACCACAGATTGTTCTGTGGATTTGTGTTCCTTTATTTCCAAGCATGTCCTTAACCTTGGCAAAGTAGATGTCTAAATTGATTGAAACCTGTCTCAGATACTTTTTGGTTTGCAGAATATGAATACTTTTAGGGCAGGAGAGCAACTCTGGGATCTGGAGCTGGCATTTTTCCCTTCAACCCTGGGATGCCCACCTTGGTACAATGTCATGGAGGCCCTGCTGCCTACCTTCCTCACCAGTACAGGACTGGACCTCAGAAGGGCCAGGGACATGTCTGAGGCTCCTCACGCCATCCCTGGTGATGAGGTACAGCTGAGAGCTGGGTGGGGAAAGAGGACAGTGTCAGACGCATCATTTTCATTCATTCATTAGACAAGTAACACCTTGAGCTGCCAGAGCTTGGCACAGGGGCAAATTCTACCCTGAGCGGGGCCAGCCTTTGGGCAGTGCACACGCTGGTGTGGTGACACTCCGTGGGCACAGGGACAGATGCTGAGGACCACAGAGAGTGACAAGTGCTGTGAGAAACCCACATGGAGGACAGCATGGCACAGGGCTGTCTCGGGGATAGAGCAGGGCCTCCCCTAGCTGGAGTAGGGGGAGTTCTCTGCAGAGGTAACTTTTGAGCAGAAATCCAAAGGATGAGAAGGAGCTATTGTTCCAGACAGAGGGCACAGCAGGTGCAAAGGCCCTGGGGTAGGAACAAGTTGGCTGCTTTAGGAGCATGGAAAGAAGGCTGGTGGGAGGGGGTCAGGATAGAGGGGGACGGTGAGTGAGGGGCAGGGAACAGGGGCAGATGCGAGGAGGGAGGAGGGAGATGGGCAGAGTCCCCATGGAGCAGGACAAGGGAAAGAATATGGGTAGGTGGGGCAGCCTGGATTCACTCCCTCTAAAATTGCCCCTCTCCAAGAGTCACCTCCTTAGGGGTCACAGACAAGCATGCCCCAGAGGGACTCCAGGAAAGAGCTGAGGGGTCTGAAAGTTCTCCAGCTCTCACCTCTCAGCTGCCCACGGTCCCTGTCAGACACGCCCACCCTTCACAGTCAACAGACACACATGCTCGTGGACACACACGCACTCCCACAACACACTCACTCCTCACTGCCACACTCACGGACACACCCTCATGCACACAGCAGCTCATACATTCTCATATGTCTGATCATGTGTACTCAGACACAGGCTCATGGGTGCACACACTAACACACATGCATGCTAATGTCACATCCACACCCATGCACATCCCCTTGTGCACACGCAGACGTGATCACACACTCACATGCATGCATGCAAGCACACACACCACACACCTGCTCACCTGCACCCTCGTGCTCATGGTTCCCTTCCTGCCGGCACTGGGCACCCACCTGAAGCTGAGCAGCTCCACGGCCTCCTCAGGCGTGTTCAGATGCACCTTAAGGACCCGGCCCTTCTGCACCTGGATCCCGCCATCCAGGCTGGCGGCGCTGCGGACGCTGGTCACCCACCTCAGCCCGGCCTGCCCCAGGATGCCCGCTGTGCCCATCTGAGCTGAGATCTGGAGCAGGGCACTGAGGGACAGGCATGTACCAGCTGCATCCCGAGGGCCCTGGGGCCACAGATCCCACCTGCGACCCCCAGCAGCCCCCTGCAGTCCTGAGCCACAGCAGCCCCTCCACCACTGCCACCACTGCCACCCACAGGCTGTACATGCGCCAAGCACTTTCCAGTCCTCACCTGCACTAATCCCTTTTATGGATGGGGAAACTGAGGCTCAGAGAGGTGAAAGCACCTGCCTGGGTTCCATGACTGGGACAAAGCATGTGGCTGGGACATGTGAATCCCGGGTGTCTAAGTCCCAGCCCAGGCTCTTCACGCCAGAGAGCACCCAGCCTAGGGCATCTGCATTCCCCATGTCAAACTCAGGGCCCAAGGACAGCTCAGCTGAGGGGCTGGGGACAGATGCTCAGCAGCACCATGACAGGTTCCAGAATCGGACCAAATATTGCACACCTTCTGCTCTGGCGCCATGTGGCCCCAGGCTGTCAGTGTCCTCGCCTTGAACCTTGGTTTCCTCATCTGTCAGTGGGAATAAGAAGCACCAGGCTTGGTTGGTCGGGAGGGCGTCACACGAGTTCAGTGAGCTCAAGGCTACCTCCTCTCCTCCCTTCTGGGTGGGGTGGATGGAAGGGCATAGGGTTGTGGCCAGCCACCTCGTACTGCGGTGTGACCTTGAACATGTGACTGGACCTCTCTGAGCCTCATTCTTCCCACCTGTAAAGTGGATCTAACCACCCAGCATCTCTGCACACAGTCTCTTGGCACAGGTGTTCTGCAGAATAGGGATCCTCTCTTACCCATACGGATGTCACCCAGGCCTCTGCAGCCCTCTGTAGGGATGGGATCCCACCACCTAACCTGCGCCAGCTCCCAGGAGCTAGATACCTGGGCTTGACATAACCATTCACAGAGAAATCCGAGCGCTGCTGGAAGTCAGTGGTTCCTCGGACCCGGATGCTGATGGCAGCCGAGGCATTTAGGGTCAGCCGGGCAGGAAGGCCAGACACGGTGGGAAAGACCAGTTCCTGTGCGGCCAGGCTCAGCCTCCGGTTCATCTGCACCTCCTGCCCCTGCAGCCAAGAAATGATAAGCGGGGGCCGGGCTCGGTGGCTCACGCCTGTAATCCCAGCACTTTGGGAGGCCGAGACGGGTGGATCATTTGAGCCCAAGAGTTTGAGACCAGCCTGGCCAACATTGGGAAACCCTGTACTAAAAATACAAAGCTGGGACTACAGACGCCTGCCACCATGCCTGGCTAATTTTTGTGTTTTCAGTAGAGACAGGGTTTCGCCATGTTGGCCAGGCTGGTCTCAAACTCCTGATCTCAGGTGATCCACCCGCCCCAGCCTCCCAAAGTGCTGGGATTACAGGCGTGAGCCACTTCGCCGAACCAGATATTTTGTTATTTTTTATTTAATATCCCATTTCACAGATGCAGAAACTAAGGCCGTGGTAAGTGAATCAACAGCTTCGAGGAGGTAAACGGAAGAGCTGGGATTGGACCTTGGGCAGCCTGACTCCAAATTTCATGCCCTTAAGTGCTTTGCCAAGTGTCACAGGGCAGATGGCATGGGCAGGGGCAGGGAGGAGCTACCTTCATGAGCTTGATGGCGAGCTCGGCCAAGTTAAGGGGCCAGTGGTTCACGTGACTCCCCGTGGCCCCGCAGTTCACAAAGCTCAGCTCCTGCCCCAGCAACTTCACGCTCAGCTCGCATCGCAGAGCCTGCCGGGCCCCACGCCTCCGGGTCACCTGGGGGAGAGCCCAGACAGGTCACAAAGAACACAGTCAGGGTTAGCAGAGTGATATGGTTTGGCTGTGTCCCCACCCAAATCTCATCTCATAGCTCCCATAATTCCCACATGCTGTGGGAAGGACCCTATGGGAGATGACTGAATCATGGGGGCGGGTCCTTCCCGTGCTGTTCGCGTGATAGTGAATGGGGCTCAGGAGATTCTATGGTTTTAAAAATGGGGGTTTCTCTGCACAAGCTCTTTCTTTGTCTGCTGTCATCCATGTAAGACGTGACTTCCTCTCCTTGCCTTCCACCATGATTTTGAAGCCTCCCCAGTCAGTTGGAACTGTAAATCTATTAAATTTCTTTCTTTGGTAAATTGCCCAGTCCCTGGTATATCTTCATCAGAAGCAAGAAAACGAACTAATACACAGGGCAAAGTGCCTGTACTTTGGGAGGGGGAAGGGGTGGCTGAAGAGAAAGGTCAAGAACTTGTGGGATCCAGATGAGGCGTGCAAAACTCCTAGAGCATGAACCAAATCCCAACCCCAGATGTGTTTTCTCTGACTTGCACAGTAGTGCCCAATGCTGAGAGACTGTGTGTATGTTTTCATGAAGGTTTTATTTTAGGATAATTTTAGATTTACGGAAAAGTTGAAAACTGGCTTGGAAAGGTAGCTCATGCCTCTAGTCCCAGCACTAGGGAGGCCGAGAAAAGAGGATCGCTTGAGGCCAGGAGTTTAAGACCAACCTGGACAGCATATCGAGACCCTATCTCTACAAAATTAAAAAATTAAAAAAAAAAAAAGCCGGGTATGGTGGCACCCGCCTGTAGTTCCAGCTACTTGGGAAGCTGAGGTGGGAGGATCGCTTGAGCCCAGGAGTTCAAGGCTGTAGCGAGCTATGATCATGCCACTATACTCCAGCCTGGACAACAGACAGAGCAAGACCCTGTCTCTGAAAAAAGCAGAAAAGAAAAAAAGAAAATTTGCAAAGACAGTACAGAGAGTTCCCACGTATCCTTCAACTGATTTCCCCATTGTTAACATCTTCCATCACCAGGATGCATGGTGCAAACTAACAAACCAACACTGGTATGTTTCTATCAACTAAACTCCAGAGGTCATTTACATTTCACCAGTTTTTCCATTTCTGTCCTCTTTCCGTCCCGAGATCCAATCAAGCAAACCCCACTGCGTCTCGTTGCTGTATCCCCCTGGTCTCTGGTTCATGGCAGTTTTTTAGTCTTTGATTGTTTTTCATGCCACGTATGTTTTTTATAAATTGAATTTGGAAATTGGGAGATTTGATATAAAACCCAGCTCTCCGGCTGCTCTATAAAGAGAAACATTGGGCTGCCCACCCTCCCCACAACAAGGGGCAACAAGGAACCAGAGCTGAGCAGTGGCTGCCACTTTAGCTGGGCCATGGGCTTCCTCTGTCCGCCACAGTCCCCACCACTCCCTATTGTCTCTCCAACACTGAGGCCAAGTATCTGCTGCCATTCATCACTGCACTGATGCAGAATGTTTCTCAGGATGTGAGTCTCTAGGAAAAGTGAGAAAATAACAGACAAAGGGGATTGTGCATTCTAAGAAAAACTGTTTATATCTAGCGGACCTCCCTCTTTCAAGTCTCTTGCTGCCCCCAGCTCTAGTCCAAGATGCTTTTAACAGCAAGGATTATTGCCCTGCTCATCCTGGTGTTCCCAAGCCCCGGGTTCACCCTTGGTGGTTAGGAAACATGTGACCAAGCGAACCAATGCCCCAACCGTCTACCTTGGTCACTATCAGATGTACATGGCAATGACATTTTATAAGAGCAAAATGTTGTCAATAATCTAAAACTCCAACAATGGGAAAATGGTTATGTAAACTGTGGTTCCTACCCATAGGATGAATATTAAAATACCTGCGAATGGTGAGCTTCTAGTAAGAAAATACTCAAGTGACAATAAGAAGAGAAAAAGTAGGCTAAAGATATATACACCCTAAGACTAAGCAATTTCACTCCTAGGTGTACGCCCGACAGGTATAAATACACACGTTCCCTAAGAAAGCAGGCCCAAGAGTCTTCATAGCACTGTATGTAACAGCCAGCAACTGATGGATACAGAAATTGTTGTTTGTTCACACAATGGAATACTATGCAGCTATGAAAAGGAACAAATTATAAGTACACACCACAGGACAGAGAAATCTCACCAATTTTAAACCAAAGTCAGACACAAAAAGAAGTACAGGAGCAGCACTATTCAGTCTCCAAAAGGCAGCAACAACCCAAATGTCCATCAGTGAATGAATGGATAAACACACGTGGTACATCCATACGATGAAATATGACTTGACCTTAGTTAGGAATGGAGTACTGAGCTACGCTACAATGTGGGTGAACTTCCAAAACACTAGGCTAAGAGGAAGAAGCCAGACACAAAGGTCACATATTATATGGTTCCATTTACATGAAATATCCAGAAGAGGTAAATCCATAGAGACAGGAAGCAAATTGGTGGCTGTTGGAGGCTAGGAGGAGGGGCTGCTGGGGAGTGACTCTTTCACGGGTGCAGTGTCTCTTTTGGGGGTGATAAAAATGTTCTGGAACGAGACAGAAGTGGTGGTGGCACAACATGGTGAATGTACTAAATACCATGGAATTGTTCACTTTTTTTTTTGAGACGAAGTCTCACTCTTGCCGCCCAAGCTAGAGTGCAGTGGTGCAATCTTGGTTCACTGCAACCTCTGCCTCTTGGGTTAAAGCGATTCTCCTGCCTCAGTCTCTTGATTAGGTGGGATTATAAACGCCTGCCACCACACCTGGCTAATTTTTGTATTTTCAGTAGAGACGGGGTTTCACCATGATGGCCAGGCTGGTCTCGAACTCCTCATCTCAGGCAATCTGCCCACCTCAGCCTCCCAAAGTGCTGGGATTGCAGGCATAAGCCACCGCGCCCAGCCCTATTTTATTTTTTATTTTTATTTTTTTGAGACGGAGTCTTGCTCTGTCACTCAGGCTGGAGTGCAGTGGTGCTATCTTGGCTCTCGGCAACCCCTGCCTCCCGGTTTTAAGTGATTCTCCTGCCTCAGCCTCCAGAATATCTGGTATTACAGGTGCACACCACCATGCCCAGCAAATTGTTTTGTGTCTTTAGTAGAGACAGGGTATCACTATGTTGACCCGGCTGGTCTTGAACTCTTGAGCTCAAGTTATCCACCTACCTTGGCCTCCCAAAGTGCTGGGATTACAGACATGAGCCACCATGCCCGGCCAATTGCTCACGTTAAAATGGTTATTTTTACATATGAGAATTTCATCTCTTAAAAAAAAGAGTATGCGGTGAATGATTCCATTTATATAAAGTTTACAAAAGGAACTGGATGTGACTTCTACTGCCAACCAAATAGGAGTAATGAAGACTGGGTTTAACCTCCCACGTGGAGCAGCTGGTAACCCAGATGACACAGGCTCAACAATGGTTCCCAAGACACAGACATCAGGCAATCCAAGACGATGAACCCCAAGAGATGTAAACAAGCAAGATGAGCTCAACTTCCTGCCTGGAGACAGTGTCCAGGCTGTGGTGCAAGGAGGGGGAATGGAGGCTGAGCCAGGGGACTCCCTGAACTGAGGAGCTGGGGGTATGGGGAGTCCCTGGCAGCTGGACTTTGCAGGACAGGATACCAGAGATGAGAGAGCTGAACAGAGAGCATGCTCGCAGGTCTGCAGAAGGTCCTACGAGAATCTCTGTAACATCCCATCAGGCAAAAATTTCTGAGATGTAACAGTCAAAGCTCTATCAGCCAAAGAAACTAATAAACTTGACTTCATGAAAATTAAGACTTCCTGCTATTTTTTGGAAGACACCATTGAGAGAACAAAAAGATACACCACAGACTGGGAGAAAATATTTCTGAGTTACATATCTGATGAAGAACTTGTTTCTGGTCAGCCATGGTGGGTCACACCTGTAATCCCAGCACTTTGGGAGGCTGAGGCAGGAGGATCGCTTGAGGTCAGGACTTCAAGATCAGCCTGGGCAACACAGTGAGACCCCATCTCAACAAAAAGAGAAAAAAACTTAGCCAGGTGTGGCAGTACTGCCTATAGTCCCAGCTACTCAAGTGGCTGAGGCTGGAAGATCACTTGAGCCCAGCAGGTCAAGGTTGCAGTGAGCTATGATCACACCACTGCACTCCAGCCTGCATGACAGAACCAGACCTCAACTCAAAAAAAAAAAAAAGGAAAAAGAAAAAATCAACAACTTGTTTCTGGAGTATAGAAAGAATTCTCAAAACTCAGTAATAAGAAAACAAGCCAACAAAATAAGATGAGCAAAAGATTTGAATGTACATTTCACCAAAGAAGACGTACAATAGCAAATGAGCACATGAAAAGATTATCAATGTCATTAGTCATTAGGGAAATGCAAATTAAAGCCACGAGATACCACAACGCATTATTAGAATGGCTAAAATTAAAAAGTCTAACCATATCGAGTGTTGGTGAGGATGTGGAGAAACTGAAACTCTCACACAATGCTGGTGGGAATGCAAAAATAGTACAACCACTTGGGAGAATGGTTTAGCAGCTTTAGAAAAATTTAAACATATACCTACCATATGATCTAGCCACACCTACTAATTATTCAAGAGAAACAAAAGCATATGCCTAAAAACTTGTACACAAATATTCATAGCAGCTTTCTTTTTAATAGCCAAACCCTGGAAACAGCTCGAATGTCAATCAACAGGTGAATGGAGAAACAAACTGTGGTATATCTATACAATGGAATACCATTAAGCAATAAAAAGAAAGAAACTATGTTATAACCTATAGCATGGGTGAGTCTCAGAATAATTATGCTGAATAAAAGAAGCCAAACAAAAAAGAGTACATGCTTTTTTTAAAAAGGACATGTTGGCAAGCGCAGTGGCTCACACTTGTAATCCCAGCACTTTGAGAGGCCAAGGCAGGAGGATTACTTGAGCCCAGGAGGTTGATACCAGCCTGGGCAACATAATGAGACCCTGTCTGTACAACTTTTAAAAAAAAAAAAAAAACTAGATAGGCATGATGGCACATGCCTATAGTCCCAGCTACTCCGGAAGCTGAGGTGGAAGGATTGTTTGAGCCTGGGGGGCAAAGGTTGCAATGAGCCAAGATCATGCCACTGCACTCCAGCTTGGGTGACAGAGTGAGACTGTCTCAAAAAAAAGGACATGCTGTGTGATCTAATTTACATAATATTCTAGAATATGCAAAGAAGTCTATGGTGACAGAAAGCCTCTCACTAGTTTCTGGGGACAGAGGAGAAGCAGGAGGAAGGGACTTTTTTTTTTTTTTTTTTTTTTTTTTTTTTTGAGACAGACTCTCGCTCTGTCGCCCAGGCTGGAGTGCAGTGGCGTGATTTCGGCTCACTGCAAGCTCCGCCTCCCGAGTTCACACCATTCTCCTGCCTCAGCCTCCCAAGCACCTGGGACTACAGGCACCCACCACCACGCCTGGCTAATTTTTTGTATTCTTAGTAGAGACAGGGTTTCACCATGTAAGCCAGGATGGTCTTGATCTCCTGACCTCGTGATCCGCCTGCCTCGGCCTCCCAAAGTGCTGGGATTACAGGCGTGAGCCACTACGCCCGGCCGCAGGAAGAGATTATTAAGGATCTGGAAGAGACTTTTGGGAGTGATGGGTATGTTCATAAGCTTTATCATGGTGATGATCTCATGAGTGTGTACATGGGTCAGAATGTATCAAACTGTACACCTTAACCATGTACTAGTGTTCACCGTGTGTCAATTAGACCTCAATAAATCTCACTTTTAAAAAGTAGAACAAACTGATGCTGCCAGAAGTCAGAAGAGTGGTTACTCCTGGTTAAGGATGGGTATTAACAAGAACAGGAGTACAAAGGGGAGGGTGGGAGCTGAAGATGGTCTGGGTGCTGGTGACATGGGTGTATTGAGGTGGTGGACAGGCAGGCTGTACACTTACAACTTAGGGACTTTTCCATGCATAGGATCTATTTCAAGCAACAGTTTTTCCAAATAAAGCCAGCTACCAGTGGACTACTCAGATTTGAACCAGCCACTTAATTCTGCAAGGAGGAGGCAGAGTCAGAGTTCACGGACACCCAAGTCTCAGGTTCAAAAGTCCACGCATGAAGCGGGGTGGGCCTGCCTGGGGGAGTACAGTGGGTGTGGCCACCTCCCTTACCTTCTGCTGTAGGTATCTCATCCTTCTGTCTCTGTCTCCTGGACACTCGGGGCTGGCTGGCTGTGGTGCAGGCCCTGGTTCTGGCCCTGGGGGTTCCTCTGGCTCAGGCTCTCTCCCGTCTTCCTGACCCCAGAATGACTTCCTGCCAAACAGCCTGTGAGCAATTTCCTCAGCATTTTCCAGCCGGAGCCCAAGCTGGGAAGGGAAGCCACAGGCTCAGGGAGGAACAATTCAGTCACAGGGGTGATGATGAGCTGTTAGGCTGGGGATATGAATGGAGGACCCAGAAGGCTTGAGCACGGCACTCCAGGCTCCCTGGTGCCCACCTGGGCTGAGGTTCGGGGACACAACCTTGGGAAATCCACCAATCTCTCTGTATCTACTTGGTAGATGCCACACGGTAAGAATTCTTGCCAATTCTTTAAGGCTTGGTTCAAATGTCATCACCTGTGGGAAGCCCTCCCTGAACTCCCATGTCACTCTCTTCCCACCTCCTCTGCCCCACACACAATATACTCAGACTGGAATGTGTGTCTTCCTCGAAAGATCCAGGATGAGGGCAAGGGCTCGTGTATCAATCACTAGGCACCTGCACGACCTCCCCTGGATGGGGGGGAGGGTTTCAAAATTTGATAGGTGAATAAATGGATCTTTCCTTCTGTCCCTCCCGTCTTCCATCTGCCCGTCCGCGCACCCCTCTCTTCACCTATCCTTTCATCCTTCCCACGCATCCATCCATCCATCTGCCTCTCCACCTTCCATCTTTTCTTTCCTTTGTTCTATCCATCCTTATTCCTATCCATCCATCTGCTTTTCCTTTCTTATGGACCCCTCTCCTTCTATCTATTCTTTCTTCCCTTTTTCCATCCAGACATCTCTGATAGCATTTTCAGAGAAGTCACCAGAGACCAGCCCTTGGCAATGACTGGTGAGTGGATGGATGGATAATAGATGGATGTGTGACTCAGAGGATGAAAGATGGATGAGTGGGAAAACAGATGAATAGATAGGTAGGTAGACAGAGATGGATGGGAAATTACAGGGCTGGATGGACACACAGATGGACAGATGGGAGGGTGGGTATGTCCATGTATGGGTAGGAGGGTGGACAGATGAATAAGTGAATGGATGGATGGGTGGGTGGGTGGTTTGGTAAATGGATTGAGTGAATAGATGGATGGATGTATGGATGGATGGATGTATGGATGGATGGACGGATAGATGGATGAATGATACATGGGTAGACAGATGATGGGTGGGTAGACGAATGAATGATGGCTGGATAGATGATGGGAGGGTGGGCGGATAAATGATGGGTGGGTGGATGAATGGATGATGGGTGGGTGGGTGTGTGGTTTGGTAAATGGATTGAGTGAATAGATGGATGGATGGAGGGATGGATGGATGGATGGATGGATGAATGGTACATGGGTAGACAGATGATGGGTGGGTAGATGAATGAATGATGGCTGGATAGATGAATGAATGATGGCTGGGTGGGTGTGTGGTTTGGTAAATGGATTGAGTGAATAGATGGATGGATGGATGGATGGATGGATGGATGGATGAATGGTACATGGGTAGACAGATGATGGGTGGGTAGATGAATGAATGATGGCTGGATAGATGAATGAATGATGGCTGGATAGATGATGGGAGGGTGGGTGGATAGATGATGGGTGGGTGGATGAATGGATGATGGATGGGTGGATGGGTGGGTGGGTGGTTAGATGAATGGATGATGGGTGGGTGGGTGGTGGGTGGGTTGGATGAATGGATGATGGGTGGGTAGGTGGATGGGTGGATGAATGGATGATGGGTGGGTGGTAGGATGAATAGATGATGGGTGGGTGGATGAATGGATAATGGGTGGGTGGGTGGATGGATGAATGGATAATGGGTGGGTGGGTGGGTGGTTGGATGAATGGATGATGGGCGGGCGGGTGGGTGGTTGGATGAACGGATGATGGGCGGGTGGGTGGATGAATGGATGATGGGTGGGGGGGTGGGGGGCTGGATGAATGAATCATGGGTGGGTGGTAGGATGAATGGATGATGGGTGGGTGGATCAATGGATAATGGGTGGGTGGGTGGGTGGATGGACGAGATGAATGAGAGGGATGTGCGTGGATGGACGGATGGACAGATGAGCAGGTCAGTGGATAGATGGAAGGAGGGAGGGAGGGATGGAGTGATGGAGGCATGTAGGTGAATTGATAGATGTATGGACATATCTATGGGCAGGTGGGTGACTAGATATTAGGGGAGGAGATTGAACAATGGAGGCAAGGGATGGATGGACAGACAGGTAAGTGACTGGGATATTTTTTGGCCCAAGTCTAGGAGAGGCCCTGCAGAGGCTATAGCAAGGCTCCCCTCTAACCTCCAGAAGGTTGAAGGCACGGCCCATGGTGTGGATGGTCAGGTTGACTGTGGCAGAACGGGGAAGAAAGGAGGCAGGAGAGAAGAGAAGGGTCCCCTCCAGGTTGGCTCCCAGGCTGCCAGACACTAGGAGTAAGACAAGAACATCAGTACACTCTGTACACTCACAGAGTGGGGTCTGGCTATTACCACAGGGCCATACCCTGAGACAGGGCCAGATACATGGTGTGTCTTCCCACCCCTCCCTGGCCAGGATGGGAAACAGCCTTTAAGCCTTTTCAAGAACAGAGGGAGTCCAGGACACAGAGTCACACACACCCACTTCTGCTGACAGGCAGAGAGGAGGTGCCCAGAGCACCCGACCCCCAACCCCAGGCTTCCCAGAATGGCTGAGGTAGTTTTGGAGCCTTAGGTTGAAAGAGATTCCCTTTTTTATTTTCTGTTTAATTACAACAAAGAGGCAGTCTCAGTGTGGGGCTAATCTCTTTTCTTAACACAGGAAAAAACACTTCTCACAATTCACAGCCCTCAGCAAGCCACAGAATCCAGGAGAATTTAATAAAACAGTGTTTCCGCCAGGCACAGTGGCTCATGCCTGTAATCTCAGCTTTGGGAGGCCGAGGTAGGCAAATCACTTAAGGCCAGGGGTTCGAGAGGAGCCTGGCCAGCATGGTGAAACCCCATCTCCACTAATAAAAATACAAAAATTAGCCGGGCATGGTGGTGCGCGCCTGTAGTCCCAGCTACTCGGGAGGCTGAGGTAGAAGAATCACTTGAACCCTGGAGGCAGAGGTTGCAGTGAGACAAGATTGTGCCACTGTACTCCAGCCTGGGCAATAGGGCGATAGTCCATGTCAAAAAAAAAAAAAAATCAGTGTTTCGTTACCCGCCTCTTGGTGTACAGTACTCCTTTTTAGGACTACCTTCTCTTTACAGAGAGTTAAGGTGATTTTCTATTAATGGTAGTGATAGACAATTTCCTCTTTAACAAAAATATAAGGTACAAACAGCCAATTTAGAGAAAAGATGTAAGTATTCAGCTGAATGCCATAAAATAACTGATATGACTTCTGTCTTCCAAAAAAAGCAGCAGGTGCTATGAAAATATTCCAAAAATATTTTTGAACAAGCAGCATGTAAGTTTTTTGTTGTTGTTGTTTGTTTGTTTTGTTTTTTTTGAGACAGGGTTTACTCTGTCACCCACGCTGGAGTGCAGTGGTGCAATCATGACTCACTGCAGACTTGACCTCCTGGGCTCAAGCAATCCTCCTGCCTCAGCCTCCCAAAGTGCTGGGATTACAGGTTTCAGCCACCACACCCAACTGACATGTAAATATTTGACCCCTTGACACAACGTCTGATCCACATGCTCTCAAGAGCTGGAGCTCCAGGGTCCCCCAGCCTTTGTGGTTCCAGAGCAGGACAGGGGCTGCCCAGGATGGCCATACCTGATCGGAAGGTGACATCAGAATAGGACGAGTGTTTCCACATTTCTGGGTGGAACTCCTGGCTGAGGATGTCCTCGGGGAGGGTGTCCCGGAGGGCCCGTTTCAGGGGGTCGTGCGTCTCCAGCAGCTGCAGGATGTGACTCCACACAAAAGAACCCACTGGAATAGAGTCGTGGGCAGCAGGGAGGGGCCGTGAGGAAAGGGCCAGGAGCTGGCGCTGTCCAGAGAAAAGACCCTCCCGACCCCCATCCCAGTCCTGCAATTCCCACGCACGGGGGCTTCTCAGGAGTCTGGCTACAGAGACCTACGTCTTCTCTCAAACAGCAGCCAACAAGTCGTGCCTGAACAGAACTTGGAAATCCAGCCCGTGTATGGAATTCTGACACACTTCCCAGAAGAGAAAGGAAGGTGTCATGGACTCAAAAGTCAGACCTGAGTCTGAATCCAGTCCCAAAGCTCAAAACCTGTGTGACCTTGGGGTGGTCCCTCTGCCTCTCCGAGCCTCAGTTTCCTCATCAGTGAAAATGAGAAGTCAGACCTGATTTCAAATCCTAGTTCCACCATGTACCACTGTGGCCTGAGATGGTCACTCCAGCTCTTGGAACCTTAGTTTTCTCATCTGAAGAAGGAACTAACAAAGTATCTTGCAGGGCTTTTTGGGAAGATCAGTTAAAAGCAGAGCCTGGACCTAAAAAGACTAAGCACATTTCAGCATCAACAAAAGGTGACATGTGACCCATGAAGGTCCCTGGAGGGATAAAGATCAAATAAGAGCCTCAGGGGACTGAATCCAACGGGAATATTAGAGTCCTACAGGGAGCCCCCAACCCTCCCCCCATTGTCTCAGGCTCTTAGAAGGTCCAGTCAGGGGCTTCTGGAACAATCTATCACAGAATAGAGCAGAATGTGGGTTTTTAGGGATAAGGTGCCCACTTATTCCCACTGGACAATATATCAGGTGGTACCCCAGGGCCACTGTGGAGGCTGAGCCCCTCAGCTGATCCCCTGAGGAGGGGTTTAGCACACATCACACCCCATGCCTGAAACTGCCAAGGCAGAGAGGTGTATCTTCCAATAGTGCCATCTCTTCAGAATGTAATTCAGCAACGTCACATCAGACTTTTAAATGTACACACCCTTTACCATGGCAACTTATCTTCTGGGAAATTATCCTAAAGTGAGATTAACTCAAGGGCCAAAGGTAGCTGTGCAGGTAGGTTTGTGGTTGTTGCTTCTAACGGCAAAAGACCAGAAACAGCCTAAAGGCCTATCAGTGGAGACGGGTAAAATGGGTTATAGTACAAACTTCTGGCGGAACACCCACACAGCCACAGATCAGAGTCCACAAGAGCTATAGATGAGAGACAAGCTCCTAGACATGCTAAAGACAAAAAGCAAGCAGCAGGCTGGACCCAGTGGCTCATCCCTGTCATCTCAAGCACTTTGGGAGGCTGAGGTGGATGGATCACCTGAGGTCAGGAGTTCGAGACCAGCCTGGCCCACATGGCAAAACCATCTCTACTAAAAGAATACAAAAATTAGCCGGGCATGGTGGTGTGCAGCTGTAATCCCAGCTACTCAAGAGGCTGAGTCAGGGGAATTGCCTGAACCCAGAAGGCAGAGGTTGCAGTGAGCCACAACTGTGCCATTGCACTCCAGCCTGGGCAACAGAGTGAGACTCTGTCTCGAAAAAAAAAAAAAAAAAAAAAGTCCGGGCGCAGTGGCTCACACCTGTAATCCCAGCACTTTGGGAGGCTGAGGCGGGCAGATCATGAGGTCAGGAGATTGAGACAATCCTGGCTAATGTGGTGAAACCCCGTCTCTACTAAAAGAATACAAAAAATTAGCTGGGCGAGGTGGTGGCCACCTGTAGTCCTAGCTACTTGGGAGGCTGAGGAAGGAGAATGGCATGAACCCGGGAGGCAGAGCTTGCAGTGAGCCAAGATCACACCACTGCACTCCAGGCTGGGTGACAGAGCGAGACTCCGTCTCAAAAAACAAAACAAAACAAAAAAGCCAAGAGCACAACAGCAAGTAGAACATGATCCTGAGAGGCTATTGTTAAGGAGATACGTGTGTATGTTTACCTATGTATTACAAGTTCTGATGTAATACACAGGAGAACTGTTCACAGTGTGTATCTTCAGGACATAGGAAAATACTGGGGGGAAGAGGAAGGAAGACTAATTTTCCATTTGTCCCTTGCCTATGCTTTAAAATTTTGACTATACAGCTACACTGCATTAATAATAATAGCAGTAGTGATAACAACATTAAAAGCAACAGTCACACATATGGCACTTACTATGCTTTCTAAATGTCTTTGTGTATTAACTCATTTTATGCTCACAACACTCTATGAGGGAGGTACTAGCATTATCCCTATTTTACAGGTACAGAAATGGAGGCTCACAAAGGTTTACTTACTTGTCTAAAGGCATACAGGAAGGAAGAGGTGAAGCTGGGATTTGAACCTGGGTTCTCAGGCTCCAGGCTCTCACCCCACTGTGCATTATGGAAAATTTTTCAACAATCAGTTGAACTTATTTTTTTGAATTTACATCTTTGCGTTCAGGTGCCTGTATAAAGGGAATTGTCTCACTCCAGAAGGGATCTAGATTTGCCGACGCCATCCCTCTTCTATCTTAGGTCTCTCTTTAGGATACTGTGTCGTGATCTGGCCAGAGCTAAAAGAGGCCTCACTGATTCCCATCCTATTTTACAGATGAGGAAACTGAGGACCAGAGAGGAGAAGCAACTTCTCCAAAGTCATCCAATGGCAGAATGGGGACTGGAATTGCCATGTGGGGGAGGGGAGAATACATAGCCCCTTATCTAGACAGTGTGGTAGAGAAACAGGGGAACAAGAACACAGCAGAATACCAAAGGGGTGGAGGGAGAGGATGCTCTCAAATCCCCTGCACTCTTCAGGAGGTGCCCTCCCAGCCCCACCCCTGCCCACACCCCTCCCACACACACACCCATGGCTCACCCTGGGTGGAGAGCTCGCCTGCCTGGGTGCGCCGCACCTGGGCAAACACCTCCTCACTGGGGCATCTCATCAGGGCCAGGTAGGCATTGATACGGATCTCAGCATCCTCCTCCAGGGATTGGTATAGACGGGAGAGCACCGATCTCTGGCTTGGGCAGAAGGAAAGCCATCACCCAAGGCCTACCTACCTCCACCCAGGAGTATGATGTCCCTGGCTGCAGCAGGTGGACCTGCTGCCTAGCCCCAGCTGTCCTGATGCCCCTACTGCGGGAGGCTTCCCCGACACACACTCACCTGTGGCGCAGCTGTGGGAGGTAGCAGGGGTTCACTGACCTTGCCTAATTCCCAGTCTCTACCAGCCCCAGCCTAGAGCCTCATCAATTCCCCAACAAATGGGCATGGCTACGTTCCAATAAAACTATTTACGAAAACAGCATAGTGTCTCGCCACACAGGAGGCCTTTAAATGTCTTGGCCTTCCTAGGCAATTCCTAAGCAATTCACCTCCCCACATTGTGACTCCCTCAATACCTATTGGCTTCCTCCACAGCCAGCCAGCCAGCCAGCCACCCACCCACCCACCCATCTATCCATTCACCCATCCACCCACCCATCATCCATCCACCCACCCATCCATCCATGCAACAAATATTAACATAAGCAACAACTATGCACTCAGCACTGTGCTAGGTGACAGCCATAAACAAGACCAACTCAGCCCCTGTCCACCTGAAGCTGGTATCCTAGTGCAGGGAGACAGTCAATGAGATTAGCATGTGAAATACATAAAAAGTTAGGTGGTGGCCGGGCGCGGTGGCTCATGCCTGTAATCACAGCACTTTTGGGAAGCCGAGCTGGGAGGATCATGAGGTCAGGAGATCGAGACCATCCTGGCTAACACGGTGAAACCCCATCTCTACTAAAATTACAAAAAAATTAGCCGGGCGTGGTGGCGGGCACCTGTAGTCCCACCTACTCAGGAGGCTGAGGCAGGAGAATGGCGTGAACCCAGGAGGCAGAGCTTGCAGTGAGCGGAGATGGTGACACCGCACTCCAGCCTGGGTGACAGAGTGAGACTCCGTCTCAAAAAAAAAAAAAGTTAGGTGGTAATAAACCCTAAGGAAGGGAAAATGAAATGGGGAAACAGGACCAGAGCCAGGGGGACCTGGGAGGTTCAATTTCAGGTGAAATTGTCAAGGGAGACCTCACAGTGAAAGTGCCTTTTAAGCTAAGACGTACAGGATGTGAAAAAGAAAGGCCTGGGGACATCTGGAGGAAAAGTGTACCAGGAAAGAGCATGTGCAAAGGGCCTGGGGCAAGAGAGGGTCACAAGTGTTTGAGGAAGAACAGAAAGGGCAATGTGCTGGGGAGGAGGGATGGGAGGTGACAGGAGCAGGTGAGGCCCAGAGGTCAGATCCCTCAGGGCCTGGGAAGTCAATGAAGGGACTGTAACTTTGACTCTGAGTAAGAAGGGAGGTAGTGGTCCAGGGATTAGCAAACTTTTTCTGTAAAGGGACAGAGAACTCTTTTAGACTCTGCAGGCCATGCGGTCTCTTGCAATGACTTGACTCTGCAGGTGGAGCAGGAAAGCAGCCATAGATAACACCTAAGTGAGTGGGCATGCCTGTGTTCCGATAAAACTTTATTGAGAAAAACAGACCAAGGGCCAGGTAGTGGCCCATGGCCCGTAGTCTGCCAAACCCTGTACTAGAGGGGGCACAGATGGCACTGGTAATCATATGGTTGTGTTTTTGATAAATAATCTGCTTCCCACACTACACACAGGCTTAGACCTGGATACCTGTTCACACTAGTACCCAGCCCACAGTAGGTGCTCATTAAATACATGATGAATGAACAACTGAATAAGTGAATTAGCAAACTGTGGTTCGAGACCCACCACCACCCAACCCCAACCCCATGAAACAGCACACAAGGGCTCACGTCTGCAGAGCAGGGGACCCTTCGGAAGGCCTGGATGGCCCCCAGCCGGATCTCGGGTGTGCTGCTTCTCAGAGATGCACAGGCACTCAACGTAGGGGTGAGAGCCATGGCTGCCAAGCCCGCGTTGCCGACTGCCTTCAGCACAAGCTGGAGCTAAATCGAGATGGAGGTAGGACCATGAGGGGCAGTGGCGTGGGGGGCGGGGCAGTGGCGTGGGGGGCGGGGCAGTGGCGTGGGGGGCGGGGCAGTGGCGTGGGGGGCGGGGCAGTGGCGTGGGGGGCGGGGCAGTGGCGTGGGGGGCGGGGCAGTGGCGTGGGGGGCGGGGCAGTGGCGTGGGGGGCGGGGCAGTGGCGTGGGGGGCGGGGCAGTGGCGTGGGGGGCGGGGCAGTGGCGTGGGGGGCGGGGCAGTGGCGTGGGGGGCGGGGCAGTGGCGTGAGGGGCGGGGCAGTGGCGTGGGGAGGGGCAGTGGCGTGGGGGAGGGGGCAGTGGCGTGGGGGGAGGCAGTGGCCTGGGCGGGGGCAGTGGCATGGGATAGGCAGTGGTGTGGGGGGTGGGCTGTGAAGGGCATTTACCCACCTTCTCGGGGTAGGGGCCAATTTCTGTCCCCAGCCACGCTCCAGACCCCGCGGGCCAGCCTGGCGCCTTCCTGGGCATCTCAGCCCATTCCCCCTTCCCCCCTTCACCCCACCCCCACTCAGTGGTGTTGGGGGGCAGTGGTGTGGGGGGGGCAGTGGTATAGAAGGGGCAGTGGCGTGGGGGGGCAGGCAGGAGGGTGAGGAGACGGGTTGAAGTGGGGAAGGGGGAATGAGGGATAGGAGGAAGGGGCAAAGGGGGGAACCCACCCCCACCCTCTCCACCTGGAGCTTGCCTGATTCGCTTCGGCCCCACTGGGGGCACTGAAGCCGGTACTCAGGACACTGGATGTCCTCACCTTGTCATCATCCGAGGGCTCCTGGATGGTACAGTTCTCACCCAAGGCGTCTCCCAGGATCCTCACTAGGGAGCCGACTCCAGGCAGCTGGCCGCAGGGCCCGTCCAGAGAAGCACAGAGGTTGTGCACCAGGGCTGAGATGCCCAGGAAGGCGCCAGGGCTGGCCCTCGGGGTCTGGAGCAGTGGCTGGGGACAGAAATCGGCCCCCACCCGAGGTGGTGGGTAAATGCACTTCACAGGCCTCACCCTGGCCACACACCGACTCACCTGGGCAACTTCATAATACAGAGCTGAGTCCCCCAGAGTCTGAACAAATTGCTCTTTTCAGGGAACATTTTAAAAGCACCCCAGAGGCCAGACACGGTGGCTCATGCCTGTAATCCCAGCACTTTGGGAGGCCAAGGCAGGTGGATCACCTGAGGTCAGGAGTTCGAGACCAGCCTGGCCAACATGGCAAAACCCCGTCTCTACTAAAAACACAAAAATTAGCCGAGCATGGTGGTGTGTGCCTGTAATCCCAACTACTCGGGAGGCTAAGGCACAAGAATCCCTTGAACCCGGGAAGCAGAGGCTGCAGTGAGCTGAGATTGTACCACTGCACTGCACCCTGGGTGGCAGAGCGAAACTCTGTCTCCAAAAAAAAAAAAAAAAAAGAAAACAAAACAAAAAAGGCACTCCATGTGGCCCACGACTCAGACGCCCAGCTACCCTCACTCCAGGGCTTCAGTGAAAGGAAGGCAAACAGGAGGGGGTTCAGGACACAGCTGCTCCCTGCCCCAGGCACCTCAGAGAAATCAGACCAACAAATCTTTTTTTTTTTTTTTAAGATGGAGTCTTGCTCTCTCATTCATCCTGGAGTGCAGTGGCCCTATCTAGGCCCACTGCAACCTCCACCTCCTGGGTTCATGTGATTCCCCTGCCTCAGCCTCCCACGTAGCTGAGATTACAGACACGTGCCACCACCCTTGGCTCATTTTTCTATTTTTAGTAAAGCCGGGTTTCACCATGTTGGCCAGGCTGGTGGTGAACCCCTGACCTCAAGTGATCTGCCCGCCTCGGTCTCCCAAAGTGCTGGGATTACAGGCATGAGCCACCGTGCCTAGTCTAGACCAACAAATCTTAGTAAACAAACTGTGTTCACTACAAGCCAGACTGCTGATAACATGTCACACACGTTGCCTTTCTTATCATTCCCATTTTGCAGAGCAGGAAGCTGAGACACAGGAAGCTGAGACACAGAAAGGGTAAGGGACGTGCCTCAGGTAGCCCACAGCTATAGATAGAACTGAGACTTAACCCAGGAGAGGCTGGCTCCCAGGCCAGGCATGATACCAACACTCACGGCTTCTCAAAATGCAAATTCTGGGCTCACTCTAAAATCCAGCCCTGGGGCCCTGGCTGTGAACAGGGGCCTCTGTGCTAGACCCACGTCACTCCAGAACAGGGACTGCTTGGCAGCTGTGGAGAAATAAAATCTCTGCCTAGCTCTGTCCTTTTTTTTTTTTTCTCGAGATGGAGTCTTGCTCTTGTCACCCAGGCTGGAGTCCAGTGGCACAATCTCAGCTCACTGCAACCTCTGCCTCCTGAGATCAAGTGATTCTCCTGCCTCATCTTCCTGAGTAGCTGGGATTACAGATGTCTGCCACCACGCCTGGCTAATTTTTGTATTTTTAGTAGAGATGGGGTTTCACCATATTGGCCAGGCTGGTCTCGAACTCCTGACCTCAGGTGATCTGCCCACCTCAGCCTCCCAAAGTGCTGGGATTACAGGAGTGAGCCACCACGCCCGAGCTGCCCAGCTCTGTTCTTTCTCTGGATTCGTGACTCTTCACCAGATCTGTGTTACTACGCTAGGGTGTGAGCACACTGTGTGAAGGTGTGAACATAAGCATCTGTGTGTGTGCATATTGGTGTGTGCTGTAGAATCCTAGTGCTTGTGGGTGTGTACGTTCCCACTTGGGTGTGCAGGTGTCTCAGCGCACTCGAGTACCCTAGTATGCGTGTATTTCCTGGTGGATGCCTGTGCACACGTGTCCCCATGTGGGCATCTCGTGTGTCCCATTGGATGTGTGCATGTGCCCATGCGTCCAGGTGCGTGTGTGTGTACTGTGTGTCCCTTGTGTGCCCACGCACAGCCCAGTGTGTCTTGGTGTGCCTATGCATGTGTCCAGGTGTGGGTGGCTGTCTCCACACGTCCCACTGGGTGAGTGTCCTACTGTGTGTATGTGCATGTCCTGCCATGTCTTCACATGTGCATACACTGGGGTGTATATCTGCATCTCCAGGTACGTGAGTCTTGGCGTGTATGCCTCAATGTGTGTGTGTGTGTGTGTGTGTGTGTGTGTGTGTGTGTGTGTGTCTTGACAGGTCTATGGTGTGGGTGTGTGTCCGTGCATTTCCCCATGTGGGTGTCCTGGGAAAGCCTGCCTCAGTGTGAGCCTGCAACAGTGTGTGTAGGTCTGTGTGTGTACACGTGATCCAGCATGTGTGTGCATATCCCTGTGTGTTTGTGTGTCCCTGTGCCTTGGTGTGAGCCTGTGTCAGTGTACGTGCAGGTCTGTGCATGTACACATGATCCAGTGTGCGTGTGCACGTCCCAGTGCAATGGGTGCCTGCTTCAGTGTGTGTGGGTTGTGTCCCATGTGTGTACACGTGCGCTCAGGATGCATGCGTGTGGGTCTTGGCGTGTGCATCTCACTGCATATTTTCTTTGTGAAAGGACAGGGGTGTGTGGAGCCTGGAAAAAGCACATTCAATGTTTCCCTATATTTGAGCAAAGAAAACAAAGCTGTCTGTTTTCTTAATACAGAGCAGGGCAAGCGGGCTTGGCTGGGAGGGCAGGGGTTATAAAAAGACTAAGAAGCTCTCCGGCACATGGGAGGGGCCGCCTGCTGGAGGTTCCCGCCTCTGACTGCTTTGCCCAAGAAAGGCGGCGGGGGCACAGACAGGGCAGGCTCGGGCCTGTCCCAGACCAAAGCTGGAGCCAGAAGCCTGGTCACAGCCTGCAGGGCTGTGGGGCAGGCTGGTGCCACTTGGCTGGCAGAGAGCCCAGATCTGTGAGCCACTTCCGGTGGCCCTGCCAGGACAACTGGGCCAGCATGAGGCCTGGGTGCTGAGCAGTCCACACAGTAATGACCCAGTTGGTTCTGTGTATGGCTGCCCGGGGGATGAACCCAGAAGGGCCAGCCTTCCCTGTTTTCACAAAAACCAGAAACCACATCGCAAAGAGAAGAACAAACAATTTTGAAAGGGAAATAAATTTAAAAAAAAAATGGGAGGAGAAGAAAACAATCTTAATGCAAAAATCTCTAACGAAGGCTTACTTACACTTCAGTTAGAAGTCTGTTTAAAATACTCACTTTTTCATTTTTAAAGATGGAAAAATAAAATTACCCTCAAACCTGTGACCCTTATTAAGCTGATTTCACTTTTCCAACATGATTCTAAAGCTCAGTCATCATGCTCAAACCAACCCTCCCTGAAAAGCTAAGAAAACAGAACTGGGAGAAGACAAGCCAGGAAGCACTGGGACCTGGGGGAGATCAAACACCAGCTACAAAGCATCAAGAAGCCACACTTCACCAACATGAAGAACTTTTGTTCATTGAAAGACACCATTAAGAAGGCCGGGCGCAGTGACTCATGCCTGTAATCCCAGCACTTTGGGAGGCCGAAGCAGGCAAATCACATGAGCTCAGGAGTTCGAGATAAGCCTGGCCAACATGGTGAAATCCCATTTCTACTAAAAATACAAAAAAATTAGCCGGGCCTGGTGGTGTGCATCATAATCCCAGCTACTCAGGAGGCTGAGGCACGAGAATCACTTGAACCCGGGAGGTGGAGGTTGCAGTGAGCCGAGATTGCGCCACTGCACTCCAGCCTGGGCAACAGAGCGAGACTCCGTCTCAAAAAATAATAATGATTAAATAATTAAATAAATAAATAAAATTAATCCGAAATTAAAAGTTCATTAAAATACTCTCTCCCTGCTTGCCCCTCACTCCCCACTTCCCACCCCCCTCCTCTCCCCAGGCTTCACGAACCCGGTGCATTCCCAGAACCTGCCAGGGCTCATGCAGGGCCTTGCTGACTCGATGACAGAACAAGAAAATACAGCCCAGAGAGGCATGAGCTCTGGCCTGCACATGGAACATCACATGTGAGGCAGGTAGAGGAAGCTTCTGGGCTCCACAAGCCGATCGATGCCACCTGCTTGGCTCAGTGCTGTGTCCCAGACTAATGGCAACAGCCACTTCCCTCCGCACACACCATACAATTCACCTGGTCTGCAAGGTCATTCTACAAAATAGTCCCATTGTCCAGACGGGGAAAATTGAGGCCTGGGAAAGTAAAGTACCTTGCCCAAGGTCCTGCTGGTGAGGAATGGGGCTGGGATCTGAAATGAGGAAGTCCAGATGGGTTTGTGCTCTTAGTTACTGCACATGAATCGAACATATGTACAAATAAACGAGTGAAAGGAGGAAGGGGGGGAGGGGGGAAGGGAGGAAGAGGGGAGGGGGAAGGGAGAAAGGGGGCAAAGAGAGGAAGGGGGGAAGGGAGGCAGAGGGGAGGGGGGAAGGGAGGCAGAGGGGAGGGGGGAGGGAGGCAGAGGGGAGGGGGGAAGGGAGGCAGAGGGGAGGGGGGAAGGGAGGCAGAGGGGAGGGGGGAAGGGAGGCAGAGGGGAGGGGGGAAGGGAGGCAGAGGGGAGGGGGGAAGGGAGGCAGAGGGGAGGGGGGAAGGGAGGGAGAGGGGAGAGGGGGAAGGGAGGCAGAGGGGAATGGGGGAAGGGGAAGGAGACAGACATTTCCAGGGAGATGGGCTAAGCCCAGGGCAGGTCTTGGGTGGTTCTGGCATTCCTGGTGGCCAGCGTGCCACCTGCTAGGCTGTGAACTGTGGGTGATGCCTCTTGGGACCCAATCTGGGCCTGGCTCTGAGTCAGTGCCTGATTCTTGTCTGCTGAGCAGAGCCAACAACACAGTCTACCTGGAACAGCCCCACCTCAAACCCTGCGGTCAGGGGCCAGAAGGCAAGGGCTCCCTATATTCCACCTGGAGGGACAGCCAGGGCTGGACCAGCTCCAGGGGCTCTCAGATCCTGGTAGGGTCCATTCTACCAATGCAGGGGTCTCTGATGCCCCCAGGGACCCCAGCTGCCTGGCACCAGCTGTGTCTTCACTCCCGCTCCCTACCGATGCCATCTGACTTGGCACTCACTATTAGCCGGGACAAGATGGGGAGTGACAGGTGACACCCCCTTGCCCAGGAAAGTGAGGACACACCCCAAGGTCTCAGGTCAGAATTGAGGTGAAGGGCAGAGCAGCTGCAATCCCTTGGGCAAGCTGCCCTACCTCTTTGGGCCTCGGTTTTCTCACCTGCAAAATGGGGTTGATGAGAGCACCTACTTCATAGAGACACCTCAAGGGTTAAATGAGACCTCCACATATCGTAGAAATTATTGACCTCATCTCACACAGATTTCCTAATCTCCAGACTCATTAAATATGTGTGTTTATAAATATAATAGCTCTGATTTCAAGTGCTCAGATTTAGTGCCAGACACCAGGAGAACCACTTCACACACAGCATTTCATTCCTCACTATAAGACCAGGATAGAGGTACCACTGCCATCCTCCTTATAGAGACCAGAAAACAGTCGGGCGTGGTGGCTCACACCTGTAATCCCAGCACTGTGGGAGGCTGAGGTGGGTGGATCACTTGAGGTCAGGAGTTCGAGACCAGCCTGGCCAACATGGCGAAACCCCGTCTCTACTGAAAAAAATACAAAACTTAGCCAGGTGGGGTGGTGCATTCATGTAGTCCCAGCTACTTGGGAGGCTGAGGCAGAAGAATTGCTTGAACCCAGGAGGTGGAGGTTGCAGTGAGCTGAGATCGCACTGCTGCACTCCAGCTTGGGCGACAGAGCAAGACTCCGTCCTAAATAATAATAATAATAATAATAATAATCAGAAAAGAAGCTCAGGAAGGTTAAATCACTTGCCTGGGATCACACAGGTGGGAGGCACATTGCTGACCCTTGAACCCGGAATTCTCTGATACCAAAGGTTGCCTTGAACCCGCCACAGAAGCCCAGGAGGATGGGTGGTCTGGCCTCCTCTGCTTATCCTACGAGGGGCTGGCACAAAAGAACTGATCACCTCCCCCACATCTAACCAGCAGCCAAGCCACGGAGGGAGGACACCGGGGCCCCGGGTGGGGTGCAGGGACTCACCAGCAGCATGTGGACCATAGCATCTGTGGGCTGTGGGAGGAAGGCCAGTGATGAGAGCCACGCCTCCACCTCGTCTGCCTCCACCGCGGCTGATGCGATGAGTTCCTTCATGAGGCCCACACAGTGCTCCGTCCCACAGGAAGGCAGGGCATCCAACAGTGGCTGCCTGAGATCATCAAGGCGACCCACACGTGCTGAGCGCCTGCAAAGCTCATCTCACCGAAGTCACCCGGGGGTAAACTGAGGCTCAGAGAGGTACGGTGCAGACATGCCCACCCTCACACCTTGGGAGGGGCTGACCCGGGTCTGGGACCCCGCAGTCTGGCTGAGGCCCGTGCTCTCAGCACAGCAGCACCCAGCCCAGACCCCGGCAGCTCTACCCACCCAAGAAACACTGGTGTGGGAAAACACAAGTCCGTACCCAGTGCTCTGCTGAAACCCACCCAAGCAAATGTCACCGAGAAGGGGTAAAAATCCCTAGCGGAACAGGAACCAGCAATCAGCAAACAGTCCCTAATTTAAACCTCGAATACTCAGCACAACATCAGGACATTTATTTTTTCTTTTTTTGTGAGTTAGGGTCTCACTCTGTCACCCAGGCTGCAGTGCAGTGGTGCGATCACACCTCACTGTAGCCGCCACCTCCTGGGCTCAGGTGATCCTCCCACTCAGCCTCCCAAGTAGCTGGGACCACAAGTGTTCGCTACCAAGTCGAGCTAACTTTTAAATTTTTTGTAGAGATGGGGGCATTGCTATGTTGCCCAGGCTGGTCTCAAACTCCTGAGCATAGCCGTAAGCTGACTGAGTTAGTGCCTCAGAGATTCCCCTCTGAGATTGGGAGTCTCTTTACCCGCCTTACTAGCCCCAGATCAGCAAGGTCTGGGTGGTGGAATGCCGGCCCTGCCCAGCACCCCCCAGCCCAGACTCTCCACGCCCCCAGCAGGAGGGTACCCTAGGTGCATTGGAATGCTAATTCCAGCAAGAGGGTCCCTGTCTGGGGAAGGGAACAATGGCTGTCTTTATCCGCCAGGCCCTTCAGCTTCTGGTCTCAGGCAGGATAGAGCTTGGACCCCGTGGGAACCTCCAGGCTCCCCACTTAATCTCCTTCTTGGCGCACATTCTCAGACTGAAGGACAAGTCAGTGTCAAGGGGACGGGATGACGCATCAGCATCCATCCCTCACTGGGAACCCAGGACAGCACGAAGACTCCTTTAACCCAGGGATGCCCCCAGCCAGCTCCTAGTCCATCCCCCACCCGGAGAGGGACCTTACCCATTGTCTCGGCATTTGAAGGAAGAATATTGCCAGAGTTCCATCAGCTCACCCCCAGAAAGGCCCTGGAGCTGGGACACCAGTGTCAGGAACAAGTCCATGGCCTGCGATTCAGAGGGGGCAGCATGAGACACCCAGCAGTGCGGGGGATCCCCGAAGGTCACCTCACCCGTCCCCTGCCTGTAAGCACAACCGTGGGGAAAGTGGGAAGGACCTACCACCTTCTCCCAGGATGTGCTGAGACCCAGTGAGATGAAGCTCCAGGTCTGGCTTCTCCCTCACTGCACCCCAAGCCCCTACAAGCATACAAGCTGGCTCATTTTTCTCTGATTTAGCAGGTATTTATTGAGCACCTACTATGTGCCTTGCATTGCACTCAGGATATGGCAGTGAAAGAACAGGCATAGTGTCTGAATCTGTGGCATCTAATAAAACCCCAATAAATGTTCACTATGATTGTAATATAATTATTCTAATGAGTCTTAGCATATTTCAAATATTTAGCGAGGTGGCAATCTTTTCCTACATAATATACATACTCTTTTTTTTTTTTTTTGAGACGGAGTCTCACTCTGTTGCCCAGGCTACAGGGCAGTGGCGCAATCTCGGCTCACGGCAACCTCCACCTCCTGGGTTCTAGCGATTCTCCCGCCTCAGCCTCCTGAGTAGCTGGGATTACAGGCACCTGTGACCACGTCTGGCTTATTTTTTGTATTTTTAGTAGAGAAGAGGTTTCACCATGTTAGCCAGGATGGTCTCGATCTCCTGACCTTGTGATCTGCCCGCCTCGGCCTTCCAAAGTGCTGGGATTATAGGCATGAGCCACCACACCTGGACCACCTTTTTTTTTTTTTTTTTTTTAAGAGACAGGATCTCCCTCTGTCTCCCGGGATGGAGTGCTGCAACACAGTCACTTCTCACTGCAGCCTCAACCTCCTGGGCTCCAGCGATCCTCCCACCTCAGCCTCCCGTGTAGCTGGGAATACTGGTGTGCATCACCACGCTCAGCTAATTTTTTTGTATTTTTCATAGAGATGAGGTTTCACCATGTTGGTCTCAAACTTCTGGGCTCAAGTGATCCTCCCACCTTGGCCTCCCCAAGTGCTGGGATGACAGGTGTGAGCCATCGCGCCCACCCTTTTCCAATATTCCTAATAAAAAAATTGTTTTATACAATTATTAACAGTGATGGCTAATAAAGGGCATTATAGGGGGTGCAGAGGGCCCAAAACTCACAAGAAATAAAGGACTCTACTCAGAGAACAGCCCCTGGGTTTAGGAGATGTTTAGTTTGGAAAACCTTCCCTCCTGGTACCCCTGAAGTCTCAGGCTCACTGCATTGGCCTGAACCCAAAGCCACAGAAACAGCAACAAGGTAGGAGCCGAGCCAAGCCAGGTCCCAGCTTCCTGCAGGGAAGCCCCCATACTTTCCCCAGGCTTGGCCAGGGCCAGGCCTGAATCCCCCACCCACCCAGAGGTCCTCCGAGGCTGGGACCTGCTTCCCTGACCCTGGGCCTCCCTGCTGTGTGTGGCTGTGACAGAATCCCTGCACACGCAGCTCGATCTCAGCAAGACGCAGCCTGCAAAACAGGCCCTCACTGGTCACTCGGCCCACCTGCCAACGTGTCTGCCCACCAGAGTCCCGGCAGCCTTCCCAGAATGTGCCTTCTGTGGTCAGAGCCAGTGGCAACCCTCAGCTCTGTCTTTCCTTCCTCCGGCAGGACCCACAAGCCAGCCCCTGCTGCAGGCTAACTGCCACCATCGCAGCTGGCCCTGACCACTGGTAGCCTAAAAGACTCTATTGCCCAGTTTGGGGCGTCTATCCAAAAAATGTCAGTTCCAGGCCTGCTTCCTTCCTTCCTTCCTAATGGGCTCGGCCACATTTCCCTCTGGCTGGTGGCTGCCTTTCCCCAGCTGCCCTTGGCACCCTGGGTTCGGAAGACGTGTGCAGATGGGCACCTGGGGATGGTGCCTGCCCGGGACCACTCCTCCTCCTCTGGGCAAGCCTCTGGCCACAAGTGTTACCCTGAGAATGCGCCTTTCAGATCCAGGCACGACAGGAGGGATCATTAGTGGCTTATCCTGGTTTCCCTCCACTGGAGGAAGAACAAATTCAAAAGGAGAAAAGAGGGCAGATCTAGGCAGGCTACGGATGGAGGCAAAGGGTCCAAGGCTCCTGCCTAGAAATCAAGTCCAGGGCCTGGCGCGGTGGTTCACGCCTGTAATCCCAGCACTTTGGGAGGCCGAGCCGGGTGGATCACTGGAAGTCAGGAGTTTGAGACCAGCATGGCCAACATGGTGAAACTCTGTCTCTACTGAAAATACAAAAATTAGCCAGGCGTGGTGTTGCATGCTTGCAATCCCAGCTATTCAGGAGGCTGAGGCAAGAGATCACTTGAACCAGGAGGTGGAGTTTGCAGTGAGCCGAGATTACGCCACTGCACTTTCCAGCCTGAGCAACAGAGCGAGACTCCGTCCCCCCCCCCAAAAAAAAGACGGATACGTAGGTCGATAAGAAAACTGCCATCCCCATCACCACCAATAACACATGATAATAGTGATAAGGCTGGGTGCAGTGGCTCATGCCTGTAATGCCAGCACTTTGGGAGGTCGAGGCAGGCAGATCACTTGCGGTCAGGAGTTCAAGACCAGCCTGGCCAACATGGTGAAACCTCATCTCTGCCAAAAATATAAAACTTAGCTGGGCATGGTGGCATGAGCCTGTAATTCCAGCTATTCAAGAGGCTGAGACAGGAGAATCACTTGAACTCGGGAGGCAGAGGTTACAGTGAGCCAAGATCGCACAACTGCACTCCAGCCTGGGCGAAAGAGCAAGACCCTGTCTCGAAAAAAAAAAATTGTAATAACAACTACGCCACTAGTTACTTAGTAAGGAGCTTTTACTATGTTCCAGCAACTGGTCTAAGCTGACAGAGAAGGAAAGTGACACTCAAAGTGATTGAGGCAGGGGCCGGTGGCCGCATGCTACTCAGTAGCAGAGCAGACACTTGAACCCAGGGCACCAGCTCCTGAACCCACACTCTTAACAAGCATCCTATATGCAATGGCTTAAAAAAAAAAAAAAAAGTCCTGATTTGTAGCATTTGCCGATCGTCATGGTGTAAATATACCCACCATGGTCGATTTCAAGCTACCAACTTGCAATTGCTAAGGACAGACCTGGGAAGAAATGCACCTTAGCACGTCATGTCATATTTCCACCACACAGTTACAATAAACATGACTAACCTCTAATGGAAAGACAATAGTAAAATGTAGTAAAATAACCAGGTAGTCATGGTTGGGAGTACTTAATACCTTTGTTTCTAATATAATTCATTTTATTTGATTTTTTTAATTTTTCTTTTCTTTTTTTTTTTTTTTTTTTTTTTTTTGGAGAAGAGTCTCACTCTGTCACCCAGGCTGGAGTGCAGTGGTTTGATCACAGCTCACTGTAGCCTTAACCTCCCAGGCTCAAGCCAGCCTCCTCCCTCAGCTTCCCAAGTAGCCACGACCACAGGCACGTACCACCATGCTTGGCTTATTTTTTGTAGAGATGGGCTCTCTCCCTGTGTTGCCCAGGCTGGTCTCAAACCCCTGGGGTTTAAGTGATCCACCCACCTCAGCCTCCCAAAGTGCTGTGTTTACAGGTGTGAGCCACTGTGCCCGGCCTGTTTACTTGTTGATACACAATAGATTCACATATTTTCAGGGTACCCGTGAAATAATTTGATACATTCATCTAATCAAATCAGGATAATTGCGATATCCATCACCGTAACCACCTTTTCTTTACGTTAGAAACGTTCAAATTCTTCTCTTCCAGCTATTTTTAAGTGTAGGATTATCTTAATTATAGTCATCCTAGGAATCTATTGAGTATTAGAGTCTGATTTCTTCTACTGAAGTGTATATTTGCACCCATTAGTCAGCTATGCTAAAACAACTTTATTTATTTTATTTTATTTATTTATTTTGAGATGGAGTCTCACTCTTGTCACCCAGGCTGGAGTGCAGTGGAGTGATCTCGGCTCACTGTAACCTCCGCCTCCTGGGTTCAAGCGATTCTTCTGTCTCAGCCTCCAAAGTAGCTAGGATTACAGGCTCCTGTCTAATTTTTGTATTTTTAGTAGAGACAGGGTTTCACCATGTTGGCCAGGCTGGTCTTGAACTCCTGACCTCAGGTGATCTGCCCGCCTCAGCCTCCCAAAGTGCTGGGATTATAGGCATGAGCCACTGAGCCTGGCCACAACTTAATGTTTAAAACAGCAGTGTTTAACAACCAGCCTGTGGGACATCCGGAAGTCTACTCACCCACTCTTGTGAGCCAGTATGAGCCAGTCCTGTTCTGCCACTGTCTATGCCATTTCGTGAGTGTAAACCGTCCTTAATAAACACCTGTAACTCGAGCTCCTTGTTCTCAGAACACCCAAGATTGGTGATAAGCCATGCCCTCTCCCAGGCATCCTTCCTGGCAGCCTGGAGAAGTTGGCCCTGCTGGCTCCGTCTGTCTGTCCCCTCCCAACCCCACTGCACCCTTGCTTCCTCCTCCTTTGTTCCTTAGGGACGCCCTTGGCCATCCCACCCTCTGCCCCCCACATCGAAACTCCGGGGCCTCTCTATGGAAGGCCCGACTCGGGGGTTTGCTTTCTATTGAGCGCTGAGTCCTGGTTTTGTTTCCAGACTGAAAAACAAACCTTGTCTCCTGCCCACCATCAATGGGGAGGGGCAGAGGCATTTCAAGCCGAAGCTCATGAGGTCTATCCCCCTGGCAACCCAGGCAGGCCCTCAGCCCTCCCGGGGGCCCAGGAGCTGCTTGGTGTGCACCGATGTGTCCCTGCAAAGCCATTTCTAGCAACAGGGTCCTCAGCATTTCACCCCTCAGCCCAGGGGACCTCCACGGTGGCAGTAACTTCCTTTTTTTCAATGCTGTAAGTAAAAGACAGCCGCACAGTGCCCTCTGGGGCTAGCACCGCCAGCGTCCAAAAGTGGAGATCGAGGCCCACAGCCCTTGCCCTGAGCCACCCCTGCCAGGGGAAATGTCCAGTTAGGTGGTCAGGGGTCCTCTTGGGGCCAAAGAATGCAGTGCTGTCTTCCCATCAAGCCATGAGGTTCGGCAGTGCAACGGTTAGAGCACAGGCCACAGAGCAGCGGTCCCCTACTGGTGACAAGTGTGCTCCCCAGGGCCATCTGGTTGCCACGGACTGCAGGTGGTGATGATGGTGGTATCCAGTGAGGAGAGGCCAGAGATGCTGCTAAACATCCCACATTGCACGTGACAGCCTCCCCCACACACTCCACAAAGAATGACCCAGCCCTCGGTGTCCACAGCACCCAGGGCGAGAAACCCTGCTTTGGGCCATGCTGCCTGGGTTAACAGCCCAGCTCTATCACTTGCTAGCAGTGTGGCTTTAAGCACATTTCCTAAACTCTTCAAGCTTCAGTTTCCTCATCTGTAAAATGGGCACAATGATATGAATTTCACTGAGATGATTAAATTAGATAACGCAAGTGAGGCCCCGGAGCTTATTGTCTGAGCATACACTAAGTGCTCAATTAAACTGTAAAGCCCTGGCAGGGCGCAGTGGCTCACGCCTGTAATCCCAACACCTTGGCAAGCTGAGGTGGGAGGACTGTTTGTGTCCAGAAGTTCAAGACCAGCCTGGGCAACATGGCAAAACCCCGTCTCTACAAAAAACACACAAGAATTAGCCAGGTGTGGTGGCATGCCCCTGCAGTCCCAGGTACTCTGGAGGCTGAGGTGGGAGGATCACTTGAGCCAGGGAGGTCAAGGCTGCAGTGAGCCATGATTTCACCACTATACTCCAGCCTGGGCAACAGAATGAGACCCTGTCTAAAAAAAAAATTGTAGAACATTGAATGGAAGCCCCCAAAAAGATATGTCCATGTCCTAAGCCCTGGAACTTGTAAATTTCCCTTATTTGGAAAAAGGATCTTTGCAGATGTAATTAAGTTAAGGATCTTGAGATATGATCATTCTAGATTATCTGGATGAGTCTTCAATCCAATGACACATCACTTTCCTCCCCCAGGGACTGTGCCATGCTAAACCATCTCTCTCGTGCTTTCCATCTTACATGTGGGTTCAGGGCCCTCTCTCAGAACAAGACAGATGGTGAGGAGAATCTCATCATCACAGCACAGCCTCAGGGCCTCAGATTCTTGATGATCACCAACGAAGGAACTGGCCCTAAGTCTCAAAGCCACATCCACCTCCTGACTTGAAACAGCCAGGAGTTTCGGAGGAGGCCTGGGCCATGTGTTTCTAACTTTGCTGTGGGAAGTCCTCAATGCTGAGGCTCAGATGTTGCTAGGCCTGGGAGATTAGACTGTGAGTCAAAAGGACTGTTGTGTGCTCGTAGACAGACAGAGGAGAAAAGGCTTCCCCTCTGCTCACATCCAACCTGGACTGGGGCACTGGCCTGGCACACGCCATCTAGATTTCCTTGCTTCTGCAACCAGGCACAGCTGTGCAGTGCACAACCTACCCACCCATAGGTGACAGCCCTGATATTAAATATCTGAGAGGATGGGCCAGGATATGGGCAGGAAGAGGAAGGTGTCCTAGGGACTCAGGGCCAAGAAAGACTCTGGCCTGGGGCTGGAGAAGCCACTTACCTCCAAGCTAGTGGTCTGAGCCAGGCACAGCCTCCTTACTAATGTGGCTGCGGTGGCCACCATGGCCTGGGATGGTGTCTCCTCCCACTCATACAGCAGGCTGCTTGGGGTCATGTCTTCATCGTCTCTATCATCTGGATCTGAGATGGTAAGAGGTGGATGGGATGACCATATGGGGAAATGCCAGAGTGAGCTAGAAAGCCCTCTGGGAGTCGCCCCCACCCCCTCCAGTGCTTCCTTCAGCATGTTTCAGGCAACAGGTAAGAGGGGTGTCTACGAGGGAAATCATAGCAGCGTCATTGCAAACAGCCTAAGATGGGAAGCACCTATGTACCCACCAGCAGGGGCTGGGCAAACAAACTGTGGGCCACTCACATCAGGGAACACTGAGTATCCTTTTTTTTCTTTTTTTTTTTTTTTTGAGACGGAGTCGCACTCTGTGCCCAGGCTGGAGTGCAGTGGCGCGATCTCGGCTCACTGCAAGCTCCGCCTCCTGGGTTCACGCCGTTCTCCTGCCTCGGCTTCCTGAGTAGCTGGGACTACAGGCGCCTGCCACCACGCCCGGCTAATTTTTTTGTATTTTTAGTAGAGACGGGGTTTCACCATGTTAGCCAGGATGGTCTCAATCTCCTGACCTTGTGATCCACCCACCTCGGCCTCCCAAAGTGCTGGGATTACAGGCGTGAGCCACCATGCCCAGCCAACACTGAGTATCCTTTAACAGAAACAAGTCAGCAGGACACACCCTGCCTTGTAAAGATCTCCAAGCCATCGAGTGACCAAGGCAAGATGCAGAACAATGTATGGTGCAAAAATAAAAATAGACCACTCTGTGCCTGGCACAGAGGCTCATGCCTGTAATCCCAGCACTTTGGGAGGCCAAGGTGGGTGGATCACCCGAGGTCAGGAGTTCGAGACCAGCCTGGCCAGGATGGTGAAACCTGTCTCTATTAAAAATACCAAAAATTAGCTGGGCGTGGTGGCAGGCGCCTGTAATCCCAGTTACACGGGAGGCTGAGGCAGAAGAATTGCTTGAACCTGGGAGGCTGAGGTTGCAGTGAGCTGAGATCACTCCACTGCACCCCAGCCTGGGTGACAAGAGTGAGACTCTGTCTCAAAAAAACAAAACACAACAAAACAACCAGACCACCCAAACAGACACAGTTGCCTATGTATCTGTAAGTACACAGAATTTGTCTGGAAGAGTATACTGGAAGCCAGGAATGGAGTGAGCCTCTGGAGAGGGGGGACTCATTTTAACCGTGTCCTTTTGTACCATGTCACACATCACCTTGTCAAAACAATAAATCTTAATCTCTCTCATGCATTCGTCCTGTGACTGCTTCCTAATAAAGATGGGTGATGGCAGAAACTGCCCTCTGCTCTACACACAGCCATGGTGTTAAACTTCCCTGAGCCCCGCTTGGACCCCCACATCTCAGCCAAAGACCTACCCTCGAATCCACAGTCCACACCTCCCTCAGCTTCAATGCTCCTTAGCAAAGGCGTGTGCCTTCTAGATGCTGTCCAACACCATCTGGCTGCCTGCAGGCCTGGGCACCTGCCCTCGCAGTGTGTCTAGCTCCACACAGGTGCACACATTCATCCATCTAATCCTCAGACCTCTCCTTAGCCCCCCAGGTGCCTGGGACACACAGAGGTCGTGCCTGCCCCAGGGCCTTTGCACTTCCTGTTTCCGCCCTGAATGCTCTTTCCTGCATCTTCCCAAAGCTGACCTTGTCTTATCCTTCATTACTTTCTCAGAGAGGCCCTCTTGGCGCCCCTGTCTAAGTCACTGGCTGTCATGCAGCTGTTTAATTTCTTTCCTGACATGGATCACAGTCTCAAGCCACCTTGACTAGGCTTTTTCCCCATCAATGATTTCCCCCTCCCAGGAGGGTGTCAGCCTCAGGGTGGCAGAAATGGAGTTGACCATGATCACAGGCCTGTCCCCAGAGCCCCGGCAGTGCTCAGCACACAACAGGTGCTCAGACAAGCATTTCGGGTAAGCATGAATGAAAACACACTCCTGATGACCTGCCAAGAATCTGCAAACCTAAGGAGAATTCTCCCACGACAGTTGGGAACCAGATGACTCCAACCCAGGGAGGAAGACAGGGCCAAGCCAGGGCCATCTGAGCCCAGCGCGGAACTTCAAGGAGGGATAAAGTCTCATTTCTGAGTATGCCTTTGGGATCAGGCCCTAAAGAACGGGGCCAGGATGATGTGAACCAGTGCTCACAGAGGCCACGTGCCAGGTGCTTAGCTAAAGGCAATGATGATTTTCTTTTTTTTTTTTTCAGAAGGGGTCTCACTCTGTCGCCAGGCTGGAGTGCAGTGACGCGATCACAGCTCACTGCAGCCTCGACCTTCTGGGCTCAGGTGATCCTCCCACTTCAGACTCTCAAGCAGCTGGAATTACAGACACACACCACCATGCCTGGCTAATTTTTTGTATTTTTCACAGTGATGGGGTTTCGTCACGTTGCCAGACTGGTGTCAAACTCCTGGGCTCAAGCAATCTGCTCACTTTGGCCTCCCAAGGTGCTGGGATTACAGGCTTGAGCCACTGTGCCCAGCTGACCATTTTCTGTAACTTTCCCCATAACCTATGGGGTAAGGGGTGACCTACCCGTATATTTACAGCTAAAGAAACTGAGGCACAGAGAGAAGCTATTGGCCCAAGTCACACAACATAGAGTCAGAATTTGAATCCAGTTCTGACTCCAAAGCCTCCTGGGAATGACAGTGAAAATATGAAAAAATTCCTCTGTACAATGGAATATTATTCAGCAATGAAAAAGAAAAAAATCCAATTCATGCCACAACATGGATGAACCTTAAACACCGTGCTGAGTGAAAAAGCTAGACACAAAAGGGCACACTTTATGACCCCATTTATATGAAATTCCAGAACAGGAAAATTAGAGGCAGAAAGTAGTTGAGTGGCTGCCAGGGTCTGGGAAGATGATGGCTAATGAGCACAAGGTTTCTTTTTAGAGTGATGACAATGTTCTATAGTTGACTAAGGCGGAGCACAGTGGTTCACACCTGTAATCCCAGCACTTTGGGAGGCTGCAGTAGGAGGATCACTTGAAACCAGGAGTTTGAGACCAGCCTGGGCAACATAGCAAGACCCGATTTCTACAAAAAATTTAAAAAATAGCCAGGCATGGTGGCGCACAGCTGTACTGGGGAGGCTGACACTGGGGGAACCCCTTGACCCCAGGAGGCCAAGGTACCATTGCATTCCAGCCTGGGCGACAGACCAAGACTGTCTCTTAAGTTGAAGGCTGGGCACGGTGGCTCATGTTTGTAATCCCAGCACTTTGGGAGGCCGAGGTGGGCGGATCACCTGAAGTCAGGAGTTCCAGACCACCCTGATGGTAAAACCCCATCACTACTAAAAACACAAAATAAGCTGTGCATGGTGGCACATGCCTGTAATCTCAGCTACTCAGGAGGCTGAGGCAGGAGAATTGCTTGAGCCCGGAAGGAGGAGGTTACAGTGAGCTGAGATCATGCTACTGCACTCCAGCCTGGGCAACAGAGCCAGATTCCATCTCAAAAAAATAAATAAATAAAATAATAATAATAAAGGGGCCTGGCACGGTGGCTCACGCCTGTAGTCCCAGCACTTTGGGAGGCCGAGGCAGGCAGATCAGACACCTGAGGTCAGGAGTTTGAGACCAGCCTGGCCAACATGGGGAAACCCCATCTCTACTAAAAACACAAAAATCAGCCAGGCATGGTGGTGCACACCTATAATGCCAGGTACTCAGAGGCTGAGGCAGGAGCACTGCGTGAACCTGGGAGAGGAGGTTGCAGTGGGCCAGGATCACGCCACTGGACTCCAGCCTGGGCGACAAAGCAAGCCTCCATCTCAAAATATAAAATAAAATAATAATAAAGTTGATTGTGGTGATGATGGATGTACAACTCTGAATATACTAAAAACCACTGAAGTGTACACTTTAAATGGTGAATTGTATGGTATGTGAATTCTCTCTTAATAAAGCTGTTAAAAAGGAGGAAAAAAAAAGAAATCTCATCCAACTCAGTGGGACACCACTGGGTCCTGGCAAGCCTGGATGCCCCCAGGCACAGCTAGTTTCTGTAGCTGAGGGTCGGTGTGCGGGGAGGGCAGACCAAGCTGGGATCCTAGAAGGCATCCCATGGTGCAGAGCGAAGTCGGAGAAATCCCAAGGTCCCATCTAGTGGGTTCTCCCCCAGGGGGTGCCGGGAGCCTGCCCTCCAAGGTAAACGCTATTACCAGCCAGAGCTGCAGAACACACGGCAGGGGTTCAGGTCCCAGCCCTGCCTCTCACTCACCGTGTGACCTTGGACAAGTCATTTGACCTCTTTGAGCCACAGGTCACTTATACGAAAAATTTAATCGGCGGGGTTCAACAGTTCACACCTGTAATCCTGTAATCCCAGCACTTTGGGAGGGCGAGGTGGAAGGATTATTTGAGCCCAAGAGTTCGAGACCAGCCTGGGCAACATAGTGAAACCCTGTCTCAACAACAACAACAAAAAATTAGCCAGGCATGGTGCTGTGCACCTGTAGTCCCAGTTACCTGGCGGGCTGAGGTGGGAGGATCACCTGTGCCTGGGGAGGTTGAGACTACAGTGAGCCATGATCAGACCACTGCTCTCCAGCCTGGGCAACAGAACGAGACTGTGTCTCCAAAAAAAAAAAAATTTAAAAATTTATTTATTTATTTATTTATTGAGATGGAGTCTTACTCTATCGCCCAGGCTGAAGTGCAGTGGCATGATCTTGGCTCACTGCACCTCCGCCTCCCGGGTTCAAACGATTCTCCGGCTTCAGCCTCCCGAGTAGCTGGAATTACAGGCGCCCACCACTACTTCCAACTATTTTTTGCATTTTTAGTAGAGACGGGGTTTCTCCATGTTGGCCAGGCTGGTCTCGAACTCCTGATCTCAAGTTATCCGCCTACCTCGGCCTCCCAAACCGCTGGGATTATAGGTGTGAGCCACTACATCTGGCCAAAATTTTTATTTAAATTTAACTAATTTTACCTTCCTAATGGGGTTTTGATGAGAATTAAATTAAATTAAATACACATAAAGTGCTCAGCACAGCAACTGGCCCACAGTAAATCCTTCCAAAGTCCCAGCAGTAAGAATAACCATTCTTATTTCATTATTCAGGAAGACAACTGGTTTCCAAACATGGAAAAGCAATCCTCCCCCCAGATATAGGCCTCGCTTGTTTCTTTCTGTGCAGAATTGTAGGAGGGCACCAAGTCCCAGGGAATGCTATGTGTTAGCAGGAACTTTCTGGAAAATCAGGAAACCTGAGTCAGTTTGCCCCTAAAATGGGCAGACTGAGGGGTCACTGAATTTAAGGTTGAGAAACAGAAGATTCCATCTTCACCAAGGACATCCCAGGGAAAAGGGACTCAACCAAGCCAGGGCCATTTGATCTGAGCCTCAGAAAGAGCCTGGAGAACCTTCTAGAAGTGGCTAACTCTCCTGATGATAACCATTTTCAGCAATAGGTCAGAGGTGTCCAGGCCGGGACAGAGGAACGGAACCTGGGCCTGCTTGGGCCCCTCTGGCCAGACCCCCTCATGCCACGGCCAGGGGGTGGCCACCAGGGAAGGCTGAGGTCACCTGTGCCCGCTGGATCTTGGGGCATCTCGTGCAGCAGACTGAGTGAGGAGAGGGTCCTCATCTGCACAGCGCTTGCCTTTGCAGGAAGTGGCCCCGCGGAGTCCAGCTCTGTGCAGGAGGCCTCCCTCAGCACTCCGGCCCGGAAGCTCTGGACGCAGGTCAGGCGGGAGGTCAGGCCGGGCTGCGGACCAAGAGGGGAAGGGACAGCTCAGGCCAGGATCTAGCCATCCACAGGACCCAGCTGGGACCAAGGGGAGGAGGGACGAGGGACACATCAGAGCTGTAGACCCCCCATTCCCCACTCAGCGAGGCTGGGGAGGAGACCCTGAGGGCTGCATCCCTGCGTCACCCACCCCTGGCTCGCCTGGATTGTGGCAACATCAGCCCAGGCAAAGGCACACCGGAGATGACAAGGACGAGGGGAAACAAGAAAGTCTAGCAGACAGTGACCCCCCAGGAGAGGAATGACAAAGCGTCAGTATGAAAACATTTCAAACAGCAGAGGCCCACCTCCACCTCTTAGATGCTGAGACTTTTGATAGTAAGTGAACATGAACAATGATCACTTCTCATCCTCCTGCAGATGTTTGGTATTTACAAAGCACTTGCCTCTTCAGGGAGCTAGAGACAGAGGCGGGGAGGAGGGCGTGGGGAAAAGGACAGAGGGGCGGGCGTGGTGGCTCATTCCCGTAGTTCCAGCACTTGGGGAAGCCAAGGTGGCCGGAACGCTTGAGCTCAGAAGTTCAAGATCAGCCTGGGCAACATAGCAAGACATTATCTCTACTAAAATTTTTTTTAAAAAACTAACCAGGCATAGTGGTGTGTGCCTGTAGTCCCAGCTACTTGGGAGGCTGAGGCAGGAGGATCACTTGAGCTCAGGAGTTCAAGATCAGCCTGGACAACACAGCAAGACACCATCTCTACTAAAAATCCAGAAAAAAAAAATTTAACCAGGAATGGTGCCTTGTGCCTGTAGTCCCAGCTACTCTCAAGAGGCTGAGACAGGAGGATCGCTTGAGGCCAGGAGTTGAAGGCTGCACTGAGCCATGATCACACCACTGCACTCCAGCCTGGGTGACAGAGTGGGACTCTGCCTCTAAGGAAATACATACATACGTACGTACATACATACATACATACGTACGTACATACATACATACATACGTACATACATACATAAAATAAAATAAAATTTCTTGAAGGAAAGAGGAGAAGGGAGGGGAAGGGGAAGGGAGGAGAGGAGGTAAAGGAAGGAGGACCAAGAAGAGAAGGAATTGGAAGAGAGGAGGTAAAGGAAGGAGGACCAAGAAGAGAAGGAATTGGAGGAGAGGAAATGAAGAGCTGAGGAGGGAGGAGGAAGGAGGAGGAAAAGGGAGGAGGAGGAGGAAAAGGGAGGAGGAGGAGAAAAAGGGAGGAGGAGGAGGAAAAGGGAGGAGGAGGAGGAAGAGGAAGAAGAGGAGAAGGGTCTGGGAGAGCAGCAGTCAGGGGCCCGGCCCAGCCCAGCCCAGCCCAGCCCAGCCCAGCCCAGCCCAGCCTAGCCCAGCCCAGCCCAGCCTAGCCCAGCACTTACAGCCACTCCAGGCAGGGCCTGAGAATGGAGTGATGAGCGTCCCCTGCGCAGGGAGCACCGTGCCAGGTCCTTTGTCTTGTGTAGCCAGTCCCCATGGTGCTGGTATGTGGTAGGACATCGGCCCAGGATGTCCACCTGGGCAGACAGGGTTGGGGACAGGTCAACCTTCTGGCCACCTCTACCCCCTACCCCCTTCCCATCTCCTGGCCTCACCTCATCAAAGGTCTTGGGGCTGTGGGCCCCTGGGTGGCCCTGCAGGAGGCTCAGCACAGCACGCTTCACGTTCAGCACCCAGCGTGGCTCAGTGGGATGGGGACACAGGTGGGCCACACGCCCAGAGTGCAGGATGAAGCGGAGTGGGTTACGGCCCAGGGTGGCACTGCAGGAGGGCGGACAGGGGTCAAGCGGGACCCTCCAGTGCCCCAGGCCACTTGCAGACTGCCAGAGGCCACAGCATCCCTGCCTTCCTACAGGCCAGCCCCCATGGGAAGCTCCCAGGGAACCCCACATCCCCCCACTAGATAGCCTTTGTTCCCTCTGCAGCTGGGCTCTGGGGCAGCCAACTCTGCTCTGAGCCACCCCAGCCTTTTCACCCCGGGACAAATGGACAGGTGTGTGAGACAAGTGTCAAAGAATAAAAGGCTGAGACCCCAAGAGCTGCCTGCATTCCAAAACGCCTCACTTAATCCCAAGGAGCTGAAGGCATTCTGGATGTGCCACCCCAAAATATGCCACTTGGGAATATTGCCTTTTTTGTGGACCAGTCTCGCTCTGTTGCCCAGGCTGAGCTCACTGCAGCCTCAACCTTATAGGCTTAAACGATCCTTCTGCCTCAGCCTCCCAAATGGCTGGGACCACAGACATATGGCCACCATGCCCAGCTAATTTTTAAACCTTTTGTAGAGATAGATTCCCGCTACGTTGCCCAGGCTGATCTCAAACTCCTGAGCTCAAGCAATCCTCCAGCCTCAGCCTCCAAAGCTCTGGGATTACAGGCGTAAGCCACCGCACTCCAGCCTCTTGTCTATTTTGAACCAAAGACTGTATTTGTTGAGAAACAGCAAATACGGGGAGAGGCTTTCTCTGAACTCCCCTCTTCTGCCTAAAGACAGATCCTCCAAAAGGAACCTAATTGTCATCAATGCCCTCCAGGGAGTTTCATCCACCTGGGGAGAGCAGCTCTCATCCTAAGAGAGGATGGTGCAAGTCGACACCACACCCAGACAAACTTTATCCCACACTAGCACATCTCCTGTCTCTTCTTCCAAGGGTCCCTTCCTCTTTCCTAGAAACCATCTACTCCCCTCTAACTTGTCTCGCTCCCTCCTCCCCTTTCCCCTGAAAATGGTGCATAAGCTCCCAAGTCTCAGCACTCTGGGGAGCCTTCACTCTTTCATTCCACGATGCCCCTGTGCATATAAAAAAATCTATCTACCTCTTCTCCTAATGTCAGTTTATTTCTAGACACAGCTATTGAACCCAGGAAGGTAGAGGGAGTCTTTCCCTCCCCTACAGATCCCACCAGGGAGGTAATTATCATCCCTCCACCCACATTCTGGATGAGGAAACAGGCTCGGAGCAATGTAGTGTTTTGCTCGGGGCTCCAGCTGGGATTTGAACCCAGCCAGGCTGGCTGTGGAGTCACAGGCTGCAGAAACCCCGAACTGGAAGTGACTTGAGACTGTCATTGTTGAGACAAGGAAATGAGGTCCCGAGACGGGGGCCTTCTTGGGGGATATCACACAGCAAGTCAGGGAAGGAGCTGGCACCAGAATTCAGCCCCGTGCTCCTCCCGCCTGCCCTTCCCCTGGCAGAAAGGTGCCTGGGTCTGGTATCTGCAGAGTGAAGGGACGGGGAAGTGAAGGGGTGGGAAGTGAGGGGTGATGGAGTCCTCCTTCCCTGGGTGGAGTTGGAAGACAGAGATGCTTCAAGATGAAAGGGAAACTGCCAAGTCCCCAGACCCTACAGGCTAGCAAGACAAAACCCTGGGGAACAGATATGTTACCACTTCTACCTTCCAGGGGGGCAGCGGTCACTCTCCAGCTCCAACTGAAGCCTGGAGGTCTTCCTAAGGCAGTCCCCTGGGTCTCAGGCCTTGATGGAGAGAAATGCTAATGGCGCCCACCACTCCCAGAATAGCAAGTGGCAGTGTGGCCTCCAGGAAGTGACAACCCCTGGCCCCGCTGACTTAGCATTTCTGATGAGGAGCTGGGGGACAATAGTCCCCTTGGAGGAGACCCTCCCCTTGCCTTTCAGTGAGGATCTATCTGTCCCTCAGCAGCATCCCCCATCCTGGTATCCCTAGACAAAGGCTTTCTTTCTTAACAAATGAATTTGCAATAAAAACGGAAGAGGAATCTGCAGAGAAGGAGTTGTCTTCAGGCTGGCGGCTGCTCTGAGCTTTGAGGCCACCGAGGCCCTGTCAGGGAGGCCTGGGAAACAAGCCACAGGGAGAATCCCAGGCTTGGCTGGGTCACAAAAGAGGGGCTTAGCTTGGGGTGGGAGAGGATGGGGTCTCGGCAGAGTCGGGGAGGGGAAAAGGCAGACCTCCATGGGCCCGGCAGTCCCATTAGCCGGAGTCTTCCAGAACACACTCAACAACAATGCCCAAGGGGTGATCGGCAGGTGTGAAATCTGGACATGCTGGGGGTCACAGGCAGAACTACGGGATGAGTTCCTCCCACCAGGTAAGAGAAGAGCACCTGCGGCTATCTGGAGTCACCCAAGGCTTCTACATGAAGGCAGCCCCCCAGCGGTCTTCATCGGTGCTTGACAAGGTCAAAACAAATACAGAAACTTCTTTGAACTTCAGTCCAAGATGGCATCTCTTTGCTACAGAGAGGTCACCCTAACCAATTGTCCTAATCTAATTCAGTGCACCCAGAGCCCGACAGCTGTTGAAAGACGGCAGAGGGCTCACAGCTCCAGCCCCATCGTGAGCAGGTCCCAGCCCCATGGCCAAGTGTCTTACCTCAGGCTCTCCGACTCCTTCAGAAGCTCCACCTTGGCCCCCAGGATGGATGTCACCTGGAAGTCTTGGAGCTGAAGCACAAAGCACCGTGAGTTGGTGACCTCTCCTGTGATACCCCGGGAACTCGCCAGCACCCCACCCACAAAGCAGTTCTAGGGCCCTGCAGGATACATGAACCCATGTTGGGGGCAAGGCAGAGAGACCCCTCCCTTGACCAGGTACCAAGCCTGGGTGGTGAAGGCCGAATGTCTCACTGAAATAATCAAGTACCTACAGCTCCCTGCTAAACGTCTGGAAAGTTCTCATTTTGCCCAAAAAGACGCTGGAAGTTTGGTTGAGGGATTCATAGGACTATATAGCACCAACAAGAATATGTTACATTGTAGAGCAGACAAAGGCTTTGCCCATGATGAGGACTTGGATATCCCACTGTCACCATGGGGTGTGTGTGGTGGATGAGTGGAGGGTGGGGAGGGGGTTGCAAAAGAAGGTAGACTTTCTAAAAATGGAAAATATCCTCCCTAAATAACTGATTTCACTGTTTAAATTTAATAGAGCCGGTCACAGTGGCTCACACCTGTAATCCCAGCACTTTGGGAGGGCAAGGCAGGCGGATCACTTGAGGTCAAGACTTCAAGACCAGCCTGGCCAACATGGTGGAACCCCATCTCTATTTTTTAAAATAAATAAACAATAATTTTTTTAAAGGATGAAGTTCTGCTACATCCTACAATAGAGAGGAACCTTGAAAATGTTATGTTAAATGAAAGAAGCCAGACACAAAAAGTCACGTATTATGTGACTCCACTTTTTTTTTTTTTTTGAGATGGAGTTTTGCTCTTGTTTTCCAGGCTGGAGTGCAATGGCGCGATCTTGGCTCACAGCAACCTCCATCTCCCGGGTTCAAGCCATTCTCCTGCCTCAGCCTCCTGAGTAGCTGGGATTACAGGCATGCACCACCACGCCCACCTAATTTTGTATTTAGTAGAGACAGGGTTTTTCCATGTTGGTCAGGCTGGTCTCGAACTCCAGACCTCAGGTGATCCACCCGCCTCGGCCTCCCAATGAGCTGGGATTACAGGCATGAGCCACCGCGCCCGGCCTATGTGAGTCCACTTATATGAGGTACCTAAAAACAGGCAAGTTCATAGAGACAGAAAGCAGAACAGAGGGGACTAGAGTCTGCAGGGTGGGAATTGGAAGTTACTGTTCAATGTGCACAGAGCTTCTGTTTAGGATGATGAAAAAGTTCTAGAGATGGAGGGTGGTGATGGTTGTACAACGATGTGAAAGTACTTAATGCCACTGAATCATAGACTTAAGATGGTTGAAATGGTGTATTCCATATTATATTTTAATCACAGTAAAAAAATAAAAATAAACCAGACACAAAGGAAAACATCCTGTACAATTCCATTAGAGAGAAGTTCAAAGACAGGCAAAACTCATCTATGGTGATAGAAATAAAAAAGGAAGGCTGGGCATAGTGGCTCACGCCTGTAATCCCAGCACTTTGGGAGGCCGAGGTGGGCAGATCACTTGAGGTCAGGAGTTCAAGACCAGCTTGGCCAACATGGTAAAATCTCATCTCTACTAAAAGTACAAAAATTAGCCAGGCGTGGCGGAGCGCACCATGCACTACCAGTAATCTCAGCTACTCAGGAGGCTGACGCAGGAGAATCGCTTGAACTGGGGAGGCGGAGATTGCAATGAGCTGAGATTGTGCTATTGCACGCCAGCCTGGGCGACAGAGTGAGACTCCATCAAAAAAAAAAAAAAAAAAAAAAAAAAAGTTGTACCCTTGGGAGAAGTGACCAAGAGGAAGTATGAAGGAGGCTCTGGGGGTTATATTTTGTTTCTTGCTCTGGTGATCGCTACGTAGGTGTTTGGTTTATGAAAATTCCTTGTTTTGAAGATTTGTGATTTTTACACTTTTTTCTCTAAAAATATATTCATTAACCTCCCAAGGGGCCAGAAAATTTCCATTTTCACCTAGAATCTTTGAAATACACTGGTTCTTTATATCCTTGCCAACATTTGACATTGGCAGCTTTTCTTAAGTGCTTAAAGTAAACAAATGAATAAAACTGCAACAGAACACAATTTGCTTTGTGAAAACTGGCCCTGCAGATAAAAACAACCACAAGTGTTTTGAAGGGTGTAAAAGGATGATAAAGATTAATAAAGCAGCATCTCTGACATATTGGACACTTTAAGAATTCAGAGGCAGCTCAGGCCCACTCCATGAAAGACCTCATCCTGTGGTCTACATGAAAATACAACAAAACGGCTTTGAGAAACTCTTGCTAGCAAGTGCTCCAGCCAGTACAAAAATGCATCACAATATGAGATGAGACTCCAACAGAAACTAAAAGGCCTTTTATGTGGGTTGAGAGGGTTTATCCAGGAAAAATATGAGGGTTATCAGAAATGAGACAGAGGCAAATGAGCAAGCACTTCTGCTTGCAAGAACATTGAGGAACTTCCAGAAAATCTCAATGAAAAGAAATCTGCAACCACCAAGTGGGCCTAGCTCATAATTCTGCCTTAACCCAGGACTAACACCACTGGACCTTAGTGTTTGCCTATAACCTGAGGCTGTGGACCCAAGCACTGCAAGGCTAGTGTCCACAGGGCAGGCCTTGCTGGGAATAGACTTCCACCCAGTCTATTCCTTTGTCCAAAGGCTTGACTTGGTTTGACTTTGCACACACCCTTGGACTTGCAGACATGGCTCTCAGTCCACCCCTAGGGCACAGTATGTCCCCGTTCTATGGCTCTTCTCACTCCACGAACTCCCCCAACCTGCCCTAAAAATATTCCTTCCTTAACCTCTGCTATTCCCCGATTGGGCCCTCTGTGGCACCTCTTACAATCAAAATTGCACCATTTTCCCACATTCCTCCCAAGGGTCCTCACTTGCCAAATATAAGATTCCTCAGAAAGCTCCTCTGTTGATTAAGCAAATTGGAAATTGGAGGTAAGGGGCTGTGGCTTCCTCTTAGTCCTCCCCAGCATCAACGTGATCTCCCGGTTGCCCAAAGACACTCACCCATAAAGCCATCTGGCACAGGCCAAGCACATCAAGGACAGCCAAGCCTTGGAGGCCAAGACCACTCCCCTCCACCAGGACGTCCTGCAGGCTGGTGCTGGTGTTGGTGGAAAAATGATAGGTGTATCTGGTGCCCACAGGGAGGTGGGGCCCAGCTGACCCTGAAGGGCAGAGAGAGAGACAGCAATGTCACCTTGAACCTGCAGCCCTCTGGGATCCCAACTCCACCTCCAGCCATCCTTGCTCACACCTCTCTCTCTCCATCTGGGCCCTGAGCTGCCTGTCCCCAGCTTGGGGAAAGGTTGGGTAGCTGCATACCCTCATAAGGGTGAAAAAGAAAATAAAGATAATAACAGTAAGTGCTCAATAAGTACTAGCCAGTGTCATCATGGGCCAGGCTTTCTTCTAATATCAAGGTTTCTCTGCCTGGGCACTATTAATAGTTGGGGCCAGGGAATTCTGTTTGTGAGGGCTGTCCTCTGTGTTGTCAGGAAATTTACCAGCATCCCTGACCTTTACCCACAAGATGCCAGTAACCCAGCCCAGTTGTGACAACCAAAAATGTCCCCAGACTTTGCAAAATGTCCCCAGGGGAGGGAGGGCCACAATCACCCCAGTTGAGAAGCATTCATCTACAGTAACTCAGTTAAGCTTCATAACCAACTTTGAGGTGAATACTCTTTTTTCTCCATTTTACAGAGGAAGAAACTGAGGCTCAGAGAGGTTAACTAACTTACACAATCCGCAGCTGGGATTCCACCCTTGGGAGTCTGACTACTCACCTATCATCTTGATGGATATCAAGTGGGGCTGGCAGGGGTTAGGGTGGGTTGTTATTCTGATCTTTATAGAAGATAAAGCTGTAAAGCTGCCCAGCCTTGGGGGATCTGGGGGTGAGGAGAGTAACTGCTCTGGGGAAGAGCTGATTTAGGGAACAGAGAGGTCTGTAATTATCCAGCCAAATCTCTAACCTTCTATTGAGGCCAGGGGATCAAGCGTGAAACCTAATTATAACATCTCACCCCTCCCCATGGCTTGTGATTGAACTGACATTTTCATGTCAATTTCCTTGAGACAGAACCACACCTCATATTCCTAAGATGCTTCTCTCTTTCCAAAGAATTTGTTCCCAAGGTTCTTTCATCTGCTCCACTCCAAAATGCAAATGGCATCACCTGGCCAAAGACATTTATTCCACCTGGGGCCCACAGGCATGAAGAGGAAGCCTTGGGGGCTGGGATGGCTTAAGGCATTTTACTCTGAGCTTGCTATTCATTTCTCTAACTCTGTGGGTGACCTTTCCAGAACTGGCCTTGGTCCTCCCAACTGGTATCTTTGGGAGCATAGTCAGGGCCCTCTGGGGCTGTCTCTAATCCCATCTTACAGCTTCACTCCCATTGGGCCCTGTACTGGGCTCAGGCTCCTGGTCACCAGAGGTGTGATCAGGCGTCCTGAGAGAATCACTCACCTGTGCACGCAGTCATGCAGGAGGCCACCTGCCCCACCTGCGAATCTGGAATTTCTGAAATCGCAAATCAGATGGAACCAGGGTGAGGCCAGAAAGAGGCATAAGATAGCCCCACGCTATGGGCCACTGACCTTACTCTGGGAAGAAGATGAGAAATGATAATGCCAGCTCTCCCCAGACTTTGCAAAATGTCCTCAGGGGAGGGAGGGCCACAAAGACTGGAAGTGATTGCCCTACCCTTTGTCCAATTTGCTCTTGTTCATCTTGGGTACTGGCACCATCATCCCTGATAGCTCAAGCTGCCAATCATTCGTGCTTCCACATCCCTCATCACTACCTGAGTCCAATATGTCAGCAAGCTCTGCCAATTCCATCAACAAATACAGGTCTCCATTCCTCCCATCCATCAATCCATCTACCCATCCCCACTCCCATCCATCCACCCACCTGCTCCCTGCTCCTATCCATCCATTCATCCATCCAACCACCCCCACCCCCACTCCTATCCACCCACCCCCAATTCCCCTATCCATCCACCCACCCGCTCCCCTCTCCTATCCATCTATCTGCCCACTCCCCACACCCCTCCTATACACCCACCCCCAACCCCCCTCCTACGCATCCATTCACCCACTCCCCCTCCCATCCATCCACCCACCCCCAGCCCCCCTCCTATCCATCCATCCACGCATCACTTCCACCTCCTATCCATCCACCCACCCCCCCATCCGTCCATCCACCCCCCAACCCCCCAATCCATCCATCCACCCACCCACTACCCTCTCCTATCCATCCATCCACCTACTCACCCATTCCCCCTCCTATCCATCTACCCACTCACCCACTCCCTCTCCTATCCATCCATCCACCCACCCACTCCCCGCTGTTATCCATGCATCCATCCATTCACCCACTCTCCCTCCTATCCATCCATCCACCCAGCCACCCACCCTCTCCTGTCTCCTATCCATCCAAGTGACTTGCCCAGGTGCACACAGCTGGCTAACGGTGGAGCCTTAGGATTTGAACCCAGGCACTCTGGCTCCAGAGTCCCCAGCCATACCCTCATCCTGAATGAATCAGACAGTAAGTGAGCAAATGAGTAATGAATGGAACACCAGCAAGACCAAGAGGCTGCTGCAGGAAATAGCAGGAGCTGGTGCTGCTCCCTGTTGAGTGTCTCCCTTCTCCCACCATCGAAGGGGCAGAGGACAACCAGGGCATGAGCAGATGTGGTGAGGTGGCCCCTCGGCCCCCAGCTCAGGCTGCTAAGAAAACTGCCAGAGATTCCTGGAGCTCCCTCCCTGGGAAGGCCAGCACCCCTCCCTCCCTCCCTCCAGCCACCCAGCCCTTCCACTGCCACCTACTTTCAAACCTCGTTTCCCCTTCCTGCCAGCCACTTGCAGGATCTTTCCCAGGCATCACCCGTGCCCTCCTATGCATTAAGCAGGCATTCATCTGCAGCCATTTCCATAGGATGGCATTTCAATAATACCACTTCCATCCTCAAAACCACCCCGCTGCACCTCGACTGGTCATTGCTACACTTGCTGACCTGTTTAATCCCTCGAAAAACACATTGTGCCTGGGTACGGTGGCTCATGCCTGTAATCCCAGTACTTTGGGAAGCTGAGGTGGGTGATGGCTTGAGCTCAGGAGTTCGAGACCAGCCTGGCCAGCATGGCGAAACCCCCTCTCTATAAAAAATACAAAAATTAGCCGGGCGTGGTGGTGCACACCTGTGGTCCCAGCTACTCGTGGGAGGTGGGAGAATTGCTTGAGCCGACAGGTGGAGATTGCAGTGAGCCGAGATCGCACCACTGCCTGGTGCGATCGTATTCCAGCCTGGGTAGCAGAGTTAAGACCTTGTCCCAAAAAAAAAAAAAAAAGGAAAAACAAATCATTTCCCCAAAACGGGGAGGGGTGGAGGTAGGGTGCATTATATACTATTTTGTTTACACCCTTTAAAACATTGGACATGGTAAGATATCTGGCAGGGTTTTTTTCTCCTAAATATTTTGGCACATCTAACAAAACCCTCTTTGCATTCAAGTAGAATATCAACAGATAAAACCACATTTCAAAGACATTCAACCCAATCAATTTCCCTTCCAACTTTCCTTCAACTCTTTGATCACTCGGACACTGGGCACCAAATTAAACATATGTGTGCGTAATCATTACGTTCTCGATTGTGCACAAGCCCAGCATCCTGCTTGTTTGCTCAACAGACAATCCCTACATCTGCTTCACTGCTCAGCTAGGCTACAAAGCAGCCTGGCCCACCAGCCTCCAGCCACCATGACCTGCAGAAGTGAGCTGAGGTCTGAGAGCATTGTGCTTGAATTAAGCCTGTACCCCTTCCATTTCCTGAACGCTTGAACACATTTAAAATATTTTTTAAATTTCAGAAAAATGAAGTTCATGTCATGATAAATTCTTAACAGATTAACCAAGGATGGGAAAACACTGCACACTGGAGGTAATAAATTCTTCAATCAGATCCTACTCACTTCCAGGAAGAGATCTGAAATGGACTGAAATGAGTGTCATCTCTAGCCAGCAAATGAAATCAAGTCCCATTTCAGCTTTCTCAGCTGTCAATTCTGATCAGTGTGCATTCTTTTATGAAACCAACACAATTTACCAAGTACCTATAGCATGCCAGACAGTGTTCTATGCTGAAATAAAAGCCCAAATATCAAAACAATTACATCATTTACAACAAATAAAAGACCCCACAATCTGGCCCGCGCTCTCCAGTATGTGGCTATGAAGCATCTAAAATGTTACTGGTTACAGAGAAACTTTTCATTTAATTTTAATTAAACAAAAAACCAATACTCAATTCACTTATTATAAGACTTTCAGCCTGGTGCAGTGGCTCATGCCTGTAATCCCAGCACTCTGGGAGGATCACTTGAGTTTGAGACCAGCCTGGGCAACATGGTGAAACCCCGTCTCCACAAAAAATATTTTTTAAAGAAAGAAAACTTTCAAATATGTTTGAAACAACTTGGCACAGTAGGTAAACCTACTTTCTCAACTCTAAGTTTTAAGAAATCTAAAGACAGATCAAGTATTTGCAATGAAAACTTAGCATCTGAATTGAAATATGTCGTAAGTATAAAATACACATTAAATGTTGAATGGGAAATAAATCTCATTAATACTTCCTATTGATTACATTTTCTAATTATATATTGGATATATTGGGTTAAGTAAAATGTTATTAATTTCACCTGCCTTTTTAAAAATTTGTATGTGTGGGTACTAGGAAAATTAATATTACTTGCATTTTTTTGTTGCTGAGACAATGTCTCACTCTGTCGCCCAAGTTGGAGTGCAGTGGCATGATCTCGGCTCACTGCAGCCTCGACCTGCTGGGCTCAAGCTCAGTGGGTCCAGAAGGCAGCATTTTCTCACTCAGGGCTTCAGATCTGGTCTCTGCAGCTCCCCAATCCCTGCCTTGTCTGAGTTTCCAGAGGATGCTGGTGGAGCATGTGAGTGAGAGATGAGGATTCACCTGTCATCTCTCGCTCCTCTTCCCCATGAAAAGCAAAACAAAAGGTGGCAGCGGAAAGGCAGGTCAACAGGCATCTGGCTACAAAAGCGCAATCCCCGGCGCATCTGGACTGCCCCTTGCTTCGCTCCAGACAGGACCAGGAACGCGCAGCAGTTTTACTTACTCTCCGCAGTCACTGCCATCAGCGGCCAGAGCAGGACCAGACCGAGGAGTCCCACGGGGGCCGGCATCACTTCCTGGGCCAGCCCCGTGCCACCAGCCTCAGGCTCCAGAGCAGCTCAGCGTGGTCCTGAAAGGAATCTTTTTCCCCAAAGAGGAGGGCTCAGCTTTAACCCACTCTCCCAGCCCAGGAGGGTAGAAGGGGAGGTGGGGGGCATTCAGAACAGAGATCCAGCCAGTCAGAAGCCTCCAATAAAGTTATTAGCACCCCGCCCGACAGAGAGGAGGGGAGGGGGCTCCTGACCAATGAGGGGAAAAAAAGCCTAGAGGGGAAAAAAAAGGAGCTTGACTACTCTCCTAGCCTTGTAAACAGAGATCTCAGGTCAGAAGGCAAGACGGTGTAGTGGTTGTTTCTTTTTAATTGCAGTATAATTATATTTTAAAAACATAAAACTGACCATTTTAACCATTTCATTTATTTTAAAAGACAGGGTCTCAGCTGGGCGCGGTGGCTCACGCTTGTAATTCCAACACTTTGGGAGGTCGAGGCGGGCAGATCACGAGGTCAGGAGTTTGAGACCAGCCTGGCCAACACAGTGAGACCCCATCTCTACAAAAAATTTAAAAATTATCTGGGCATGGTGGCGAGTGCCTGTAATCCCGGCTACTCGGGAGGTGGAGGCAGGAGAATCGCTTGAACCCGGGAGGCAGAGTTTGCAGTGAGCCAAGATCGCGCCACTGCACTCCAGCACTGCACTCTGGGCAAAAGAGCTAGATTCCGTCTCAACAAACAACAACAACAACAAGGTCTCAATCCGTCACCAAGGCTGGAGTACAGTGGTGTGGTCATGGCTCACTGCAGCCTACACCTCCCGGGCTCAAGCAATCCTCTTGCCTCAGCCTCCCAAGTAGCTGGGACTACAGGCACTGTGCCACCACGCCCACCTCATTCTTGTATTTTTTGTAGAGACGGAGTTTCACTACGTTGCCCAGGCTGGTCTTAAACTCCTGGGCTCAAGCGATCCACCTGCCTCAGCCTCCCAAAGTGCTAAGATTACAGGCATGAGCCACGGCACCCGGCCCATTTTAACCACTTTTAAGTATTCAGTTGAGTGGCGTCGTGTCCACTCATGACATTGCGCAACCATCACTACTGTCTAGTTGTGTAGTCTGACATTGGGTTTGTCTTTCCCAGTGCTCAGGTTAGGAAAAGCCAACGGGAGGCCTGACTTAGCAAGGCCTTTGGAAATGGCTCTTATCACAGCAGCAGCGGGTTTTTCAAAGCTCCAGGTTTAAGGCCTCCCAAGAGGACAAGGAAGTAATTCGGGAGGCCAGAGGTCTGCTCACACCTGCTCAGCGTTCATTCTAGGTCCCACATCTCTGCCTCTCTCCCTCAAACTCACCTCCACCCACACCTTTTGGTTTTCAAGGTGTGATTTTTGTTTGTTTGTTTTTGTTTTGTTTTGTTTTTTAAAGATGGGCTCTCACTCTGTTGCCCACGCTGGAGTGCAGTGGTGTGATCGTAGCTCACTGCAGCCTCAACCTCCTGGGCTCAAGTGATCCTCCCACCTCAGCCTCCCAAGTAGCTGGGTCTACTTGACTCAATTCTCCCATTTAAAGCACAAAACTCAACTGGCGCGGCAGCTCATGCCTGTAATCCCAGCACTTTGGGAGGCCGAGATGGGTGGATCACAAGATCAGGAGTTCAAGACCAGCCTGGCCAACATGGTGAAACCCTGTCTCTACTAAAAATACAAAAATTAGCAGGGCACGGTGGCATGTGCCTGTAATCCCAGCACTTTGGGAGGCTGAGGCGAGTGGATCACTTGAGGCCAGGAGTTCAAGACCAGCCTGGACAACATGGTGAAAACCCGTCTCAACTAAAAGTACAAAAAATTAGCTGGGCATGGTGGTGCCTGTAATCCCAGCTACTTGGGAGGCTGAGGCGGGAGAATCACTTGAACCCAGGAGGCAGAGGTTGCAGTGAGCCGAGATTGTGCCACTGCACTCCAGCCTGGGTGACAGAGTGAGACTCCATTTCAAAAAAATAAATTAATTAAATTAAAATAAAGCATACAACTCAATGGTTTTTAAGATAGTAAGGGAGTTTGGCAATCATTACCACAACCAATTTCATAATTTCCTCACTGCAAAAAGAAATCCCATACCTAGTAAACAATCACCTCTGGTGCCTCTGACCCCAGTCCTTGGCCACCACTGATCTGCTTTGTGTCCTTATGGATTTGTCTATTCTGGACATTTCACATAAATGGAATGGTTTAGTAGGTGGCCTTTGTCTGGCTTCTTTCACTCAGCATGACAGTTTTGGGGCTCAGCCACGAAACGTGAAATAGTGTGTCATTCCTTTCCGTGGCTGAATAATGCACTGAAAGGATAGACCACTTTCTATGTAGCCATTTATCTCGTGATGGACAGTTAAATGTACTTTTAATGGAATTTTCTTAGAGTCAAATTAAGACACAGTTGACTGGTTGGCACACCATGTTTTATGAAAACTTAATCATTTATGCTTTTAGACTTGGCCCATTTTCTTTTCATATTTTGAAATCAATGATTCTACCTCCCTTTTCCCAAGCTCAAGCATTTTCCTTTATTTTCTTTTTTTGAGACGGAGTTTCGCTCTTGTTGCCCAGGCTAGAGTGCAATGGCGCAACCTCGGCTCACTGCAACCACCACCTCTCAAGTTCAAAGCGATTTTCCTGCCTCAGCCTCCCGAGTAGCTGGGACTACAGGCATGTGCCGCCACGCCTGGCTAATTTTGTGTATTTTTAGTAGAGCTGGGGTTTCACTATGTTGGCCAGCCTGGTCTCGAACTCCTGGCCTCAGGTGATCCACCTGCCTCGGCCTCCCAAAGTGCTGGGATTACAGGCATGAGCCACTGAGCCTGGCCCCCAGCTCAAGCATTTTCTCTAGCAGGGTTCAGGAGCACCTGACCCACAGGGATAAAGACCTAAAAGACCCTTCAGCTCACAGCTGCTTGGGGACTACGATGGGTTCGGGCGTGGCTGCCAAATGCTGTGGGGAAGAGCATCCTGGGGGGCGAGTGGGGGGGTGCTGGCTTGGAGGAGTCAGTGGGGAAACGAGATGCACAGGCAGAAGATCTTCAGCACACCACAGACAGACCTCACGCAGAGAAAGGAACAGTTATTCTGGCAGGAACTCGTGGAAGCAGTTTACAAAGGAGAGATTTCCCTGGATCTCAAAGAATAGATGGCATTGTTGTTAGGAAACTATCAGACTAGGCAAAGCATTCCTTGTATATTGACTCATTCATCAACTTCTCCTGCAAAATCCCTGCAAGGTGAACTAGGTCATCCCATGGTACAGATGAGGAAACAGAGATACAGAGAGGTTAAGACACTTGCCCTAAGTCACACAGCTCAGGAGGATTTTAACCCCATCTGGCTCCAGAGTCCCTGCTCTGTTAGCTCTGGCAGCTTTGGTCCATCACTTTCTTTCTCCGTCTTCTCCCCCAGGAGACTCAAGTCTCTGACCACAGGCCTGAATTCCTCCCCCATTCAAAGTCAGGAGCCTGAGCAGAGACCTTGCAATTCTCAATGCGATGGCTTCTCGCCAATCACAGTGGGTATTGGCTACAAATGCAGATTCCCAGGCCCATTCCAGACCAGGACAATCAGACTCCCTAGGGTGGGGCCCTCCCTCCAGGCCATTCTGATGACCAGCTGTGTTTGCATTGCCCCAGCCTACCCGAGTCTGCCTGGGAAGGGTCTCTGTACCGCTGGCCTCACTTTGTGTCTACATTGTCACAGGCCCAAAACCCAGTAAGGTGGTTTGATAGAACATGGGGACACAGGATTCGATTCACAAAGACTCAGACCCTCCTATACAAGCCATCCACCATAGATCCAGCCTCCCACCTCCTCTTCCTCCCACCAAAGAAAGTCCTGCTTCTACCTAGAGAAAATTTACGGGGTTGGGGTTGGGTTTGCCAGCGACTGGGGATCGAGCTTCCTTCCAGTCAGTGTGAGTTCAGCCGGAGTATGGATTGAAGCCCATCAGGCTCAGGTCAGAGTCACCAGAGTTCAGAAGCCCTTTTGGTGGGTGCAGTGGCTCAGGCCTTTACTCCCAGCACTTTGGGAGGCTGAGGCAGAGGGATTGTTTGAGCCCAGGAGTTCAAGACCAGCCTGAGGAACACAGGGAGACCTTGTCTCTACAAAAATAAAAGCCGGGTGTGGTAGTGCACACCTGTAGTCCCAGCTACTCAGGAGGCTGGGGCAGGAGGATTTCTTGAGCGCAGGAGGTTGAAGCTGCAGTGAGCTGTGATCACGCCACTACACTGCAGCCTGGGTGACAGAGCAAGACTGTTTTTAAAAAAAAAAAAAAAAGGCAGCCTTTTCATTTGTGTATTAGCTTGTTCTCACACTGCTATAAAGAAAGACCTGAGACTGGGTAATTTATAAAGGAAAGTGGGTTAATTGGTTCACTGTTCGGGAAGGTGTACAGGAAGTATATGGTAGCACCTGCCTCTGGGGAGGCCTCAGGTAGCTTTCACTCATGGCAGAGGGCAAAGCGGGAACAGGCGTCTTACATGGCAGGCGCAGGACCGAGAGAGGCATGGCAGAGGTACCACACTCTTAAACAACCAGATCCCTCTGCTCTGCCTATTAATCCTTCCCTTTCCCTTACCACGCCCCCCACCAACCCCAAAACCGCTGATCTTTTTACTGTCTCCAGTTTTGCCTTTTCCAGAATGTCACAGAGTTGGAATCCTACAGTGTTTCTTCAATTCTTTTCAGAATGAAGCAGGTTTTTTTGTTTTTGTTTTTGTTTTGTTTTGTTTTTTGAGACAGGGTCTCACTCTGTCACCCAGGCTGGAGTGCAATGGCGCCATCTCAGCTCACTGCAACTTCCGCCTCCCGGGTTCAAGCGATTCTCCTGCCTCAGCCTCCCAAGTAGCTGGGATTACAGGTGCCCACCACCATGCACAGCTAATTTTTGTATTTTCAGTAGAGATAGGGGTTTCACCATGTTGGCCAGGCTGGTCTCAAACTCCTGACCTCAAGTGACCTACACCTGCCTCAGCCTCCCAAAGTGCTGGGATTACAGGTGTGAGCCACTACACCCGGCCTGAAGCAGCTTTCTTTTTAAACCACCAAAAGATATTTTGCAGAGCTAGGGTAAGCGGGTGAGAGAGCCACAGATACCCCATGATAGAGAAGAAGTAACCAGCAGGGGGCAGTGAGCTCCTCTCGCCTGGCCTTCATGAAGCACTCACTACTGCCACCTTATCTTCAACACAAAAGATGAACAAGAGGCTGGGCTAGGTGGCTCACGCCTGTAATCCCAGCACTTTGGGAGGCTGAGGCAAGCGGATCACTTGAAGTCAAGAGTTCGAGACTAGCCTGGCCAACATGTGAAACCCTGTCTCTACCAAAAAATACAAAAATTAGCCAGGCATGGTGGCATACACCTGTATAGTCCCAGCTACTCGGGAGGCTGAGGCAAGAGAATTGCTGGAACCCAGGAAGGGGAGGTTGCAATGAGCTGAGATCACGCCACTGTACTCCAGCCTGGGCAATAGAGTGAGACCCTGTATCAAAAAAAAAAAAAAAAAGATTGACAGAGAAATTGGCTCCCTGTTGTTTACTAGTAAGGTTGGAAAAGTCAGGTGGATGGAAGAAGGTGGGGAGTGGATGCGAGAGAGCAGGGAGGGATGGTTCATCCCTTTGCTTATTTATTCAATTAGCAGTGTGACCTTAGAAAAGTTACTTAACCTCTCTGGACTCCTTTACTCATTGGCAAAATAAAGGGGCTAGAAATTCCTGACAAAGTGTCTTCTGGCTCCATGTTGTGTTCAAGTGGAGAACAGAGAGTTCAGAAAGAAACCAAGTACACACAGGAGTAGGCACATGATAAAAATAGCATTGCATCTAGTTGGGGAGAACAACAGATTCAAAGATGGACAAAGTATACGAGCATCCCGTTCACAGAAAAGGACACAAAAAAAGACACAGATAGAGTTTCGGCAAAGAGGCTCAACCTTAGACATTAAAAAAATTCAAATTAGGCTGGGTGCATTGGCTCACGCCTATAGCCCCAGCACTTTTGGAGGCTGAGGAGGGCAGATCATCTGAGGTCCAGAGTTCGAGACCAGCCTGGCCAACATGGTGAAACCCCGTCTCTGCTAAAAATACAAAAATTAGCTTGGTATGTTGGCACACGCCTGTAATCCCAGCTACTCGGGAGGTTGAGGCAGAAGAATCACTTGAACCCAGGAGATGGAGGTTGCTGTGAGCCAAGATCACTCCACTAAAAAAGAAATGCAAATTGAAGCTACAAAACTCAGGCTGGGTGCGGTGGCTCACACCTGTAATCCCAGCACTTTGGGAGGCTGTGGCAGGCGGATCGCTACTTGGGAGATTGAGGCAGGAGGATTGCTTGAACCCGGGAGGCCGAGGTTACAGTGAGCTGAGATCGCACCACAGCACTTAAACCTGGAGACAGAGCAAGACCCCATCCGAAAAAAAAAAAAAAAAAAAGAAGAAGAAGAAATTTTAAAAATTAAGTGAAAAGGCCATGAAGCCTGGATGAAGTAATTGGCGACTAGTGGAGAAACAGGACATGGGCCCTCAGGGAAAAGAAAGAGGAAACAGCACATTGAGGTTTTGCAGGTTAAAGGTGAATGGTAGATCACTTCATATTTGGAGTACGTGAAACTCAAGCAATTTAATCTTTTCAAGGGCAAAGACTATCCTCCCTTTTGTATTGCTCATAACACCTTCACATTGTGGCCATAAAAACGCTGGCTGGGTAGGGAAGGGGAGGCACATTTTCTCTGTCCTAGCAATTCCCCTTCTAGAAATTAACCCAGGCCGGGCACAGTGGCTCCCACCTGTAATCCCAGCACTTTAGGAGGCGAAGGCAGGCATAACACCCAAGGTCTCGAGTTCAAGACCAGCCTGGCCAACAAGGTGAAACCCTGTCTCTACTAAAAATACAAAAATTAGCCGGGCATGGTGGCGTGCGCCTGTAATCCCAGCTGCTCCGGAGGCTGAGGCAGGAGAATTGCTTGAACCTGGGAGGCAGAGGTTGCAAAGAACCGAGATTGCACCACTGTACTCTAGCCCAGGCAACAGAGGGAGACTCCGTCTCAAAAAAAAAAAAAAAGTTAACCTTGTCCTGCTCCTGGAAGGAAACTCCAGGCCCTTGGAATGTGCTGCCTGATGGTAATGTCAGTGTCTTTGTTTACCTGGGGGCCTGGAACCACGCCAGCCAGTCTCTGCTAATGACATGATTTAGGGTGGGGGGTTTGGGCCAGGTGATACCAGCATGACCTCTGGAGGGGCTGGAGACTGAGGTCAACTATGGGCCATTGGCCATGACTGGTTGCCAATAAAAACATTGCACACAAGGCTCTGGTGAGCTTCCTTGGTTGGCAATGCTCTGTGCACATTGCCACACATTATGGCTGGGAGAAATAAGTACTGTCCACGAGTCCACAGGGAGAGGACATCTGGGAGCTTGTGCCTGGCCTCCCTGCCTTATGCACCTTTTCCCTTTACTGATTTTACTCTCTTTCCCTGTAATCAACAGCAGCCATGAGTGCAATGTCTTTTCTGAGCTCTGTGATTCCTTCTAGAAAACCATAGAGGCCGAGAGTGATCTCGGGCCCCTCCTGAAATGCAAACATCTACTGTGTGCCAGTCACTGTTTACTGGGGATACAGCATCAGACAGATGAAAGCCCCTGCCTTCAAGGAGCTGACTTTCTAGTGCAGGAAGACAGATCAGAAGCAAGACAAATAGGCTGAGTGTGGTAGCTCAGCAATTTGAGAGGCCGAGGTGAGAGGATGAAGAGTTTGAGACCAGCCTGGCCAACGCAGTGAGACCCCATCTCTATGAATAAGAAACAAGAAAAGATGACAAAGAAGCTTGTCTTTCAGGAGCAGACGTATAGGGGGCCAGGAAACGCCTCGAGACACAGGCTTGGCACCTATGAGCCAGTCTCCATTAGGACCAGGTCATATTCAGCTTTGATAAGCAGGAGTGGAACAAGCCAAGCAAGTGACACTCAATTTTGCAAGCAGCAGCCACCTGTGTCCCCTTCTCATCGTGGACTCCCGGGTGTGGGTCAGCATCAGCACACCTGGCTTGGGTGAGGATGAGCTGGTGGCCACCTCTGTGTCATTTGAAAACACCCATGTTTCTTTCACAGGCGGACCATAGGTGCTGCCTATCGCCCGGGAAATAAAACATGTAGTTTATGAGTGCAAACAAGGAAAAAGTTCAAGCACAAAAACACAAATGCCTCTGGGAGGATTGACATGTTAGCTGAGGAATCCCAGCTTGGAACCTGGGACCGGTAACTTCACCTGTCAGAATTTCAGTTTGTCTGTAAAATGGAGAGGGGATGTTCATCTTACAGAATCGTTGTGAAATTCAATAACAGAATGTGCCCCGCCCATGGCAGGCACTCAACAGATACTCACTGCTGCTCTGTGCTGGGGTGATCTACAGTCATTGGTCATTATCTTCCTGGCATCCAGAAGCTTACTCACTAATTTACCTTTACTGTTTACAGGTTGACATCATTTCACAATCAAAGATCGAGTGCCAATTCCTATAGCTGTCAGGAGCTCAGCTGAGCTGCAAGAGGGCGGGCTGAGCTGTCAGGTGGCAAAGCAATAAGCCAAAAATGACAGCGTTACGCCCGTGATCACTCACCGTGATGGTACAAGCAGGAGGTTAAAACCGGAGAAAGCACCAACTGCCCTTCTCCCGTTTCCCCACGGAACAGGGCATCAGTTGAGGATCTGGTGTATCATCCAGATGTGGGGGAACCAGGCAAAAGGCTCCTGACAGTATTATGGACCTGGGTAGGGGGCAAGAGAGGGGGCTAGGACTGGAAAAGTACTGAGTAACAAGCCAGGGTGGGGAAAAGGGTCTTCTTTTCCCTCCTTCTGGTCATAAGAGAACCCTGAAGAAGATCCCTGCCCAAGGCCTCAGATCAGGAGACCTAGGAAGGCAGGCAGCAGGGCTAAAAATGTAGACATGCATCAGAGCAGAGCCGTGGGGACTGAGACCACGATGCAACCCCCTCTGGAGATCACAGGGTACTGGCTGTACCCCAAGTCTGGTGTGGGGAGGGCAGCTTCCCCTAAGGCCTGCCAGGTAAACGCTTTCGGAATTGCCTATGGTCAGGCCTTAAAAAAAAAAATCACATGTGGGTTTTTTGGTTTTTTGAGACGGAGTCTCACTCTGTCACTCAGGCTAGAGTGCAGTGGCTCGATCTCGGCTCACCGCAACCTCCGCCTCTCAGGTTGCAGCGATTCTGCCTCAACCTCCCAAGTAGCTGGGACTACAGGTGCGTGACACCACACCCAGCTAATTTTTGTACTTTTTAGTGGAGATGGGGGTTTCACCATATTGGCCAGGCTGGTCTCCAACTCCTGACCTTGTGATTCACCCGCCTCAGCCTCCCAAAGTGCTGGAATTACAGGTGTCAGCCACCACACCTGGCCACATGTGGGTTTTTAACCAGGGGCCACGCTCCTCTGCTGTGTTATCCAAGGCCTGAAGCATTGAGACAGTGCATTGCTGTTACCTGGCCCAGGAGTGGGGTGTCCACACATTGGGCGTGCCCAGGACAGCCTCAATTCTGCTGCCCGGCCTACTCATTAACAGCTGCCCTTTTGTCTTTGACATGTCCTATTTAGGCTTACCCTTATAATTTTTAATATAGAAGAAGATTGTCTAAATCATTTTACTGAAAAATGGCACAGTGGTTTTTCTTTTTTTTTTAATAGCTGGTACAATGAGTAGCAAGGATAGAGCCACAGACTTTTTAAAGATATAAAGATAACCTTCAACAGATAAACAAAATGTCATCTATGCACACAATGGACTACAATCTGGCTATAAAAAGCAATGGAGCAATGACACCTGCCACAGCGTGGGTGGCCCTTGAAAACATTATGCCATGTAAAAGAAGCCAGGCATCGGCTAGACGTGGTGGCTCACACCTGTAATCCCAGCACTTTGGGAGGCTGAGGCAGGCGATTCATGAGTTCCAGAGTTTGAGACCAGCCTGGCCAACATGGTGAAACCCCGTCTCTACTAAAAGTACAAAAAAAATTAGCCAGGCGTGGTGGCACACACCTATAATCCCAGCTACTCGGAACACTGAGGCAGAAGAATTGCTTGAACCTGGGAGGCGGAGGTTGCAGTGAGCCAAGATCACGTCAATGCACTCCAGCCTGGGTGACAGAGCAACATTCCATCTCAAAAAAAAAAAAAAAAAAAATCCAGGCACAAAAGACCACATATGCTATGATTCCCTTTACATGATACGTACAGAATGGGCAAATCTATAGAGCTGGAGAGTAGATCAGTTGATTGCCAGGGGCTGGGAGTGGCAGGGAGAGGAGATTGAGAGTCGTCAACTAAAGGGTACGGGATTTTTGGTTTTGTTTTGAGACCATATCTCATTCTGTCACCCAGGCTGGAGAGCAGTGGTATGATTTCAGCTCACTGCAATCTCTGCCTCCCAGGTTCAAGCAATTCTCCTGCCTCAACCTCCTGAGTAGCTGAGATTATAGGCACCTGCCATCATGCCCGGCCAATTTTTGTATTTTTGTAGAGACAAGTCACCATGTTGGCCAGGCTAGTCTGGAACTCCTGACCATAGGTGATCTGCCCAGCTCAGCCTCCCAAAGTGCTGGGATTACAGGCGTGAACCGCCACACTTGGCCCGGGGTTTCTTTTTGAGCTGATGAAAATGCTAAACTTGATTGTGGTAATGGTTGCACAACTTTGTGAATATAATAAAAACCGATTAAATCATTATGCTTTAAAACTTTATGTTTTAGAGACAGGGTCTTGCTCCTGTTGCCCAGGCTGGAGTGCAGCGGTGCAATCACAGCTCACTGCAGCCTTGACCTCGGCGCGGCTCAAAAAATCCTCCTTCCTCAGCTTCCTCAGTAGCTGGGACTGCAGGCACGCACCACCACGCCCAACGACATTTTTAAGACAGAATCTCGCTCTGTCGCCCAGGCTGGAGTGCAGTGGCACGATCTCAGCTCACTGCAAGCTCCGCCTCCCAGGTTCACACCATTCTCCTGCCTCAGCCTCCCGAGTAGCTGGGACTACAGGCGCCCACCACCACGCCAGGCTAATTTTTTGTATTTTTAGTAGAGATGGGGTTTCACCGTGTTAGCCAGGATGGTCTTAATCTCCTGACCTCGTGATCCACCTGCCTCGGCCTCCCAAAGTGCTGGGATTACAGGCGTGAGCCACCGCGCCTGGCCCGTTTTTTTTTTTTTTTTTTTTTTTTTTTTTAAAGAGACCGAGTCTCACCTTGTTGTCCAGGTTGGTCTTCAACTTCTGGCCTACACCAACCCTCCCACCTTGGCCTCCCAAAGTGCTGGATTACAGGTGTAAGCCACCACGCCCGGCTGAATTGTACACTTTAAATGGGTGAATTGTGTGACATGTAGATAACATCTCAATAAAGCTATTGCCAAAGAAGCCAAAAAGTTCTTACCGCAAAGCCCTGTGTGAGTGGCTGTTATACAGCAGAGTCTACGATGGGGTCTGAAACCTTCTCCCTGCGTTAGGAGGCCTGCCTCTCCCGGCACTTTTCCCATTTCTTGGCTACTCAGAGATGCACCAGCCACTTCACCTGTGGCTCAGCTCTATAATCGACCCCTGCTTCCAATCCCCACGTCCTCCAAGCAGAAATACGCCTGCCCAGGATCACAGGTACCCTAGCTGCTAAGGCCTCCGTGGTAATGAGCCCTTATGTAAAGACGACAGCCCCGTGCCCAGTCCCCTTCCTGCCCTTGCTTCCAGGGAATGGGCCCTATTAGCCATGCCCTGAGCAGGACACACGTGCAGCCCTAGATCTGTAGACGCAAGACTCACTCCAAAGATGGGATTCTCAGCTCAGGGAGGGAGGGAGGCAGCCCCCAGGGCCCACCGGTGGAAGGAATGTGGGGGCCTTCGAATGACCTGCAAAGGTGGCTCCTGGCCCCATCCTCACCTGAGCCAGATGTGTGAATACAGACGCCCGCCCCTGGCAGCAGACAGTGGGAAGGAGACACAGGGGGCTGATTCTTGCAAAGTTGAGTGTCATTTCTTGGCTTGCTCTGCTCCTGCGTATCAAAGCTGACCACAGCCTGGTGCTCATTGAGACCTGTGTCTCAAGGGTTTCCTAGTTTACCGAAGAGCTGGCTCCGGTGGGCTGTAGGGCAAACGCACCTGAACGCAATAACCTGCGCACATCCTTAGGATGACCTGGATGGCAGACTCACCTGAATGTGAGTCCCAGCTACGGAATCCGGGAATGGCCAACCTGGAGATTTGTTTCCTGTCTATGAGAAACATCTGAGCCCCTGGCCCATCCCATGAAACACAGGCCCTCCAAGGGATGGAGGCTCTGAGTTTTAGGTTACATGAAGGTTGCCAGGTGGAGGTCGTTAAGGGGAGGGTGTTAAGTGAAAATGCTGAATAAACTGCATGCTGTTTGCAAGTGGCTGCAGTTTCCCTCTCCAGCCCACCAGCACCTGCACTCTCTCCCCTGTGTCTAAGTCCCGAATCAAACCCAATGTCTCCTTTGCTGGCTCTGCATTTCTTCTTCAGCCTCTTGAACTTGTTACCTCCCTAGTGAAACTAACAGGGTTTCAGCACAACATAGGCCAAAACAGCAAGCCCCTAGCATATTCCAGCATGTTCTGGAATGTTCCAGCAGGTACTGTCTTCTCCCCTAGACCTGTCCATTTCCCAACACAGACATTTAGCGCTGGAGGAATCAGCCTACCTCTTCTTCGAAAGGAGAGGAACTCGGTGTGGGAAGCTCAAATGAGTTGTCCCAGCCCTGCAGCAGGTTGCAAGTAGCTCAGTCATGGTTCTTGATGAATCAAATGCTTTCACTTTACTTTCTTCCCTAATTCAACAAGCATGTCCTATACATTTTAACCCAACATTGTACTGGTTCCAAAGATGTTGATACTGAGGTCCTGTCCTCAGATTCTACCATTTGCTTTATAAGTATTATTTAATTATACATTATAGTCTTTTTTTTTTTTTTTTTTTTTTTGAGACAGAGTCTCGCTCTTGTTGCCTAGGCTGGAAAGCAATGGTGTGATCTCAGCTCACCACAACCTCTGCCTCCCAGGTTCAAGCAATTCTCCTGCCTCAGCCTCCCGAGTAGCTGGGATTACAAGCATGTGCTACCACGCCTGGCTAATTTTGTATTTTTAGTAGAGATGGAGTTTCTTCATGCTGGCCAGGCTGGTCTCGATCTCCCGACCTCAGTTGATCCGCCTGCCTTGGCCTCCCAAAGTGCTGGGATTACAGGTGTGAGCCACCGTGCCTGGCCATTATATTATAGTCTTAACACAGTTGGTAATGGTTACTACCTCACTGAAACCTCCATTCTGATTTACGCTGCATCCACAGTTCACTCTATCCTCATTTTACCAATTGTCACATGAAACAATACAAATTGGTGTATTTTCTTTGATCGAGGTGAGATTCACCTAGTACAATTAAACAATTTTACAGTGACCAATTCAGTGGCATCAGCACATCCACATTGTTGTACAACTGCCACCTCTATCTCGTTGCAAAACATTTTCTTTTTCTTTCTTTTTCTTTTTTTTTTTTTTTTTTTTTTGAGACAGGGTGTCACTCTGTCGTCCAGGCTGGAGTGCAGTGGCACAATCATGGCTCACTGCAGCCTTGACTTCCCAGGCTCAAGCGATCCTCCCACCTCAGCCTCCCCAGTAGCTGGGACTACAGGTGCCTGCCATTACACCAATCTATTTTTTTTTTTTTTTTGCATGTCTTTGTAGAGAGAGGGTTTCACCATGTGGCCCAGGCTGGTCTCAAACTCCTAGGCTCAAGCGACCCTCCTGCCTCGACCTCCCAAAGTGTTGGGATTACAGGCATGAGTCACCACGCCTGGACTGCAAAACATTTTCCTCACCCCCAAAGGAGACCCCAGATCCATGAAGCAGTCACTTCCCATTCTCCCCTCTTCCCAGCCCCTGACAACCACCAATTTGTCATCTGTATCTATGGATCACCTATTCTGCATATTTCACATAAATGGAATCATACAACAGGTGACCTTTGCTGCCTGGCTTCTTTCACGTGGCATAACGTTTCCAAGGCTCATCCACACTGTAGTATGTGTTAGTGCTGCATTCCTTGTTATGGAAATTGGTGTATTTTAACCATGTTTGGGTCAGTGACAGACACTCGATCCCCAAACATTGGAAATGTTTCCTTTGACCCATGCACTTTGCCCAGGTGTTCTCAATGAGGTGATTTGATTTTGTTTCTCCAGAGACATTTAGTGATGTCTGGAGTATTTTTTTTTTTTTTTTTGAGACAGAGTTTCACTCTTTCGCCCAGGCTGGAGTGTAGTGGCGCGATCTTGGCTCATCGCAACCTCTGCCCCCGGGTCCAAGCGATTCTCCTTGGCTCAGCCTGCCGAGTAGCTGGGATTACAGGCGCCCGCCACTACGCCCAGCTAATTTTTGTATTTTTAGTAGAGATGGGGTTTCATCATGTTAGCCAGGCTAGTCTCGAACTCCTGACCTCAGGTGATCCACCTGCCTTGGCCTCCCAGAGTGCTAAGATTACAGGCATGAGCCACTCTGCCTGGCCTGGAGTATTAATATTTTTGATTGTCACAACTGGGGACTGCTACTGGCATCTATCTCTGGGTAGAGGCCAGGGATGCTGCTACACATCTTCCAATGCACAGGATGGACTCAGAACAAGGAATGATCTACCCCAAGGTGTCAATAGTGCCAAGGTCAAGAACCCTGATTTCAGTTCCTTCTGTCTGGCTGATCTGATCCCCAGGCCCCATGGAACAACATTTCTTAACATTGCCAGCCCTTAGGAAACACCCCGGCACTCCTTTCTCATTCTCTTTCTTTCTCTTTTTCTTTCTCATTCTCTTTCTTGCTCTTTCTTTCACTCTTTTTCAAGAGATGAGGTCTCCCTATGTTGCCCATGCAGGAGTACAGTGGCACAGTAATAGCTCACTGCAGCCTCTAACTCCTGGGCTCAAACAATCCTCCCACCTCAGCCTCCCAAGCAGTTGGGACTACAACGGGCACCACCACACCCTGCCTTTTCTTAAAAATGCAGATTCCTGGGCCCCCTCCCAAGCCTTTCAAATCTGAATCTCCAGCCACGTAGCTTGGGAATCTGTATTTTTAACAAGGCCAAGGTGAATTGTAGGACCAGAAGAAGTTACTCTGTTATGAATTTCTTGGCAACTGTGTAAATCTCACTTATTCCATGCCTCCTTTCTTTTACTTGTAAAATGATCATGTTTTTCCTTTTTATCTGGAAGAGTTCTTGGCAGGATTGGTGGAGACAGTATTTGAGGAAGCGTTTATATGCAAGATCACGTTATCATAATATGCAAAGCAAGCATAACATGATGACGTTCCAGTTTAGATTCCCAAGAGCAAGGAGCCTGACTCTCCCATTTGCTGCTGCATCCTGGGAACATGTTACACACCCAATACGCACTTACTGATTGAACAGAGGCCCTGGGGACCACAGCATCAGTGATGGAGCCTCACACACTCACACCAACCCCCAGGCCGGGCCAGCGACCTGGGGGCACGCTGCAGCTGCAGGCTGATCGGGGCAGCCTTAGCACTTCAGTGGGCCACTTCCTCCATAAAAATATTTTTAAACATGTATTTTATGACTGTGTTGGTATAAAGAGAAATATAATCCAGGCTGGATTCATTATTATATGCAGGCATTTTTCCCTCTTATGGAAAAAAATGATAAAATTAAAGACTTTCTGTGGCCCCAGTATGGCTGTGCCCAGGGATAGGTCGGCACTGATGCCTGGTGGCATCTTGAGAGTTCCTAATCCAGTTGATCTGGGGCATGGCATGGGCATGGAGCCTTTTAAATGTTCCCCCGGGGGATTGTTTTTTCATTGTTTTTTTTTTTAGAGCAAGGGCCTCACTCTGTTGCTCAGACTAGAGTGCAGTGGTGCGATCACGGCTCAGTGCAGCCTTGAACTCCTGGGCTCAAGCCATGCCCCTGCCTCAGCCTCCAGAGCAGCTGGGACCACAGGCACACACCACCACACCCAACTAATTTTATTTATTTATTTATTTATTTTGAGACAGAGTTTCGCTCTTGTTGCCCAGGCTGGAGTGCGATGGCGTGATCTTAGCTCACCACAACCTCCGCCTCCCGGGTTCAAGCGATTCTCCTGCCTCAGCCTCCCGAGTAGCTGGGATTACAGGCATGCACCACCATGCCCGGCTAATTTTGTGTTTTTAGTAGAGACGGGATTTCTCCATGTTGCTCAGGCTGATCTCAAACTCCCGACTGCAGGTGATCTATCCGCCTTGGCCTCCCAAAGTGTTGGGATTACAGGCATGAGCCACCACGCTCAAACTTAATTTTTAATTTTGTAGAGACAAGGTCTCACTATGTTGCCCAGGCTGGTCTTTAATTCCTGGGCTCCAGCAATCCTCCTGCCTTAGCCTCCCCAAAAGGCATGAAGCCACCGCATCCAGCCTCCCCCAGGGGATTCTAAGGTGCAGCGTGGGGTCTGAGGACAGTGGCCCTGGCCCTGTCGTACAGGATTCAGTAAGAATCTTTCCCATCTGGAATCATCCACCAGCAGCTGGACATAGCCGTGATTGACAAGGTCGGGAGGCCAGGCATGGTCCCCTCCACACTGCATAACAATGGAAGGAACAATCATTCCTACCCTTTAGTCCCTGAGATCAGTGAGGCAACAGTCATTTGTCTTCCCCCTGGGGGTCGTTGGCCTGAAAGTCCTTGCAGGACTCCAGGAGGACTGAAGGCTTCCAGGCCAGTGCAGCTCCGGGCAGCTTGGCCCCTTCCCCTTACGCTCCATGCACCCAGAGACACATACACATGTGGATGCACGCTCACACGGGGCCAGACACTCATAGACAGCTACGGAGACACCCGGAGCCCAGCTCACACACATGACAGACACCTAGGCCCTCCAACAAACACCCACAGACACACCCACACATACACAGACACACTCCTACATATCCCCCCATACACAGCCCCCAACACACACACACACACACACCTATAGAGACACCCAGACCACCCCCTCACATATACACATGTGGACACTATCTGCTCACTGATAAAGGCCTGAACGGATTTAAGACTTTAAGACAGAAGGCAGGCAGAACATAAAATGAGGAGGCCATTAAGTTAGACAAACAACTAATGCAGGGAAAGGCAAACCAATGTAACCACAAAGAAAACCTTCAGTGAAAATGGGAAGGCCAAGCACAGTGGCTCACGCCTGTAATCCCAGCACTTTGGGAGGCCAAGGCAGGAGGATCACTTAAGCCCAGGAGTTTGAGACCAGTCTGGGCAATATAGAAGACCCCAACTCTACACAAAATTTAAAAATTAGCTGAGTGTAGTGGCGTGTGCCTGTAATCCCAGCTACGCAGGAGGCTGAGGCAAGCGGATGGCTTGAACCCAGGACTTCCGAGACCAGCCTGAGCAACACAGTGAGACACTGTCTCTACAAAAAATAAGCCAGGCGTGGTGACATGCACTTGTAGTCCCAGCTACTCAGGAGGCTGAGGCAGGAGAATCGCTTGAACCCGAGAGGTGGAGGTTGCAGTGAGCCGAGATCATGCCACTGCACTCCAGCCTGGGTGACAAGAGTGAGACTTGGTCTCAATAAATGAATGAATGAATGAATGAATGAATGAACCATACAGGTAGAATTACCCTATAACCCAGCAATTGCATTCCTAGGTATACACCCAAGGGAACTGAAAACATATGTCCACACAGAAGCCTGTAAACAAATGTTCTCCGCGGCATTATTCACAATAGCCAAAAGGTAGAAACCACAGACGTTCATCGAGGGATGAGTGGATTAACCAATCGTGGTCTATCCACACAACGGAGTATGATTCACCCACAAAAAGGAATGAACCACTGGTCCATGCTACCATGTGGATGAACTTTGAAAATGTGATGCTCAGCAAAAGACGCCAGATGCAAAGATCACATATTCTATGATTCCATGGATATAGTATACCCACTATAGGTAAATCCATAGACAGAATGCAGACTGACGGGTGCCAGGGGTTGTGGAGAGGAGGGAATGGGGAGTGACTGCTAATGGGTTTGGGGTATTATTTTGGGCTGATGAAAATGTTTTGGAACCAGGTAGAAGTGATGGTTACATAGCACTGTGAATGTACTCAAAGCCACCTAATTATGTACTTTAACATTAGGTGAATTTTAGATGGAAAGAAGGAAGGAGAGAAGAGGAAGGGGGCAGAAATGTTGGCAGGGCAGCGCTAAGCCCACTGTTCACTCTTCCTAGGCAGGGTCGTGTTTTCTACCCCAATTGTACAATGGCTGCAACACAGCAGGAGTTAATCAATGATAAACAATGTCAAATCCACAGACACCAACCAGAGGCTTCCAGATGTTACCCTTCACACTTACTTTACACCGTGACCCCTCCCCCAAACACACACATCTATATATCCAAGTTTTACAAATAATACTCAGATCTATTATGAGTAATGCACTGTGACTTTTGATGAACCCATTAAGTTGATTTTGCCCATTTGGGAAACCGGCCAAGATCACTTAAGAGGCGCTGCAGTACTAAGAGCTTTAAGAATACTTAAATGCTGAGGCCAGGCACAGTGGCTCACATCTGTAATCCTAGCACTTTGGGAGGCCGAGGCAGGCGGATCACTTGAGGTCAGAGGCTTGAGACCAGCCTGGCCAACACGGCGAAACCCTGTCTCTACTAAAAATACAAAAATTAGCCTGGCGTGAGGGAGCGCACCTGTAGTCCCAGCTACTCAGGAGGCTGAGGCAGGAGAATCACTTGAGCCCTGGAGGAGGAGGTTGTAGTGAGCCAAGATTGTGCCACTGCACTCCAGCCTGGGCAACAGAGCGAGACTCCATCTCAAAAAAAAAAAAAAAAAAAAAAAAAAAGGAACAGAAAGGGAAAGAAAAGGAGAAAAGGTATTTAATTGGGAGAACATCTTTTTAATACTGCAGAGATCAGTTACAAGGTGGTGAGTTACATGCAGTAGACTCTATACGTGGTGGTGAGCTATTTATTTATTTATTTATTCATTTTAATCTGAGCTCCAGAATCTTATTTAAAATTCTTAGATTAAAAAAAAAAAAAAAGGCCAGGCACAGTGGCTCATGCCTGTAGTAATCCCAGGACTTTGGGAGGCCGAAGTGGGCAGGTCAGGAGTTCAAGACCAGCCTTGTTAACATGGCAAAACCTCATCTCTACTAAATATACAAAAATTAGCTGAGCACGGTGGCAGGCACCTGTAATCCCAGCTACTCGGGAGGCTGAGGCAGGAGAATCGCTTGAACCCAGGAGGTGGAGGCTGCAGTGAGCTGAGATCATGCCATTGCACTCTAGTCTGGGCGACATAGCGAGGCTCCCTCTCAAAAAAATAAAAAGCAAAACTATTCTTGATGTCTCTTTCATGGCCCTTGCTAGATCTACTTCCAATTCACTCATGTGCCTGCAAAAAAACAGGCGACTCACTGTAAACATTTGAGTCATACAGGGAGGAGAGGACCAAGGAACCAAAAGGCAAATCAGAATTCTGCAAGTAAAATTCCAACGTCTAGATTTACTCCTAACAGAAATCTTGAGCCCAGAAAGTCAGAGAAGGATTTTTAACATCCCAAACACGACAGGCTCTCACTGGGGAGAAAACTGAGGCCAAATGGTGTGCATATATGAAGCCATGTTTATAAATAGTTCAGTATCCAACAGAAGGGTTCTCGTTAGCAACTGGGAAGTCAGTTGTCCCAGAGAAAACATTTTCACGGGTAACACTGTGGTCAGCAAAGAATCCATCATATGCTTAAGTCTGGCTTCAAGAGATGCAGTAGCTGAATGATTTTGTTAAGCCACAAACCAACACTTCTTAGAAGGCCACCTCGCCTAGATGGACATAACAGAATATAAGATATACAGTCACTTTTGGTTTCAGATTGGTAAAATTCCTCTTTGCGGTCCAAGTAGGTAGGTATAAAGCCCTTTCATTAATTGAATGTGAACCAGTGTTTGCAAGAGACTCTCAAGTCCCCACCAAACAGTGGCAGAACAAAAGAGCCTTTTAATTTGATATGTAAGTCCATACTTCGAACAGTAAAATGGAATGTCCAATGAACACTTCACACTCCAGGCATCTGACATGAAAGTTCCGCATAAGACATGTTTTTACGATCCTGAAATAGGGCTCTTGTTTTGAAGACTTTGCATATGTAATTAATAATAGCTTGAGATCATGTACATGCCACCATCTGAGCCAAACTGCTAAATATGCATGGCCCCGAAACTACACAATCAAGATCTGGAAAGCAGCAGTTTTTCAAGACTGTAATTTAGGGTTTAAATGACAATTAAGCCACACCAAGATGACATTATTTCCTTGCATCTAGCAAAATGAAGCTGTATCATCAGGTAGCAAAGGACGGGGGAAGGCGGCATCCATATTCCTGACATGTTACAATACCCTCCTTTTAGCATCTCACAAAGCATGTTTTGTTCAGAGAATGAATGGGGACAGTTCTCTTTTGTGCATTTTATTAAAACTTGAAAGCTATGGCTTGCCGCCATCAATGACGCCTATTGGGTTCCAATAGCCTCATGTTCAAATCTGACTCGTTAGCAAATCCACCCAACTCAACATCGGTCATCTTGACATTGCAGGATATTCAGCAAGTCTGAAGTTTTTAATCGGGAAGGATTTTCTACCGTTACTGAACAAATAAAGGTTCTTTGTAGCAATGGCTGGAAATGCAACATGAGCCCTTTCTTCACACCAAAAGAACTCATAAATAGTTCACCGGGTGAACCAAAGACTTTATTTTTCAAAAGCAGGTAACACCAAAGTACTATGTGGTATCCATATTCGTTGCAAAAATGATAATTACTGGAATTTTCCAAACATCAAATGAAGGGGGATCAATGGTTACCACTATCGTTTTCAACCAATATACAGATGTTCGCTCAAGGTCTAGGTTTTATTTCTACATAGTAGTATTCACATGAGTTCCCTATTCTGAAGTATTATCAAAACGAGGACCCTTGAAGGTCGAGCCCAGCTTTGTCTTGACTTCAAAGATGACACAGCAGCCAACCTAGAATCCTGGCTTGCTGCTTGAGTCCTAGAAATCATGTCTTCTCATGTTTTACAACAAGCTGTGTCTCTGAAAACTAAAATCAGACTTTAGATTCCTCTGAAACAGTTCTGGTTCCCAAGCATCCGCACCATGGTACCCAGACATGCTCAAAATGTGCTTTCCCTTATCTTTCAAAACCCACCACCAGGAAACCAAAACGGACCCCACTCTGAGAGTTCCATGATGAAGGTGTTTAAGAATCACATTAACCCCAAGTAAAGGCAGTAGATGAAATTATCCATTTCTTTTTCTTTTTTTTTTTTTTAAGTGAGACTACATTGGCAAATGGGAAAATGACACCAATCATTTGATTACAGAAAATGGTTTTATAAATCCTCCTCTTGAAATTATGTTCAGGCCCAGCATGGTAGCTTATGCCTGCAATCCCAGCACTTCGGGAGGCCAAGGCAGAAGGATCGCTTGAGCCCAGGAGTTCGACACCAGCCTGGGCAACATAGTAAGACCCCATCTCTGTTTTTTTTTAAAAAAAAGAAATTCTGTTCAAAAGTATTTCAGACCAAAAGGAGGTCATAAAAACTGTTCATATAATTACTCTATGAGAAAAAAATCCCTGTATGGAAAGGGGCACTGAAGATCTGGCACAGAGAAACAAGGGGAGACAGGGCAGTGATAAGATCCAGCCCTATTTTTCTAGCATGCATTTACGACCTTGTGGATATGTCTGTACTGGGTGTTAATAGCCCCCTCCTTGTATTTAAAAAAAAAATTAAGAAATTAAAGTGAATCTGTGTGCTAATGAAGTCTGCAGTTACAGAATCTCAAAGCCAAGCCTGTAAAGTCTGTAAGGCAAGATCTTTGTCATCAGGGACGGGAAGAGACGGATAAGATAATGGTAGGCACTAAAGGCTGGTTCAGCCGAGCTCTGGGCAGAACAGCCTCAAAAATAAGGCAACTGTGGCTTCTCAGTTTGAGACTGCCACCAGAAAGGCCCATGGAAGCAGGAAAAAAGAGCCACTGATGGCAGATCACAGGAAGATATTCGGATAGGGCAATGATCACAGTTAGATGGCAGGACTCAGGGTCTCAGGGAGGCAGGAAACCGTGGAACTGACACTCAAGGGGAATGTCTTTGCAAGTCCTATGCACGACTCCAAGCAGCAATTTCTGGGGTTTGGAGATTTGTTAGTTTTGCGACGTATTCCCCCCAAAAGAAGACATGAAGGTGGGCCCCCTGGAGAGGTGAGACCACCAGGGCAGAACCTCCACCAGGCGTGAAGCTGGATGAGAGGTGGAAAGGACTTCCTGCGGCACCCGGCTCCCTCCACGTCTGGCTGAGTCCTACAAACGCTTGTAGGTGCCCAGGAGAGCTCTGCAGTTGGGACAGTAATGGTCCACGTCCTGCAGGGCATCCACGCAGAAGGGGATGAAGCAGCAGCCCGCTATGCACCTGGGAGGAGAGAGAGACACACGGAGCGCGTTACTGATCACAACAGGGTGAACACTGGCTGCCAAAACCATGTTCATGTCCTTCTTTGTAAAAAGGGTCTTTGCCAGTATAATTAGGAATTTTGAGATGGGATCATCTTGGATTATCCAGGCGGACCCCTAAAACCCAATGACCTTAGAAGAAGAGGAGAGGACACACAGAGATACAGAGAGGGCAGAAGGAAATGTGAAGACAGAGGCAGAAGCTGGAGTGATGAGGCCATAAGCCAAGGACACCTGGACCTACTAGAAGCTGGAGGAGGCAAAAAATGATTCTCCCTGAAGCCTTAGGAGGGAGCGTGGCCCTGCTGACATTTTAGTTTTTGGTTTTGTTTTGTTTTGTTTTTGAGATGGAGTCTCGCTCTGTCGCCCAGGGTTCAAGCAATTCTCCCTCCTCCTGGGTTCAAGCAATTCTCCTGCCTCAGCCTCCTGAGTAGCTGGGATTGCAGGCGCATGCCACCAGGCCCAGCTAATTTTTTTATTATTAGGAGAGTTGGGGTTTCACCGTGTTGGCCAGGCTGGTCTCAAACTCCTGACCTCAAGTGATCCACCCGCCTTGGCCTCCCCAAGTGCTGGGATTACAGGCGAGAGCCACCACACCCGGCCCCTGCTGACATTTTGATTTTGCACTTCTGGCCTCTAGAATTGTGAGAGTTAATATCTGTTGTTTTAAACACTAGGTGTGTTGTAATTTGTGATGACACCCCTAGGAAATTAACATGCCAGCCAATGCCAAGGCTCCTCCTACAGACAGAGCCCCTTTGAGTATTATTTTCAAATCTGGGGTCATTTGGGAGTCTTTCAAAGTCTTAGATGGGCTTGGTGAACTTTTTTTGCAAAGGGACAGATAGTAGATCTTTTAGTCTTTTTGTTGCTGTGTTTTGTTTGTTTTTGTAGAGATGGGGTCTTGCTATGTTGCACAGGCTGGTCTTGAACTGCTGGCCTCAAGTGATCCTTCCACCTCCGCCTCCCAAATTGCTGGGATTACAGGTGGAAGCCACCACACACCCGGCCACATACTTTCATCCTGATGAGCCATGGCGTCTCTGTTGCAACTGCTCAACTCTGCCCTTGGAATGAGAAGACAGCCACAGAGAATCCAAAAACCAACAGGCGTGGCTGTGTTCCCGTAAAACTTAAAACAGGCGCCTGGCTCCAGGGTCGTTTTGCCAACCCCCGTCTTACTGATCTCTTTTCCATATAGACAGGCTGCTTCTTACAGCAACCAAGTAGAGTTCCCCAAATAATGCCTCTTAACCTACATAATCCACCTTTGGCACACACAGGCAGGAACCTCAGACCGCCTGACAACCAATGTTTGCCAAAAATGGAGTTAAAACTCAACCCTTCACAGGAAGACGCTGGTTTACATAAAGCAGAATTTGGAAATATTCTGATGAGGAAATTATCTCATGAAAGAAATTTCCTCCTATTGCCTAAGCTTTCCAGAGCTCAAATAAGGGCAGTCAATCCATTCAGCAGGAATCCTAACCTATGGCTTACAGGTGCAGGCACGGCTCCAGGCAGCACACACACATATTTCATCCTCAGCAGGCCCTGAGGTGGGCGTTATTGCCCCGCACCCCCGTCTACAGATGGGGAAACTGAAGCACAGAGAGGTAAAGTCACTTGCCCATGGCCACACAGCTAGTGAGAGGCAGGATTTGAACCCACTCTACCATGTTTAAGGAAGGAACAAAGGGAGGGAAAGAAAGGTTGCCTCAATTTCTAAAGCCAGACTGGCAGAGGCCAATACTCAATGTAAGTTTCTATTCCTCTATAATCCCAGCACTTTGGGAGGTCAAGGCAGAAGGACTGCTTGAGTCCAGGAGTTCAAGACCAGCCTGGGCAACATAGTAAAACCCCTGCTTCCACACACACAAAAAAAAAATTTAAAAATTAGCTAGGTATGGTGGCACACACCTGTGGTCCCAGGTACTCAGGAGGCTGAGCTGGGCGGATTGCAGGAGCCCAGGAGATCAAAGCTGCGGAGAGCTACGATCGTACCACTGCACTCCTGCCTGGACAACAGAGCAAGACTCAGCCTCAAACAAAACAAAACAAGTTTCTATTCCATCTTTCCCTGATTCCAAAGATAAAAAATTTGTTTTAATACAAATATCCAGAGGCAATGGACTTTTTTTTTTTTTAAGCATTTTCTGCCCACAGAATGAAAACAACAGCAGAGTCCTGTGGGCAAGAGGGGGAATCAGGTGCCCAGAAAGCTGTTTTGTCTCCTTCCTTCCTTATTTAACACATGACCTCAAGGAAGTTAACTAAACTCTCTGGGACTCTGAGCCTCTTATTGAAGTTAGGAAGAGAAATATTGTTCCTTCTCAACCTCAAGTCACCAAAGGACAATGTGGAGGAACGTGCCGGTTGCATGAGGCTCCTGAAACTCACAAACACCGTTTCCTTCAAGGAAAAGAATGGAGCCCCTTGGGGTTTTCTGAGTGGCTCACGTGGCCAGGTATAAGGAAGCTACTTTTACCTGCTTGGTGGGAAACAAAAAATTGATTGTGTTTCCTCAGATTTTTCTCCCAGAACAGAAACTGTTATCTCTTTAAACATAATACCTTTGGTGCAGACATAAAATTTATATAATTTCCCTGCATGGGCAATGGGAAAAATACTTCGGGTCATAAAAGGATAAGAAGTTTTGAAGCAATTCCTATGAAGAATTTTAATGTACAGATTCTTTAAAGCTTCCCTCGGGCTCGAGCAAAACATTATTATTTAGGTCATGAAATTCTAGAAGAAAAAGGAATCCCTGAGGATATTGCCCTGTACACAGCTGGAAGCAGCTGTGAAGCTTGTCCCTACATGCAGGGCGTGGTTTCAGCAGATAAGCAAGAAGAAAAGACGGAAGACCAATTTCTGGGGACGGATACGCTTAAGAGCAGCAGGGATGACTTGGCCTCCCAGGGGGCATTTTTGTTCAGAACACTGGGGAGCGTGGTGCTCCTAGCATTAAGCGGGTGGGGGCCAGGGATGCTATTCAATATCCTACAATGCACAGGACACCCCCTACAATAAAGAAATGTCTTGGGCCAGGCATGATGGCCCACACCTGTAATCCCAGCACTTTGGGAGGCTGAGGCGGGTGGACCACCTGAGGTCAGGAGTTCGAGACCAGCCTGGCCAACATGGTGAGACCCTATCTCTACTAAAAGTACAAAATATTAGCCGGGCCTGACGGTGCACACCTGTAATCCCAGCTACTCAGGAGGCTGAGGCAGGAGAATAGCTTGAACCTGGGAGGCGGAGGTTGCAGTGAGCCGGGATCGTGCTACTGCACTCCAGCCTGGGCAACAGAGTGAGAATCCATCACAAAAAAAGAAAGAAATGCCTTAGGCCAGGCACAGTGGCTCACACCTGTAACCCCAGCAGTTTGGGAGGCCAAGGTGGGCAGATCACCTGAGGTCAGGAGTTTGAGACCAGCCTGGCCAAGATGGTGAAATGCCAGCTCTACTAAAAATAAGCTGGGCGTGGTTGTGCACCCCTATAATCCCAGCTACACGGGACGCTAAGGCAGGAGAATCGTTTGAACCTGAGCAGTGGGGGTTACAGTGAGCCGAGATCGCCCCACTGTACTCCAGCCTGGGCGACAGAACCAGATTCCATCTCAAAAAAAAACAACACAAATGTCTGGCCCTGAATGTCAAGCATGGTGCAGTTGAGAACCCACCCCCGCCAGCACCCAGAGAGAAGGGCAGGATGGCTTGGGGCCAAGTGGGAGGCAGACTCACCCCAGCAGGCACAGGCTCCCGCAGGACAGCCAGGTCAGAGCACCGGCGTTATAGGACAGCTGACTCACGATCATCTTGTTGCAGGAAGGACAACACATTTGGATAGGGCGGTCCAAAAAGGTGATGGGGTGCTGCACGTAGACCGTCTGCACGGTAACTGATGAAAGGGAGAGGGACAAACACAGGTTGCTCAGGAAACAAGGCCAATAGCATTCACTACAGGACAAAGAGAGGAACGCAGGGATGCCAGCAAATATTATATTTGTACATTTGTGTTCATAGCATGCGTTCATCGTCTGGCTATCTATGAGAGCCAAAAGGGGAAGGAACACCAGTGTCCATCGACGGACCAATAAACTAACACAGCGAAGTTTATCCATCCACCAGAATATGATTCAGCCTCAAAAAGAAAGGAGGACCGGGCGCGGTAGCTCATGCCTGTAATCCCAACACTTTGGGAGGCCGAGGTGGGAGGACTGCTTGAGCCTAGGAGTTTGAGATCAGCCTAGGCAACATGACAAGACCTCATCTCTACAAAAAAATATAAAAATTAGCCCAGCGTGGGAGTACACGCCTGTAGTCCCAGCTACTCAGGAGGCTGAGGTGGGAGGATCAGTTGAGTCTGAGAGATTGAGGATGCAGTGAATCATGATTGCGCCACTGCTCTCCAGCCTGGACAACAGAGCGACGCTCAGTCCCAAAAACAAATAAATAAATTTTAACCAGCCTCACACTGTGCCTAGCAGCTCTTGATAAATAATCCACTCTCTTTACACAAACCCTTTGATAAACTCTGACAGCCAATGATAAGGGTAGAGTTTACCAAGCCAGGAAACGCAGGCCAACTCTGTAAGACAACAAGCTAGTGAACTGTGTTGATACAAGAAATGAAAATATAAAATAATGCTAGGAAGAAAAAGCTATGTGAAAACATGTTCGAACATTCTCAAGAATCAGAAGAGAATCCAGGCCGGGCACGGTGGCTCACACCTGTAATCCCAGCAAATCCCTTGGCTTTGGGAGGCCGAGGTGCGTGGATCACCAGAGGTCAGGAGTTCAAGACCAGCCTGGCCAACATGGTGAAACCCTGTTTCTAAAGACAAAAATTAGCCGGGCATGATGGCACGTGCCTGTAGTCCCAGCTACTTGGGAGGCTGAGGCAGGAGAATTGCTTGAACTTGGGAGGCAGAGGTTGCAGTGAGCCGAGATTATGCCACTGCACTCCAGCCTGGGCAACAGAACAAGACTCTACCTCAAAAAAAAAAAAAAAAAAAAAAAGAGAGAACCCAGGGTGATGAAAATCATCAAGCACTTCAGTTGTTAAGCTCATATTTTTGTTAAAGCAACTTCCTTCTGTTCCTTTTTACGTTAGAATGTCATTTATATAACAAATGAATTAGGGGGAAATTACTGCCTAGAGTTAACTGAACTTAGTAATACTCATAGAAAGACCCTCCTTCCAGAAAAGTAGTATTAAATCATACTTTAGCACTTACGTGTAATTTTTTTTTGGCAGGGGGGACAAGGTCTTGTTGTGTTGCCCAGGCTGGAGTGCAGGGGTACAATCATAGCTCACTGCAGCCTCAACCTCCTGGGCTTAAGCAATCCTCCCACCTCAGCCTCCCAAGTAGCTGGGACTACAGGTACAAGCCATCACACTCAGCTAATTTTATTTTCATAGAGACAATGTCTCACTATGTCACTCAGGCTGGTTTGGAACTCCTGGCCTCAGGTGATCCTCCTGCCTCAGCCTCCTCAGTAGCTAGGATTACAGGCGCAAGCCACCACACCCTGTTCATACATTTTATTAAGTGTTTTTGGGGTTCAAGAATAAGTTATTTGGACCAGGCTCTGTGACTCATGCTGATAATTCTAACACTTTGGGAGGCCAAGGGAGGTGGGAAGATCGTTTGAGCTCAGGAGTTAAAGATCAGCCTGGAAAAACAGTGAGACCCGATTTACACAAAAATTTAAAAATTAGCCAGGTGTGGTGCTGTATGCCTGTAGTCTCAGCTATTCCAGAGACTGAAGTGGGAGGATCACTTGAGCCCAGGAGGTCCAGGCTATAGCGAGCCATGACTGCACCACTGCACTCCAACCTGGGCAACATGGTGAGACCCTGTCTCAAAAAAAAAAAAAAAGAAAAAGAAAAAGAAACTATTTATTGATCACAGGATGGTCTAAGAATCTAAAGTCATTATCTCATCCTCTTCCAGCTCAAAATAACTTGAACACAACAATAAGAGTTCACTTTTATCAAACGAGTACTCTGTATTTGGCACACACAACTTCCTCTCATGTTAACAACTCACTGATATTTATAAATAGGTACTTGATGAAACCTATTTTACAAATGGGGAAGCTGAGGCACAAGGAGGTTATGTGAACCCAGGCAGTCTGATTCACGGGCCCCCTCTCTGAGCTAAAGATTTCTTTCAGAACTACCTGTGATACTAAAGCAGTGACATACCAGGGCACCCTTGGGCGGAAGGAAGCACCAAAGGACAGGGACCATCTAGTTGCTCAAAAGCAGAAGAGCAACTTGCATTGAGGGTGAGCTGGTATGAAAACACAATCACACATTGCTCAGGACGGTTTCTTCTCCTCCCTATTCCTACCTCGGCCCTGGCCTCAGGGCAGAAGTTCTGCATCAGACCTCAGGAGGAAGTGTGCGGGCCCTTAAGACACAAACTCCCATTCTCAGAAGAAAGTTGGTTGTGCCTCCAAGAGATGTGCCAAAAGATTCGTATATGATGACCATGGGAAAGATCCTAAACCATACTTTATTACGGAAAAGCTGTGAGCCTCACCAACATGGAATCTAAAAGACTGCGTGTGGAATTTCAAGGTAAGGGGGTAAAACTGGAACGTACTGGCACTTCACTTAGACTCTTTGGCAGAGTCACTTCGGTCACTCTCCTGATTCCCAGGGTGGAGGGCCAAGGAATGGTAAGGGGGGCCTGGGAGGCCACACGTACTTGGATTGTTATTGGGGATGGGCGCTGGCTGGGTATAATACGAAGGAGGATTCATGCCCTTCCCATCAGGCCCCGTCACAAGCCCCGTAGTTGGCCCAGGCATGGGAGCTGGAGGTGTGGGGTAATAACTGTTAACAGCCACTGTCTCTTCATAGGATGGAGGTGCGGATGGTGCTGAGGAAGGCCCAGTGGCCGCCTGGTAAGGTCCTGGAACCGACATTTTACCTAAAACAGAAACAGAACATACCAGATAAGAAATTCAGTTGATCTCTCCCTCTCTTTTTCACCTAAGTCTTCAATTTTCTTTCTGGCAAACAGAAATTCTGAGAAAATGACTTCCATCCAGCTTTGTCCAAAAGCTAGGAAGAGGGTTAATGTCCCTTCAAGACCCCAGAATTAATCAAAAAGTAAATAATTACTACCCAAAATCACCAAAACCTGGAAAATCCAAAGTGGAAACATCAACCAAATAAGGGTCATTTCTTCTTCACATCTTAAACCATTACCAGACAATGACCTACGTACCTTCCATATCTGGTGTTTCTTCTTCGTTGTTTTTTTTTGTTTGTTTTTTTGTGGTTTTTTTGGTTTTTAAACCACTGTGGTTTTCACTAACTGTTTCAGGTAACGGAAAAGATAAAGGCATTCAAAAACCAACCACAAATTATCACAAATAGCAAAGGGGCCAGATGCCACAAAATGCACACTGTATGATGCTATTTAAATAAAGGTCAGAAATAGGCAAAATGAATCCATGGAGCGGTTACTCTTGGAAGAGGAAGAAGAATCTGGAAAGGGGTATGAGGGGGCCTTTGCGGGGGGCGGGTCCTGTTCTCTTTCTTCACCTGGGGGCTGGTTACAGAGGTATGTTCAGTCTGTAAAAATCTCAGTTGTACAATTAAAATGTATATACTTTTTTGTATGTGTGTTATAGTTTTGTTTTTTGTTTTGTTTTATTTTTTTGAGACAAGATCTGTCACCCAGGCTACAGTGCAGTGGTGTGATCTCAGCTCACTGCAGCCTCCACCACCCAGGCTCAGGTGATCTTCCTGCCTCAGCCTCCCAGGTAGCTGGGACTACAGGCATGTGCCCCCCCGCCCGGCTAATGTTTTCATTTTTTGTAGAGATGGGGGTCTCACTTTGCTATCTAGGCTGGTCTTGTACTCCTGGGGGCAAGTGAACCTCCCGCCTTGGCTTCCCAATGTGCTGGGATTAAAGGCATGAGCCACCGCGCCCAGCCTCTGTGTTATAGCTTTTTAAGAAGGAAATACACATAGACTCCAGTTCTCATTTTGAAAAATGAGCACCAGAGCAGCCAGGCACACATTTTCTTTTGTGAGGGCAAAGAAAGGATTTCCCTCCAGCCCTGGCAGAGCTGCTGCTCGCCTAGAATTACACCCTGCACCCAGAGTGTGCTCCTGTCTGATGTTCCATGATCCAGCAGCCATGGGGCAGCTGGAAGCAGACACAGTGCTGTTCTTTGTGTGGCTGTTTTTCTAACTGGGCAGGGTTCAGGCTGCCTTAGAAGAGCCATTCAAACCTGTCTCGGGAGAAATGGGAAATGAGGCTCCGGGGCAGCGAGCCACAACCACCACTCCCCTCTCCCGACACTGTCTGCCTCATTTTCTAGAACTCGTGGGAAGCCAAGGCAGCAATTAATCCCACTGCAGGGAGAAGGGTAGAGTCCTTCTCAGAAGCCCTGCCTCTAAACCAAGCCCCAAAGAGGAGACTTCTCTGGAGGAACCGAAGAAAGGGTATTCACCTCAAAGTGGAAACAGAGACCAGGTGCGGTGGCTCACCTGTAATCCCAGCACTCTGTGGAGCCGAGGTGGCAGGATAGCCTGAGCCCAGGATCTCAAGACTAACCTGGGCAACATGGTGAGACCCCCATCTCTAAAACAAAACAAAACAAAAGGGCTGGGTGCAGTGGCTCATGCCTGTAATCCCAGTACTTTGGGAGGTTGAGGCAGGAGGATCACTTGAGCCCAGGAATTCACCACCAGCCTGGGCAACATAGTGAGACCCTGTCTCTACAACGAATAAAAAAAGTAGCCAGGTGTAGTGGCACACACCTGTAATCCCAGCTACTTAGGAGGCTGAGGCAGGAGGATTGCTTAATCCTAGGAGGTTGAGGCTGCAGTGAGCCATGATCACTCCACTGCACTCCAGCCTGGGAAACAGAGCGAGACTCTGTCTCAAAAACAAACAAACGAAACAAAGTGGAATAGAGGCGGGGGAGTGAACGTGATAAAAAGAAAGTCAGTAAGTAAAGATAGGTTGGGGCTGCATTCTAGAAAACTTTGAAAGTCCCTTGGAGAACACGTGTTCAAGACTTCTTTCTATCAGAGTGCTGTCCAACAGAATCTTCTGTGAGGATGGAAATGCTCTGTATCTGCTGCCCAATATAGCAGCCACCAGTCACGTAAGGTTATTGGGCGTCTAAAATGTGGCTTGTGGCCGGGCACGGGGGCTCATGACTGCAATCCCAGCACTTTGGGAGGTCGAGGCAGTGGGATTACTTGAGCCCAGGAGTTCAAGACCAGCCTAGACAACATAGTGATACCCTCTCTCTACAAAATTTTAAAAATTAAAAAAATTAGCCAGGCATGGTGTTGCACACTTCTGGTCCCAGCTACCCAGGAGGCTGAGGTAGGAGGATCACTTGAGCCTAGCAGGTGGAGGCTACAGTGAGCCATGATCATGCCACTGCACTCTAGCCTGGGTGACAGAGCGACACTCTATGTCTAAAAGAAAAAAAGAAATGAGCTAGTGTGAGTGAAGAACTGAATTTTTTTTGTTTTAGCTTCTTTTTCATCTTTTTACTTGCCAATGAATTTTTACTTGTATTTAAGTTTAAGCAATTTAAATGTGAAAACTAACAATTCAATTATTGGGAAGCTTTTATGTAAGTCTGGGACAACTTGAATATATGAATCATTTTTTCAATGGTAAATTTGATGAACACTGAATATAGATCAAAATGTTTTTTGATAAAAATTTAGCATTCAATTTGGGATAGAATGTCAATGTAAAAATACACCCTGGGTTTCAAAACTTAGTAGGAAAAAATGAATGTAAAATATCTCATTAATAATTTCTTATATTGATATATTAAAATGACCACAGCTTAGATATATGAAGTTAAGTAAAATGTATTGTTAATTTCACCTGTTTCTTTGTACCTTTCAAAATGTGGCTACTAGGCCGGGCATGGTGGCTTACACCTGTCATCCCAGCACTTTGGGAGGCTGAGGCAGGAGGATGGCTTGAGCCCAGGCATTCTAGATCAGCCTGAGCAACATAGGGAGACACTGTCTCTACAAAAAAATTAAAAATTAGCCAGACATGGTGGTGCACCCCTGTGGTCCCAGCTACTTGGGAGGCTGAGGTGGGAGAATCACTTAAACCCAGGAGTTCAAGTGAGCCGTGACTGCGCCACTGCACTCCAGCCTGGGCGAGACTGTCTCAAAAATAAATAAATAAAAACAAAATAAATAAAAAAGAGGCCAGACACAGTGGCTCACGACTATAATCCCAGTACTTTGGGAGGCCAAGGCAGACGGATCGCCTGAGGTCAGGAGTTTGAGACCAGCCTGGCCAACATGGTGAAACCCCGTCTCTACTAAAAATACAAAAATTAGCCAGGTGTGATATTGGGCGCCTGTAATCCCAGCTACTCAGGAGGCTGAGGCAGGATAATCACTTGAACACGGGAGGTGGAGGTTGCAGGGAGCTGAGATTGCGCCATTGCACTCTAGCCTGGGCAACAGAGTGAGACTCTGTCTCAAAAATCAATAAATAAATACATTAAATGTGGCGGCCAGGCACGGTGGCTCATGCCTGTAATCCCAGCACTTTGGGAGGCTGAGATGGGTGGATCATTTGAGGTAAGGAGTTCGAGACCAGCCTGGCCAACATGGTGAAACCCCATCTCTACTAAAAATACAGAAATTAGCCAGGTCTGGTGGCGTGCGCCTGTAATCCCAGCACTTAACCTGGGAGGCAGAGGTTGCAGCGAGCTGAGATCACACCACTGCACTCCAGCCTGGGCCACAGAGCGAGATTCCATCTCAAAAAAAAAAAAAATGTAGCTACTAAAAAATTTTAAATGATGTAATGAAGCTTGCTTTCTGCTCCTAATATACAGCAAAGCTGTGAGCCGTGGGAGTCACAGAAGGTTATAGAGAAGGGGAAAGGCCCAACCCCAGAAAAGACAGATGAGACAGAAGGTCTTTAAGAGGAGCAAGAAGCAAAGTAGAGAAGGCCACAGAAGCAGGAGGGCAGGGTGGGGCTGTAATGAGATCGCAGGAGGTGTTTGTGAAAACAGGCTCTGGTTTAACACTGAGACATGGTGTAAAGTGGTTTGAGGCGTGTTGCTAGTTTCCTCTGACGTACAGGAACAGAAATGCAGCAGTCCCAGCTTGCCCCTAAACTCAGCGGACATCCCTCCCAGATGACCCCGGGAACCCCTGACATCTGCTTCTGGCTTTGTTGAAACTTCCAGCAAAGGGAACGACAGGGCACCCTGGGGGTCTGGAGTGACCTACATCCGGGTTGAACGTCGAGGACTCGCCGTCACAGCCCCAGACCCACCTCCATGATTTATGGTGAAAACTGACTCGTATAAAAACTTACAAGACCAGGAAAAGCCAGTGTGTACAGAAATCCTCAAGGAGCATGGTTGGTCGTGATTGCCAATGGAATGCTTTGAGGGAAAACAAGGCCTGGGGCATCCTAAACCTCCAAGAGGCAATGGCTGAATTCGGCAGCGGCGCAATTCCTGCAAAAACCACGGCCTCTCCTCCCAAAGTGAGGAAACTGCATCTTTACAGAGTCAACACACAGGTGTGGGGGATGGGAGGATGGGAGCTTTCTTTTGACGACCTTTAAAAGATGGGTGGGCCCCAGTTTCTCGTTTTGGAAATTAAGGCCTCGGCCACCGCCTCTCCCCCTTTATTGAGACCATCTTTCATGTGGTAACATCTTATCTTCTGGGATTTCGAGACACTGCATCTTCTGAGCATTGCTTTGAGATCAAACAGCCACACAAACACATTTATAATTCTGAAAAGAACAAGAGCAACAGGCCAGAATAGTAAAAAAGACTCATAACCGCTGGTTTGGAAGTTTTCTAAATAAATTCCACAGTCTTCCCTCCCTCAGGCCCCAAGGCCAGGAAATGCCACCACGGTTAGTCCCATTTTGTTTCCCTTGTTTTGCGCCTTCATTTCAATTTGGCTTATCTCCTGGGATAAGAGGCCCACCCACCAACCATCCCTCTCCTCATCACCCCCCATCCCCTCCTTATCACCCCCCCAACTACGAAACTCTTAGAACAGCAATTAGTCCCCCTCACCCTAAACTCACACACACACTCTCCACAATGTCTTTTTTTTAAAAAAGAGGGAAAGGGAGAAAGAAAGAGAGAAACAGGGTCTCACTCTATTGCCCAGGCTGGAGTACAGTGGCATGATCATAGCTCGCCACAGCCTGAAACTCGTAGACTCAAACAATCCTCCTGTCTCAGCCTCTGGAGTAGGTGGGACTACAGGTGTGTGTCACCATACCTGGCTATAACTTTTTAATTTTACTTAGAGACAGGGTCTTGCTAAGCTGCCCAGGATGGTCATAAACTCCTGGGCTCAAGTGATCCTCCTGCCTCAGCCTCTCAAAGTGCTGGGATTACAGGCATGAGCCACCGTGCCCTGCCTCTCCACACTGTGAACCTGGGAGATGGAGGCTGCAGTGAGCCGAGATCGTGTCACTGCACTCCAGCCTGGGTGACTGAGCGAGACTCCGTCTCAAAAAAAAAAAAAAAAAAAAAAAAAGAAGGAAGAAAAGAAATTCGAACACTTTTTGAACAAAGGGCCTCGCGTTTCCATGCTGCACTGGAGCCCAGAAATTAAGTAGCCAAATGTGACCGGTGGTGACAGAAAAGGAAAAGGAGGCATTCCTGATCCATGGAGAATTTTGATCTGACATGCCCAGCTGTGGAATCACTTTCACATCTATAAATATGCCACTTGGGATATCTTGGGGTCCCTTTTAGCCAAAAGTTTTCCTCATTCTACCTCTCAACAATTTGCTCAACGAAAGGTATTCTTGCCCAGGCATGTTGGATCACGTCTGTAATCCCAGCACTTTGGGAGGCCGACGTGGGCAGATCACTTGAGCCCAAGAGTTTGAGACCAGTCTGGGAAACAAATTCAGACCATGTCTCTACAAATGGTACAAAAATTAGCCGGGCGTTATGGCAGATGCCTGTGGTCCTGGCTGCTCTGGAGGCTAAGGTAGGAGGATCACTTGAGCCCAAGAGTTTGAGACTGCAATAAGCTAGGATCACGCCACTGCTCTCCAGCCTGGGTGACAGAGCAAGACCTTGTCTCAAAACAAAAGAAAAAAAAATAGAGTCACAAAATCATATATAAAGACAATCTTTAAAAATTTTTTTTAATTAAAAAATATATATTAGCCAGACACGGTTGCACAAACTTGTAGTCCCAGCTATTAAGGAAGCTGAGGTCGGAGGATTTGCTCGAGCCTGGGAGCTTGAGGTTACAGTGAGCTGTGATCACACCACTGCACTCCAGCCTGGGTGACAGAGTGAGACCATATCTCTACACAAAAAAATTATAATAATAATAATTTTTTTTTTTGAGTCAGAGTCTCACTCTGTCGCCTAGACTGGAACGCAGTGGCGTGATCTTGGCTCATGGCAACCTCCGCTTCCCAGGCTCAAGCAATTCTCGTGCCTCAGCCTCCCGAGTAGCTGGGATGACAGGTGCCTGCCAACACGCCCAGCTAATTTTTGTATTTTTTAGTAGAGACAGGGTTTCACCATGTTGGCCAGGCTGGTCTCAAACTCCCAACCTCAGATGATCAGCCCGCCTTGGCCTCCCAGAGTGCTGGGATTACAGGCGTGAGTCACCACGCCTGGCCAGAAATTATTAAAAACCAGAAAAATCATGAAAGGAAAATACACCCTCAGTGGAAGCAACACATTTGAACTCTGGAGGGATCACCTCTCTTTCTGCCTCCCTAATACATGAAAGTGCGTTTACTGTGCACTTTTATGCCACATACTTGATGCCATGCAAAAAATACCTGCCAATGATGGGTTCCAACTCATTCTGTCACTGGGCACCTTGCAATTCAAGGTGACCTGCTTCTTAGTAAACAGGCAATAGAACGTTAATGATCAGCCGAGGATGGAAAGTCACAAAGCTCAGCCCTCTCATATTGAGAAGAAAAACAATGAAATTCTGAGAGAGCTCAGAATTTCCCTGGAGGCAGGGTGCCCAAAGCTGCATATTTACTGCTTCAAGCCCTTAGCAAAAGACAAAGGGTTGGGGTGGGGGGCGTGCTTGTCAACCCAGACAGCATCTCCATCTCAGTTTTGCTTGTGTTTTTGTTTGAGACAGAGTCTCACTCTGTTACCCAGGCTGGAGTGTAGTGGCATGATTTCAGCTCACTGCAACCTCTGCCTCCCAGGTTCAAACGATTGTCCTGCCTCAGCCTCCCGAGAAGCTGGGATTACAGGCACGTGCCACTAAACCCAGCTAATTTTTTTGTATTTTTACTAGAGACAGGGGTTTCACCATGTTGGCCAGGCTGCTCTCGAACTCCTGACCTCAAGTGATCCACTCACCTCAGCCTCCCAAAATGCTATGGTTACAGGTGTGAGCCACCGCGCCCGGCCTCAGTTTTGTTAAAAGTGGAGGCAAAAAACCCAGGAACCCGCAGGGAGAAGCCACAGTGTCAGACCCAGCGATCATCCGTGCCCTTAACTGATATTAATGCACCGATCTGGAATCCTCGGGACGTGGAAATAAACTCCACGAGGGACCTCACTTTCAGCAACAGATCTGCTTCTAAACAATTCAGCCTCAACAGCCTCAGAATTCTCTGGAATAGGCCAGTGCAAGCTGCTACTTCGGGCACTCACAAGGTCCTGGGTGTCATCCTACTCCTTGCGCGCCCAAAACGGGTTCATTCAACGTTTGCACAATCAAACCTGCAGGTCAAAAGGTACAGTGTTCTAGATAGAATCTTGAATTTTTTTTTTTTAATGGGGAGATTGCAGGGGAGTGCAAGGATAAGCCTCACCCTGGGAAAACCACGTTCATGATTATGGTATCGCTCCTGCTAACTAAGTATGACCTTGAATCCTAAATGCAAAGGAAAAGATCAGACTTCGGGAAGCCCGGGGTGGCCAGCCTAGCAGTTTTATCACTGATCATTCCGGCTCCACGACAGCCCTGGAATGAACCTCGAAAGCACAAAAGGCTACAGATCAAATGATTCCACTGAGATGAAATGCCCAGAATAGGTGAATTCATAGAGATACAAAGCACATCACTGGTGGCCAGGGATGGGTGTACAGCAGTGGGAGGAAATGGGTATGGGGTTCTTTTGGGGATGATGAAAATGTTCTGGAACCAGATGGAAGTTGATGGTTGCACAATGCTACGAACTTACTAAATGCACTGAATTATCTTTTTTTTTTTTTTTGAGATAGAGTCTTGCTCTGTCGCTCAGGCTGGAGTACAGAACTTACTAAATGCCACTGAATTATCTTTTTTTTTTTTTTGAGACAGATTCTCGCTCCGTCGCTCAGGCTGGAGTACAGTGGCACAATCTTGGCTCGCTGCAACCTCTGCCTCCCAGGCTCAAGCAATTCTCCTGCCTCAGCCTCCCTAATAGCTGGGATTACAGGTGCCTGCCACCACACCCGGCTAATTTTTATATTTTTAGTAGAGACGGGGTTTCACCATGTTGACCAGGCTGGGCTCGAACTCCTAACCTCAAGTGATCCACCTGCCTCAGCCGCCCAAAGTGCTGGGATTACAGGCATGGGCCACCGCGCCTGGCCTTGAATTACTCACTTTTAAATGGTTATCTTTATGTGACTTTCTCTTCACTAAAAAGCGGGGGGCGGGGGGGTGGGGGGAGGTGCGGGGAGGAGACACTGCTGGAAATCTCTAATCTTACTATCCCAAGTCAAGGCCTTAAAACTGAGCCTCTAAGTTGGCTGCTGGTCTTGGTTCAGTCCATCCCGGGCCCGTTTGTTTAAAATCAAGCCACGTGGGTCTTTCTGACACCCCTCATTGTGCTCTTGACTAGCGCGACTCCCTGCTCCGGGTTTGTGGGGACTGAGAAGATTCCCAGGATGCACTGGTGCCCCTACCAACCGCACAGTCTCTCGTGGCGTCTCCCGCCACACCTGCCTTGCTTGGATGTTCCCAAACATGTCACGGGCATGCTCTTTCTTCCGTCTGCCTCCTTCCTGATGGGTCTGGCAAATTCCGCTTAGCTTGCGTGTCACCTCCTCCAAGAAGCCCTCTCTGCTTGCCCCCGGGAGAATTCATTCCTCCTGGAGCCTCTCTATATGGTGCAGAGGTCAAGGGCACAGACTCTGGAGCTAGACCCCCTGGGTTCCTCCAGGCGCCCCATGCCCCAGGGCATGACTTTAGTGCCTCAGTTTTCCCATCCGTAAAATGGGTACACTGATAGTTTCTTCCTCATAAGGCTCTTGAGAGGATGAAATGAATCCATTTGCAAAAAAGGACCAGAGCAACTTGGAACACATAAGCACTCGGTATGTGTCAGCTGTTATTAACTCATGTTTGTTTGCTGTATTTGTCATAAAGCAGTTTTCTTCACTTGTCTGTCTTCCTATCTGGTCATAGACCCCATAAGAGCAGGAACTGACACTAAAATCTGCATCCCAGCACCTAGAAAGAGGGCCAAAACATTATGGGTGCTTCATAGGGTGACCCAATGTCCCAGTCTCCCTTGGACAGAGGGGTTTTTCCCTGGATGCAGGACTTTTGGTGCTAAATCTAGGAAAGTCTCAGGCAAACTGGGACAAGTTGGTCACTCTGGTACTTCAACAGTTTGTAGAAAGCAATACCTAGGTATGAAAACAGGACACCAAGATCCATCTGGAAAGGCATGAAGATTTGGGAGCAGGCCAGACGTGGTGGCTCATGCCTGAAATCCCAACACTTTGGGAGGCCAAGGCAGAAGGATCGCTTGAGCCTAGAAGTTCGAGACCGGCCCGGGCAACATAGTGAGATGCCATCTCTACTAACAATCAAACAAATCAGCTGGGCGTGATGGCACATGTCTATAGTCCCAGCTACTCGGAGGCTGAGATAGGAGGATCCCTCGATCACTTGAGCCCAGGAGGTTGAGGCTGCAGTAAGCTATAATAGTGCCACTGCAATTCAGCCTGGGCAGGGGTAGGGGGGCGCATGGACAGAGGAAGACTCTACCTTGGGTTAAAAAAAAAAAAAGATTTAGGAGTAGACATGAAACAGCAGGAAGGGCTTACTCCAATAGCTCTAACATAGAATCTGAGAAAACGACATTTGTAAAGGAAGATGTTTATGTAATGACAAGCCTCCATATAGATGGTCTCACAGTTCAGCTCAAGGTAACACGAGGATTTATGGTGCAGATGCCAGCACATCACCAAATATGCTCAAGAACTGGAATCCGTGAATTGAGCCTGGAGTCCTTCATTTCCTCCGGGATTCCTGGGGGCAGTGTATTGTTTCTCAACAGGGCACCCTAGGATGTCCAGGCAGGAGGAGATCAAGTCGGGATAAAACATGGGTGGACAGGCTGGGCGCAGTGGCTCACGCCTGTAATCCCAGCACTTTGGGAGGCCGAGGCAGGCGGATTACCTGAGGTCAGGAGTTTGAGACCAGCCTGGCCAACATGGCAAAACCTCGTCTCTACTAAAAGTACAAAAATTAGCCAGGCGTGGTGGCACACGCCTGTAATCCTAGCTACTCGGGAGGCTGAGGCAGGAGAATTGCTTGAGCCCAGGAGATGGAGATTGCAGTGAGCTGAGATCGTGCCACTGCACTCCAGCCTGGGCAACAGAGCAAGACTCCGTCTGGAAAAAAAAAAAAACACAAAACAAAACAAAACAACAACAAAAACATGGGTGGACAGAGGTTGAAAGGGAAGTGTGGGGGAGTGTACACATGGACAAAATGAAGTCAGAAAGAAAAGCTGCCGCAGTCTCCAAACCTCAAGACTGGTTGGTTCATTTTTTTCTCCTTGGTGGAAGTTTATGGCACTGCTAAAATCATCACTCAGCGGAGGAGACCCCTTGTTTGGGCCAGCATCCATTCCAGTTCTGATTCCAGCTATGGAAAGATGTCAAGAGGGTAGTTCCAGGCCGGGCATGGTGGCTCACGCCTGTAATCCCAGCATTTTGGGAGGCCGAGGTGGGCGGATCACTGGAGGTCAGGAGTTCAAGACCAGCCTAGCCAACATGGTGAAACCCGGCTCTAATAAATACACAAAAATTAGCCAGGCGTGGTGACGCAGCCCTGTAATCCCAGCTATGTGGGTGACTGAGGCAGGAGAAGTGCTTCAACCCAGGAGGCGGAGGTTGCAGTGAGCTGAGATCATGCCACTGTGCTCCAGCCTGGGCAACAGAGCGAGACTCTGTCTCAAAAAATAAAGACGGTAGTTCCAGCAGGGCACAGTGACTCACACCTGTAATCCCAGCACTTTGGAAGCCCAAGGCGGGAGGATGGCATGAGCCCAGGAGTTCGAGACCAGCCTGGGCAACACAATGAGACCCCATCTCTACAAAAAAGACAAAAATTAGCCAGGAGTGGTGGTATGCACCTGCAGTCCAAGCTACTTAAGAAGCTCAGTGGGGAGGATCACCTGAGCCTGGGAGGCAGCGGTTGCAGTGAGCCATGTTTGCACTACTGCACTCCAGCCTGGGCAACAGAGCAAGACCCTGTCTCGAAAAAAAAAAAAAAAGAAAAGAGAGAGGGTAGTTCTTACCACTGTATTATCCATTCAGAACCTTGAGTCATGAGCAGGCTCCCCAATGTCCCCACCCCATCAAATTCAGAAATACTTGTCACTCCACGCTCATCACCTGGTCCTTGGGGTAGCCCTAAAGCCACTTGTTCAATGGGGACAAGGTGTCATCCGTTCCCCAGAAATGACACTGGCTTTCTTCATGGGTATCAAGCAGATTCTGAGTCTCTAACTTGCTGGTACCCAAAGATGTCACAACGTCAACAGTTCCAGCCAACAGGTGTGGAGAAGAAAGGGGACATCGAGTTGCTACCGTGTAAGTGCTCCACCTTCAGTGCTTGCTTGTGACACTGAAGGTACACCCTTGTTTTTTTTTGTTTTTTTTTTTTTTGAGATAGAGTCTCATTCTGTTGCCCAGGCTGGAATGCAGTGCCACGACCTCGGCTCACTGCAACCTCCACCTCCCGGGTTCAAGCGATTCTCTCACGTCAGCTTCCTGAGTAGCTGGGACTACAGGCATGCGCCACCAAGCCCAGCTAATTTTTGTATTTTTAGGAGGGACAGGGTTTCACCATATTGGCCAACCTGGTCTCCAACTCCTGACCTCAAGTGATCCACCCGCTTCAGCCTCCCAAAGTGCTGGAATTACAGGCATGAGCCACTGTGTTCAGCCTGACACCACTGTCAAAGGAGTCTCAGGGCCTTTCTCCTCCCTGACCCCATCCCTCTCTGGTGAAATGGCCAACAGGCAGACAGAGCCCAAAAGGGAAGGACGAGTAGGACGGATAGTGTCCAAGGCTGAGAACTGCCCTTGAGCAGCTGAACAGGACGCGGGGGCTTCCGAGCAGAATCCCATCAGAAATTGGCCTGGTGGGAAAACTGAGGCCACTAAGCTCAGAGATGATACAGGCTGGACATCTCTGCCTGGTGCCCAAGATAAATTTCTGTTTTTGAGAAGGAATCTCACTCTATTGCACAGGCTGGAGTACAGTGGCACCTGCATAGCTCACCACAGGCTCCAACTCCTGGGCCCAAGTGATCCTCCCACCTCAGCCTCCCAAGTACCTGGGATTACAGGCACATGCCACCATGCCTGGCTAATTTTTAATTTTTTTTGTAGGGATGAGGTCTCGCCATGTTGCCCAGGCTGGTCTCGAACTCCTGGCCTCAAGTGATCCTCTTGCCTTGGCCTCTCAAAGTGCTGGGATTAAATCAAGATAACTTAACATGTGGAAATTTCAGAAACACCTCTGTGTGTCCCCCTGTTATTTACAAGAGTCACAGATTCACTCATAGCTCAGGGAGAGTAGGAATGGCGTGGACTACGGCCTGGTCAACTGAACACCCAACTGTTACTCAGAGTGAAGAGAAGACACAGATGATGGTGAACAGGCAGGGCATGAAGAGGGAAATAAAAAGGGCTAAAAGAAAGGTAAGACAATGGGGCCAAGCGTGGTGGCTCACGCCTGTAATCCCAGCACTTTGGGAGACAGAGGCAGGTGGATCACTTGAGGTCAGAAGTTCAAGACCAGCCTGGCCAACATGGCAAAACTCTTGTCTTTACTAAAAATATAAAAATTAGCCAGGTGTGGTGGTGCTTGAATGTAATTCCAGCTACTTGGGAGGCTGAGGCAGAATTGCTTGAACCTGGGAAGCGGAGATTGCAGTGAGACGAGACGCACTGCTGCACTCCCGCCTGGGCCACAGAGCGAGACTTTGCCTCAAAAAAAAAAAAAAAGTTAAAATGGCAGAATTTTAAGGCAGGTCAAACCTTTAAGAGCAGAAACTCTAAGACCCAGGCTCCTTGGTTCAAATCCCAACTCTGCCACTTCTACGGTGTGCAAATGGGGGTGAGTTGCCAAATTTCTCTCAGGTTTCCTCATCTGGAAAATGGGCCAACAGTAGTACTTACACTTCAGAGGGCTGCTGTGAGAATGTAGTGAGCAAAATACACCGGAACATTGGGTAAGCAGGTTACTATTATATCAACACACAGCTGTCATTACAGAGGAGAGTAAAACCCAGGGAGGGGGTGACTTTCCCACAGTCACACGGGGGCTTCACTGTGAGAGGCAGGAGGACCCAGGCACAGACCTCATCCCGCCACAGGGACCTGTTCTGTACCCAGTACCTCCACGGCTTCACAGGTAGACATTCACTTGTTTGGCTAAATCCCCTACAGTCTGACCTTCCCACCCCTACCCGCAGTGTGGGCGACAGAATAATGCTCCCCAAAATTGTTCACAGCCTAATCCCTGGAAGCTCTGAATATGTGACCTTAAGTGGTAAAGACAGACTTTGTGTATGTGATTAAGAATCTTGAGATGAGGGGGTTATTCTGGATTAACCAGGTAGGCCCGGTGTAATCACAAAGGTCCTTATAAGAGAAAGGTAGAGGAGTTCGAGACCAGCCCTGGCCACATAGAGAGACCTCATCACTACAAAAATTACAAAAATTATCAAGGTGTGATAGCGCACATGTATCATCCCAGCTACTTGGGAGGCTGAGGTAGAAGGAGGTTGGGGGGTGGGGTCTAGGGGGTTGAGGCTGCAGTGAGCCACAGCTGCACCACTACACTCCAGCCTGGGCAACAGAGCAAGACCTCTGTTGGGTTTAAATGTAGAAAAAGGAAGCTGTTGGCTTTGAAGGGGGAGGAAGGAGCCATAAATTAAGAAATGCAGGCGGCCTCTGGAAGCTGGGAAAGGCAAGACCATGGATTTTCCCCAGGAGCCTCCAGGAGCACAGTCCAGCTGACACTGCTATTTTTTGTGTGTTGTTGAGTCCAAGTCTCACTCTGTCGCCCAGGCTGGAGTGTAGTAGTGCGATCTCAGCTCACTGCAACCTCCGCCTCCCAGGTTCAAGCGATTCTCCTGCCCCAGCCTTCTGAGTAGCTGGGATTACAGGCACCCAACACCATGCCTGGCTAATTTTTGTATTTTAGTAGAGATGGAGTTTCACTATGATGGCCAGGCTGGTCTCAAACTCTTAACCTCAGGTGATTCGCCTGCCTCGGCCTCCCAAAGTGGTGGGATTACAGGCGTGAGCCACTGCGCCCAGTCGACACATTGCATTTAATCTGAGGAAGCCCACTGCAGACTTCAGGCTCCAGAACTGGAAGATACTACATTCACGTTACCTAAGCCACTGAGTTCAGGGTAATGAGTTAGAAAACTCATCCATCCACCCTCATAGCTGGGTTGCCCAGATTCCCCACTGGCCCTGCAGATTCTCAATGGGCACTCTTCCCCCTCCCACAGCAGGGGGCACCAGGCAGAGGTCAGACCCCCTCAACCTCCCACCTGAACCCCCAGGCATCTGTCTGCCCGCCCTGGGCTCAGAAGCAGCCCTCCTCCTCTGGTTCAAACTTCAATCTGGTGAATGTGGCCATCTCTAGGTGGGAGTGGGCCCTGTGGTCTCTGGGAGGGACTGTGCTCAGACAATGTCCCCTCTTGCCAATCACGCCCTCTCGGCTGGCTCTTTTCCTGAGGTCTCCTAAATGGTTTAATCTTTCCAAGCACGGTGGCTCATGCCTGTAGTCCCAGCACTTTGGGAGGTGAGGTGGGGAGATCACTTGAATCCAGGAGTTCAAGACCAGCCTGAGCAAAATGGCAAAACTCTGTCTCTTTTTTTAATTAGCCAGGCGTGGTGGTGCGCACCTGTAGTCCCACCTACTCACAGGGCTGAGGTGGGAGAATCACTTGAGCCCAGGAGTTTGAGGCTGCAGTGAGCTGTGATCACGCCACTGCACTCCTGCCTGGGTGAAAGAGCAAGACCCTATCTCAAAATAAATAAATAAATAAACAAACAAACAAATAAACAGATCAAAACAAAATCCCCCTCCTGCCTTAGCCTGGGTCCTCAGCCCCTCCAGTGACCTGCCTCTCCTCCAAATCCACCTTCCACGTCAAGACACTCCTGTTCCCTTCCTGCTCCCCAGGTACGCAGGGTCTGCACGAAGCCCTTGTGGTTCCCCCCACCCCTCAACCTCAAACGCATCAAGCTGACCACAGCCCTCCCCTAGACAACACCCCGAGTCCTCATGCATGAAATGATGCTCCAGTCCTCCTCAAAAGCAGGGAGATGCAACTAAAACCACACAGAGACAGATGATCGGGCTGAATATCGTCAGCGAGAAGTCACATGACATCACACACCAGCGAGAAGTCACATGACATCACACACCTGCTGACGGGACATCACACACCTGCTGACGGGACATCACACACCGGCTGACTGACAGGATGAGGTGAGAAGGGCCTCTGTGGCCTTCCTCCCCTAAACCCGCAGCCCCACGTAGTCATGAGAAAACCGGCCACAGGGCATCAGGCCAGCACTCCTCAAAACTGTCAAAGTCACGGAAAACAGGAAAGTCCAAGAAACTGTCAGAGACCAGAGGACAATGAATAGAGAGGTGACAACTGAATACAACGTAGAACCCCGGCACAGAAAAGCCTTAGTTGGAAAAACTGGTGATGTCCAAATAAAGCCTGGAGTTTGGTAAACAGTAACGCAGCGGTGTCAGAGAAGCAGTTGTGGCCAGTGTCCCATAGGGAAGTAGATGCTGGGTGACAGTAAATGGGAGCTCTCTGTATTAATTGTACCAATTTTCTGCACATCTCAAGCTCTTTTTTTTTTTTTTGAGACAGGGTCTCACTCTGTCAACCAAGCTGGCATGCAGTGGCGCAATCTCAGCTCACTGCAACCTCCGCCTCCCAGGTTCAAGCAATTCTCATGCCTCAGCCCCCTGAGTAGCTGGGACTACAGGCGTGTGCCACCACGCCTGGCTAACTTTTTGTATTTTTGGTAGAGATGGGGTCTCACTATGTTGCCCAGGCTGGTCCCAAACTCCTGACCTCAAGCGATCCGCCTGCCTCGGCCTCCCAAAGGCCAGGGGTTACAGGAGTGAGCCACTGCACCCGGCCATAAAAGATTTTTTTTAAACCCCATAACCAATGCCATGATATCATGATATCATTTGTCACCCATCCACCAGGCAAAGAGCAAAATGTTGGTAACACACACAGAGAGCTAGCCTGGGTATCGATAAACTGAGGCTCCTGCAACAGAAACGGCCAACCAAATTTAACATGAACAAGTCCAGCAACTCTTCCTCCAGAAATGTGTGCTGGCAATAACCCCCACATGTGGCTGAAATGACAAAATGACAAGCACATGGGGTATTCACTACAGCGTTGCTGGTAACAGCAGAAGCCTAGTCCGCCAGCAAGGCAAGGGTACCAATCAGGGATGGTCCCTCCCCACAAGGTACTGAAACGAGGAAGAGTTTTATTTGGAGAAATGCAATCACCACCAAGATATACTATCATGTTTAATGAGGCAGGAGAGTGTTTGTAGTGTGCCACCATTTGTGTATGGTGAGAGAAGAAGATATCCTTTTTTTTTTTTTTTTTTTTTTAGGAGTCTTGCTCTGTTGCCCAGGTTGGAGTGCAGTGGCGCGATCTCGACTCACTGCAACCTCCACTTCTCAGGTTCAAGCACCTCTCCTACCTCAGCCTCCCAAATAGCTGGGATTACAGGCGCCCACCACCACACCCAGCTAATTTTTGTCTTTTTAGTAGAGATGGGGTTTCACCACGTTGGCCAGGCTGGTCTCAAACTCCTGACCTCAAGTGATCCTCCCGCCTCGGGCTCCCAAAGTGCTGGGATTACAGGCATGAGCCAAGGTGCCCGGCGTTTTTTTGGTTTTTTTTTTGTTGTTGTTTTTAAAGACAGGTTCTCACTGGGTTTTTTAAAGACAGGTTCTCACTGGGTTGCCCAGGCTGGAGTGCAGTGGCATGATCATAGCTCATTGCAGCCTGGAGCTCCCAGGCTCAAGCGATCCTCCTGCCTCAGCTTCCAGAGCAGCTAGAACTACAGGTGTGCACCACCACACCTAGCTAATTTTTTTATTTTTTGTAGAGACGGGGTCTCAGTATGTTGACCAAGCTTGTCTCAAACTCCTGGGCTAAAGCAATCCTCCCACCTTGGCCTCTCAAAGCGCTGGCATTACAGGCATGAGCCATCATGCCTGGCCTAGTATTTCTTTATATAATATGCAAAAAATGTCTCCAAAGGCATACATAAGAAACTTAACGGTCGGTGTTTGTCGGGAAGGGAACCAGGTGGACTAGGGGATGGGGTGTGACAAACACTGGTCACTTTTACACCCTTGCTGGTCTTTTGTATGTTAAGCCATAGTAATATTACATATTTACAAAATACATACTTTTTTAATTAAAAAAGAAAGTCTCCTCTGCAAACCTGTCTCTGCCCTCCCCAGGCCTCCATCCTGGGTCCTTCCCGCCTCTGGGTAAAGGTGATGTCATCACAGCCCTTTGTGTTCCTGCCCAGCACCTGGCCCTGGGACCTTCCCTGTTTGCAGAGTGATTAAAGCTTCTAATTATTTCTATTTGGTAAGAAGACGTTCCCTTTACCACTCCCACTATATCAACCCCAAAATTTGCACTAACAACATCCTATTTGTCAATATAAAGTTTTTTTTTTCTCTTTTTTGAGACAGAGTCTCATTCTGTGGCCCAGGCTGGAATGCAGTGGCGTGACCTTGGCTCACTGCAACCTCTGCCTCCCAGGTTCAAGCGATTCTCCTGCCTCAGCCTCCCAAATAGCTGGGATTACAGGTGCATGCCACCACGCTCAGCTCATTTTTTTATTTTTAGTAGAGACAGGGTTTCACCATGTTGGCCAGGCTGGTCTCGAACTCCTGACCTCAAGTGATCCGCCCACCTCGGCCTCCCAAAGTGCTGGCATTACAGGCGTGAGCCACTGCACCCGGCCTAAAGTTCTTTTTTTTTCATGTTGCACTATGATCCAGTTTTCCTCCAGGGGGTTCTAAACACCAATGGTGGACAAAGGATTGAGAGATGTGGACCCTCCCTTGCCGGCCTTATGGGACCCATATAGGGAGGCAAAGTCAACCAACAGGGGCAGATGTGGGAGAGATATGAAGGGGAGACTGGGTATAGTTTCTTTTTTTGTTTTGGGAGGGGTACGGTTCCTAGGAGCGAGTGGAGGATCTGGGGACAAGGGCAAGGGGGCAGATCTGGGTACAGCGGGGACAGACACCCAGAAGCCATGTACCTGTGTCCCGTGGGGCAGGTGAGTAGTGCGGGGCCAGGAAAGTGAGGTCGTGTTACAGGAGCCTTCACATCACAAGGTGGGCACCAGCGCCTGGGTTTATGGGGGACCCCACCAAAGGGGCTTCTATTTCAAAAACCAGCAGTCCAAGAACAACTTGAAAACCCCCAGGGGGATTCAACTCCTGCCAAGAAGGAGAGTTCAGAGTCTAAAAATAAGCTTCAAAACCGAGAATACCAAGAGAACCACCCACCGCAGAAGCCATCCCAACAACTCGCGGTCAGCGTAAACACACATCAAAGGTCTCACGGCCCACGGCCAAGGGTGTCTTCTCCCGAGAACACAAAAAACCAAGTTGAAACACAGCAGAAACCCCAGTCTCCATAGCTTCTGGTGTTGCTTCATTCTGACCCACAGCCTCTGTAAACATTCCCCCGAAAAAAGTATCTTAACCTTTTTCTTTTCTTTTTTCTTTCTTAAACTGAACTTTGTTTTACAATCGGGGTCTCGCTGTGTTGCCAAGGCTGCAGTGCAGTGGCGCAATCATAGCTTACTACAGCCTTGAACTCCTGGGTTCGAGTGATCCTCCCACTTCAGCCTCTCGACCAGCTGGGACTCCAGGCACATGCCACCATGATTAGCTAGTTTTTTTAATTTTTAATTTTTTGTAGAGACGGGGTCTCACTATGTTGCCCAGGCTGGCCTCAAGTGATCCTCCCAAAGCGTTGGGATTACAGGCATAAGCCACTGCACTCAGCCTTAATCTTTTTCTAAAATCGATCCCAGCTGGGCACGGTGGCTCATGCCTGTAATCCCAGTGCTTTGGGAGGCCGAGGCGGGTGAATCACTTGAGGTCAGGAGTTCGAGACCAGCCTGGCCAACATGGTGAAACCCCATCTCTACTAAAAATCCAAAAATTAGCTGGGCAAGGTGGTGCATGCCTGTAGTCCCAGTTACTCCAGAGGCTAAGGCATGAGAATTGCTTGAACCTGGGAGGTGGAGGTTGCAGTGAGCTGAGATCGCACCACTGCACTCCAGCCTAGGCAACAGAGCAAGACACTGTCTCAAAATAAATAAATAAGTAAATAAATAAATAAATTCCCATATTCCCCTCTCCTTTCTTACAATCTGCAAAAAAAAAAAAAAAAAAAAAGAGAGAGAGAAAGAGAAAAAGAGAAAGGAAAGGAAAAATGCTTGTGTCCACATCTGTGGTTCTACACGGTCCCAGGCTGCCAACAGTCCAACATGGGGCTGATGGCGGCTCCATCCCACCAACACAATTTGCTACTTCAAAGCCTCTGAGGACTTGGACACCAGCAGAACCCAGCGTGCAAGGACTCTGTGTAAAGTAAGAGTTCATAGTTGCCGTGGGCGCCTCCTCTGAGTGAGGTAAACAGGCTTGGGCATCTGCTTTGATGATAAATATATACCTTATTTGGGAGTCTTCTATTTGCTTACTTCCTTTGTTCTGGCCAAATTCCAGATGACTGCAGGTAGTCCAACTGTCTGTCTTTGAAAATTCCAGAAAACAGCAATCTTGCCTTTAGCAAGACTTACGGATAATGTGGGAACAGGGTGGTGGTGGACATTGCCTGTCAAGCGCTTTTCATGCCTGTTTCACATCCCCTGGCTGACACCACATGATCTAGCCCTTGATGACATATGTCTTCCTCCTGCATCCTAATTGCTTCCTGTCTGCAAGTTAGCTTCTATTAATATTTCCCTAACTGGACCATATTACGTTACTCTCTGCCCACCCCAGGGGAAGGGATGTGATCTATATTTCCCCACGAGGGCTTGAGAAAGCCAAGTGCATCTGACATCCTTGCACAGCTGAGGTCTCCTGTGCCCATATGGCACATCTATCCCATCTATGACAGGGTATCTATGGCATCAGCTCATTAGAAGTGTCTATTTTTTTTTTTTTTTTTTTGAGACGGAGTCTCCCTCTGTTGCCCAGGCTGGAGTGCAGTGGCACAATCTCGGCTCACTGCAAGCTCCACCTTCCAGGTTCAAGCAATTGTCCTGCCTCAGCCTCCCGAGTAGCCGAGATTACAGGCACCCACCACCACGCCCGGCTAGTTTTTGTACTTTTAGTAGAGATGAGGTTTCACCATGCTGGCCAGGTTGGTCTCGAACTCATGACCTCAAGTGATCTACCCACCTCAGCCTCCCGAAGTGCTGGGATTACAGGTGTAAGCCACCACACCTGGCCAGAAGTGTCTATTTTTTAAACAAGAAAAGACAAATCTTCCTCACTGACAAATTCCAAATAGTATGAGTAGATACTCCCTCTCCAGGGGATGCACTTTTATTTTATTTTCTTTTTTTGAGACAGGGTCTCACTCTGTCACCCAGGCTGGAGTGCAGTGGCACCATTGGCACCATCATAGCTTACTATGGCCTCAGCCTCCTGGGCTCAAGCGATCCTCCTCCCTCAGCCTCTCGAGTAGTTGTGACTGCAGGTGTGCATCAACAAGCCCAGCTAATTTTCTATTTTTTGTAGAGATGGGGTCTTGCTCATTCCACTATTTCCAGGCTGGCATGCAATGGCTTGATCGTAACTCACTGCAGCCTTCAACTCCTGGGCTCAAATGATCCTCCCACCTCAGCCTCCTGAGTAGCTGGGGCTACAGGTGTGCACCACCACACTCAGCGATTTTTTTTTAACTTTCCATAGAGATGGGGGTCTCAATATGTTGCTCAGGCCGGTCTTAAACTCGTGGGTTCAAGTAATCCACCCGCCTCAGCCTCCAAAACTGCTGGGATTATAGGCATGAGCCATGGCACCTCGTAGGAGGTGGAATTTAATCTCTCCCTTTCCTCTCCTGTGTGTGGGCTGGACTCCTTGACTCTCTTTCAAAGAACAGAGTCGCCAGGCGTGGTGGCTCATGCCTGTAATCCCGGCACTTTGGGAGGCCAAGGCGGGTGGATCACCTGAGGTCGGGAGTTCGAGACCAGCCTGGCCAACATGGGGAAACATGTCTATATACAGGCACATGCCTGTAATCCCAGCTACTCAGGAGGCTGAGGCAGGAGAATTGCTTGAACCCAGGAGGCAGAGGTTGCAGCGAGCCAAGATCGCACCATTGCACTGTAGCCTGGGCAACAAGAGCAAAACTCCATCTATGAAAAGGGAAAGACAGTAAACTACAAGCGAGAAAATCTGGCAAATACCTCCTTTTCACTCTCTCTCTTGATATTAATTAACATCAGGAATACTTTACTCTCTCCCTTGATATTAACATCTGCAATGTCATGTGCATGTCATGTGCCCTCTGATGTGACAGGATGAGAAGGACACTTCACCTCCGTGGTCTTCTCCTCCCAGAACCCACAACCCCACTGTAATCATGAGAAAAATATCAGACAACCCTGATTTGAGGGAAATTCTACAGAATCCCTCATCTTCAAAAAGTATCTAGGTTATGAAAAACAAAGCAAGACTGAGAAACTAACATAGCCAGGGTGGCTGAGGAGACAAGATGACTAAATGCAATGTGGGGCCGGGCACAGTGGCTCATGCCTATAATCCCAGCACTCTGGGAGGCCGAGGCGGGTGGGTCACCTGAGGTCGGGAGTTCGAGACCAGCCTGGCCAACATGGGGAAACCCCATCTCTACTAAAAATACAAAAATTAGCTGGGTGTGGTGGTGCGTGCCTGTAATCCCAGCTACTCGGGAGGCTGAGGCAGGAGAGTTGCTTGAACCCGGGAGGCCAAGGTTGTAGTTAGCTGAGATTGTGCCATTGCACTGCAGCCTGGGCAACAAGAACAAAACTCTGTCTCAAAAAAATAAAACACAGTTTGGGAGGCCGAGGCAGGTGGATCATGAGGTCAGGAGATCGAGACCATCCTGGCTAACACGGTGAAACCCCGTCTCTACTAAAAATACAAAAAATTAGCCGGGCGCGGTGGCGGGCGCCTGTAGTCCCAGCTACTCGGGAGGCTGAGGCAGGAGAATGGCGTGAACCCGGGAGGCGGAGCTTGCAGTGAGCCGAGATTGCGCCACTGCAGTCCGCAGTCCGGCCTGGGCGACAGAGCGAGACTCCGTCTCAAAAAATAAAATAAAATAAAATAAAATAAAATAAAATAAAATAAAATAAAATAAAATAAAATAAAATAAAATATATCAATGCAATGTAGTACCCTAGGTTAGGACCCTGGCCCAGAAAAAAAGGACATCAGTGGGAGAACTGGGAACTCCAGATAAAGTCTGGAGTTTGGTGAACAATAACATACCCTCATCAGTTTCTTGGTTTGACAAACATACTGTGTGATGTAAGATGTGAATAATGGAGAGAACCAGGAACTGGGTGAGGAACTCCCTGTACTAACTTCACAACTTTCTTGCAAATCAAAAATTATGCCAAAATTAAAAGTTTATTTAAATACTTTCAGGGATCCCACTTATAAATGAGTCAGATAGGTGATGGGGCTCAGGACACACTACCCCAAAATATGACTGCAGGAGACTAGAACATGTCACCTCAGGATCTATTTCTTTGGCATATATTGAGCTGATTATTCTGAGAAACTGCAGACACAGGAGCAGCTCTGAAAAGCTGCCCTTTGATACAATAAATTGAAATCTACAGGTTGATTATCCCAAATGTGAAAATCCAAAATCTGAAACTTTTTGAACACAGACATGATGCTCAAAGGAAATGCTCATTGGAGCATTCTGGATTTTGGATTTTTGGATTAGAGATGCTGAACCAGTAAGTAGAATGCAGTATTTCAAAATCTGAAAAAAAGATCCAAAATCTGAAACACTTCCGGTCCCAAGCATTTCAGAGAAGAGATACTTGATCTGTGTAAAGGAAAGTGACTATCATAGGACCCTCATCAACCAGTGAAGTTTTTTTTTTTTTTGAGACGGAGTCTCATTCTGTGGCCCAGGCTGGCGTACAGTGGTGTGATCTCAGCTCACTGTAACCTCTGCCTCCCAGGTTCAAGTGATTCTCCTGCCTCAGCCTCCTGAGTAGCTGGGATTACAGATGCCCACCACCACACCCGGCTAATTTTTGTATTTTTAGTAGAGACGGGGTTTCACCATGTTGGCCAGGCTGTTCTTGAACTCCTGACCTCATGATCCACCCACCTTGGCCTCCCAAAGTGCTGGTATTACAGGCGTGAGCCACCGTGCCTGGCTGGAAGATCTTAACTTAGGAGAGGAGACTGAAGGTCGACACCTGGTCACAAGCCATCACCTGCTCTTCTGAGGCTACTCTGAGACAACTTTCATCATTCAAGAGGCTTTTTATCTGCATTAACAAGGCAACCTTTGTTCACCATACATTTCCTCCCCTTACCCTTCTATAACCTATCACCACCTGCCTCCAGGAGCCCCAGGCCCCTATTCCTTTTTCTTTTTTATTTTGAGACAGGGTCTTGTCTGTCACTCAGGCGGGAGTGCGGTGGCACTATCTCGGCTCACTGCAGCCTCGACCTCCCAGGCTCAAGCGATCCTCTTGCCTCAGCCTCCAGAGTGGCTGGGATCACAGGCATGAGCCACCATGCCAGACTAATTTTTGTATTTTCTGTAGAGACAGGGCTTTGCCATGTTGCCCAGGCTGGTCTTGATCTCCTGGGCTCAAGCGATCCTCCTGCCTTGTCCTCCCAGAGTGCTGGGATTACAGGCATGAGCCACCACGCCCAGCCGCTTATTCCTTTTTCGTAGCTCAGGCACACTACATAAACTTCAATTATCTGACCTTGCTTTGAGTTTCACTTTCTGTGGGACTCCCACATTTATGCATGGAATAAATTTGTATGTATTTTCATCCGTTAATCTATCATCAGTTTATTTCATAGGCTCAATTATGGTACCTTCAGAAGGCAGAAAGAAAGTCTTCTCTCTCCCCTACATAGGCCAAGAGTAAGAAAAACTATAAGGTGAAATGGAATAGGCAGGTCTTACCCCAAAGCACTCAAGTTCAATTTAAAAAAACAAAATTTGAGTGCTTTGGGGTGAGGCTCATGCCTGTAATGGCAATACTTTGAGAGGCCAAGATGGATGGATCACTTCACTCCAAGAGTTTGAGACCAGCCTGGGTAACATGGCGAAACCCTGTCTCTACAACAAAAAACCACTAAAATTAGTGTGGTGGCTGAGGTGGAAGGATGGCTTGAGCTCGAGAGGGAGGTTGAGGCTGCATGGAGCTGTGATCACGCCACTGTACTCCAGCCTGGCCAACAGAACAAGGCCCTATCTCAAAAAATATATAAGTAAATAAAGTATATTTTGGTTAAATGCCAAAGACTAAGTGGGGGGTAAAGGAGAGTTTCTGACACTTCTAACTGATGAGGTGAAAAATAAAAAATAAAATAAAATAAAAAGATACCTAGAATTTCAGCAAAAGAACAGGTTTTAAAGGAATCTCCCAAACTCTGCCCAGCTGAATGCATATTTACACCTGACCACAAGTCCGCACTCCCCTCGAAAGGTATTTCACAGCTTCCACAAAGGAAGGACGACAAAATTGAGCTCACAGAAGTAGAGAAAAGAACTGTGGTTACTGGAGGTTACAAAGGGGAGGGGAAGAGAGGCTAGAGAGAGGTTGGTTGATAGGTACAAAGTTACAGTTCAATGGGAGGAATAAGTTCTACTGTTCTGTAGAACTGTAGGGTGAATATGGTTAACAATTATTCAGTGTATATTTTCAAATAGCTAGAAGAGAGAATTCTGAATGCTCACAACACAAAGAAATGATAAGTGTTTGAGGTGATGAACATGCCAATTACTCTTTGATCAATTACACACTGGAGACATATAAGAAAATATCACTCTTTATCCCATAAATGTGTATGATTATTATGTGTCAACTAAAAATAAAAGAGAAAATGGTCAATGGCTTTTTAAAGGGTTTGAAAACAAGAGCAAGATATAGTGAAATATCTATTTCACTCACAACGGAAAAAAAAAAAAAAAAAAAGAACTCCCCACAAAGCTTTAGCCACATGTGGGTGGTAAACTCTTCTAAAAATATATCCTCAAGCTGTGTATAGAACTGTTTTCTACATTTGGGTATCAGATCAACACATAAAAGGGCAAGGCCTTCAGAAAGATAAAGCGGCTTTTTAACTACCAACTTAATCCTCGAAGATCGATTCTTCCAGGAAGAAAAAGGAGAAATATTCAATTCTACTCTGGTCTCCATCTCCCAGCCCCCAGAAAAGAAACACTAAGCTAGGCCCATGAATATGTATATCGCAGAAATGACCCCAGAATAAAAAAAGGGATTCCTTAGGCAAAAGAAGGGCACTCACATGCAAATTGTCAGGTCCCCTAAGAAAATAGCCTAGTTTGTAAACAAGAAAGAGAACCAGCTGCGAGGGTCAAAAAGGTCTGGTCTTTTAGGGTCTCTGGAGAAAAACGTTATTTCCAATAATGGGAGCACAGTGGATCCTGACTATAATCAACTTTCAGGAACTATCCAAATTGTACACTTATTAAATTGAATATTGCTTAAAATTCTTAAACTAAGGAGGGTCACCTGGCAGGTTTTAAGCTACAATAATTCTGCAATACGGTTTTTGTTGTCATGGAATTTAACCTGTCTATCATTCCTGAAAATGTTCAAGGTGAATGGTGCGTCTTAAGCCATAAATGGTTAAGCAGGAAGGTAGACAAAAGGGGAAACCCGGACCTCCAGCTCTTTGGGAAAGGAAGCGAGAAATTGGCCTTTGGTTATTTGATCCCAAACAAATTCCAGTTTCAGTAGACCTCAGTAAAAGTACAGAAGCTCAGAGTGAAATATTTCAGAGAAATGTGTGCCAATTCCATCTTCTGAGTTCAGGCTGTTTCTGCAGGGCGGTATGTCCCACAAGTCAAAGATAAAGTTACCACAATCTTAAAGCCAGGTTCAAGCATGGCGTAATGACAAATCACAGTGATTTGTGGAATGGAAAATGCTTCCATCGGGGAGTTGGGCTGCTCCCCCACAATCAGAGTGGGCAGTTTTCCTCTGGACTCCTGGTGAAACCACATCCCTAGTTTCCACGTGAATCACAGTTTTTCATCAAACAGTGCAAGGAGATCATTAATAAGACTGAGACTGCATTAGGATACAAAATTGTATGAACGCTGATGACAATTTCATAGAAAACAGGCACAAAGACAAAAGACAGAAGCCGCCCGATAAGGACAGCCAGTGGTAGTTGTTTCGTTCTATAAGATTATGCCTTTCTTCTTTATCTTCCACACTTTAATATTTTTTAATAAAAAATTTCAAACTATCAGTGCATCATCTAGGAATAACCTCATGGATTCAAGTTTAAGGCAAGACATCATTAAGCTCTTAAACTTACCTGAGGCACACTGTCAATTAAATCTAAGGCTCCATGAGCTAAATAGCTTAAATTCTCCAACATTATTTTCTCTGAAGCCTCCAGCTTTGGATCCTGGTATATAAACTCCTACCTACTGCGAGGTGAGCAGAGAATTACCATCACATAGACACCCTCCAGAATGGTTCCTTTCTTGTGTCCATGCCTTAAGCTCTATGAAATTACACAATTCTTCTACTGAAATAACCTGCAGCCAAGGGACAACTTCATTAGCTACAAAGCTGTTGTCACCTGTGTCCAGAGTGTCAATCAATACAGGCTCAAACAACAAGATGAAATTATGAGGACCCTGGAAAATGCCACTTGACCTCAAATAACAATTCTTAGGCAAGTAAACATCAATCAAATTCAGAACAGACCATGGGTGGCCAAACAGACCCGGGAGACGTCAAAAATATGTGTGCTAAAGAAACACAGAACTAAGGAAGTCTATTTACCTGATAGACCGCCTCACCCACGGGGCTATTTTCACTGCTGTAAAAGCGAAAACAAATAGAGGACAAGTCACAGTGCCAAGAATACAGGACTTCCTCTTGCAGATCCTCTTTTTTCCACCCTCACTGTAGCTCTGGGGAAATTCCTATTCAGTGGGAGAAGTTTAAGTCACAAAACGGCACCAGCCCATTCTCAAAGTGCTATTATACACCTCTGAGCAGTGAGGATGGGTAATGTCAGCAAAATATGCACTGTTTATTTTCTTGAAAATTAACTTGGGCTGGAAACGCCTTCCAGCTCCTTCCTCTCAGTGGATTTTCCATTTACTGTCTTCAACCACCTGGGCTTGTCTGTACCTCTTCCACAGCTCTACTGAGACCCTCCTGTTTGTCTGAACTATGTCCTCATGTTCCTTCTGCCACATGTGCTCAGGCCTCAGTTTTTCCATGAAACTTTCTCTAACTTAGCTGCCTCCTTTCCACTGTTCTCAAGCCCTTTCTGGAGTTACAAGGGCATTAGCAAGCACCAGCTTTTTCGCCGGTGTGTGTTTCTACTTTCTACCCATTGCGTAAACCCCTCAGGACCAGGAGCCATTCTTCTGCATCCTTTACACGGCAAGGGTAGCGCTTTATTTCTCAACAGCCCGCCCATAAAAGGAACGGAAGTAACAAAGGGAAATGTATTCCCCAAAGACAGTGAATTACACTTCAATCTACTATTTTAGAGACTTAAGAAATGGGCCGGGTGAGGTAGTTCACACCTGTAATCCCAGCATTTTGGGAGGCCAAGGCAGGTGGATCACTAGAGGTCAGAAGTTCGAAAACAGCCTGGCCAACATGGCAAAACTCTGTCTCTACTAAAAATGCAAAAATTACCTAAGCATGGTGGCACCCAACTGTAATCCCCGCTACTTGGGAGGTTGAGACACTAGAATTGCTTGAACTCAGGCAGGGGGTTGAGGTGGGGTGGGGAGGGTTAGAGGTTGCAGTGAGCCGAGATCGCACCACTGCACTCCAGCCTAGGCGACAGTGAGACTCTGTCTCAAAAAAAAAAAAAAAAAAGAAAGAAATTGATCCTACGTCTTAGATCAATCACCCAGTCACTTAATCTGTGAAAACATTACAAGATACTTTCTCAAATGTGAATAAATGCATCAATTATTCATGCCTTAAAGTAACAGGAAAGAGGGAGATGGGCCTCCCTCATGGTAGATTACAATTAAATGTTTCTTAGAGAGTTTGGTGCACATTTAGTTCCCAGAGCAAGGGCTGGTGGAGAAGAAAGCCAAGTGCAATATGGGTGTTACTCTATGCCAGGTAAAGCAAGTCACACGCCATCTAGATCCTGCTCCAACTGATAAAACCAAAACACTGGTGGAATTCCAGATACCAGCCTGCACTTCTCTCTGTAGGCATCTGGGTTAGTCCTAAATAGGAAGTCCTAAAAAGAGTCACTCTGAGAAGGCAGGGGGTGAGAGGGCAGATGAAGCAGCCAAGCACACATTAAGGCAAATCATGGCTTTCCTAAAGAGGACCCCAAGCTGGGCTTCAGACAGTCTTTGAACCAGCACCAGTGCACCAGGCCAAGGGGAGGGAGGCATCCTCTTTGGGAAGACTGGTAGGAGCTTGGAAGACCCCGTGGCTTCCACAAACTGTAGATTTCCCAGTGACCACTGCTCAGTCCAACAGCCAGTGACATCAGCTCCACTGTCGGGAAGTAGAAAACCAGTGAAGGTCCAACTAGCCTGGTCCCTGAAGCATGACTGGCCCTTCCAGAACATACACCTTTCCCCTATCACCTCCTCTCCCTGACCCCGAAGAGCTTCGGGCACACCACCAACTGACCACCTATCCACAGTGACCTGCAAACCAGAGCGGGGAGGGTATTTGCCTAGCTTGGCAGGGAGGGGCGAGATCCACTTCTGCCACCAGTCACCAGCTGGTCCCACCAGCACCTACCCAGCACCGGCGGTGGACGGTGAGCGGCGTCTGGGCCCAGAGCTGGGTGCCATCAGCAGTAAGAGGACCCCTGCGCTCGCGGGGTGCCCGCCTTACCCCGCGGGGAGGGGTCAGGCCTAGGGGCCACGGCCCGCTTCGCTCTCTGATTTTCACCTCCCCAGGGTCTCCCAGGGGCCTCGGGTGTCCTTCCCGGATCTTGCGCGAAGTCGCGGGGGCAGGGAGAGAAACGCGGGTACCCGCGCCCCTAGAAGTCAAATGTTTGGCAAATAGCATTTGGGAATTCGTTGGGGTTTTTTTGTTTGTTTTGGTTTTGTTTCTGAACCCCCGGGGGATATTTCTGGAAATCTCAACCTGAGTCACTAGAGAGAATCGCGCCTTTTTCTAAAAAGCCCAGGGGCCGTCCTCTCCGGGGAGGGGGACGCGGCGGGCCGCGAAGGGCGCTCGTTCGGGTGGGGGCCGGACGACCCCGCCACGCGCGATCGGGCCACTCTGGGACGCAGGAGCTGAACCCAACCGGAGACGCGGCCGGGACCAGCGCTGGGAGGCCGGACCCCGCCCCGGCCGGGCCCCCACGCCCTCCGCCGCGCCTCGATGCCCGCGACCCGACCCGCGCCCCCTGGCATCCCAGGAGGCCCCAGCCAAGGGCTCAGTGCCCGGGGCCCCCAGCAGGTGCTGGCGCCACCGGCCCCCCGCTGTCTCCCGCTGGTCCCCGCGCCCCGGCGTCCCCGCGCCGCACTCACCGCCGCCCGCGCCGCCTGTCGAGCCGGGAGGTCTGAGCTGGCCTCTCGGGCGCCCCGAGAAAAGGGCCGGGCGGCGGGGACGGGGGCGGGGGCTGGACCCGCCGGGGCGGAGCGCGGCCGGCTTGGGCTTCCGGCTTCTCCCGCCCCCGCGGCCCGCACCTGGGCCCCAGGCGAGACCACCGCCGGTTCCCCGCCTCACTCTGATCGCCCCCAGGCTCCATCCCACACCCGGCTCGCTCGCCACCCCAGAGCTTCCCAGGCTTACCCCCGAGACGCCTGGCGCGGACCTGGTGTCTCCCCCACTCTCCTATCCTGCCCCTGCCTCTCGGTGCCAGCCCCACCCGTCCGCCCCCGACAGCCTGGCCCTCCCTCCTGATTTGCCGCTCGCGGCTCTCCCCACTTTCCCCCCTCCCCGCGCCGCTCCACCACTTCCAGGCGGCGGGACCACCAACCTCGACCCCGGACCCGCGCTGGGGCGCTCCCGGCCCTCTGGAGGGCGGCCCTTCTCTTCCTGTAACTCTACAGACGCGTCCGGACAGACCAAGACACTCTCTGTGCCTTCGGGCATGTTACCCATCCTCTCTGAGCTCGGCTTCCTGTCTGCAAAATGGGCACAATAGCGGTCCTGTCTCCTAAGACCGACTGGGAGTGAACTGGGAAGATGGTAAAGTTTTTAGCACAGGATAGGTATTAGGTAAGGCTTATCAGCTGCCTGTCCGCTTTGTGCCCCCAGGGTGGTCCGTGCCGCCAGGTAGGCCTTTCTCAGCCATCACTGAAAGCAAGCTCTGGAAATCAGTAGCCCCATTTCACATCCGCCCCTAAATGGGTGCCATCTGCCCGTCTGCTTGGAGCCCCATCGGCCGGCTGCAGTGATAACAGCAGCAGCCTGGATCCAGCAGGCTCTCTGGGAAATCATTAGAGGGAATTAAGAAGCATGCCTGGCTTTCAGAGTACACAGAGTCAGGAGATGGGCAGAACCATGATGTGGCCATCCACAAACAAACGCCATTTGGACAGGGAGCTTCCGAGCCCCATGCTGGCAAAGACCTGGATCTTAGAACCCTCCGGTGCCCAAATCCCATGCCTTTACCCGAGGTCCTAAAGATAGTGAGGCCCAGATAGGGAGTGTGGCTTGTCCCGGGTCCCTCAGCAAAGTGTCCCCAGCCCCAAGTTCTTGCCACCTTGCGCCATGTCCACTGACGGGCCACCCTCAGCCGTGGACGAGTTACCAAGTTGGAAGGGATTTCAAAGTTCTCCCAAGCATAGGAGGTTCCCATGTAGATGTTATTAGTGTGGGCAACATTTTACTGCTTTTAAAATATGAAGGGGGCGGGTGCAGTGGCTCTTGCCTATAGTCTCAGGACTTTGGGAGGCCATGGCCAGAGGATCTCTTGAGCCCAGGAGTTCAAGGCCAGGCTGGACAACATAGTGAGACTCCATCTCTATAAAAATTTTTTTAATTAAAAGAATAATAATAAAGCGGTGGAGTGGTGGCATGTGCCAGCTACTCAGGAGGCTGAGGTGGGAGGATTCCTTGACCTCCGGAGGTTGAGGCTGTAGTGAGCTATAATCGAGCCACTGCACTGTAGCAAGCAAGCAACAAAGAAAGAAAGAGGGAAAGAGGGAAAAGAGAAAGAAAAAAAAAAGAAAGAAAAAGAAGAAAGAAAGAGAAAGAAAGAAAGGGAAAAGAAAGAGAAGGAAAGAAGGAAGGGAGGGAGGGAGGGAGAAGAGAAGAACAGGAAATTGGATTACACCCAACCTCTGCCATTCCTCCATTCTCAGGATGCAACCAAGGCTTGCAAAGGTACCAATTATTATACTGACATTAAGACAGAATATCACAGACCATTGCTAGGGAGACATAACACCTAGGGAAAATCTCTCAGAGATAACGTTCAAGAAACATCCCTGTATGAATGCTTTTCTTCCTTCCTTCCTTTCTGTCTCTCCCTCCCTCCCAACCTTTTCTCCTTCCTTCCTTCCTTCCTTCCTCCCTTCCTCCTTTCCTCCCTTCCTCGCTTCCTCCCTTCCTTCCTGTAAAAAGCAGTAGTAAGCCTGAATTTTCTTCTGTCCTTTACTGAATACTACCACATCTTCATTTGTTTTTCTTTCCCCAACTGCTGAGCAGCAACAGGAGCCAGCTTTGTGTTTTTATCCATCCTAAACACTTACCACGGCTGTGAGCTTGCAATTATTTATGGGGAGAGCTATAAGACTGTAACTCTTTTCTTTGATCCCCAAAAAACCACAGAGATTGAATTTCCAACCCAAGGCTTCCAACCAGGGGGTAAAAGTAAACTGGGCCACGTGATCATCTCAATAGACGGAAAAAGCATTTGAAGAAATCCAATAATGCTTTCATGATTAAAAAAATAATAATAAACTAGAAATAGAAGGGAACTTCCTCAACCTTAGGGCTTCTATGAAAATCCCAGAGCTAATGACACACTTAATGGTAAAAGACTGGAAGTTTTACCCCTAAGAACAGGAACAAGCCAAAGTGCCCACTCTGGCCACCTCTGTCCAACATTGTCCTGGAGGTTCTGGCCATTGCCATTAGGCAAGAAAAATAAAAGCATCCAGATTGAAAAGGATAAAGTGAAGCTATCTCTATTCACAGGTGATATGATCCTATATGTAAGAACCCTAAAGAATGTACTAAATACCTATTAGAGCTAATAAACCAGTTCAGCAAAGTTGTGGGATTTAAGATTAACATACAAAAATCAGTTGCTTTTTTTTTTTTTTTTTTTTCGAGACAGGGTCTCTGTCACCCAGGCTGCAGTACAGTGGCTCGATCACAGCTCACTGCAGCCTTGACCTCCTGAGCTCAGGCGATCCTCCCACCTCAGCCTCCTCAGTAGCTGGGACTACAGGCATGTACCACTGTGCCCAGCTAGTTTTTTTTTGTAATTTTTTGTAGAGATAGGGCTTTGCTATGTTGCCCAGACTGGTCTCAAACTCCTGGGCTCAAGCCATCCACCTGCCTGGGCCTCCCAAAGTGCTGGGATTACAGGTGTGAGGCACCACACCCAGCCAGTTGCATTTCTATATACTAGCAATGAGCAATCCAAAAATGAAATTAAGAAAATGGCTCCATTTACAATAGCCTCAAAAGGATAGAAGCTGGGTATGGTGGCACACACCTGTAGTCCCAGCTACTCAAGAGGCTGAGGCAGAAGGATCCCCTTGAGCATGAGAGTTTGAATCTAGCCTGGGCAACATAGCGAGACCCCATCTCTAAAAAAAAAAAAAAGAGAGAGAGAGAATGTAATACTTAGGAAAACGCTTAACTAAGGAAGTTCAAACAAGACCTATACACTGAAAACTACAAAACATTGCTGAAAGAAATTAAAGAAAACTAAATAAATGGAAAGACATTCATGGACCAGAAGATTTAATATAGTTAAAGTGGTATATCAGTCAGAAATCTTTCAAAGAAAGAGAGAGGAGATATATACATATATAGATGGTACCAGACTTAATGATGGTTCAATTATGATTTTTTGACTTTATGATGGTGATACACATTCAAAAGAAACCGTACTTCAAGTACCCTTACAACCATTCTGTTTTTAACTTTTAGTATAGTATTCAGTAAATTACATGAGATATTCAATACTTTGTGATAAAGTATTGAATTAAGTAAAGGAGACCGTCTCCTTTACCTGAAGTCAACTAAAATAAACCACATCTGCAAAATACTTTTACAGCAACATCTAGATTGGTGTTTAATTGAATAACTGGGTACTATAGGCTAGCCACGTTGATGTGTAAAAGTAATGATCACAAATGGCAATACTTCCCAAACTGATGTACGGGTCCAATGTAATCTCTGTTTTTGTTGTTGTTGTTTTGTGTTTTTGAGATAGAGTCTCGTTCTGTTGCCCAGGCTGGAGTGCAGTGGTACGATCTCGGCTCACCGCAAACTCTGCCTCCTGGTTTCAAGCGATTCTCCTGCCTCAGCCTCTCGAGTAGCTGGGACTACAGGTGTGCACCACCAAGCCTGGCTAATTTTTGTATTTTTAGTAGAGACAGAGTTTCATCGTGTTGGCCAGGCTGGTCTCGAACTCCTGGACTCAAGTGATCCACCTGCCTCGGCCTTCCAAATTGCTGGGCTTTCAAGTGTGAGCCACCGTGCCCGGCCCAGGTCCAATGTAATCTCTATCAAAATTCCAGCTGCCTTTTTTGGCAAAAATAGACAAGCTGATCCTAAAATTAATATGGAATTACAAGGGATTTCAAATAGCCAAAACAATCTTGAAAAATAACAAAGTTGGAGGATCCACTGTTTCTGTTTTTTACACTTTGTTTTTGAGACAGAGTCTTATTCTGTTGCCCATTCTGGGATGTAGTAGTGCCATCATAGCTCACTGCAGCCTCAAACTCCTGGGCTCAAGCGATCCCTCCCACCTCAGCCTCCAGAGTGGCTGGGACTACAGGTGCGCACCACCATGCCTAGCTAATTTTTAAATTTTTTGTATAGATGTGGTCTCACTATGTTGCCCAGGCTGGTATTGAACTCCTGGGCTCAAGTAGTCCTCCCACCTCCACCTCCCAAAGTGCTGGGATTACAGGTATGAGCCACTGCACCTGGCCCACACGTTCTGATTTTAAAACTTACTACAGAGATACAGTAATCAAAGCATGTGGTTCTGGCATAAGAATAGACATATAAATCAATGAAATAAAATTGGGAGTCTACATATAAACCATATATCTATGATCAATGAATGCCAAGACCATTCAATGGAGAAAGAGTCTTTTTTTTTTGAGACAGAGTCTCACTCCGTCACCCAGGTTGGAGCGCAGTGGCGTGATCTTGGCTCACTGCAACATTCACTTCCCAAGTTCAAGCAATTCTCTTGCCTCAGCCTCCCAGGTAGCTGGAATTACAGGCATGCACCACCACAGGCTGGTCTCAAACTCCTGACCTCAAGCGATCCGCCCACCTTGGCCTCCCAAAGTGCTGAGATTACAGGCATGAGCCACTATGCCCAGCTGAGAGTCTTTCTGACAAGTGGTGCTGGGACAACTGGATATCCACATGTAGAAGAATGAAGTTGGATCTCTACCTCACATCATATACAAAGGTTGACTCATACAACTCTTAGAAGGAAACAACAGCATAAATCTTCATGACCTTGGATCTGACAATTGTTTTATAAATATGAAAACAAATGCACAAGCAATAAAATAAGAAATAAATAAATTGGACTTCATCAGAATGGAAAACTTTTGTGCGCCCAAGGACACTATCAGGAGAGTAAAAAGACAACCCACAGAAGAGGAGAAAATGTTTGCAAATTATATATCTGATAAGGGTCTAGTATCCAGATTATATAAAGAACTTTTACAACTCAGCAATAAAAAAACAACAAACAACCTAGTGTAAAAATGGGCACTGGGGCTGGGTGCGGTGGCTCACGCCTATACTCCCAGTACTTTGGGAGACTGAGGCGGGCGGCTCACCAGAGGTCAGGAGTTTGAGACCAGCCTAACCAACATGGTGAAACCCCATCTCTACTAAAAATACAAAAATTAGCCAGGCATGGTGACAGGCACCTGTGGTCCCAGCTACTTGGGAGGTGAGGTGGGAGGATCACCTGAGCCTGGGAGGTCAACACTGCAGTGAGCAGAGATCATGTCACTGCACTCCAACCTGGATGACAGAGCAAGACCCTGTCTCAAAAGAAAAAAAAAAAAGGGCAAAGGACTTGAGTAGACCTTACCCCCAAGAAAATACACAAATGGCCAAGAAGCACATGAAAAGATGTTCATCATCACTAGTCAGCAAGGAAATACAAATCAAAACCACAACGAGATACCTCTTTATACTCACTATGATAGCTACAAAAAAAAATTTGGGGTCGGGCACGGTGGCTCATGCCTGTAATCCTAACACTTTGGGAGGCCGAGGTTGGCAGATCACTTGAGGTCAGGAGTTTGAGACCATCCTGGCCTATGTGGCGAAACCCCATCTCTGCTAAAAATACAAAAATTGGCCGGGTGTGGTGGCTCACGCCTGTAATCCCAGCACTTTGGGAGGCCGAGGTGGGTTGATCACGAGGTCAGGAGATCGAGACCATCCTGGCTAACAAGGTGAAACCCCGTCTGTACTAAAAATACAAAAAAATTAGCCGGGCGTTATGGCAGGCGCCTGTAGCCCCAGCTACTCAGGAGGCTGAGGTAGGAGAATGGCATGAACCCCGGAGGAGGAGCTTGCAGTGAGCGGAGATTGCGCCACTGCACTCCAGCCTGGGCAGCAGAGTGAAACTCTGTCTCAAAATAAATAAATAAATAAAAATAAAAATACAAAAATTAGCCGGGCATGGTGGCAGATGCCTGTAAACCCAACTACTCGGGAGGCTGAGGCAAGAGAATCGCTTGAACCCAGGAGGCAGATGTTGCAGTGAGCCGAGATTGCGCCAGTGCTCTCCAGCATGGGAGACAAGCGAAACTCTGTCTCAAAAAAAAAAAAAAAAAAAAAAAAAGTTAATGGAAAATAAATATTGGTAAGGATGTGAAGAAATTGAAACCCTCAAACATTGCTGGTGAGAACATAAAATGCTATAGCTACTGTTCCACTCCAAGGTATATACACAAAAAAACTGAAAACAAGTACTCAAGTGAAAACTTGTACGAGAATGTTCATAGCAGCACTATTCCCAATAGTTAAAAGGTAGGGATAACTCAAATGTCCATCAGTGAATGAATGGACAGACAAAAATGTACTATATCTCTACCAGGAGTATTGACCATAAAAGAATTGAATGATTTGGCCATAAAAAGGAACAATGCATTGATGCTTTCCACAATACACAGGGACCTCAAACACATTTTGTAAAATGAAACCAGACACCAAAAACCACATATCTATTATTCCATTTACATGAAATGTCCAGAATAGGCAAATCCATAGACAGAGAAAGTGGATCCGTGCTGAAAGGATTGGGGGGTGACTGCCCAAGAGTATGAGGTTTCTTTTTAGGGTGATAACAATGTTCTGGGCTGGGTGCAGTGGCTCATGCCTGTAATTCCAGTACTTTGGGAGGCCAAGGCAGGCGAGTTGCTTGAGGTCGGGAGTTTGAGACCAGCCTGGGTACCATGGTGAAACTCTGTCTCTACATTAAAAAAAATATATACAAAAATTATCCAGGCATGGTGGCGCACAGCTATAGTCCCAGCTACTTGGGAGGCTGAGGTGGAAGGATCACTTGAACCTGGGAGGCAGAGGTTGCAGTGAGCCGAGATGGCGCCACTGCACTTCAGCCTGGGTGACAAAGTGAGACCCTGTCTCGAAAAAAAAAAAAAATTCTAGAACTAGATACTGGTGGTGACTGCAAAACACTACATGCCAATGAATTGTACAGTTTAAACTAGTTAAAATGTTAAACTTCATTACAACAACTGTATCCCAATTTTTTTTTTAACATAAACCAGGCATCTATGTGGGCATAGCAAGAGGAGGCCAGGCAGGCTATGGTTTTATAGGACATCTGCCAATACCCCAGGAATCACACGGACCAGAAAGGAAGATGCTTTTCCTCTGGGTGTACTCTGAAACTTCAGACATGAAGTGGCCACAGGAGGAAAAACTGGTTCCCTAAAAGAATGCAGACTATGATCCCACTTATTTTGTTAAAAAGAAAAAGAAATACACACACACCTGGAGGAAAAGGTTTCCAAGGAAAAAGAATGCTATAGAGGCTGGGCGTGGTGGCTCACACCTGCAACCCCAACACTTTAGGAGGCTGAGGCAGGTGGATCGCTTGAGGCTAAGAGTTTGAGACCAGCGTGGTCAGCATAGTGAAACCCTGTCTCTACTAAAAATACAAAAATTAGCCGGGCATGGTGGCTCGTGCCTGTAATCCCAGCTTCTTGGGAGGCTGATGCAAGAGAATCATTTGAACCCAGGAGGTGGAGGCTGCAGTGAGCCAAGATCATGCCACTGCCCTCCAGCCTGGTCAACAGAGCAAGACTCCATCTCAAAAAAATAAAAAAAAATAAAATAAAGTAAAATAAAAATAAAAATAAAAATAAAATAAAGGCTATAAATAGTTGTCTCTGAGTGATGTAATTAGGGAATTTTTCGTCCTTTTGCTACTGTCCATTTTCTAATGTTTCAAGAACAAATGCAAGTTGCTTATTGAAAAAAACTAATCTCCAAAACAGGAACCCAGTTGCCAGTAAACAGCCCCCACTGACTGGTCTGTGTTACCCATTAACGACCAATTCCGGTCACTCATGTTTCCATAACACCTTTCCATTTCTAAAACATGTTTCCCACATACATCACACGCTTTATCCTCAAAAAAGGTCCATGCAGCTGGGATTCTTCCAGCTGAGTTATGCAGATGGGGAGCCTGAGGCCAGGAGGACAGGAGGCTTGCCTGAGGTTACACCCCCAACCCCAATTCTGGCTCAGTGGCCTGGCCCTGACCCTGGCCAAACGCTTTGTTTCTGCTGCTGCCAAGATGGAGCTGAAACGGGGTGAGCTCATGGGCAGAGGGAGGCTTTAGGGAGTGTTACTGGATCTAGCACATAACTATGAAGGATGCCGGCTGGACACGGTGGCTCAAGCCTGTAATCCCAGCACTTTGGGAGGCCGAGGCGGGTGGATCATGAGATCAGGAGATCGAGACCATCCTGGCTAACACAGTGAAACCCTGTCTTTACTAAAAATACAAAAAATTAGCCGGGCATGGTCGGGGACTCCTGTAGTCCCAGCTACTTGGGAGGCTGAGGCAGGAGAATGGCATGAACCTGGGAGGCGGAGCTTGCAGTGAGCTGAGATCGTGCCACTGCACTCCAGCCTGGGCGACAGAGTGAGACTCCGTCTCAAAAAACAAAACAAAACAAAACAAAAAAACAGGTAAAACTATGCAGAATGCCCAGTTAATCTGAATTGCAGAGAAGTAGCAAATGCCTGTTGGTCATTTGTATAAGTATGTCCCAAATGCTGTGGATTTGTAATATGTCCCTATACTGTGTAAGACATACTTATACTAAACAATCATTTGCTATTTCTTTGGAATTCAAATGTAACTAGGCATCCTGGGTTCCATCTAGTAGTGCTCCCCGTGAGATCTGCCTCTGGCCAGGACAGGATATCCCAGTGAGCAGGCGGCCTGGCTCCAAGTCCATGGACAGTCCCTGGTCACCGTCTGGGGGTGATGGCACCTGCAGCCAGTGGCACAGGTAGAGGCCCAGGTGAGCTTCCCAAGCACTGTAATTAATGGGTCAACCCTTCCCCTCGGGGTGTGGGACCATCCCAGAACTGGCTAGGCCTCAGTCTTCACCACGGCCAGGAGAAGCAGCCCAGCCGGATAGCAGGTGGGGCCTTTCCAGCCTGCCCAGAGTGAGGCCCGGGTTACCTGCTTCAGGGCAGGGGCCCTGTAAACCGCAGGAAGAGCGTGTTCTCAGGATGGGAGGCCTGATCCACTTAATAATGACACACAGGTGTCCTCTTGGCCACAGGGATTGTGCTGCATGACTGTGTTTCTATTTAACAAAACATACCCAGGTCACAGCAACTGGCATCTGATGCAGAATGAAATCCCAATAGAGGAGGAGGAGGAGGAAGAGAGAAGTAAGGGGAGGAGGGGGAGGGGGGAAGGGGAGGAGGAAAGGAGAAGAAGGGGGAGGAATGGGAGGACAGAGAGGGGAGGAGGCAGAGGGGAGGAGGAGGGGGAGAGGAGGAAGGGGAGGAGGGAGGAAAGGAGGAAGGGGAGAGGAGGAGAGAGGAGGGGAAAAGGATGAGGGGGAGAGGGAGGATGTGGAGGGAAAAAGGAGGGGAGGGGGAAGGAGCAGGGGGAGAGGGAGGAGGGGGGAGCGTGAGAGTGAAGGAGAAGGGGAGGAGGAAGAGAAGAAGGGAGAGGAGGAGGGGGAGGGGGACAGGGGAGAGGGGGAAGGGACAGGAGGAAAGAAGAGGGGGAGGAGGAGGAGGTGGTGGGGAGGAGGAAGACAGTGATGGGCACACAAGCTGAGTACCCACTGGGTGCCAGGCCCTGGAATGTAAAAGCACTTTTACATCCACCATCTCATTTTCTCCTTACAACAATCCAGCTGTTTTACAGATTAGGCAACTGAAGCCCAGACAGGTAAAGTAACATGCCTCGAATCACAGAGCAAGAAGGTGACTACAGGTAAAATTTGCACCAGGTCTGGCTGATTCGTGAAGTTGTCAGGCAGCTTTCTCACCCTCTCAGGTGATGTGTCCTAGGAACCAGGCACCATTTCAGGAGCTAGAACTGGGGTAACAAGATAGCGGTCCCAACTCCCCTGGAGTTTATATTCTGGTTAGGAGCAGGGGAGGAAAAATCCACAATAAACAAGTACCCTGTGACTTTGGGGTCATCTACTGGCACTTTCTCTTCCTTGTAGCCTCCAGGAAACACACGTCTTCATAACACAGAAGAATTTCATTCTTTGAGCTCCATTCCACAACCCACTGGGGGTGTGGGGAGAGGCTGGGCAGTGGAGTGCGGGTGGAGCATGAGTCATAGAATTATAGTCGCCTAACAAACAGTCACAGTCACATAGGCCACCAGACTCCTCTCTCCCAGCAACCCTATAAGGGAAATATTATCATCTCCGCTTTACAGACTTAGCAATACAGGCCCAGAGAGGTCAGGCAGGTTGTCAAAGGTCACACAGCCAGCACATGGCAGCAGTAGGATTTGAACCCAAGCTGTCTGGCTCTACGTCCATGCTCAGCCCCCATGCTGTGGAGAGCTTAGAGCTTTCTAGATGGCCCAGATCTGTGACTTTCTGGCCACAGAACCTAAGAACCTTCCCTTCCAAAACAGTGTCCTACAGAGCCCAACTCACAGAACAGAAACAAGCAGTTCTGTGTGAGGTGAGGCAAGTCCCTGCCCTCCGCAGTCTGAAGGAGAGCCCTCTGCCTGTTTTCCCCGCTCCAGCCCCGTCATTTTATAGCTGAGGCCCAGAAAGGGGTTGAGGAGCTAAAGGCCCCACAGCCAGGCTGGAAATGGGACAAAACCCAGCATGCTTTTTTGCTTTCTTTTTTCTTTGTAGAGACAGGGTCTTGTGTAGTCACCCAGGCTGGAGTGCAGTGGCGCTATCATAGCTCACTGCAGCCTCTACCTCCTGAGCACAGCAATTCTCCCGCCTCAGACACCCGAGTAGCTGGGACTACAGGCATGCGCCACCACGCCCGGGTAATTTTTTACTTTTTGTAGAGATGGGTTTCCCAGGCTAATCTTAAACTTAATCCTAGGCTCAAGTGATCCTCCTGCCTCAGCCTCCCAAGGTGCTGGAATTACAGGCATGAGCCTCTGTGCCCGGCCAAAAGCTCAGCACTCTTGGGTCTCCATGCAAGTTTCTCTCCTCTCTTGGGGCACCCACTGAGGCCCCACTGTCTCTCCAGGGCCTGAGCCTTTTTTTTTTTTTTGCCCCAGACAACAACAAGCCAAGATGCCACTCTTCTACTCGGCTTGCAAAAGAACCTCCTTGTCTAGGGTTTTCTCCAAGACGCACCATGGCTGGGCTGTTGCTGTGTTTCCCGAAATTTGAACCTCCATATCAGTGTCTGTCCATCATCTGAGACCCCTGGCACGAGCTGCGGTGGCTCAAGGCGGGTTTCTTTTCCTGAGGCCAGAAGGGGAAGCGCAGGTAGGGAGTCGTGCCTGTGGGTACCGGGAAGCCACAGGTTGCTCAACCTCCCGAGGGGGTAACCGGGGCTTACGGTGCAGCCAGGCCCCCTTTGGTTTTTAGGAAATGGTGAAAGCGGTGACAATGATGACGTGGCTTTGAAAGTTCCCTCTGGTCTCTTTCGCAGCGGCCACAGGACCTGAGCCAGCGCCTCCCTTCCAGAACCTATGTTTTTGTTCTCTCAGCTGCCCTGCCTCCTCCCCATGGTCATGACAATGAGATAAAGCAGCAGGCACCGTGCCTCATTCAGCTATTTATGTATTTATTTATTTTTTTAAGACAGAGTCTCCCTCTGTCACCCAGGCTGGAGTGCAGTGGCGCAATCTCGGCTCACTGCAACCTCCACCTCCCGGGTTCAAGCGATTCTCCTGCCTCAGCCTCTCAAGTAGCTGGGATTACAGGCACCCGCCACCACTTCTGGCTGATTTTTGTATTTTTAGTAGACATGGGTTTTCACCATGTTGGCCAGGCTGGTTTCAAACTCCTGACCTCAGGTGATCTGCCCATCTCGGCCTCCCAAAGTGTTAGGATTACAGGTGTGAGCCACCGCACCAAGCCTTTTATGGGGGGGTGGGGGGACAGAGTCTCACTCTGTCACCCAGGCTAAAGTGCAGTGGTGCGATCTCGGCTCACTGCAGCCTCCGCCTCCTGGGTTCCAGCGATTCTCCTGCCTCAGCCTCTGGGTAGCTGGGATTACAGGCATGCATCACCATGCCCGGCTAACTTTTGTATTTTTAGTAGAGACGGGGTTTCACCATGTTGGCCAAGCTGGTCTCGAACTCCTGACCTCAGATGATCCACCCACCTCGGACTGCCAAAGTGCTAGGATTATAGGTATGAGTCTTTCAGCTATTATGATGATGGTGTTGCTATTGACTTTAAGCTCCCCTTCCACCCAAAACAAAACCCTGCAAGGCCCATGAGTGAGCCCTGGGCTGGAACTCATGTGTTTCCAGAATCACAGTTTTGATCTGTTTGCTGTAGCCACAGCTTCGTGATAAGAAAATGGTCCTAGCCAAGCAAATGGACTCATGACACAAACCACCCCCTACCTGAGCTCTGGACTCAGTCTCCCCAAAGCCCAGAGAGGCGGCAGAGCCCTTCCTGAGAACTCTAGAGCCCTGTGTTACCCTAAGCCTCGTCTCTTCTCTGCCCCTCACCTCCAAAACATCTTCCACTCTGCTCACTCCACTCCAGCCACAGGGGCCTCCTCCCAGCTGTTTCAGAACTGTCCTGCCTCAGGACCTTTGCACGGCTGCTCCTCCTGCCTGGACTGCAGGCATCCCAGGTATCTATGTGGCCTGCTCCTTCCTTCAAACCTGTGCTCAAACACCACTGACCACTCTATCTGAGGTTATCCTCCCCTTCCCGACCCTCATGAAACACTCCCACCCTGTCACCTTTTTCTGTTGCACTACCATCTCCTTTTTAATTTTTTAATTTTTTATATTTAGAGACAGGTCTCACTCTGTCTCCCAGGCTGGAGTGCAGTGGCGTGATCATATAGTTCACGGCAGCCTCAAACTCCTAGGCTCAAGCAATCCTACCACCTCGGCCTCCCGAGTAGCTGGGACTACAGACACCAGCCACCATGCCCAGCTTGTTTTTGTATTTTTTATTTTTGTAGAGATGGGATCTCTCTGTGTTGCCCAGGCTGGTCTGGAACTCCTGGCCTCAAGCACTGGGATTACATGTGCCAGCCACTGCATTCGGCCACATTTGTCACCTCCTAAATAACTACATCATGGTTGTTATTCCACGTCTGTCTTCCCAGCTAGAGGGTCCCTGCTGGGAGGATAAAGCTTGTGTGTTAGTCACTGCTGTGTCCCAGATGCCTGGCATAGGCCTGTGAGAGTGGCAGGAGGCAGCCAAATGCCTAGGCAGATGGGCCGGGTCCCCAGCGCAACCCCACCTCCAAGTGGGAGACAGTTTAAAACCCAAAAGCCAAGCTAGAAGTTAAATTCTCGGACTGGATTGGGAGCTTGTCTTCCCGTTTGGCATGCTTTCCTCTAGCTGGCCCCCACCCTTCACCTATTTGACATATACCTACCTTTTCCTAATTGGTTTTCTACACCGTCATGCCCACCTTTGAGTGGTGTCTTCATTTTAACCTTTTTGCAATACTCACAAACCAGTCAGCCCACACTCCCCATTCTGAGTCCATAAGAGACCCCAGACCCAACCACAGGGGGAGAACTTCCCTGCCTTCAGGTAGGGGCACCAACCCTGTGTCCCCTCTCCGCTGAAAGCCGTTTTCATTACTCAATAAAATTCTTCCCCACCCTCCTCCTCCAATGTCCCGCATATCCTCATTCTTCTCGGGCATGGTACAAGAGCTCGGGAACTGCCAAACATGGATACAAGCTATAATACAGGCAAACCGGGGCATGTCAGTGTGGCTGAGTGAGGCCTGGGCAGGGTGTCGCCTACTGGGGGTCCCTGGTTTGGAAAGTGACCAAGAAGAAAAATCCCGCATCACCGGCACATGAAAAAGTGAATAAAGAGAGGGTAGTATGGACAGGAATGGAATGGGGAGAATCCTGATTCTCCATCCCCCCACCCTCACTCCTCCTTTTGCACCTGCCTCCACACACACAGGCGGCCCTCCAGACCCCATCCTGGGAATGTCACTCGGAGGCCTTAATGTCTGGAGGGTTTCCACAAATCAGACAAATAAAACCGCCTCCCCTTCCCACCTCCCCACCCTTCTGTGACAGAGGTCATTCCCCCACCCAACCCCATTCCACTGGCCTCCCTCCTCCACCCTGAACACCTTCATGGGGCTACCACAATTAGACCCTGAAATGTAGAGGAAATATTTGGGAAATCCCAGAGGGAAGGGGGCTCTCCAATTTTCTTCTCTCTCTTGGCCACACAGAACCAGGGTAAGGTTAGCTACTTGACCCAAACTCTTTCTGAACCAAGAATATCCTCTTTATAAAACCATAGTATTTTCTTAAAAATCGTGACTGGTTCCTACAAGGAAACACAGTAGGAGCCGCTTTTGTTTATTTATTAACTTTTTTGAGACAGGGTCTCGCTCTGTCGCTCAGGCTGGAGTGCGGTGGTGTGATCACAGCTCACTGCAGCCTCCACTTCCTGGGCTCAATCAATCCTCCCCTGCCTCAGCCTCCCCAGCAGCTGAGACTACAGGCACCCGGCTAATTTTTGCATTTTTTGTAGAGACGGGGTTTTACCATGTTGCCCAGACTGGTCTCAAATTCCTGGGCTCAAGTAATCCGCCTGCCTAGGCCTCCCATGTTGTCGGGATTACAGATGTGAGCCACCCTGCCTGGCCTGTGGCTTTGTAGTCCAGAATTCCACCCTGGGAATCTACCACATGGATGTGCTTGTTCCTGTGCCTAGATGGGATGTTCTTGCTCCTGTGCCTGGATGGGATGTCCCACATGACCTCAATAGTGATAGCCCCAGCGTGGAAACAATGCAAATGACTCCAGAAGGAGTTGAACAAATACCTCCAGAAAAACCACTCAATAAGATAACTCTGCCCAATGGGGCCGGGTGCAGTGGCTCATGCCTGTCATCTCAGAACTTTTGGGGAGGCCGAGGCGGACGGATTGCCTGAGCTCAGGAGTTCGAGACCAGCCAACATAGTGAAACCCTGTCTCTACCAAAAATACAAAAAATTAGCTGGGTGTGGTGACACATGCCTGTAGTCCCAGCTACTTGGGAGGCTGAGTCAAGAATTGCTTGAGCCCGGGAGGCGGAGGTTACAGTGAGCTGAGATCGCACCACTGCACTCCAGCCTGGGTGATAGAATGAGACCCCGTCTCAAAAATATATAAATAATAAGATATTCTGCCACTGTTAAGGAGGAAGGAAGAGCCCTACGCAGGCTGTTATGGAAATGTTATGGAAAGCAGGCTGCTAAATTCTTCAGTGTGAGTCCCAAGCTGTAGGACAGGGAGTCGTGAACAGCTGGCCTCGTGTGTCACTGTCTACAGCAGGTGTCTGTCTGCAGGTCACACCTGCAGTGGGGCATGAAATCATTTGATTGGGTTATGACGAGCCACCTTTCTTTGTAAACAAAATGTAATTGAATGGAATGGAATAGACTACACAACTCCAGATGGGCACTCCATGCCACAAGTATGGTTGAGTTACACTTGTGTTTTATTTCTATACGAGTGCCCGTGTGTACCAGGTTGTAAGATCTATTGTTCACTGTGGCTTGTTGCAAAAAAAAAAAAAAAAAAAAATTGGAAAGCCTTGAAATGGAAACTATCTAAAAGAAAGGACACAGGTGGGATTCAGTGACTGACTCACGCCTATAATCTCAGAGCTTTGAGAGGCCGAGGTGGGAGGATTGCTCGAGGCCAGGAGTCCCAGACCAGCCTGGGCAACCCAGCGAGACCCCATCTCTACAAAAAAATAACAAAAAATTAGCAGATTATGGTTGCCCATGCCTGTAGTCCCAGCTACTCGGGAGGCTGAGGTGAGAGGGTCCCTTGAACCCAGAAGTCCGAGGCTGCAGCGAGCTGTGATCACACCACTGCATTCCAGCCTGGGCAATCTAGAAAATAAAATAGAACACATTTAAAAATAAAAGGAAGAACACAAACAGTAAAGGGTGCCTCCCTCTGAAGAGGAGGAGGGGGTTGCAGGCAGGAGCTTTATATTATACAATTCTGTACTATTTGTGTGTTTCTTTTTAAACAATCAGCGTGTATTGCTTTTGCAATAAAATAAAGACCTTTAACAATCTTTTAGAAAAAATAAACTTCCCTGCCTCCATCCCCAGGATGGGGGCGGTGCTGTTTGAGCTGTCAGCAGGCTTTTGAGGTGAAAAAGACCAAATCCCTGCCCCAGGGGCTCTGCCTCCCGAGGGGTTTCAAGGGCCTCCCTGGCTGTCTTCCACGCGCCCTTCTCTTCCCCTCCAGAAATCCAGGGGAACATCCAAAAAGGAAACACGCCTTGAGATGTCGGTCTTCATTTTCCAAAATGGAACAGGCGCTCCAGTTTTAGCCTGGGAATGGCTGGAAACGCCCTGGGGGACACAGCTGCCTGGCAAGGTTTCCTAGCAGACAGAGCAATGCGGCAGTATCAGAAATGGTTCGGAAAATCCGCAGCCCCCATCCCAACCCGGCCACCTCAGCAGGCATGCAATTGTGTTTCCAGCTTAGCTGACAAAGAGCTCTCAGAACTCCTTCTTATAAATGCACATTTAAGAATCCACTAGAGGCCGGGCGCAGGGGCTCACGCCTGTAATCCCAGCACTTTGGGAGGCTGAGGCGGGCGGATCACAAGGTCGGGAGATCGAGACCATCCTGGCTAACACAGTGAAACCCCATCTCTACTAAAAATACAAAAAAAAATTACCCAGGCGTGGTGGCGGGCGCCTGTAGTCCCAGCTACTCAGGAGGCTGAGGCAGGAGAATGGCATGAACCTGGGAGGCGGAGCTTTCAGTGAGCCAAGATCACGCCACTGCACTCCAGCCTGGGCAACAGAGCGAGACTCCACTAGAGGCTGGGCGTGGTGACTCATGCCTGTAACTCCAGCACTTTGGGAGGCTGAGGCAGGAGGATTGCTTGAGCCCAGGAGTTTGAGACCAGCTTAGGCAACATAGTGAGACACTGGAGGGGTAGGTGGTGATGTGAAATTTCAGTTCTGTGTGCTTATTGTTCTAAATCAACCAAACCCATTCATGCCTGCTCTAAAATGTGGAATATGCTTGGTGGATTTTAACTTGGAACTACATTCACTGAAGGGAAAGAAATTCCTGAGAGCTGACCTCTCATGAGCCCCTGTGAAGCAAGTATTTCATATATCATTAGTTCATTTAATCCTCATTACGACCCAACTAATTGCACAGTTTTGTATCATAAATATATTGTTTAGATAGCAAAGGGAATTTATTTGCTCATATAGTTGGAAAGTCCATGGTGAGGACTTCAGGCATGGCTGGATCCAGGAGCACAAATGCCATCATCAAGAATCTCTCGGCCAGGTGTGATGGCTCACGCTTGTAATCCCAGCACTTTGGGAGGCCAAGGCAGGAGGATTGCTTGAGCCCAGGAGTTCGAGACCAGCCTGGGCAACACAGCAAGACTCTGTCTCTCTTAAAAAAAAAAAAAAAAAAAAAAGAATCTACTAGGTGGTGGCCACAGTTGTGTCACCTGGATGGTTCCCTATTATAAAATGTCACTGCAATAGATATTGCTGGGCACATGGCTTTTCTTTTCTTTTTTTTTTTTTAGGGTTATTTCCTTTGGGCAAATTCCCAGAAGTGTGATTACTGACGAGAAAAGTATAGACATTTCCAGGCCCCTGAAACGCTGCGTCAAACTGCTTCCTGAAGAGGCTGGGACCCACCCACGCCTGTTCAAGGAACTGCCTGCTCAGTGTAATGAAGCCACTGCCATCTCGGTCATCTTTGGATGTGAAACATCTGTTCTCCTGTGTCGGGAAGTTGGAGCAATGCGGGAAAGAACGGAACTTCCTTGCCTACTCCAGGAATCGGCCAGGACCACTGCTGGACGTGGGGCACTTGAATGGGTCCCTCACCCGTGTGCAGGCCCTCAGGGCTCCCAGGAACAGGAATGTGTCCTTTCCTCTCTCTCTCTCTCTCTCCACTGTGCAAACAGGGAGCCCAAGCTCTCAGCATCCCCCCAGCCAGCTCTGGATGGAGGATGAGCTGAATTACGCACCGTGGACTTCACCAGTGGGGCTGTGACAAGTGCCTGTGTCCCCGTGGGGAATGTGGCCCCTAGTATTCAATGGGGGGATGCCACGCAGGTCTGGCTATGTCTTCAGAAACCCCCACGAGGCCCAGGATTCCTCCCAGGCGGGATCCTGTGCACCTCCCGGAGGACTGGGAAGAGGGAAAGGAGCACAGCTAGCACTGCCCTGGGCTCCCTTCACAGTGTGGGGGACCCCTTCCCAGCCCCGTGTCTCTCTTTACAGCCCAGAGCCGCACAGGAGGGAGACTCCTAGGCAGGGGCCGCAAGGAAGGAAGGGAAGAAAAGGAGAAAGAAGGGAGGGAAAAAGAGAAATGAAAAGAAAAAGAATTGAGATGGGACAAGGAGTGAGAAGAGGGGAGGAAGCAAGAAAAAGTAAAGCAGCAGCCAGCCGGGCACGGAGGCCAAGGCAGGAGGATCGCTGGAGGCCAGGAGTTCGAAGCTGCAGTGAGCTATGATTGCACCACTGCACTCTAGCCTGGGCAACAGAGTGAGACCCTGTCTCTAAGAGAAAGAGAAGCAAGAGAGTTACCGTGAGAGCCCCGAGAGCTTCCCACACTACACATGTCACTCTCACAACCGCACCAGGAGGTAGGTTCCACTGTTCCCACGGAAACTTATCAATAGCTGCCTCTTTAGGATCAAGACCAACCTCTCCCACGGCCTGCGCACAGCCTGATCTTCTGGGAGCCCCCATTCTTCCTTCAAAGTGTTGCACACACAGGATATGTGATCATTGATTTAGTTGAGGGATCCTTTTTCGTTAAACTTATTGTGGGCTATTGCTATCAGACACAGAACAGGCATGATAGGCTGATGGCACTGACCTCTACACCCTACTCACCATCTGGTCTGTCTGATGCTATCCGTCCCACATGGTTCCCTCTGCCCCTGGATTTTTTTTAATTTTTATTTTTTAATTTTTTGAGATAAGGTCTGGCTGTATCACCCAGGCTGGAGTGCAGTGGCATGATCTCGGCTCACTTCAACCTCCACCTCCCAGATTCAAGCCATCTGCCCACCTCAGCCTCCCGAGTAGCTGGGACTACAGGCACGCACCACCATGCCCAGTTAATTTTTGTATTTTTTGTAGAGACGAGGTTTTGCCATGTTGCCCAGGCTGGTCTCGAACTCCTGATCGCAACTGATCCACCTGCCTCGGCCTCCCAAAGTGCTGGGATTATAGATGTGAGCCACCTCGCCTGGCCAGAAAAGTTCCTGAAGGAAATTAAAAGTACGCACATGAATGATAAGAAAGTGAAACAGGCTTACTGCTGATATTAATTTTATATGCACTGGAAAACCAAAACATTTCTGTGACTTGCTTTCTTGCAATTTTTGCTTTATTGTGGTGGTCTGGAACCAAAACCATAGTATCTCTGAGGTATGCCTGCAGCCACAAAACTACAACATGCCCAGGCTGGAGTGCAGTGGCACGATCTCGGCTCACTGCAACCTCTGCCTCCCGGGTTCAATCGAATTTCCTGCCTCAGCCTCCCGAGTAGCTGGGACTACAGGCCCCCACCACCATGCCCAGCTAATTTTTTTGTGTATTTTTAGTAGAGGTGGGGTTTTGCCATGTTGACCAGAGTGGTTTCGAACTCCTGACCTCAGGTGATCCACCTGCCTCAGCTGGTCAGAGTGCTGGGATTACAAGCGTGAGCCACTGCGCCCGGCCTACTTCACTGTATCCTTCCAACAACCTTACGAGCGAAGTGCTATTCCTGTCCTATATTATGGATGAGGAAACTGAGTTCAGAGAGCTTTCAGGAATGGCCCAAGGTCACACCACCATTTGGGAGTAAATCCACATCCTCACCCCAGGCAGTTTGGCTCCAGAGCCCCAGCTTCCACTGCTATTCTGAACTGCCTACAGTGTGGACCACGTTTTCTGTTCCAAAGTTGGGAAAGTAAAACCCCCACTCTCAGGGCAGGTGCCCCATGTATAGCTGCCTTGCCAAGCTGGCCTCAGCCTTGCATCACAGGCCTGCATCAGAGGATGCAATGTGATACTCACTATCATGTTCCCTGCAGAGCTGTGTCGAGAACAGTGCTGTCTCCTCCAGCACATTGCCTTGGCCCCTGTATAAGGGCCTGTAGGAGAAAAGCCCTTCACACCCAAGAAGGCTGGACTTCCCTTAAGCTCTTAATTTATTTTCAATTTTGGGTCAGTGAGAATCTTGAAATTAATTGGTTCTCTTTTTGCTCTGGCCACTAGGAAGCTCAGAGCCAAATGTATGTCCCACTTCTGAAAGTAGTGTGCTTTAATATGGGTATCATTCGGGAAAAAAAAAAAAAGTTCCTTCCTTCTTATTGTTTTCTACCTCAACGTCCTCATTAAAAAAATCCTGTTGTTTTGTTGGTATCTCTGTAAGTTACCTCGAATCCATCTTGGAAAAAGGCAAGGGTTGTGAATGCAAAAAAAAATTTAATAAATACAGGCACACATGAAAAACGAATGAACAACCATAACATCACCAGACCAGGGTTCATCAACCTTGGCACTATTAGTATTTGGGGCCAGGTCATTCATTGTTATGGGCGCTTGCCTGTGCATCATGGAAGGTTTGGCAACATCCCTGACCTCTTTCTAGAAACCAGTAGCACTCCTCCCCACATCATGGCATCCAAAGATGTCTCCAGATGACATCTCCAGATTTGTCTCCTAGGACCAAATTCCCTCCCAGTTAAGAACCCCTGTCCCAGCTCCCTGAAGGCAGGATCATTATGGTTTTACAACAGTAAACCCCCTCAGGCATGAAGCTGGCACTTAGCAGAAACAGCTGGCTGAAGAAATAAACTAATGCCTGCCCCAGTACATCATCCCTTTCCAGGCTTCCAGGACACAGAGCTCTTGCCATCTCGATCCTCCTAGCACCCCCATGGGATCAGAATTAGATCCTTGCGTCACAGATAAACCCCACTGGGGTTCAGAGAAGCTGAGCGAGTGGCCCAAGATCACACCGCAAGCACAGCCCAGGATAAAGGATAGAGTGCAGAAAGACTGCCTGTCCCTCGTTATGGTGAGAAGAACGGGGAGCAGTGAGGAAAGGGACGTAGCTGGATCATGGGGAACAAGTTGGATTCTACCGGGTGTGGGGAAAGGGGAGGGGAGTTCCCAGGTAGGGAAATCCCAGCATGAGCAAAAGCCCGTAGGCAGGAATTTGAGCAGCTTGCTTAAGAGTTGGGAACTCCCACAAGAATTGAAAACCTAAAAATCCATAGGAAACTGTACACAAATGGTGGAAACACCCCAAATGTCCGTCGACAGACAAGTGGATGAACAAAATCCGGTCTATCCATACAACGGAGCATTATTCAGCCATGGAAAAGAATAAAGCACTGATACGGGCTGCATCGTGGATGAACCTTGGAAACAGTACACTGAGTGAGAGAAGTCAGGTGTGAAATGCCACAGGGGGCCAGGCGCAGTGGCTCATGCCTATAATCCCAGCACTTTGGGAGGCCGAGGCAGGTGGATCATCTGAGATCAGGAGTTCGAGACCAGCCTGGCCAACATGGTGAAACCCTGTCTCTACTAAAAATACAAAAATTAGCTGGGCATGGTGCCGCATGTCTCTAGTCTCAGCTACTCGGGAGGCCGAGGCATGAGAATCTCTTGAACTCAGGAGGCAGAGGTTGTAGTGAGCTGCACTCCAGCCTGGGTGACAGAGTGAGACTCTGTCTCACACACACACAAAAAAAACAAAACAAACAAACAAAAAAAAACGCACCGAGTATACAGTTCCATTGATGTGAAATGTCCAGAACAGGCAAATTCACAGAGACAGAAAGCGGATTCATGGTTTTAGGGCTGGGGGAACAAGGAAATTAGACAGCGATGGCTAAAGGGGATGAGGTTTCTTTTGAAGCTGTAGAAAAATGTTCTGAAACTGACAGTGGTGACAGTTGCACAATTCTATAAACTAAAAGCCTTTGAATAGTAGACTTTTTTTTTTTTTTTTAATACGGAGTCTCACTCACTCTGTCGCCCAGGCTGGAGTGCAGTGGCGAGATCTCAGCTCACTGCAACCTCCACCTCCTGAGTTCAAGCGATTCTCCCGCCTCAGCCTCCTGAGTAGCTGGGGTTACAGGCGCCTGCCACCACACTCAGCTAATTTTTTTGTATTTTTAGTAGAGATGAGGTTTCACCATGTTGGCCAGGCTGGTCTTGAACTCCTGACCTCAAGTGATCCACCCGTCTCGGCCTCCCAAAGCGCTGGAATTACAGGCGTGAGCCACCGTGCCCGGCCTGAATGGTATGCTTTAAATGGGTGAATTGTCCGGTATGTAAATTACGTATCCAAAACACTCTTGGAAAAAAGAAAAAGGGATAAAGGGAGCAAAGGATTCAGGCTGCAGGACTGGCTGTGCCACTTCCCGGCTGCGTGACCGTGAGCAAGTTACTTCACCTCCCAGAGCCTCAGAGGCCCCCATCTGCTACGGTTGAGAGATGCCTGCTGTTCAAGGGACCGTAAACATTTGTCCCTGGCATGCCTCCTTCCTGCCCACTTCTCCCTCACACTCCAGAAGCCTCCAGAATGTCTGCTGCAGGAATGGGGCAATTCCTTGAAATCCAAACGGAAAAGACCAGGCTTTCCTGGCCAGTGATGGAAACAAATTTTCACTGTCGTCCAAGGCCTGGATGCTGAAATCACACCCCACCTTCTCTCTCCAGGCCCAGAGGTCCCCGCCTGTCATTTACAGTTTCAAGGCACCAAATGACCCCAATGATTTGCAAAGGATTCCCTATGGCCACCAATCTCTGCAGCCTTCAATCCTCCCCACCCTAGTCCCCACTGCTCCTGATGGCTTTGGGGGGCCTCAGGGAAGCACAGAGAAGCTGGGACTCACCCTGCAAAATAATCCAGCCCAGGAGGACTGGGTGGTGGGGGGACCCCATAAAGAAGCAAGTGTGTGAGCAGCTCCTCCGCACACAATGGCCCCTCAGAAACCTGTCCCAGGGGAAAACAGGGGATCTCTATCGGCAATCCCTAAGAAAGAAATGTCTGTCTTCTTTCAGGACCTGCCCCCGCAGGCTCCAGGCCAAGAATGTCCGGCAAGGGGTCTATTAAGTTTCTAAAATTATGCCTAGGTTGGAGGGTTGGTGGGGGTGAGGATCGGGAAAGGACGTGGCGGTCGGGCAGGCAGGAAATCTTTATTCTGGTCCTTCAAGCCCCAGCCTGCACGCTGGGCAGTGGGAAGGGAGTGGAGAGTCCCTCCAGCAGATATCAGGATGGCTTGAGAATCAAAAGCTCTGTGCACATGGCTTGGCAGCTCAGTTGTCTTCAGACATTGCCACAGTGCCTTCCCAGAGTGCTCAGGTTTTCCCCCGAGCAAGGGAACAATGGGATGGAGCCCAACTTGAGCAGTAAATAAGAGGAAAAAAACCATCGCCCAGTGGTCATAATCTAGAAGTGGAAACAGGGTTGCTGTGTTGGGTTGTGCAGGTTGCGCACTGCACAAATGCAGGGGGCACTCTTCTCAAGTATGGAGTCATGCTTTGTACAACTCAGACAACCATTCAAGGCAACCTGTAATGTACCAGAAGGGGGACCAGCTGGCTCATGGGAGCAAGCCTTCACTCTTGGGTGGGGCTGGGGAAATGTGAATCAGTGGCCAATTTGTACATGGAAGACGGAACAAGACCTCACGACAGTGTCAGTCCTAATTGAAACACTTAGGACCCCTCTCCCCCAGCTACCGAAATCTAAGGGGTAGGAGGAGGGAGGAAAAGTCAAGGAGAAGGCGCCTAAAAATCTATGAGTCGTCCTACCTCCCAGATACGGTTTCCAGAAAAAAATACAGTACATGGCTAGGCATGGTGGCTCATGTCTCAGCACTTTGGGAGGCTGAAGCAGGAGGATCACTTGAGGCCAGGAGTTCAAGACCAGCCTAGGCAAAAATAGTGAGACAAAAAAAAAAATTTTTAATTAGCCAGGCGTGGTGGCACAAGCCTGTAGTCCCAGCAACTCGGGAGGCTGAGCTGGGAGGATGAATTGAGCCCAGGAGTTCGAGGCTGCAATGAGCCACGATCACCCCCCTACACTCCAGCCTGGGCAACAGAACGAGACCCTGTCTGCAAAACATATATATAGGATGCCCAGTTAAACTCAAATGTCAGAGAAACAGTGAATACTTTTTTAGCAAGTCCTAAATACAGCATGGGATATACTTATACTAAAAAATCATTTGTTGTTTCTCTGACATTTGAATTTAACCAGGCATCCTGCATTTTTATTTACTAAATCTAGCAGCCTTTCCCCTAGAGGACATCCCTATAACAATACTTTTTACCACCTACTATTGCCTGGAAATGGCTACTAAATTGCAGCCAATTGGGAGCAAATTTCCTCCAAGCATTTTTCTATCTTTTTTTTCTTTCTTTCTTTTCTTTTTCTTTTTCTTTTTTTTTTTTTTAAGACAGAGTCTCCCTCTGTCACCCAGGCTGGAGTGCAGTGGTGCGATCTCGCCTCACTGCAATCTCCACCTCTCGGGTTCAAGTGATTCTCCTGCCTCAGCCTCCTGAGTAGCTGGGATTACAGGTGTGCGCCACCATGCCTGGATAGTTTTTTTGTATTTTTAGTAGAAACAGGGTTTCACCATGTTGTCCAGGCTGGTCTCAAACTCCTGACCTCAGGTGATTCGCCCACCTCGGCCTCCCAAAGTGCTGGGATGACAGGTGTGAGCCGCTGCGCCTGGCCCTCCCATTTCGACTGTTGTGGGGTCCCACAGGATATGGAGTGTGACAACAACCCCCATCCAACGCAACTTAATGGCTTCCTTCTTCCTTCTTCCCCTCGGGGCTCGGAAATCACCACTCGCCTGGCAAAGAGGGTTATGTGGGTGCCCACACAGCCATGTCACTGAGAGGGTGGAAACAGGGTCTCAAAGTCCAAGGATCTCCTGGCACTGCCCACACCGCCAAAGCTCAGGACAGCCAACCATGTGCCAGGTTTGCTCAGCCCAGATCTAAAACGGGGGTCTCTCCAGTGAGTCAGACCAGGTCATTTCCCAGCCCAGGGACTCTGTGACTCCTGGGAGCCGCAGCAGGCTTTGGCTGCACCGTCCTCATCATTCTTGTGAAAAGGGGCCACCTGGGGGGCAGCCTGGAGGGTTGGTGAAGAGGTGTCTCCCTCCCTGGCTTGGCCTGGGCTCTCTGGAAGGCAGGTGAAGAATGAGGAAGGAAGGGCCTTATTGGGCAACTCCCAGCAGGTTTCTGTGGGAACGGCTGTCTGACCTCGTGTGGGTCACCTGCGGTTAGAGCAAACTGCACTGCATGCGGCCAGCGGGCGGCCAGGGCCGGCCCAGCTCAGGACGCTCACGTGCACAGAGAACCTGGATGGAAAGTTAACAAGGCCCAGGCAGGAGCCCTCGCAGAGACAGCAGACCTTCCCACCCCACTCCCAGCCCAGAACTGGCCACCCACTTCCCCACCCCATTCTCCCCTGACATCTCTGTTTGTCCACGTCCTTGAGAAGGGCGGAGGGACGAGGACAGACTGAAAAGAGATGTTTGGAGGATGAGTCCGCCCTCTTGGGGAATGATTTCACTGTGGAACCAAGCTTGGTTACACCAGAAGCTCTTGGGCACCATCTCAGGGACTCCCATGGCTCCTGAAGACTTGTGGGAACCCTGTGTCCCCCTAGAATCTTGACCTCCCAACCCTGCAAAAGCTGTCATCTTGGGGCACAGCCGATGGCCTGGGTGCCTCTTGATGGGCAAGGCCAGCCATTCAGGTGCTTCACTCTAGGTTTTTCTTTGGATTTTTTTTTATTTGTTTTTTGGGGTTTGTTTTAGATGGAGTTTCGCTCTGTTGCCCAGGCTGGAGTGCAGTGGTACAATGTCGACTCACTGTAACCTCCATCTCCTGGGTTCAAGCGATTCTCCTGCCTCATCCTCCCGAGTAGCTGGGACTACAGGCACCTACCACCACGCCTGGCTAGTTTTTGTATTTTTAGTAGAGATGGGGTTTCACCATGTTGACCAGGCTGGTCTCGAACGCCTGACCTCAAGATCACTCTAGTTTTTGTTTCCACTTCTGGATCCCCATGGGATGGAGAGAGACGGGACACTCGCATTGACAGAGAGACCAGACCTCCTGGGTCACCTGGGGGAATAAGCAATGCAGCCAGCTGCCAGGTCCCAGGGCTGCCTTCTCCTGACCATCTGGGCAATTCAGACACAGCTGGGTCTGAGGTGCCAGAGTGTGTTGTTCCGCCTGTTTAGACCTGCCCCACCTCGAAGACATCGGTGATTCACAATCTTCCCTAGAACGGACAACTCCTGGAGGGTGGGGCCCCTGCTGATTCAAACTGGGCTCCTATGAAAGCTCCCAGAGGGTGAGGGCAGTCAGGGAAGGCTTCCAGGAGGAAGTGGCTCTTGTTGAAGGCTAAGCCAGAGTTAGGTGGGAGAGGAGCAGGAAAGGTGTCCTTACAGGGAGCACAGCCGGACGGAGGGTGTGGCGTGTGCCGGCTAGGCAGTTCACACTGGTGGAACCGAGGGCACAGAGGTGGCTGGGGCAAAGCCCAGACAGAAAGGACATCTCAGAAATGAGGATCTGTACTCCGAGAGCCGGCCTCACCCTGCCACATGTTGTCAGATGACCGGGCGGGCCACTTCTCTCGCTGAATGTTTATTTCCTTATCTCTAAAACGGAACTGACAGTTGAGATCAACGCCTGTGTTCTGTGGGGTCCCTCTGCTTCCTGGCAGGTCCTGAGATTTGGACACTTGCACATGACTCATTCATTCCCAGCAACACCAGTCAACAGTGGAGCCGTTGTGCCCATTGTACAGACGGGGCAGCTGAGGCTTGTGCAGGCTCAGAAGGATGTCCTAGTCTCTCTCACTCTCCTTTCTCCCTCCTACGGATGCTGTGACAAATGACCACAAACTAGGTGGCTTAAAACAACAGAAACTGATTGTCACAGTTCTGGAGGCTAGAAGTCTGAAATCAAGATGTCAGCGGGCTGGTCCTTCTGGAGGCCTTCTCCTTCTCCTTCTCCTTCTTCTTTCCTCTTCTTTCTTTTTCTTTTCTTTTTTTTTTTTTTTTCTTGAGACAGAGTCTCACTCTGTCACCCAGGCTGGAGTGCAGTGGCACAATCTTGGCTCACTGCAACCTCCACCTCCCAGGTTCAAGCAATTTTCCTGCCTCAGCCTCCCAAGTAGCTGGGATTATAGGCACACACCACCAGGCCCGGCTAATTTTTGTATTTTTAGTAGAGATGGGGTTTCACCATGTTGGCCAGGCTGGTCTCGAACTCCTGACCTCAAGTGACCTGCCTGCCTTGGCCTCCCAAAGTGCTGGGATTACAGGCATGAGCCACTGTGCCCAGGCTTTTTCTGGTTTTTTTTTAAGATGGGGTCTTACTCTGTCACCCAGACTGGAATGCAATGGCACAACTTCAGCTCACTGCAACCTCCACCTCCAGGGCTCGAGATCCTCCCATCTTGGCCTTCCAGAGTGCTGGAATCACAAGTATGAATCAGTGTGCCCGGACTGTTTTCACCTTTCAGCTGTTACAAATATCTTCTTACTTCCTCTGATATGCCTACTAGAAAATTTAAACTTGCCCAGTGGCATGCATTACCCTGCAGCTGGACCAGCTCTGTTCTAGACGGCAGGCAGTTCTAACGGCAGGGAGTCAGTTCAGTGATTGTCATGACAGCGAATGCATGGCTTCCAGGACCCTGTGGCCCGCTGTCAGATGGGGCCGGGTCTGAGTGCCTCACTCACAGCTGCTTCTCCAGCACCCAGCCCAGCAGCTGGCACGGGGTGGATGACCAGTCGGTACACACTGGGAGAATGAATGAATGAACAAAGGAAGGAAGGAGAGACCAAGCTGGGGCTCTAGGAGAAAACGAGGCAGGAAAGTCCCAGGGGACAGTGGCTGAGGAAAGAACAGAGATCCCAGGAAGAAAAGCGACACCCAGAGCCCCATCTACCCTGGGGTGTAAATGGCATGGGCAACAACTCAGAGGAAAAGTAAAGACCTTGGGTGCGGTGGCTCACGCCTGTAATCCCAGCACCTTGGGAGGCTGAGGCAGGTGGATCACCTGAGGTCAGGAGTTCAAGACCAGCCTGGTCAACATGGCGAAACCCCGTCTCTACTAAAAATACAAAAATTAGCCTGGCATGGTGGTGCATGCCTGTAATCCCACCTACTCAGGAGGCTGAGGCAGGAGAATCGCTTGAACCTGGGAGGTGGAGGTTGCGGTGAGCCGAGATCACACCATTGCACTGCAGCCGGGGCAAAAAGAGTGAAACTCCGTCTCAATAAATAAATAAATAGCCAGGTGTGGTGGTGCATGCCTGTAATCCCAGCTACTCAGGAGGTGGAGGTTGCAGTGAACCGAGATTGCACCACTGCACTCCAGCCTGGGAGACAGAGTGAGACTATGTCTTTAAAAATAAATAAATAACTAAAATAAAATAATAAAAAAAGAAAAGTGAAGACCTATGTGGTATAATAAAAAGTATCTGCTTGGTCTTTGTTCCCTGTCACTGGTTCCTGGCACAGAGCTGCCAAAGCCCTTGGACCCTCCTCAGTGATTAGAGTATCTTTCGTATGCTAATGGGATGACTCAAGATGACTCAGTGTGGGGGTACCTAGATAGCTTTGGAATGCTTAGAGGGTTAGAAGGTTCAGTTCACCCACTCCTCACCTCTGGGGAGGGGAGAGGGACTAGGAGTTGGGTCCAATCACCAATGGCCATGATTTAATCAATTATGCCTACGTCACGAAACCTTGATAAGAACCACTAGATAGGTTTCTGGGAGCGTTCAGGTTGCCAAATACATCCACTACCTGGGAGGTGGGGCACCCCAACTCCACGGGGACAGTGGCCCTACATTCAGGGCCCTTCCAGACCCCACCCTATGCTCCTGTGCATCTGGCTGTTTGTATCTTTTATAATAAACTGGAATAGTGCTGGACACCGTGGCTCCCACCTGGAATCCCAATGTTTTGGGAGGCTGAAGCAGGCAGATCCCTTGAAGCCAGGGATTTGAGACCAGCCTGGGCAACATGGCAAGACCCCATCTCTAAAAAAATTTTTTATTAAATTAGCCAGGCATGGTAGCACGTGACTGTGTTCCCAGCTACTCAGAAGGCTGAGGTGGGAGGATTGCTTGAGGCTAGGAGGTTGAGGCTGCAGTGAGCTACGATTGTGCCACTGCACTCCAGCCATGGGTGACAGGGTGAGACCCTGTCTCAACAAAACAAAACAAGAAAAAAAAAAAGAAAAAGAAAGGGGCTTATGATGAATAACAAAAGATGTACCTCTCATCTTTGCCACTCAGGAAATTACGAGGACCTTAGAAGCTCTGTCAGGTACGTGAGGCAAAGACCAAATACATATTTCCTATTGTATCACAATATCACAGGCTACCCTCTGGCCTTTGAACACAAATCCCTTACAGTCAGATGATCATAAACATCAAAAGATGCCCGGAGTGGGCAACATAGGAAGACCCCATCTCTACAAAAATTCTTAAAAATTTACCGGGCATAGTGGTGCACACGTGTGGTCCCAACTACTCAGGAGGCTGAGGCAGGAGGATCACCTGAGCCCAAGAGGTTGAGGCTGCAGTGAGCTGTGACTGAGCTACTTAACTCCAACCTGGGAAAGAGAGCAAGACTCTATCTCAAAAAAAAAAAAAAAAAAAAGATGCCAGCAGGGCGCAGTGGCTCACATCTGTAATCCCAACACTTTGGGAGGCCGAGGCAGGCAGATCACCTGAGGTCAGGAGTTCGAGACCAGCCTGGTCAACATGGTGAAACCCCATCTCTACTAAAAATACAAAAATTTGCCAGGCGTGGTGGTGCAAGCCTGTGGTCCCAGCTACTTGAGAGGCTGAGGCAGGAGGATCGCTTGAACCCGGGAGGCAGTAGTTGCAGTGAGCCGAGCTCACACGAATACACTTCAACCTGGGTGACAGAGCGAGACTCCAACTCAAAAAAATAAATAAATAGAAATAAAAAAGATGCCAGCACATTGCTAAAATCCATCAGTCCTTAATAACGATACAGTCCGCCATCCCATGAAATGTATGAAAATGTCCCCCAGGGTAAGGCTGCCCAGGCTTGCAGGCTTCCATTCTGTCTTATCAAGTTCTGAAAGCAGGGGCAGTCCCAGCAATATATCAATATATGGCTTCACTCTTTTTTTTTTTTTTTTTTTTTTTTGAGTCGGAGCCTTGCTCTGTTGCCCAGGCTGGAGTGGAGTGGCACAACTCACTGCAACTTCTGCCTCCCGGGTTCAAGGGATTCTCTTGCCTCAGCCTCCCAAGTAGCTGGGACTACAGGCTCACACCACCACGCCCAGCTAATTTTTGTATTTTTAGTAGAGACGGGGTTTCACCATATTGGCCAGACTGGTCTCGAACTCCTGACCTTGTCATCCGCCCGCCTCGGCCTCCCAAAATGCTGGGATTACAGGGGTGAGTCACCGTGCCTGGCCTATATGGTTTCAATCTTTCAGGCATCTGGTATAACTGAGCCAAGGGACAACGCCATCTCTTGATCTAAGCCTCTTTGAAGGTGTTAATGTAATATTAAATTTCCTTCCCTCCGTAACCTATTTATTTATTTATTCATTCATTCATTTATTCATTTTATGTATTTGAGACAGGGTCTCACTCTGTCACACAGGCTGGAATGTAGCAGCTCGAACATAGCTCACTGCAGCCTCAACCCCCTGAGATCAAACGATCCTCCCACCTCAGCCTCCCAAGCAGCTGGGACTACAGGTGCATGCCACCACAACCAGCTTCCAAAAAAATTTTTTTGTTCGAAGAGATGGGGTCTCACTATGTTGCCCAAGCTGGTCTCAAACTCCTGGGCTCAAGTGATCCTCCCCAGTCAGCTACTGGGATTACAGGCGTGAGCCACTGCACCTGGCCATAACCCATTTATTTATTCTGTCTTTTACCTCCAGCTATTTTTGTTTCTTCTCTCCATTTATGCCCAAACTTTTCCCCCTTGGAAGAGACATTCCGTTCTGCCACTGTGCTGGTCTAGATTGCAGGCAGAAATACTAGTCTAGCAGGTGCCTCCCCTGGCAAGGCGGGAGGAGAGCCCTGAATTTGTAATCAGCCAGGCAGAAGTAGGGGTAGCCTGGGGACGCCATTTGCACTGGTGTCTGAAGTGGGAGCAGTCCTGTGGGACTGAGTCCTTTGACCGTGCAGTCTGCACTAACTGTGGGCAGCTTCTGTCGGAACTGAATTGAATTGCTGGCCATGCAGCTGGTGTCAGAGAATCTGGAGAGCGTGCTTGATGGGCTCCCCGGGCTTTCGCTGTGTGCGATGGGCTAATAGCAAGATAGTTTCTCTCTGGCCATGGAGCCACTGGCCATTGTCCCCGCCTCCCAGTGGGTGGAGCATTTCTGGGGGTGGGGAGGGGGCGCTTCATAGAGCTGCAAATTAAAAACCCCCGCACTGGCCGGCCGCGGGGGCTCACACCTGTAATCCCAGCACTTTAGGAGACCGAGGCGGGCGGATCACGAGGTCAGGAGTTCGAGTTCAGCCTGGCTAACATGGTGAAACCCTGTCTCTACTAAAAATACGAAAGTTAGCCGGGCGTGGTGGTGGGTGCCTGTAATCCCAGCTACTCAGGAGGCTGAGGCAGGAGAATCGCGTGAACCTGGGAGGTGGAGGTTGCAGTGAGCCGAGATTACGCCACTGCACTCCAGCCTGGGCAACAGAGCTAGACTCGGTCTTAAAAAAAAAACAAAACAAACAAACAAACAAAAAAAACCCCAGCACTGCCCGGGCACGGTGGCTTACGCCTGTAATCCCAGCACTTTGGGAGGCCAAGGCAGGCAGGTCACTTGAGGTCAGGAGTTCGAGACCAGCCTGGCCAACATGGCAAAACCCCTTCTCTACTAAAAATACAAAATTTAGCTTGGTGTGGTGGCGCTTGCCTGTAATCCCAGCTACTTGGGATGCTGAGGGAGGAGAGTCGTTTGAACCTGGGAGGAAGAGGTTGCAGTGAGCCGAGATCACATCACTGTACTCCAGACTGGGTGACAAAGCAAGACTTCGTCTCAAAAACAAAAAACAAAAAAAAAAACCCCAGCACTGCTGGGCTCAGAGGACACATCTCCACATGGCATGATGAGGCAAAGACCAGTGCCCCAAAGGCCCCAAATGTCATGTGACCCATGTGCACTTCACCCTGTGGCAAGAAGCTGCCAACTCAGCCCTCTTCAGGGGTCATGCAAGAGACAGAAACAGGAGAAGCAAGCTGAGTATAATTATTACAGCCACAGGGCATTCTTGGCTTATATTCTACTTTCCCACTTTGTTTTTGTTTTTTTTTTTGGAGACAGTCTCAGTCTATTGACCAGGCTGGAGTGCAGTGGTATGATCATAGCTCACTGCAGTGTTGACTTCCTGGGCTCAAACCACCATCCTGCCTCAGCTTCCTGAGCAGCTGGAACCACAGGTGCATGCCACCACATCTGGTTAATTTTTTAAAATTTTTCTTTTGTAGAGGCGTCATCCTGCTATGTTGCCCAGGCTGGTCTTCAACTCCTGGCCTCAAGCGATCCTCCCACCTTGGCCTCTGATATAGTTTGAATATTTGTCCCAGACCACATCTCACGTTGAAATGTAATCTGCGGACGGGTGCAGTGGCTCATGCCTGTAATCCCAGCACTTTGGGAGGCCGAGAGCAGTGGATCACCTGAGGTCAGGAGTTGGAGACCAGCCTGGCCAATATGGTGAAACCCTATCTCTACTAAAAATACAAAAATTAGCCAGGTGTGGTGGCGGGTGCCTGTAATCCCAGCTACTTGGGAGGCTGAGGCAGGGAGATTGCTGGAACCTGGGAGGCAGAGGCTGCAGAGAGCCGAGATGGCACCACTGCACTCCAGCCTAGAGGACAGAGTGAGAGTCCGTCTCAAAAAAAAAAAAAAAAGAAAAGAAAAGAAAAAGAAAAGTAATCCTCCACAATGTTGGAGGTGGGGCCTGGTGGGAGGTGTTTGGATCATGGAAGCGGATCCCCCATGATTGGCTTGGGCCATCCCCTTGCTGATGAGTGAGCTCTCACTCTGAGTTCATGGGAGATCTGATTGTTTAAAAGACTGTGGCCCTCCTCCCAACACTATCTCTTGCTCCTGTTTTCGCCGTGGGACATGCCTGTTCCCCCTTCGCCTTCCACCATGACTATAAGCTTCCTGAGGCCTCCCCAGAAGCTGAACAGATGCCAGCACCATACTTCCTGTACAGCCTGCAGAACCATGAGCCCAGTAAACCTCATTTCTTTATAAATTACCCAGTCACAGGTATGTTTTTACAGCAATGCAAGAATGCCTAAAACAGCCTCCCAAAGCACTGGGATTACAGACGTGAGCCACTGTGGCCAGCCCACTTTCCCACTATTGAAGGTGATATGGAAAAAATAGGTCATTTCTATTCTGTGAAAGAATCAGCAGCACAAGTATGATGATATTAGGAACTTATTCTCAGCCTGTGGTCAGGGAGACAGACAATAGGGAGTGGTGGGGACTGTGACAAACTGAAGGGCAAGGCCCCATGTAACAGGTGCAGCGGGCACTGTCATGGCCCTGCCCACATCTCCCTCAGCAGCTGCTGCTCCAGGACATGTCAACACTGCACACTGGGCTCGCCATTTGTGACTTTCTATTTTGAGATGGTCTCGCTCTGTTGCCCAGGCTGGAGTGCAGTGGTGCCATCATGGCTTACTGCAGCCTCAACTTTCTGGGCTCAGGTGATCCTGCCACCTCAGTCTCCTGAGTAGCTGGGACTACAGGCGCACTCCACCACACCCAGTTAATTTTTTTTTTTTTTGAGATGGAGTTTCGCTCTTGTTGCCCAGCCTGGAGTGCAATGGCAGTGCGCGATCTCGGCTCACCGCAACCTCCGCCTCCCAGGTTCAAGTGATTCTCCTGCCTTAGCCTCCAGAGTAGCTGGGATTATAGGCATGTGCCACCACGCCCAACTAATTTTGTATTTTTAGTAGGGACAGGATTTCTCCATGTTGGTCAGGCTGGTCTCGAACTCCCGACCTCAGGTGATCTGCCCACCTCGGCCTCCCAAAGTGCTGGGATTATAGGCATGAGCCACTGCACCCAGCCCCAGCCAATTTTTATATGTTTTGCAGAGATGGGGTCTTGCTATGTAGCCCAGGCTGGTCTTTAACTCCTGGGTTCTAGCCATCCTTCTGCCTCAGCCTCCCAAAGTGCTGGGATTACAGGCATGAGCCACCGCTCCTGGCCCACCCATGACTTTCTACTTGAAGTTTTCTTCTTGGCCTATGTGCAGAACAGACTGGTATTAACCCCCCTCAGAAGCAGGCCTCCATCAAGGATAGACAGGAGTCAGAAGGGAACATCCCAGCCCCCTTGCCCCTCAGGAAGCACAACCCACGTTCTACACAGCTCCCCTGAATTCCCCGGCAGGATGCAGCCCCAGGTGCCCACAAGAGTGGCCGGCTCCCTGACACCTTGTAGTGTGTGTTGATTCTTTCCCTGCCCCGACTCTCTTCCCAACTGCTTGTGCTTCCTGAGATCCCCTCCCTAGTAAACCACTGGCACCCAGATCCTAAGATCCTGCTCTCAGAGCTCCGGGGCAATGCAAACTAAGATAAGAAACCAGCTCCTACGTTGCTGCAGCCCATTTCTTCTGGGTGGGAAGGCAAGACCTTCCCATTTTTTTCAAAAGAAACCAAGATCCAAAGTTTCTCGTGAAACCTTCTGAGGGTTCATTGCCAGCTCAAATTAAACAATGCAAAACAAAATGAAACAAAACACGTCTGCAGGCCCGCTCCAGCCCTTGGCCTTCCCAGTTCAGAGCTGTCGGTGGCTGATGAGGGTGGAGGCAGTGGGGATGTGGTTAGAGAGTGTGTTTGGGGGACCCGCCCTGGCAGCCTGGTGGGGACAGCTCAGAGGAGGTGCCACCATAAGCCAGGCGGCATGGCTTGCTCATGAGACCCCAGCTGGAAGCATCTGGACCGCCTGGCACGGCCACCCTCGGGCTGTCAAGAGACCCAGAGTAAACAGCCTGAACGCTTTCCCAAACACACAGACCCCAAGCCGCCTGCGGCCTCCCCCTGCTCCCTGGGTGGGGAGATATCCCAAGACCCCTCTGCCTGCCTGACATCTGAGCTCAGGCCCAGGAAAAACAAACCCCGGATGGCTGGAGAGCCCCCGGGAAGAGGCAGCAATCACGGGAGAGCCACTTGCAGACCGCACACTTGTGAACTTCATTTTAATTCTGTGCAGATGGAGGAGGCTGTCTGTGCAGATTTCCACCTCCCTACACAACCCCCTTCTTTCCTCTTGCAGAGAAAACAAAAACGGTGTCTCTCGAGATTGCTTTTGCACCGTTTAACAGGGTTATTTAAAGCCATTGCTTTTCTGCTGTCTTTTCAGAATGTAAATTAAGAATACAAGGTGTCGTGAAGGATACTGGAGGGGTAGGTGGTGATGTGAAATTTCAGTTCTGTGTGTTTATTGTTCTGAACCACCTAAACCCACCCATGCCTGCTCTAAACTGTGGAATATGCTTAGTGGATGTTAAGTTGGAGCTACATTCACTGAAGGGAAAGAAATTTCTGAGAACAGACCTTTCATGGGCCTCTGTGAAACAGGTATTTCGTATATCATTAGTTCATTTAATCGTCATCATGACCCAATTAGTTGTATAGTTTCATATAATGAATATATATATATATATATATATATAATTTTTTTTTTGAAACAGAGTCTCGCTCTGTCGCCCAGGCTGGTGCAGTGGCGTGATCTCGGCTCACTGCAAGCTCCGCCTCCTGGGTTCATGTCATTCTTTTGCCTCAGTCAACTGAGTAGCTGGGACTACAGGCGCCCACCACCACGCCCGGCTAATTTTTGTATTTTTAGTAGAGACGGGTTTCACTGTGTTAGCCAGGATGGTCTCGATCTCCTGACCTTGTGATCCACCTGCCTCAGCCTCCCAAAGTGCTGGGATTACAGGCATGAGCCACCGCGCCCGGCCGAATATATTTTTTAGATAGCAAAGGGAATTTATTTGCTCATATAGTTGGAAAGTCTGTGGTAAGGACTTCAGGCATGGCTGAATCCAGGAGCACAAATGCCATCATCAAGAATCTCTCAGGCTGGGCGTGGTGGCTCACACCTGTAACCCCAGCACTTTGGGAGGCCGAGGCGGACAGATTACGAGGTCAGGAGTTCGAAACCAGCCCGGCCAGCATGGTGAAACCCCATCTCTACTAAAGATACAAAAATTAGCCAGGCAAGGTGGCGCATGACTGTAGTCTCAGCTACTCAGGAGGCTAAGGCAGGAGAATCGCTTGAACCCAGGAGGCAGAGGTTGTGGTGAGCTGAGATCACAACCTTGCACTCTAGCCTGGGTGACAGAGCGAAACTTTGTCTCAAAAAAAAAAAAGGATCTCTCTCTTGGCCAAGTATGGTGGCTCACCCCTGTAATCCCAGGACTTTGGAAGGTCGAGGTGGGCAGATTACCTGAGGTCAGGAGTTCGAGACCAGCCTGGCCAACACGGTGAAACCCCGTCTCTACTAAAAATACAAAAATTACCTGGGCATGGTGGCAGGCGCCTGTAATCCCAGCTACTTGGGAGGCTGAGGCAGGAGAATCTCTTGAGCCCGGGAGGCAGAGGTTGCAATGAGCCAAGATCGTGCCATTGCACTCCAGCCTGGGTGACAAGAGCAAAACTCCATCTCAAAAAAAATTTTTTTAAAAGAAGAATCACTCTCTTGGCCAGATGTGATGGCTCACACTTGTAATCCCAGTACTTTGGGAGGCCAAGGCAGGAGGATCACTTAAGCTCAGGAGATCAAGACCAGCCTGGGCAACATAGTAAGACCCCATTTCTACCAAAAATAAATAAATAAATAAATAATTTCTCTCTCTCCGTCTCTTGCCTCTGCTCTCCTCTGTGATTGTATCATTCATTATCAGGTAGGCCTTTCCCTCAGAGGGGTAAAGAGGGCCCCCAGCAGTTCCAGCCTTATCCCCAACCAACTAAACATTTTTGGTGGAAAGAGAATATTTTCCAATAGTTCCAGCTAAACTCCCACGGTTGAATCTCACTGGTCCGGTGTGGGTCACGTGCCCATCCTCTGGTCAATCTCTATGGTTACAGCAATAGAATTCATGATAACAAGCCCCTCCCTGGAGTCTGAGACTGTCAGCCTCACTAGAATAGAAATGGAAATAGGTAGTTACTATCCTCAGAAGGAGCCCTAGATGCTGACATTCAAAAATAACAAATGCCTACCACAGTGGGGCATGTGAGAAGAATAGGTGAGTTCTATGACATCTTGCACAGCAAGGCTGCCGTGACAGTTGCACAGGTTGTGCACTGCACATCTCTACAGGGTCTCCATTTATATTCACTATCACCCTATGTTTACAGATTTATCATGATAAATTTCCAACAGACTGCAGTTAAACATCTTCAGGAAGGGAAGTGTGATCGACTGAAAATGAAAAACATGGTCGCAGTATTTTGCAACTCTTCCTGTCAAGAGGTAGAGTCTATTTCCTTACCCCTCAAATCTGGGTGGCCTCGAGACTTGCTTTGACCAATAGAATATGGTAGAAGTGACTCTACAAATTTTGAGGCTAAGACTTAAGAGGCTTAGTTTCCACTCTGACCCTCCTGGCGTGCTGCCTGAGACTGCCCGATAAGACTACCCCATAAGAAGGCAAACAGCCCCCAGGAGGGTGAGAGGTCACGTGAAGGAGACCCAAGGTGCCCCAACCAACCAGCTCTGGACTGGAGGACCCAGGAAGGTGAGACAAACTGCTGGGTGAACTGTGCTGTGCCAACTCATTGAAGCTGAGAACTCAATTTCCCAGAATTTCCTCCCCATGTGGTTCTGGTTAGAGATGACCAAAAGAGGAACATGAGTGAAATTTGGAGAGTGGAGACAAAGCAGTGGCCGTGACTCTCTGAAGGTCACTGTGGTCCGGTGTGATGGTGGGTGGTGTCTCCCGAGATCACCTCCCAAAAACCTTTTTTTTTTTTTTTGAGACAGGGTCTCGCTCTGTCACCCAGGCTGGAATGCAGTAGTGCGATCTCGGCTCACTGCAGCCTCTGCCTCCTAGGCTTAAGCAATCCTCCCACATCAGCCTCCTGAGTAGCTGGGACTACAGGCACGTACCACCATGCCAGGCTCATTTACGCATTTTTAGTGGAGACAGGGTTTCGCCATGTTGCCTAGGCTGGTCTCCAACTCCTGGGCTCAAGCAATCTGCCCATCTCCGCCTCCCAAAGTGCTGAGATTACAGGTGTGAGCCACTGTGCCTGGCTCCAGATAAATTACTTGCACCCAAATTTCTGTCTCAGCATCAGCCTCTGGGGGAACCAAGTCTAAGACAGGCTTCTTAAGAAACCCTGAGTTCCCCTAGGTTGTGTGCTGAAGGAATGCAGTGACAGAAATCAGAGCAGAAAGAGATCAACCTTCCCTTTTAATCTTTCATTTATTCATTCATTTTACAGTCAGTGAGTCCCTGCTGTGTGCCCGCGCTGGAGACAGAAAGAGCCCAGAACTTGGAGTCAGCCAGGCTAGTTCTAACTCCAGCCCTGAGACACAGACAAGTCCCCCTAAGCTCTTGGAGCCTCATCTGATCCTCACAATGGTCCTACGAGGCAGAAAACCTCATGACCCCAGTGCCCATGAGGAAATGGAAGCACAGAGAGGTTGGGTGACCTGCCTAAGGCCACACAGCTGAACAGTGGCAGAACCAGGATTTGAACCTGGGAGTCAATTCCAGATCCCATGCGCTTAGTAAATTTCTCAGGAGTTCCAGAGACTGGGCTGATTGATGAAAGTTCCAGAATTTAGGACTTGTTCCAATAAATGGTATGAATTAGTTCCCCTATGTTTGTGAGAAAGATCCCACTACTTTACTTTAAAAAAACAAAACGAACAAAAAAAAAAACTTCTTTTTATACAGTGAGTCAGAGTCTTGCTGGAGTGCAGTGGTACAATCTCAGCTCACTGCAACCTCTGCCTCCCAGGTTCAGGCAATTCTCCTGCCTCAGCCTCCCAAGCAGCTGGGACTACAGGCTCATACCACCATGCTCTGCTAATTTTTGTAATTTTTTTTTAAGACAGTCTTGCTCTGTTGCCCAGGCTGGAGTGCAGTGGTGCAATCTCAGCTCACTGCAACCTCTGCCTCCTGGGTTCAAGGGATTCTTCTGCCTCAGCCTCCTGACTAGCTGGGACTACAGGCAGGCATCACCATGCCTGGTTAATTTTTGTATTTGTAGAGACCAATTTCACCATATTGGCCAGGCTGGTCTCCAACTCCTGACCTCATGATCTGCTGGCCTCGGCCTCCCAAAGTGCTGGGATTACAGGCGTGAGCCACCGCGCCCAGCCTGTAATTTTTTTTTAGTAGAGACGGGGTTTTACCATGTTGGCCAGGCTGGTCTCGAACTCCCACCCTCAGGTGATCCGCCCACCTTGGCCTCCCAAAGTGCTAGGATTACAGGCGTGAGCCACCTTGCCCGGCCTTTTAAAACATTTCAAGCTCTACTAGGTCCACTATATTTTTATTTAATGTGCTACTGGTGAAAATTTATTTCTTCTTTTTTTTGTTTTTTTTTGAAATGGAGTCTCTGTCGCTCAGGATGGAGTGCAGTGGCACGATCTTGGCTCACTGCAGCCTCTACCTCCCGGGCTCAGGTGATCCTCCCACCGCAGCCTCCCAAGTGGCTGAGACTACAGGCACGCACCACCATGCCTGGCTAAACAAGCTTCTTCCAGTCTGATCCCATCCCCCTAGGAACCCGGGTGTGGACGGCCTCTCTTACCTTTGCTGCAGACGCGTCCCTCCTTCCTAGCCCCAGGGGCTGTGTCATGCACATGACCAAGCCTGGCCAGTGGCTACCCAGCATCTCCTGAGCCTCAGTGATTGCTCCAGTAATGGGCATGTGACCCAAGCCAAGCCAATGACAATCAACCCCAAGACCCTTGCTGGAGCTCCTTGAATAAGACGAATTCTTTACAAGGCTGGTGAGATGAAAACCCGGAGCTGCCCAGCACCATCTTTGCCAGCAGGTAGAGCAAGCCCACTGGAGAATGAAGCCAACACAGAGAACAGCCAGGCTTGGAGTTGGAGACAGATCCCTGACAGCATGGTCTGAGCTTCTGGATCCAGCCAGGCCTGAAGCTCTTGCCCTCCCCACTTCCCAGTGACACAATACATTCTGCAATGGCATAAACCAGTTCCAGTGGGATTCTGGTTTTTGCAGCATTCTGCTATTCATCCTGACTAATGTATTAGACTTAAAAAAATACAAGGCCTGGGAGTGGCGGCTCACGCCTGTAATCCCAGCATTTTGGAAGGCCGAGGTGGGCAGATCACCTGAGGTCAGCAGTTCGAGACCAGCCTGGCCGACATGGCAAAACCCCATCTCTACTAAAAATACAAAAATTAGCCAGGTGTGGTGGTGCACGCCTGTAGCCCCAGCTACTCTGGAGGCTGACGCAGGAGAATGGCTTGCATCCGGGAGGCAGAGGTTGCAGTGAGCCGAGATTGTGCCACTGTGCTCCAGCCTGGGTAACAGAGCAAGACTCAATATCAAAAAATAAATAAAAATACAAAAATTAGCCGGGCGTGGTACCACACATCTGTAGTCCCAGCTACTCGGGAGGCCGAGGCAGGAAAATCATTTGAACCCAGGAGGCGGAGGTTGCAGTGAGATTGCGTCACTGCACTCCAGCCTGAGCGACAGAGTGAGACTCTGTCAAAAAAAAAAAAAAAAAAAAAAAACAAGGCCTGTAATTCTCCATTGGCCCAAGACAAGCACAGTCCTGCAGAACACAAAGACACATTTGCTCCTTGAAAGATTCACAGGAAGGGAAAAATATTTCCCATTCTGTGGTAATGAATCAATACCCAAATAAGACCTGGTTCGTTTCTCAAGCAGGTAATCCTGCCCAACAGCCATGACTCATCCCAGCCCCAACCAGCCCTGAGGTTGGTGTGGCCCCAGATAACTCGCTAAACTTGGGGCCGCCCCAGATTTTCCATGTTTGCGTGTCTCCTCTCCTTTCTCTTCCAGCTAAGAGTCCTGGGAACTCTTTCTAGAGTTCCAAGTAAACGCTTTGCAGAACGCCCAACCCAGATCAACACCCAGTAGATGCTCTCAGAGCACAAGGAGACATCCGGAGATCTTGCTTTTACCGAAAGTATCCAATGAAAGGGAAAAAACAAAGTTGGTCTTGACCCTTTCTATTTTTTTATTTTTTTGTTTCTTTTAGTCAAGATCTTGCTCTGTTGCCCGGGCTGGAGTGCAGTGGCACGATCATAGCTCACTTCAGCCTCAAACTCCTAGGGTCAAGGGATCTTCCCGCCTTAGCCTCCAAGTAGCTGGGATTACAGGTGTGTGCCACCACGGCTGGCTAATATTTTTTCTTTTCTTTTTTTTTTTGAAACTGAGTCTTGCTCTGTCATCCAGGCTGGAGTACAGTGGCGTGTTCTCAGCTCACTGCAACCTCCATCTCCCGGGTTCCAGTGATCCTCCTGCCTCAGCATTCCTAGTAGCTGGGATTTCAGGCGCACACCACCATGCCCAGCTAATTTTTGTATTTTAGTAGAGATGGAGTTTCGCCATATTGGCCAGGCTGGTCTCGAACTCCTGACCTCAAGTGATCTGCCCGCCTTGGCCTCCCAAAGTGCTGGGATTATAGGCGTGAGCCATTGCTCCCAGCCTATTTTAGTTTTTTTAGAGACTGGCATCTCACTATGTTGCCCAGGCTGGCCTTGAACTCCTGGCCTCAAGTAATCCTCCCGCCTCGCCCTTCCGAAGTGCTGGGATTACAGGCATAAGCCACGGCACTCAGGCTTGCCCCCTCTTACCAAGTGCTGGGATGGCACCCAGGACCTCAGCAGCAAAGGGAGCCTAACAGGCATCAGATGAGGAAGGCTCAGAAGGCTGAGCGCAGGGAAGGAGCCTCTGTCCGCAGGACACCGAGGACTTTGGGGAAGGCACTCAGCCGGGAAGTCAGACATGACCTCATCCTAGTTGAGGTTCCGTAGAAGCAGAGCCTGTGATGGAGATGTGGGTGCATGTGGTTTTCTAGAAGTGAGGGTTCTCAGAAGAGGGGAGTAAGGAGACAAGGTGCAGGAGGAAGAACAGCAGACAGGTCCCAGCTGGAGGCCTGATCCCAAGGCAGGCCTGAAGTAAGAGTTTTCTGAGTCAGTCCCACCAGGAGGCAAGGGGGCCCTGCTGAGGACCTGTCCTCGGCCAGTCGGTCCTTCTGGGGTCCCTCTGGGCTGCCAAGAAGGGTGGGTGAGGGGTGGGAAACACAGCTGTGAGCAGTCAGCGGCCACACTCGAAGCAGCCGGCTCCTTCCTTCCTCTTCTTGGCTGCACACCTGCTTTTGGGGAAGGAGCTCATGGACTGGTTGCAGCTGGGGTGGGAAGAATTAAACAGACACTGCTGAGCTCAGTGCTTGAGGGCCCAGGGCTTCGGAGGCAGAGGCAGCCAGTTTCGAATCATGATTCTGGGTTGACTCAAGTCTCCAGCGTGGAGCTCCAGGGGCGCGCAGCTCATGGAGTGCGGTACGGATTAACAAGGCCATGTGGTAGGCGCTCTTCCCCCCACAGCCTGGCGCATGGCAAGTGCTCAACAAATCATGGCTCTGCAAACATCTCCAAGTGTCACAGGCCTGGCTGCTACGGTGGGAGATTTAACATCAGTCGCCAGGTGTTGGGGAGGGAAGAGAAGGAGTTCGGGTGCCTTCCTGGACTCATTCCAGCACCCACAGGTGCTCAGCGCACTTCTATCTGGGTCAGGTTTTGCTCCTTCTCATCAAGTGCAAGGCGGGCACACAGGACCCCGGAAGAACGGAGGTCATGGGAGTCCAGATAGGAACCAGACCCCTGGCGTTGGGGGGGCTCCAAACCTCTGTGTTTGGGAGTCCTGGCTTCCCCAACTTCCCCTCCTAGCCTCAGCCCCTATGGATGGAAAAGTACCCCCAGCTGGCATGACTGATCGATTGGTTTGGGGCACAAAGCTGGGTCCTCTCTGAGGAGCAACTTGGCAGGAGGTGCCCGCAGTCTGGCCTTGGCCACAGTGCTACTTTGAAACTGCTTTAAACTCGCCAATGATGTCCTAAAGCCCTGATGACAAATCCCAGCCTCCCGCAGGCCCTGCTCTGGCGGGGACACCTCTTGGGCCTCATTGCAAACCACACAACCCTCCTCCTGTGCCCCGCCTGCTCCAGGCACACAGGAGTCCCTGTTGCTCCACAGCTTCAGGTCTCTCTGGCGGCAGTGCCTTCCCCTACCTGCCCCTGGCCAACTTTTTTTTTTTTTTTTTTTTGGTGGTGAGACAGGGTCTCATTCTGTCACCTAGGCTGGAGTGCAGTGGTGAGATCAAAGCTCACTGCAGCCTCAAACTCCTGGGCTCAAACAATCCTCCCACCTCAGCTTCCTAGATAGCTGGGACTACAGGCACCCACCACCACGTCCAGATAATGTTTTTATTTTATTTTTTTTCTAGAGACAGGGGTCGGGGTGGTCTCACTATGTTGGCCAGGCTGGTCTTGAACTCCTGGCCTCAAAATGATCCTCCCGCCTCAGCCTCCCAAAGTGCTAAGATCACAGGCATGGGCCACGGTGCCCGGCCTGCCATTACCTTTGATGCATGGACAAGAGGTAGCCTCCCATGCATAGCAGTAGCCACGATAACAGCAGTCATTTCTGTTTGCACCCAACTCATCTAAGCACTGTCTGCTTATTTTTGATATTATTTTCCCTGTTTACATTTGCAGAAACCGAGGCTTAACAAGGTTAAAGTCACCTGCCCATAGCGTGTGGTGGACTTGGGATTTGGACTCAGGGCTGCAGAAAATAAATAACCAGGTCGCCATGGGGTAAGTGCACTGCAGGAGAAGCTGCTTACAAGTGAGCTATCGGTGTCCTGTGGCTGCAATTATCACATCACCACAAACTGAGGCGCTTAAAACAGCAATGTATTCTCTGTTCTAGAGTCTAAAAGCTTGAAATCAAAATGTCATCAGGACCACCTCCCCCTGGAGGATCTAGGGAGGGTCCTCTCTTGCTTCTTTCAGCTTCTGGTGGCTCCAGGCATCCCGGGGCTGGGGGCTGCAACACTCTGCACATGGCTTTTTGTTGTTGTTGTTGAGACAGGGTCTCACTCTGTTGCCCAGGCTGGAGTGCAGTGGCGTGAACATAGCTCACTACAGCCACAACCTCCCGAGCTTAGGTGATCCTCAGCCTTCTAAGTAGCCAGGACTACAGGCACATGCCACACAGCTGGCTAAGTTTTTCATATTTTTGGTAGAGACAGGGTTTCACTACGTTGCCCAGTCTGGTCGCGAATTCCTGGGCTCAAAGGATTCACCCTCCTCAACCTCCCAAAGTGCTGGGATTACAGGCGTGAGCCATGGTGCCCAGTCACCACACGGACGCCTTCTCTCCGGTGTCTGTGGCTTCAAGCTCCATGTCTTGCTTACACAGACACCCGTCATTGGGTTTAGAACCCACCCTAAATCCAGGATGATCTCATCTCGAGATTCTTAACTTGATGACATCTGCAAAGACCCTATTTTCTTTTCTTTTCTTTTTTTTTTTTTTTGAGACGGAGTCTTGCTCTGTCTACAGGCTGGAGTGCAACAGCACAATCTCAGCTCACTGCAATCTCTGCCTCCCTGCAATCTCTGCCTCCCTGCTTCAAGCTATTCTCCTGCCTCAGCCTCCTGAGTAGCTGGGATTACAGGTGTGCGCCACCACGCCCGGCTAATTTTTTTGTCTTTTTAGTAGAGACGGGGTTTCACCGTGTTAACCAGGATGGTCTTGATCTCCTGACCTCGTGATCCACCCGCCTCGGCCTCCCAAAGTGCTGGGATTACAGGCGTGAGCCACTGCGCCCGGCCTCGCAAAGAACCTATTTTCAAATCAGGTCACCTTCACAAGTGCTGGGAGTTACGTCGTGGACGTGTCTTTCGGGGAGGGGTCATTATCAAGTAACTACAGCTGCCGTGGGGAACAGGATTAGGCAATCCGCTGGCCCCTCCCCACATGGACTGAGAAAGGTGAGGACGACTGGCTCAACCCTGGAGAGAAGGTGAAGGAGGCACCGAGATGACAGAGACAGGGAGAGGGACAGAGACAGGGAGAGGGACAGAGAGGGCTACTATGCTCCACTGTCTGCTGGAAACCCTGTTGACAAAGGAGGAAGCAACCCAGGGAAGCTCCCGCAGGTCCCAGCTCAGAACTAACAGCTACCCCTGACTCTGCGGGCCCAGAGCAGATCACTGCCAGCCGGCCCCTGTGGGCTCTTTGGCCTGCGCTCCCTGGCACGTGGGATCCCTTGGCCCCATCTGGAGGAAGCCCCACCGAGCCAGAGCCAGGGGAAGAACTGATGGCTGGACCCCAGGCCCAAGGCAGATGCCACCCAGGCCCTTCTTTCGGTTCTGCAAATGCCACTGGCTCTGCTGGCTCTGAGCGCAGAGTCCAGCCCCCATGCACATGACTATGTGGTGCCCTCAGCCCCCGCACGGGTCAGAGTTTTCCGTGTGCCGCCTCCTCGTCCTTCTTCTTCTGCCGAATGCCTGGAATTCCACAGGAATTTCCACAGAGGCCCACCCCACTCTGAGCCTCCTAGTGAAGGAAACAAAGGCCAGCTCTGAGGCCCGGGGCTGGGAGGGCTGAGCTGGCAGCCACTCCAGAGATTTGCTGTCTTAGATAGGAAAGGACGGCCTGGGATCCTGCACCCATGATACCCTCTTGGAGGCCCTACTTTGGGGCCTGGGAAAGGAGGTCTCTCTAGCCCCGTCACCCCTGCATACACATAAGTGCATCCCCCAACACACGTGCACACAGGAACCAGACACATCACGCTGGAGGCAAGATGGGTAGACATATTCCCAGGGGTGCACCCATCCACACGGACCTGGGGCAGCCCAGGGCCACCTGAACAGGGAAGTGGCCCAGCCTGAGTATTGCCTTGGAGCAAGCCAGCCAGGGCTCCAATCTCAGCTCTGCAACCTCAGGCAAGTTACTCAACCTCTCTGTGCCTCCCTCACCTCATTTGCAAATAGTAGTGTCAGAGGGGTTTGAACCAGAGCAACTCCATCTTGAATAGGGGCTGGGTAAAATGAGGCTGAAACCTACTGGGCTGCATTTCCAGACTGTTAGGCATTCTAAGTCACGGGATGAGATAAAAGGTCAACACAAGATACAGATCTAAATACTTTGCTGATAAAATAGGTTGCAGTAAAGACGCCGGCCAAAACTCACCAAAACCAAGACGGCGACGAGGGCGAACTCTGGTCTTCCTCACTGCTACACTCCCACCAGCACCATGACAGTTTACAAATGTCATGGCAACGTCAGGAAGTTACCCTAGATGGTCCAAAAAGGGGAGGCATGAATAATCCACCCCTCATTCAGCATATAGTCAAGAAATAACCTTAAAAATGGGCGACCAGCAGTCCTCACATGGGGCTGCTCTGTCTAAGGAGTGGCCATTCTTTATTCCTTTTCTTTCCTAATAAACTTGCTTTCACTTTACGGACTTGCCCTGAATTCTTTCTTGCACGAGACCCAAGAACCCTCTCTTGGAGTCTGGATCGGGACCCCTTTCTGGTAACAGTAGTACCCACCTGAAAGGGTTGCTGTGAGGATTAACTGAATTGATGCATGGATAGCACCCAAACCCTGGAACATAGGAAGTGCCACATATATGTTTGCTGTGATTAGTGGCATCACACACGCAGACATGTGTAAGGCCACTTAGCAATACACAGACACATGCAGAGGGACATACAGAACCTCAACAACTCACATGCAAATGGACACACAGACATGAATACACATGTGCAGAGACTCATATGGGCACTTATACACACATGCACACAGGTGAGACCATCTTTGCAAAAATTATAACAGAAAATTGTGACAGTGAAGGAGACCTGATCTAACCAACCCCCATCTTGCCTTTCACCTCCAAACTGCTCTTCATCATTCCTGGACTTGGGCCAAACTAACTCTGGGGAACATTTAGTTTACAGTTTAAGTGATACTTTTGTTTTTAGTGTACAGTTTAATGATAATGATTCCCTTCCCCAAAACTCAACCGCCTTTGTGAAGGTAACAAAAGGCCACCAGGTTACGAAGCTAAGGAATGAGAGAAAGCTAAATTCTGCTAAGGTGTAGACATACATGATTACCAGCCATTATTCCAGAGGCCACAAGATTTGCAACTTCCCCTATTGCCCCTGCAGATAACATCACTATTGTAGAATCTAAGATCGGCCTTTTGAAACGTCTTCTCAGGTTTTTGCATTTCTGACGATCCACTGAGGACTCAGTGCACATGAGGACCATTTTCCATAACCCTATGATTGCATCCCCAACCAGTCAGCAGCACCCATTCCCTGGCCAGACGAACTATCCTTGAAAAACCCTAGCCTCTGAATTTTCAGGGAGACTGACTTGAGTCATAAAACTCTGGTCTCTACCAGGCATGGTGGCTCACATCTGTAATCCCAGCACTTTGGGAGGCCAAGGCGGTAGATCACTTGAGGTGAGGAGTTCAGGACCAGCCTGGCTAACCTGGTGAAACCCCGTCTCTACTAAAAATGCAAAAACTAGCTGGGCGTGTTGGTGGGCACCTATAATCCCAGCTATTTGGGAGGCTGAGGCAGGAGAATCGATTGAACCCGGGAAGCGGAGGTTGCAGAGAGCTGAGATCACGCCATTGCACTCCAGCCTGGGCATCACAGTGAGACTCCATCTCAAAAATAAAATAAAATAAAATAAAATAAAATAAAATAAAATAAAATAAAATAAAATAAAACTCCAGTCTCCTATTCAGCCAGCTCTGTGTGAATTAAACTCCTTCTCCCTTGCAAATTCCCCTGTCATGATAAATCAGCTCTATCTGGGCAGTGGGCAAAAGAATCTATTAGGTGGTTATACGGATACACAAATGCACATTCAGAGCATAAAGACAGATGCACCCACAGTGATTGTGCAAACGCTTGCATAGACACACACGCATGCACGCATGTAGATACCAATCAACGCTGGGGCGATGTCTGCAACCAGCCCTCCAGCCAGAGCCAACCCCTGTACTGGTTCATGATGGTTCCAGTGCTTCCTCTCCCTCTCCCCTCCCTTATGCCCTCCACCCTGGCTCACCTTTGTCCAGGACACACCTGGGAGTGGCCATGGGGACAAGAAGCCTTCCACGTCCTTCAACAGGCTCCTTTGTCACCTCTCGGGTTATAATACACCAGCTCACACACAGGCCAGTTTCTGTCCGCCTGACTGCAGATATCCCCAAAGTGCCCACTTCAAGGAGGAAATGAGACCCTGGGCCGCAGTAGCCTCTGACCCCATATCTGTCTCTCTGACCAAGGGGAAGAAAAATGCCCAAACTGCAACAGCTCCCACCTGTCTCCCTTCCTCTGGGCCAGTGTCCCCACAGGGACCCTTTTTGTCAACGGCGCCTCAGCCCAGACCATGTGGATTAAAAGCTTTCCTCTGTGGGACATACGGAGCATTTCTGAGCCACACTCCCAGTACCTTTTTGACTCCTCGAAGACCTGTGTCGCAGGTGGCAGGGTTCCACACCTACACGGGCACATGGGGCCAGACTCGGGCTCTGGGTAGCACAAAGACACGGGGTATTTACAGGAGATGTGGCTGGAGGGTCTGGAAGAACAAAACACTAGGGTCATCACAGGCTGGGTTATTTTTCCTCCCCAAGGCTCAGTCTGCTCATCTGTAAAAGGGGGTGAGAAGAACCGCCATCTGTACTGGGCACGAACATTGTGTGGGGCTACCCAGGCTCTGAGCTCCATCCCAAGCATGGAGAAATTTCCCTCCTTAGAAGGCTTGCAATTCTCCAGCCTCCTCGGAGCCGGGCTGGGGCAATCAGGTGTGCTTGCTCCAGATGGAATGGGTGCTAGTGAAGCAGCGTCGTTGTCTGGGGTAAATACCCGAGATTTGTTGTCTGACAGCCATGCAAAACTAGGATGCGGACACACCAGACTGAAGTTAAGAGCAGAAGTGTAATAGGCGAAAGAAAGAGAAGCGCTCTCTGCGAAGAAAGGGGTCCCAGAGAAAATGGGTTACTGCTTCCGCAGTGGAATGCAGAAGGTTTTACAGATGAGCTTGAGAAGGCGGAGTCTGATTTACATAGGGCATGAAGATTGGTCAGACCAGGTGTGCTATTTGCATAGCACGTGAAGAACTGGTTAGGACTAGGTGTACCTTTTGCATAGTGCATGAAGAAGCTGGCTGCCCCACCCTAATCTTTTATTATGCAGATGAGCTCTCTACCTGGCCAATGCCAATGTTGCCTGTTCCTTTACGGTACACACGATGACAAAGAAAAGGGAAAATAGAGCCCCCGTGTTGAACACACCTGGCCTTCAGGTAGCCTTTTCCTATTGGCACAGCTGCCGGCATTCACCTGTGCAATCTTCCAGCTTGCTTATCTATGTCTGCAGCTCGATTTTCCAGGCTGCTCTTTGTCAGAAAAGAAATGATGTGGAGGCTACTTTTTATTAAAAGTGAAATTCCACCGAGGACTCTGTTGCCCTTACTATCTGCCTAAATAATTTATTTTTCTTTTTTTTTTTTTGAGATGGAGTCTAGCTTTGTTGCCCAGACTGGAGTGCAGTGGCACAATCTCAGCTCACTGCAGCCTCCGCCTCCCAGGTTCCAGTGATTCTCCTGCCTCAGCCTCCTGGGTAGCTGGGATTACAGGCGCACACCACCAGCGTGCTCATCTGTAAAAGTGAGCCCAGCTAATTTTTGTATTTTTAGTAGAGATGGGGTTTCACCATGTTGGCCGGGCTGGTCTCAAACTCCTGATCTCAGGTGATTCGCCCACCTCGGCCTCCCACAGTGCTATGATTATAGGCGCAGGCCACCGCGCCTGGTCTGCCTAAATAATTTCTTTCTATCTCCTGTATCACCAGCACCACAGAGAAGTGGAGAAGGGGCCTCACAGTAGGTGGCAGGAACGCCCATCTCTTTGGGTCAGTGTGGCTGCCTTGGGTCCAGGCTTGCAGCCTGGGAATGGAGCCACAGTAGAGTGGTCCAGTTCTGGGCATTCATTGGTGGCTCACTCTCTATCCCATCTTCAGTGCTGGGGCAGAACTACTCAGTCCTCTTTCTGTAAATTCTTCTTCTGCTTACATCAGCCAAGTCTGTTTCTGCTGCTGGCAGCTGGGGACCTGGGCTCACCTATGGCCTGGTAAAACTGCCGTGAGGAGCAAATGAAACAATCCACCAAGGACTCAGCACAGTGCCTGCCCATGAGGGGCACACAGCACGTGCACAAGCCTGCTATTCACAGCATAGGCTGCACGCAGCGGCTCACGCCTATATTCCCAGCTGAGGTGGGAGGATCACTTGAGCCCAGGAGTTCAAGACCAGCCTAGGCAACATAAGGAGCTCCTGTCTCCACAAAAAATTTAAAAATTAGCCAGGCATGCCGGTGGTGCCTGTAGTCCCAGCTACTCCAGAGGCTGAGGTGGGAGCATCACTTGGCCCTAGGAGTTTGAGGCTTCAATGAGCCATGATTGTGCCACTGCATGCTAGTCTGGGTGACAGAGTGAGAACCTTCCTCAAAAAAAAAAAAAAAAACTATATATATATATATCTATATCTATATCTATATCTATATCTATATATCTATATATATCTATATATATCTATATATCTATATATATCTATATATATCTATATATATCTATATATATCTATATATATCTATATATCTATATATATCTATATATATATCTATATATATATCTATATATATATCTATATCTATCTATCTATCTATATATATATATCTATCTATATAGATAGATAGATAGATAGATAGATATGATTAGCCCAGCTCTGTCACCTGCCAGCCAGGAACCTGAGTACATCACATCACCTCCTGGCCTCAGTTTTCTCAACTGTAAGATGGGAACAGTAATAGTCCACTTCCCCATAGGTTTGGGGTGATGATTAAATGAGATAATGCACATAACAAGTGCTCAGTATTTCCCACTGATGATAGTGCTTGCCTTCACATGGTAACAGCATGATTTCTTTGAGTTTTATGAAATAAGAACTGAGTAGGTGTCCTCAAACTCAGAGGGAAAAAATACATTGGAGCTGGGTATGGTGGCTCACGCCTATAATCCCAGTACTTTGGGAGGCCGAGGCAGGCGCATCACGAGATCAGGAGTTTAAGACCAGCCTGACCAACATGATGAAACCCAGTCTTTACTAAAAATACAAAAATTAGCCGGGCGTGGTGGTGCATGTCTGTAATTCCAGCTACTCAGGAGGCTGAGGCAGGAGAATCATTTGAACCCAGGAGGTGGAGGTTGCAGTGAGCTGAGATCACGCCTCTGCACTCCAGCCTGGGCCGACAGAGCAAGACTCTGTCTCAAAAAAAAAAAAAAAAAAAAAAAAAAAAAAAAAAAAAAAACCCTGGAAATTTAGCATCTAACTTTAATTCCTAATGGAGCAATTCTCATGTTAATATTAGTAGATTTCCAATAGGAATCACAGGTATTTTTAATTCCACAATCTCATTTTAGATATACATAGCTGGCTACCTTTTTAACCTGTGTATTTTTTTTTTTGCATTGAAAAAATATTCTGGATAGTAAACTTTAGTTATTTAAACGCGTAACAAATTGTTCAAGGAAATGGGTACTGACGTCAACAACTTATTGTGAAATGCATCCAAAAAGTAAGATGTGTAGAGTGACGGATGCATGGGTGAATGGTTAGGTAGAGAGAGGGATAGAGGGATGGATGGATGGATGAGTAAACAAATGGGTAGAGGTTAGAGGGATGGTTAGAGGGAGACAGGAATGGATGCATAGATGGTCAGAGGTAGGGATGGATGGATGAATAAATGGATGGGTAGATGTATGGATGGGTAGATGGATGAATGGTTAGAGGGAGAGAGGGATGGATGGATAAATGGTTAGAGGGAGGAATGGATGGATGGATAAATGGATGGATGGGTGGTTAGAGGGTGGGAGGGATAGACGGGGCATGGATAGATGGGTAGACGAATGAATGATTAGTGGGGGGAAGAATAAATGGGTGAGTGGTGGATGCATGGGTGGATAGATGGGTGGATGGATGGTTAGAAGGAGGGAGGGATGGATGGGTGGGTGGGATGCATGGATGGGTGGGTGGATGGATGGATGGATGAATGGATGGATAGATGGATGGACAAATAGGACAAAATGTTATCTGGGTGATGTATACATAGGTATTCCCCGTATAGTTCTTTCAACTTTTCTTTATATTTGGACATTTTTACAATAAAACTTTGGAAGAAAGATTTTTAAAAAAAAAAAAGAAAAAAGAATGAAACAGAGAGAAAAGGACATCCAAAGTCTGGGCAAAGAAAAAAGATTCATCTTTAAAATAATCTTTTTAGGCCAGGTGCAGTGGCTCATGCCTGTAATCCCATCAATTTGGGAGGCCGAGGAGGGCGGATCACTTGAGGTCAGGAGTTCAAGACCAGCCTGGCCAACATGGTGAAACCCCATCTCTACTAAAAACACAAAAATTAGCCAGGGCCTCTGCCTCCTAAGCTCAAGAGATCCTACCCTCTCAGCCCCCCAAGTAGCTGGGAGTACAGGCGAGAGCCACCATGCCCGGATAATTTTTGTATGTTTCGCAGAGACATAGTTTCACTGTGTTACCCAGGCTGGTCTTGAACTCCTGGCTCAAGCAATCCACCTGCCTTAGCCTCCCAAAGTGCTGAGATTACACGTGTGAGCCACCGCACCCGGCCAACAATGTGTCGATGTGGATAACCTTGTTTGTTGACTGTCCTCTCAGTAGAAAGGGAGGTCCACTCTGCCAGGGCTGGGTCCTTATTAGGCATTCACGGCTGGATCCGCAGGGCTGAGCACTGCATCCAGCACATAGTAGCTGCTCAGCACATGTTCGTGGAGCGACTGAGTGTGTAAGTCAGTGAATGAACAAACGAATGAAGGGGTTCTCGCTCTGATACTTGTTCTGCAGCCTGGGAAACTGAAGCTCAGAGATGAAGTGACTTCACCGAGGTCACACGGACAGTGGGCGGCAGAACTGGAGCTACCTACGCAATTGGGATTATGAAATATTTCACAAGTGCCAAGAAGTGCACATGATGCAGGGCTCTAGAAGGCTTCCTCTTTGATTTGTCACAGTCCCTGCAGCAGAGAGGCAGCCCAAGGCTCTGCAAATCACTGCCACTTCATCACGGCTGCAGCCACCCTTGTGCAGGCCCCAGCTCGAGGTCTTCTCACTCGATGCTGGTATGGGGGTGATGATCATCCATCTGGCAGGTCACAAGGACAACCCTCGGGATGGGAAATCTGATCCTAATTGCTGAGTCACAGCTAAAGGGCAGAATGACGTCGTCTGTAACCATGGCATGCATTCCAAACTCAGCCCCAGCTTGGCTTCTCCTCAAGTTTGAGTGAGCCCCTGTCAGTCTACACCACCCCTCCTCATGTTCGGCTGTTTTCAAGCCGGCACACTGGCAAAGATGCTGCCAGGAAAGAAGGAAGCCAAGCCCAGGGAGAGGAGAGAGCTGGTTTGCTGTGGGTGGCCAGGAACAAGGTCCCGTGTGTGGAGGAGACAGAACACAGTCATGATATCAGGCCGGGAGCAGTGGCTGACTCCTGTAATCTCAGAATTTGGGGAGGCTGAGGTGGGAGGACGGCTCGAGCCCAGGAGTTCAAGACCAGCCTGGGAAACATAAGGAAACCCATCTCTATTTAAAAAAAAAAATCAGCCAAGCATGGTGGTGCATACCTGTAGTATCTGCCACATGGGAGGCTGGGGCAGGAGGGTTGCTTGAGCCCAGGAGGTCGAGGCTCCTGTGAGCCGTGATTATGCCATTGCACTCCAGCCTGGGCGACAGAGGGAGACCCTGTCTCCAAGAAAGAAAGAAAAAGAGAGGGGAGGGGAAGAGGGGAAGGGTAAAGGCCACATACTGGCATGTACAGCCTCCCCTGCCTGACCCCCATTCCCAGGAGCCCCTTTCAGAGAGTAAAGAGAGCTGGAACAAGGGAGCAATGCTGACGGAAGGACAGACAGACAGATGGACAGACTGCACTGGGGGCAGAAGGGCCCGCAGGCTCCAGACGAGCACGATCAGCAGGAGAAAGCAGGCCATGCGCAGGTGATGTGGGTGCCAGAAGCAACCCAGCAGATAGAGGAATTCCAATAACCGCACAGCACTCAAGTAAAATAAAAACACCGTGACTTCGCAGCAAGCCAGTATGGCCCCCTAGAGGCCAAGGGCAGAATTTTATTTTTATCTATCTATCTCTCTGTCTATCTCTCTATCTGTCTGTCTATCTATCTATTTTCGAGACAGAATCTCCCTTTGTCGCCCAGGATGGAGTGCAGTGATGTGATCTCGGCTCACTGCAACCTCCGCCTCCAGGCTTCAAGTGATTCCCCTGCCTCAGCCTCCCAGGTAGCTGGAATTATAGGTGCGAGCCATCGCAGCCAGTTAATTTTTGTATTTTTAGTAGAGACGGGGTTTCACCATGTTGGCCAGGCTGGTCTCTTAACTCCTGCCCTTGGCCTCCCAAAGTGCTGGGATTACAGGCATGAGCCACCGCGCTGAGCCTGTTGAGGCAAAGCATAACCCCAGATCCTCCTAGCCAATGGACCCCTCGCTTCTGAAACAGTTCCGGTGGTCAAGTTCTGGGCATGTCCTGGACTTCTTGGTTTTGCGCGGAGGAATCACTAGTTCTGGGTGTTGATAGACATCAAAGCTTTTCCAACTGTGCATGTCTGGGATACCTGACTTGCTGTGTTGGCTCAGTTATATCTGCCAGGTAACTTGACCTTCTGTTATCAACAGAGTAGGTCCAGTTTGGGCTGGTCTTGCAGTTGTGTTTTCTTGAGGAACGGTTTGGGCTCAACCTGTCTTTCCAATCAGCTGAAACTGGAGCATCCCTCAGCCTCAGTTTCCCCAATATCCTGAACTCTGCTCCCTACATCGTGCACAAAGGCCAGATTTCTTATGAAACCATGTGGTGCAGGGTTAGAAAGAGACAGCCCTGGCCGAGCATGGTGGCTCATACCTGTAATCCCAGCACTTTGGGAGGCTGAGGCAGGCAGATCACCTGAGGTCAGGAGTTCGAGACCAGCCTGGCCAACATAGCGAAAGCCCGTCTCTACTAAAAATGCCAAAAAAATTAGCCAGGCATGGTGGCCCATGCCTGTAATCCCAGGAGGCTGAGGCAGGAGAATCTCTTGAACCCAGGAGGCGGAGGCTGCAGTGAGCCAAGATCCCAGCACTGCACTCCAGCCTGGCCAACAGAGGGAGACTCTGTCTCAAAAAAAAAAAAAAAAAAAAGACAAAAAAGAAAGAGACAGCCCTTCTGTGCCCCCTGCCTGGGCAAATGACACCTCCACCCACATAGGCTCAAAGCTGGGGAGCAAGATATCCTCCTTACCACTGCCCTCTCCCACCCCCCACCTTTCCCAAACCCTCACAGGGCACAGCACAGACTACTCTGCACCCCAATATCCACTCTCCCCTTCTTCCAAAGCAATAGGACTTCCAATACGTAGCTGGGCACAGCTACCCAGAAATAAGACCACATTTCCCAGCCTCCCTTGTATATAGGTGTGGCCAAGGGGTTAAATTCTAGCCAATAGGATGTGTGCAAAAGTGAACTGCGCAGGTCCCTGCATGTGTCTCTAAGGGAAAGGGCAGGTCTACCTCCATCATTAGCTTCCCTTCTCCTTTCCCCTTCCTGGCAGTTGGAGTGTAGGAGAGGGTGACCATCCGATTTGGACAATAAGAGCAAAGACAATCGTTTAGGGAAAATGGAGCAACAAGGTAGGAGGAGCCTGGGTCCCTGATGCCTTGGAATAGCCAAACCAGAGCTGCGACACTTACTTACACCAGGACTGACTCTATGTTAAAGGGAAACAGAGGCCGGGTGTGGTGGCTTACGCCTGTAATCCCAGCACTCTGGGAGGCCGAGGCAGGCAGATCACTTGAGGCTAGGAGTTCGAGACCAGCCTGGCCAACATGGCAAAATCCTATCTCTACAAAAAATACAAAAATTAGCCGGGCGTGGTTGTGGGCGCCTATAGTCTCAGCTACTCAGGAGGGTGATGTAGGAGAATCATTTGAGCCCAGGAGACTGAGGCTGCAGTGAGCTGTGATTGCACCACTGCACTCCAGGCTGGGCAACATAGCAAGAAACTGTCTCAAAAAAAAAAAAAAAAAAAAAAAAGGAAACAATCGTTTGTTGTTTAAACCAGTTATTTTAAGTCTTCAAAATGGCAGGTGAACCAGTGTCCCAACTAATAAAATCACCAAGTTCTGTGCATTTTGCCTCGTGCTGGTCACCTCAATTCATCTACTTCTTTTCTTCTTTTTTATTTTGAGACAGAGTTTCGCTCTTGTTGCCCAGGCTGGAATGCAATGGCATGATCGGCTCACTGCAAACTCCGCCTCCCGGGTTCAAGCAATTCTCCTGCCTCAGCCTCCTGAGCAGCTGGGATTACAGGCATGTGCCACCACACCTGGCTAATTTTGTATTTTTAGTAGAGACGGGGTTTCTCCATGTTGGTCAGGCTCGTCTCAAACTCCCGACCTCAGGTGATCCACCCGCCTCGGCCTCCCAAAGTGGTGGGATTACAGGCATGAGCCACCGCACCCGGCCATCTACTTCTTTTCATCTCCACCGACCCCAACCCATGCAAAGACATGGTCCCCTCCATCCCTTCCCTCACTTCCTGAGCTGCAAACTCACCAGCTTTCTATCAGTTACTCGAATGTATCAGGCTCACTCCGGCAGCGGAGCCTTAACACATGCTACTGCCTGCTTCTTCCTCTCTTCATCTAATCACCTCCTATTTTTCCTTCAGATCTCAGCGTGACCACCAGCTCCTCTTCAAGAAAAGCTGTTAGTGACTACTCTGATAGGGCAGAGCCCCTGTTATGAAATCCCACAGCACCACGAACCTCTCCTGCATAACATGTATCATAAGTTAGGATTTAAAATCCCCTGAGGGGAACGAGGAATCCATTCCCCAGATCACAGACACACAGGGTTTTTCACTGCGGCACTGCTAGTGATAGCATAACGTGAGAAACTCAAGCATCCACCAAGAAGGAACTGGTTGAATAATCTATGGCACAGCCACACAGAAGAGTACTATGCAGCAATATAAAGAAATGAGGCCGGGCGCGGTGGCTCACGCCTGTAATCCCAGCACTTTGGGAGGTCAAGACAGGCGGATCACGAGGTCAGGAGATCCAGACCATTCTGGCTAACACAGTGAAACTCTGTCTCTACTAAAAATACAAAAAATTAGCCAGGCGTGGTGGCACACGCCTGTAGTCCCAGCTACTCAGGAGGCTGAGGCAGGAGAATCCTTTGAACACGGGAGGCGGAGGTTGCAGTGAGCCGAGATCATGCCATTGCACTCCGGCCTGGAAGATAGAGAGAGACTCGTCTCACAAAAAAAAAAAAAAAAAAAAAAAAAAAAGGAAAGAGAAAAAAGAAATGAGAAGGCCGGGCACAGTGGCTCACGCCTGTAATCCTAACATCTTGGGAGGCCGAGGCGGGCAGATCATCTGAGGTCAGGAGTTCCAGACCAGCCTGGCCATCATGGTAAAACCCCGTCTCTACTAAAAATACAAAAATTAGCCAGGTGTGGATGCCTGTAATCCCAGCTGCTCAAGAGGCTGAGGCAGGAGAATCGCTTAAACCCAGGAGATGGAGGTTGCAGTGACCCAAGATCGCGCCATTGCACTACAGGCTGGGCAACAGAGCGAGACTCCATCTCAAAAAAAAAAAAAAAATGTTTCCTTATCCTACAATGCAGTGGTCTCCAGGATATATGGTTAAGCAAAAAAAAATAAATAACTGTTCAGGTGTGGTGACTCACATCTGTAATCCCAGAACTTTGGGAGGCCGTGGCAGGTGGATCACATGAGGTCAGGAGTTCGAGACCAGCCTGGCCAACATGACAAAACCTCATCTCTACTAAAAATACAAAAATTAGCTGGGCATGGTGGCGGGCGCCTGTAATTCCAGCTACACAGGAGGCTGAGACAGGAGAATTGCTTGAACCCTGGAGGCAGAGGTTGCAGTGAGCCGAGGTTGCACCACTGCACTCTAGCCTGGGTGATGGAGTGAGACTCTGTCTCAAAAAAAATTTTAAATAAATAAATAAATAACAGTATCCAAGGATCAGAACTATGAATGCAAAGCATGCTACCTACCTTCTCAATACACCTGTGGTTTGTATATGTTTGTTCACATTTTCAAAGAAAAACGATGGAATGATAAAGCCAACATGGGTATTTACAGGGTAAGAGGAGGCAGACTGGTGATGGAGGGGTGGAAGCTCAGCTTCTCTGAGTGTGTCTTGTTTCAGAGTTTCTATTTGGTAAATGTAAATATTTTACAAAATTACAAAGTAAAATCAAAGACAAAAAGACCGATCCCTTAAAATAAAAAAAAAAAGTAAAAAACCCTGAGTATATGCCAATTTGGCATAACCACACTAAGAAGGATTATTGGAAGTGACTTTTTTCCTTTTTTTTTTTTTTCCAGACAGAGTCTCACTCTGTCACCCAGGCTGGAGTGCAGTGGCACAATCTCAGCTCATTGCAATCTCTGCCTCCTGGGTTCAAGCAATTCTCGTGCCTCAGCCTCCCGACATACCTGGGATCACGGGAAGGCATTGCCATGCCCGGCAAATTTTTTTGTAATTTTAGTAGGGATGGGGTTTCACCATGTCAGCCAGTCTGGTCTTGACCTCCTGACCTAAGGTGATCTGCCCACCTTGGCCTCCCAAAGTGCTGGGATTGCAGGTGTGAGCCACTGCACCCAGCCTCTTCTTTTTTTTTTTAACTTTCATTTGAAGTTCAGGGGTACAAGTGCAGGTTTATTACATAGGTCAACCTGTGTCATGGGGGTTTGTTGTACAGATTATTTCATCACCTAAGCATTAAGCCTAGTACACATTAGTTATTTTTCCTGATCCTCTCCCTCCTCCCACCCTCCACCCTCCAAAAGGCCCCAGTGTATGTTGTTCCCCTGTATGTGTCCGTGTGTTCTGCCATTGAGCTCACAGAAAGTGACTTTAAAATAGCATTTTGAGGCTGGGCACGGTGGCTTATGCTTGTAATCCCAGCACTTTGGGAAGCCGAAGCGGGCAGATCATGAGATCAGGTGTTTAAGGCCAGCCTGGTCAATATGGTGAAACCCCGTCTCTACTAAAAATACAAAAATTAGCCAGGTGTGGTGGCACATGCCTGTAATCCCAGCTACTTGGGAGGCTGAGGCAGAAGAATTGCTTGAACCCGGGAGGTGGAGGTTGCAGTGAGCTAAGATCGTGCCACTGCACTCCAGCCAGGGTGACAGAGCGAGACTCTGTCTCAAAAAACAAAAATAGCATTTTGAGCCAGGCACAGTGGCTCATGCCTGTAATCCCAGCACTTTGGGAGGCCAGGAGTTCGAGACCAGCCTGGCCAACTGTAATCCTAGCTACCCGGGAGGCTGATGCATGAGAATTGCTTGAACCCAGGAGGCAGAGGTTGCAGTGAGCCGAGATTGTGCCACTGCACTCCAGCCTGGGCAACAGAGCGAGACACCATCTCAAAAAAAAAAAAAAAAAAGCATTTTGAGCAGGGCACAGTGGTTCATGCCTATAATCCCAGCACTTTGGGAGGCCAAGAGTTCGAGACCAGCCTGGCCAACATGGTGAAACCCTGTCTCTATCTACTAATAATAAAAAATGAGCTGGGAGTGGTGGCACACATATGTAATCCTAGCTACCCAGGAGGCTGACGCAGGAGAATTGCTTGAACCCAGGAGGCAGAGGTTGCAGTGAGCCGAGATTGTGCCACTGTACTCCAGCCTGGATAACAGAGCGAAACTCTGTCTCAAAAAAAAAAAAAAAAAATAGCACTTTGATTGTATTATACCAGATATTATATATCTCTAGTGGGTTTTACCCTAAGGACAAAAGAACCACCATGAAACAGAACTACATTGAAATCCTCACCTGTACTCAGTTATCTTATAGGTAGTGATTATATTAGCATTCTGACAGTGAAGCTGTCAGGTTTTTGCCATCTCTTGCTTCCTCTCTCACCACATGATCTCTGCACATGCCTGCTCCCTCTTTGCTATCCACCATGAGTGGACACGGCCCAAGGCCCTCACCAAATCCAGCTGCCCAATCTTCAACTATTTTTTTTTTCTTTTTTCGAGATGGAGTCTTGCTTTGTCACCCAGGCTGGAGTGCGATGGCACCATCTTGGCTCACTGCAACTTCTGCCTCCTGGGTTCAAGCAATTCTCCTGCCTCAGCCTCCCAGGTAGCTAGGATTACAGGCGCCTGCCTCCACACTCAGCTAATTTTTTGTATTTTTAGTAGAGATGGGGTTTCACCATGTTGGCCAGGCTGGTTTCGAACTCCTGACCTCAAAAGATCCGCCTGCCTCGGCATCCCAGAGTGCTAGGATTACAGGCATGAGCCACCACGCCTGGTCCCAATCTTGAACTTTTAAACCTCTTTTCTTTGTAAATTTTTAAAAAGAAATGATTATCTTTGTAATATAGGATAAAGAAAATAAGAAATTGGCCGAGCACGGGGGCTCACACCTGTAATCTCAGAACTTTGGGAGGCCAAGGCGGGTGTATCGTTTGAGCTCACGAGTTTGAGACCTCCTCAAACTGGCGAAACCTTGTCTCTATTAAAAAATACAAAAACTAGCCAGGCTTGGTGGTGCATGCCTGTAGTCCCAGCTACTTAGGAGGCTGAGGTGGAAGGATGGCTTGAGCCCAGGAGGTAGAGGTTGCAGTGAGCCAAGATTATGCCACTGCACTCCAGCATGGGTGATACAACCAGACCTTGACTCAAAAAGAGAGAAAGAAAGACAGGAATGAAGGAATGAAGGAAGGAAGGAAGGAAGGAAGGAAGAAATTGTGTTAATGTTGTTAGAAACCCAGATTTTCTATGTTAGAAAAAAGGAGATATATGCCGGGCCTGGTGGCTCACACCTGTAATCCCAGCACTCTGGGAGGCCGAGGTAGGCGGATCACCTGAGGTTAGGAGTCTGAGACCAGCCTTGCCAATTTGGTGAAAACTCATCTCTACTAAAAAATACAAAAATTAGCTGAGTGTGGTGGTGCACCTGTAGTCCCAGCTACTCGGGAGGCTGAGACAAGAGAATCGCTTGAACCTGGGAGGCAGAGGTTGCAGTGAGCTGAAATCACACCACTGCACTCCAGCCTGGGAGACAGAGCAAGACTCTGTCATAAAAAAAAAAAAAAAAAAAAAAAAAGAAAAAAAAAAGGCCGGGTGCAGTTGCTCACACCTGTAATCCCAGCACTTTGGAGGCCGAGGCAGGCAAATCACAAGGTCAGGAGTTCAAGACCAGCCTGACCAACATGGTGAAACCCCGTCTCTACTGAAAATACCAAAATTAGCTGGGCATGGTGGTGCATACCTGTAATCCCAGTTCTCAGGAGGCTGAGGCAGGACAATCACTTGAAACCGGGAGGCGGAGGTTGCAGTGAGCCAAGATCATGCCACTGCACTCCAGCCTGGGCAACCGAACGAGACTCAGCCTCAAAAAAAAAAAAGAAAAAGAAAAGAAAAAATAAAATAAAACAAAGAAACTCTCAGAGACTATTGAGGTCCCTTCGAAGGTGAAGGACATCATGCAAAGACGTTCCTGTACTGACTATGATTCTGAGTGCTTTACAAGTTTTTTGATTGTTTGTTTGTTTGAGACGGAGTCTCACTCTGTTTCCTAGGCTGGAGTGCAGTGGCATGATCTCGGCTCACTGCAACCTCTGCCCCCCAGGTTCAAGTAATTCTCCTACCTCAACCTCTGAGTAGCTGGGATTACAGGTGAGCCACCACACCCAGCTAATTTTTGTACTTTTAGTAGAGATAGGGTTTCACCATGTTGCACGGGCTGGTCTTGAACTCCTGGCCTCAAGTGATCCATCCACCTCAGCCTCCCAAAGTCCTGGGATTACAGGCATGAGTCATCACACCCGGCCCTTTACAAGTATTAACTCACCCCTAGGAATATTATGCTTAACCTCATTTAATCCTCATAACATGCCTATTAGGAGGGCACGTGATTATGCTTCTTTTATACATGAGGAAACTGAGTCACAGGGAGATTACTAAGAAAATTGCCCAGGATCATGAAGCTGGTGGGTGGCTCAGCCAATATTTGCATTCGGGAAGTCTGACCCTAGAGTCCAAGGCCTTAACCATCTTCTGAGCTTCCTCTTCACTAACGTAGGTGATTTCACATAAAAGTAGAATAGGAAAACAAAGGAGGCCAACTGTCGTAGCTCATGCCGGCCATCCTAGTGCTTTGGGAGGCCGAGGTGGGAGGATTACTTGAGGACAGGAGCTTGTAACCAGCCTGAGCAACATAGCAAGATCCTGTCTCCATGAAAAAAAAAAATTAACTTAGCCAGGTGTAGTGGTGCACACCTGTAGTCCCAGCTATTTGGGAGGCTGATGCGGGGAGGATTGCTTGAGCCTACGAAGCTGAGGCTGCAGTGACCTGTGATCTCACTACTGCACTCTAGCCTGGGCAACAGAATAAGACCCTGTCTCAAAAAGAAATTTACAAATAAAAATTTAAAAGAAAAGGAAAATAAGCCGGGCACGGGGGCTCATGCCTGTAATGCCGGCACTTTGGGAGGCTGAGTTGGGCGGATTGCATGAGCTCAGGAGTTCAAGACTAGCCTGGGCAACATGGCAAAACCCCATCTCTACTAAAAATACAAAAATTAGCCAGGTGTGGTGTGTGGTGGTGCATGCTTGTAGTCCTAGCAACTCGAGAGGCTGAGGTACTAGAATCGCTTGAACCTGGGAAACGGAGGCTTTAGTGAGCCAAGATGGCCCCACTTTACTCCAGCTTGGGCAACAGAGCGAGACTCTTATCTCCAAAAAAAAAAAAAAAAAAGAAGAAGAAAAGAAAAAGAAAAAGAAAAGAAAGGAAAGGAAAGGAAAGGTCCAGAGGCTTGACAGAAACTCGGGAATGGTGGGGATAAAGGGGTGTGGTTCAGAACCATGGACAGCGCGCGCGCGCGCGCACACACACACACACACACACACACACACACACACACACACCACCAATCTTACCGCCTTGTTAGTACACAGTGCCTATAATCAGGGCTTTCAGAGGCTGACACCAGTGGGATCAGAGGCCAGCTGGGATGTGCTTGGCCCCATATCTTTTTTTTTTTTTTCTGAGACGGAATCTTGCTCTGTCACCCAGGCTGGAAGGCAGTGGCGCGATCTCAGCTCACTGCAACCTCCACCGGGTTCAAAGGATTCTCCTGCCTCAGCCTCCCAAGTAGTTGGGATTACAGGCACCCGCCACCATGCCTGGCTAGGTTTTGTATTTTTAGTATAGACTGGGTTTCACCATGCTGGCCAGGCTGGTCTGGAACTCCTGACCTCAGGTGATCCACCCACCTCGGTCTCCCAAAGTGCTGAGATTACAGGCCTGAGCCACTGTGCCTGGCCTCGGCCCCGTATCTGGGTTAGTTGCTGATCAAGCTTTCATGACACCCAGGCTCTCTGCCAGCCACATCTCACCTCCTCCTGACCTGCCTGGGGCCACCTAGGCTCTCTTCGTCAAGGCCACCCCTTAATAATAGGGATCGCCATTTAATTCTTGAAAATGCTCAGCCAGGTGGGAACGAGCATTCCCACTTCCCAGGTGGGGAAACTGAGGCTCAGAACGGTATCCAACTGCCGAGTTCATGCACCTGCGAAGCGGCTGCTTCTGGTACTGCGCCCTTGTGGCTCCCCATTGCCTCCCTCTTGTTGGCTCATGCTTCCCAGGAGGGTGAGCATGGGGTGCTGGTGGCCCTTGCTGAGAAGTGAGTCGCCCTCATTTTGTGTTTGTGTCATCCCCACAGCTACAGCTGGGAGCTGGGAGGAGGCATCTGAGCCGATGAACTAGGGGTAAGAAGGCTGCTTCTCCCAGCGAGAAAGGACCCAGCTCTCAAAGCACCTGACAATTCTACCTCCAGAAGATTCCTGGAACCTGTCCCCATTCCTTCCTCCCCAAAGCCCCAGCCCCAGCTCAGGCCATCATCAGCTCTTGCCCACACTGTAGGAGCCTCCTCCCTGGTCTTCCTGCCTCCTCCCTCGCCTCCCCGAATCTGCTTCCTGCAAGAGAGATGCAGACAGATGCCAGATACACTTTGAAAGTGGAATTGACAGGGCTTGTGACAAAATGGACAAATGAGTATATTTAGCTGCCACCAACAACGGTGTGACTCCCTTCTCTACCCAGGCCTAATTTTGTTTCTTTCAAGATAATTACCCAATAACGTGGGATCCTCAGGCTCACCAGAAGGCCCAGGCTGGAGGCCTTTCTGCTGGAGGCCATGTCAGGGGCAGCAAATTAGTGATTATGAGTGACGATTCTGCACTTTCTCTAACAATTAACGGGCCAGGAAATACAAAGGAGAGAACCGTTATAGACCAAAGGGGCTCTAAGAGATGTAGCAACCAAATGTGACATTTGGACTTTGTCTCTTGACTTGACCCAATGAACCATAAAAATATATTTAGGAAACAATGGAGGAGATATGGCATTTTTAGACGATATTAATGAATCATATCAAATGATACAATGCCGGAGACCTGAAATAGAATGATTCAGCAGGGGGCAGATGAGGAAGTGGGTGAGGTACAGCTGAAAAAAGGTTGTCCAGAGAAGGTTACACATTTCTCAAAAGACACACTTCGGCCGGGCGCGTTGGCTCACACCTGTATTCCCAGCACTTTGGGAGGCCGAGGAGGGTGGATCACGAGTTCAGGAGTTCAAGATCAGCCTGGCCAAGATGGTGAAACCCCATCTCTACTAAAAATAGAAAAAATTAGCCAGGCGAGGTGATGGGCACCTGTAATCCCAGCTATTCGGGAGGCTGAGGCAGAGAATTACTTGAACCCGGGAGGCAGGGGTTGCAGTGAGCCGAGATCGCGCCACTGCACTCCAGCCTGGGTGACAGAGCAAGACTCCATCTCAAAAAAAAAAAAAAAAAAAAAAAGACACGCTTCAGGCCCGGCTCAGTGGCTCATGCCTGTAATCCCAGCACTGTGGGAGGCCAATGCGGGAGGATCACATATACTTCATCACAGAGGTTCATGCCTGTAATCCCAGCCCTTTGGGAGGCTGAGGCAGGAGGATCTCTTGAGGCCAGGAGTTCAAGAACAGCCTGGGCAACTTAGTGAGACCCTGTCTCTACAAAAAATAAAAATTAAAAAAAAAATTAACAAAAAGAAAAGATCGCTCTCAAACCGGGTGTGGCAGTGTACACCTGTCGTCCCATCTACTGGGGAGGCTGAGGCAGGAGGATCACTTGAGCCCAGGAGTTCGAGGCTGCAGTGAGCTGTGATCTCACCACTGCACTCCAGCCTGGGCAACAGAGTAAGACTCTGTCACTAAAAGAAAAGAAAGAAAAATAAAATAAGATACACTTCCCATGATCACAGTAAATAGAATATGTCTGGAAACTGGGCCAGCCAGCAGCTCACAGGTGTGAGAATATGGTGGTGGTCCACCCCAGGGTGGTATCACTTGTTGATTATGTTTTTTGGTTTTTTATTTTGAGGCAAAGTCTCGCTCTGTCACCCAGGCTGGAGTGCAGCAGTATGTGATCTTGGCTCACTGCAACCTTCACTTCCTGCATTCAAGTGATCCTCTTGCCTCATCCTCCCAAGTAGCCAGGATTACAGGTGCCCGCCACCACGCCCAGCTAATTTTTGTATTTTTAGTAGAGACAGGGTTTCACCATGTTGGCCAGGCTGGTCTGGAACTCCTGACCTCAGGTGATCTGCCTGCCTCAGCCTCCCAAAGTGCTGGGTTACAGGCGTGAGCCACCACGCCCAGCCAGGAGTGAAGGTTTTAGAGCCAACCTGCCTGGTTCAAACTCTGCAGTGTGTAGTGTGACCTTTGGCAACTCACGTTCCCACTGTGTGCCTCAGTTTCCCCACCTGTTAAATGGAGGAATAACAATCTCTGCCTGACAGGGTTGTGGTGAGAGTTACAGGACTTGAAACATAGAACAGGGCCCAGCATGTCAAAAGCACTAAATAAATGTTAGTTCCGATTCTTGCTGTTAGGAAATATTAGGGTGTTTTTATGATTTTTTTTTTAAACTTTGTGTTTATCTGAACAGATTCAGACTCCCTCCCTGGGGGAAGATACAGGGAACCTGGGGGGTTTGCTTATTTTTAACAGATTTATTTAGTTATAATTCACATAGAATTCACCCATGTAAACCGTACACAGCAGTGGTTTTTAGTGTATCTGCGGACTTGTGTATCCATCACTGCGATTTTATTTTATTTTTGAGACAAGGTTTCCCTCTGTCACCCAGGCTGGAGTGCAGCGGCATGATGATAGCTCACTGCAGCCTCGATCTCCTGGGCTCAAGTGAGCCTCTGGCCTCAGCCTCCCAAATAGCTGGGACTACAGGCATATGCCACCACACCTGGCTAATTTTTGTGGGTTTTTTGTTTTGTTTTGTTTTTTGTATTTTTTGTAGAGACAAAGTCTCACTGTGTTGCTCAGGCTGGTCTCAAACTCCTGAGCTCAAGCAGTCCTCCCACCTTGGCCTCCCAGAGTGCTAGGATTATAGGCATGAGCCACCGTGCCTGGCCCATTACTGCAATTTTAGAATATTACCCCAAAGTAGGATACGGCTTCAATGTGGGTAGGTGGGTGGTAATTCTGACCTCTCTTTCTCTCTCTTTTTTGCCTCAACCTCTTAGGCTAAAGCAATCCTCCAGTCTCAGCCTCTCCAAGAGCTGGGACTAAAGGTACCACCATGGCTGGATAATTTTCTTATTATTTTTTTGGCAGAGACAGGGTCTGGTTATATTGCCCAGGCTGGTCCCAAACTCCTGACCTCAAGAGATCCCCCTGCCTTAGCCTCCCAAAGGGCTGGGATTACAGGGGTGAGCCACTGCACCCAGCCCCCTCAGCCTTCTTATGATTTCTCTTATGGCCAAAGGTGTGGGCCATGGGGGCACCATCTGCCCACTGCTCCCCTGGGGTGGGACCAACAGGCAGTTCCCATAATATTCTTTAAGGCACCCGTGAGCTGCCAGCTGGCCCGGCTTCCAGGAGCGTTTAGTTACTGCAACCACGTGAAGTATGTCTTTAGAGAAAGGTGCCCACAGACCTCAGTGTGGCTTTCTCTAGATCAGTGATAACCTGCCACAGTTTAATTTCCTTCTTTTCTGTCCTGAGGGAGGGAAAAATGATTACAGCCTACATGGCCAGTGTTAAAGTTGCTGCGGGGCCCATCGAGGGCCATTGAGTGACTGGCAGGCCATTGACAGCCCCGGAATAGAGGGCAGCAGAAGAGAGGAATCAAGAATGGCTCTGGTGTCGGCCGGGCGCTGTGGTTCACGCCTGTAATCCTAGCACTTTTGGAGGCCAAGTCGGGTGGATCAGTTGAAGTCAGGAGTTTGAGACCAGCCTGGCCAACATGGTGAAACCCCATCTCTACTAATAATAACAAAAATAGCCAGGCATAGCGGCCACGCCTGTAGTCCCAGCTACGCAGGAGGCAGGAGGCTGAAGTGGGAGGATCTCTGGAACCCAGGAAATGGAGGTTTCAGCGAGCTGAGAGCTCACCGCTGCACTACAGTCTGGGCAACAATGTGAGACTGTGTCTTAAAAAAAAACAAAAACAAAAGCAAAAAAAAACTGGGCACGGTGGCTCATGCCTGTAATCCCAGCACTTTGGGAGGCCGAGGCAGGTGGATCATGAGGTCAAGAGATCAATACCTTCCTGGCCAAAATGGTGAAACCCCATCTCTACCTAAAATACAAAAATTAGCTGGGCGTGGTGGTGCATGCCTGTAGTACCAGCTACTCGGGAGGCTCAGGCAGGAGAATCGCTTGAGCCTGGGAGGCGGAGGTTGCAGTGAGCTGAGATGGTGCCACTATACTTCAGCCTGGTGACAGAGCAAGACTCTGTCTCAAAAAAAAAAAAAAAAAGATTGAGAATGGCTCTGGGGTATCCGGCTCAGCGACCAAGGAGCTGACAGTGCCATTTACCGAAGGGGGCAGGTAGGAAAGGGGCAAGTGAATCCACAGCCCCAATCTTCACAGAGGTGTTGTGAGGCTCGAATGAGATCTCACAGGCCTTTGGGGTCAGATGCAGCTGGGTTCAAATCCTGCCTCCTGCCTTCCGAGCCAGGTAGTCCTGAGTCAGTGACTCTGAGTCTGGGTCTCCCAGTCTGTGAAATGGACCGTGAATCCTGCCTCCGACGGGTGGGCTGTGAGGGGCAGAGGGGCCCAGGCTTCCGGTGCCCCCAGCACAAGACCTGGCGCGTGGTAGGTGGTCCATGCCTGGAGCAGAGTAGGAGGTCCGTGGCCTTAAGGGAGGTGAGTATTCGTATCCCCCACTGGCCACAGATCCTGCTCACACTCCCCTGGGGGAAATTCCAGCTCAAAGAGTACCTGTCTTGGGGCTGGGAGAGGCAGAGACCATGGAAAGACCCCGAGAGACCGGGAACTGCCTGTGAGGGGTTTTCCAGGCTGCAGAGAGAAGAGTCTGACAGGCGAGGGGAGGTGAACACACCACCCCTGCTTGAAACCCTCCATGCCTCCCCAGGGTCACACTCCCCAATGTCACTCACCTTCCAGGCCTGGCCCACACCCTCCAACCCCATCTTCTCACCCTCCCAGCCACCCTAGCCCTCTATGTTCCACCTCAAGCCTTTGCACTGGCTCCTCCCTCCTCCAGGAATGTTCTTTCCCTATTTTTTTCTTTTCTTTATTTATTTATTTTGAGACGGAGTCTTGCTCTGTCACCCAGGCTGAAGTACAGTGCCGCAATCTCGGCTCACGACAACCTCTACCTCCCAGGTTCAAGCAATTCTCTTGCCTCAGCCGCCCGAGTAGCTGGGATTACAGATACAAGCCACCACGCCCAGCTAATTTTTGTATTTTTAGTAGAGATGTGGTTTCACTATGTTGGCCAGGATGGTCTCTAACTCCTGACCTCAAGTGATCCACCCGCCTCAGCCTCCCAAAGTGCTGGGAATACAAGCGTGGGCCACTACACCTGGCCTTTTTTTTTTTCTTTTAATGAGATGGGATTTCACTCTGTTACCCAGGATGGAGTGCAGTGGTGCAGTTATAGCTCACTGTAGCCTTGACTTCCTGGGCTCAAGAGATCCTCCCACCTCAGCCTCCCAAGGACTGGTAGTGCTGGGATTGTGTGCTGGGACTACAGGCACACACTATCATGCTTGGCTAGTTTTTTCTTTCTTTCTTTTTTTTTGGAGGGATAGGGTGTGGGGGTGGTCTCCCTATATTGCCCAGGCTAGTCTCAAACTCTTGGCCTCAAGCAATACTCCTGCCTCAGTCTCCTAAAGTGCTGGGATTACAGGTGTGAGCCTCTTGCTCTGGGCCCCAGGAATGCTCTTTCCATGAGTGGCTTCTTGGTGTACTTTAGGCCTCAGCTCTACGTCCTCAGGGGATCCCACCCTGGCCCCTTCTCTATTGACGTCCCAGCCCCACCCACGAGTTGTCCCTCTCTGAAACTACATTACACAACGTATTAATTAACTTACATGTTCCTATGCTGACGGCTTCCACCGCTAGAAGGTCAGCGCTACGGGGGCTAGAATTTTTCTTGAGACGGAGTCTCACTCTGTCGCCCAGGCTGGAGTGCAGGCACCATCTCAGCTCGTTGCAACCTCCGCCTCCCAGGTTCAAGCAATTCTCCTGCCTCGGCCTCCCGAGTATCTCGGATTACGAGCCCCTGCCACCACACCTGGCTAATTTTTGTATTTTTAGTAGAGACGGGTGTTTCACAATATTGGCCAGGCTGATCACGAACTCCTGAACTCAAGTGATCTGCCTGCCTTGGCCTCCCAAAGTGCTGGGATTATAGGTGTGAGCCACCGCGGTGGGGAAGGGGGTCTGGAATCTTGTCTTGTGCATGGCTCCACCTGTAGGCCTTTTCTTGTGCTTCCCCAGTGGCTGAGCCTGGGCTGGGGCTGCCTGGGAGGAATCCTCCAGGAGCCCCAGGTCCCCAAGGAGGTCTTGGGAGGGCACCCAGGCTCTGAGCCCCCAGAGATGGTCAGTCCACAGCTCCAGGGCAGGGCGGGGCTCAAACCTCTCCTCTCAAAGACTTCCCTGGGCCTATTTCCTGCCTATTTCCAGGAGGGAGAACGGTCTTCATTCCTGGAATATGTTTTCATGTCTTCACCTCCAGTGTCCCCAAGTCCATGGCTCTGCCCATGGCTTCACGGACGGCTGGCCACTGGATAGGACTTGGAGGCTCTTCAGACCCTTTTCCTGGGATCGTCTGCAGCTGGCCTCACCCTGATCCCCTGCTCCTCTCTGCACAGTGACTCCATCACCCGTTCTGTTGGCTCTTTGCTACAAATCCTCCTATATCTATCAGCACCTCTTCATCTCCGCCTCAGTCCAAGGCATCAGCCTTTCTCACTCAGGGACTCCAGGGGCCTCCACCCTGCTCTCCTGGCCTTGCTGTACTATTTTCTATACAGCAATCTCAGCCAGCTCTTTCAGATTTCACGTGGGACTGGCCACAGTGGCTCACTCCCGTAATCCCAGCACTTTGGGAGGCCGAGACAGGGGGATCGCTTGAGCCTAAGAGTTTGAGACTAGCCTGGACAACATAGCAATACCCCATCTCAATTAAAAATAAAAAAGGGGCCAGGCACAGTGGCTCACACCTCCCAGCATTTTGGGAGGCCCAGGTGAGCAGATCACTTGAAGTCAGGAGTTCTACACCAGCCTGGCCAACACGGTAAAACCCTGTCTCTACTAAAAACACAAAAATTAGCCAGGCTTGGTGGCCCACACCTGTAATCCCAGCTACTTGGGAGGCTGAGGCAAGAGAATCGCTTGAACCCAGAAGGCAGAGGCTGCAGTGAGCCGAGATCTCATCACTGCACTCCAGCCTGGGTGACAGAATGAGACTCCGTCTCAAAATAAAATAGAGAGAGAGAATGGGTAGAAAGTCACATCACTGGAGAGGGACCGACTCCCCACACCTACTAAACATGAACCTGCATTTATTGAGCGCCAATTACAGGCATCACCCTGTGTTAGAGAGAGACATGGTCCTTGCCTTCAGAGACAAAGTTTGGGGCTGGGGGGCACCTTCCTTATTTGCTTCCTGTCTGCCTGCCTGCATCCATTCATTCATTTCCTTTCAATAAGCATTTACCAAACAGGCACGATGGCTCACGCCCGTAACCCCATCACTCTGGGAGGCTGAGACAGGCGGATCACTTGAGGTCAGGAGTTGGAGACCAGCCTGGCCAACACAGTGAAACTCCGTCTCTACTAAAACTACAAAACTTAGCTGGATGTGGTGGCATGCATGTGTAATCCCAGCTACTCAGGAGGCTGAGGCAGGAGAATCGCTTGAACCCGGGAGATGGAGGTTACAGTGAGCTATGATCACACCACTGCACTCCAGCTTGGGTGACAGGGTGAGACCTCGTCTCAAAAAAAAATAAAAAATAAAAAATAAAAAAAAGCCTTTACTGAGAATCCACAGTCCCTGGGTTACAGAGCTGGCACAGACTAGCAAACTGGTTCCCTGCCCTCAGGGGTCTCACAGCCTGTTGAGGTCCACAGTGAGATCTGGGCTGGGCTGTGGGAACACAGAGCAGGGTTGCGGGCTGGGCTTTTCCAGGCAGACTCTTGACTGGTGAGAAGGAGCCTGCAAGGAGGGGGCAGGGAATCCCAGGCCTTGGGAGCAGCTTGTGCAAAGGCTGGCAGCCCGAAGGAGACACAAGGAGCGGGTGACCGTGTGGCTGGCATGGAATGAGGAGGCAGGAGGAAGAAGACAGGGCACGAGGGCAGTTGGAAATGCTGTGGGGGCCTCAGCGGCCCCACGAATCTCAGCGGGAAACAGGGACCTGGAGCAGCTTTCCTGGTCCTACCCAGAATCCCAGCCAGGACAGGCCAGGGCCTGCCTGAGACAGCTCACCAGGCTCCAACCCTTCCCTCAGGGGCCGGAGCGGAGGGGACAGGGCTTGGCAGGGGCCCCGAGCAGGGCGGTCAATTTTTCCTGAGTCAGGAATCGCCCTCCTGGGGAGGTCTTGGCTCTGCTTGGAAGGGGTTCTCATTTCCTCCCACGCTCCTCCCCACCAGAGGTGCTCAGTCTGCCCATGCACCAAACCCATGCTAAAGATGGAGAAACTCAGGCTCAGCGGAGTCAAGCTCAGAGCCAGGTGCGGCAGAGCCAGGCTTGAACCCAGAGCCTGTGTGGCTCAGAGCCCAGAAAAATGTTCCCTGGAGAGCTCGTCCCAGGCGGGGCAGTCTGGTTCTAGAGCAAAGGTCCCTCCCTGAGCCTTGCAGGGCCTGGCAGGCTCGTCAGGGCTCAGGAAGACCACAAAAGCATCAGCTCCCTTGCTTTTTCCCGTTTTTTTTTTTTTTTTTTTTTGGTGTTGTTGTTGAGACAGGGTCTTGCTCTGTCACCCAGCTGGAGAGCAGTGGCACAGTCTCAGCTCATTGCAGCCCAACCTCCCAGGCTCAAGCTATCCTCCCACCTCAGCCTCCCGAATAGCTGGGAATACAGGTGCTCAACCACGCCCAGCTAATTTTTTGATTTTTTTTTTTTGTAGAGATGGGGGTCTCGCTATGTTGCCCAGGCTAGTCTCAAACTCCTGGCTTCAAGGAATCCTCCTGCCTCAGCCTCCCAAAGTCCTGGGATCATAGGCGTGAGCCACACACCTGACCTATGTCAGTATTTTAGTATAAAATACTAATTATTTAGTATTAACCGTCAACAAGAGCTCACCTACCATTTGGAAGTGCCAAATTCCAGGGCTTAACATTTCCTTCAAGCTAGTAGTCTTGATTTTTTACTTTTTTGAGACAGGGTCTCTTACTCTGTCACCCGGGCTAGAGTCCAGTGGCACAATGATGGCTCACTGCAGCCTCAGCTTCCCAGGCTTAAGTGATCCTCCTACTTCAGCCTCCCAAGCAGCTGGGACCATGCCCTGCTAATTTTTAAATTTTTTTGTAGAGACCGGGTCTTGCCATATTGCCCAGGCTGGTCTTGAACTCTTGGCCTCAAGCGTTCCTCCCACCATGGCCTCCCAAAGTACTGAGATCACAGGCATGAGCCACCACACCTGGCCCTCAAGCTAGTCATTTTTATTATCCACCTGTTTACAAATGTTGCGTGTGAACCTGAACTGTTTTTTGGAAATGGCCCCCACATCACAGGGTTGTGGCGAGGATCAGATGTTGGTGTAAACTCCGGCTTCTGTTATTCTAGCTCAGCAGTACCGTGTCTTTATATGTTTCCAATTATTTGTTAAAATCAGAAATCTACGTGTGCCGATGGGGAGTAAGCTTCAAGATATATATTCAAGTGAGAAACGGAAGGAATAGAACAGCATGTATGGAACATGGCCATCTGTGTTTTTAAAATTGGAATGTGTATATGTATACATATATATGCCTGTGTTCACGCAGAAGATCTCTGGAAGGATGCACAGAGGAAATGGATCGTGCACCCCCTACCCCCACCCCCATGCCTTCCTCTCCTTCGATCTTCTCCCTCGAATGTATGCAGCATACGATGCATTTTCTTCTTTTTTTTTTTTTTTTTGAGACGGAGTCTTGCTCTGTTGCCCAGGCTGGAGTATAGTGGTGCCATCTAGGCTCACTGCAAGCTCTGCCTCCCGGGTTCACGCCATTCTCCTGCCTCAGCCTCCTGAGTAGCTGGGACTACAGGTGCCCACCATCACATCTGGCTAATTTTTTGTATTTTTAGTAGAGACGGGGTTTCACCGTGTTAGCCAGGATGGTCTCAATCTCCTGACCTCGTGATCCGCGCGCCTCGGCCTCCCAAAGTGCTGGGATTACAGGTGTGAGCCACCGCACCTGGCCTACATTTTCCTCTTTCTTTATTGTCTATCTCCTCCAGGAGAATGGACGCTCCATCAGGGCAGGGGATTTTTAGGGTGTGTTTGCTGCTGACTTCAGCACCTAAACTTGTGCAGCCCGACCCAGCAACCCCAGCCGCAGGTGGTGACCAAGCACCGGAAACGTGGCTGGTCTGAATTGAGAAGGACATAACAGCAAAATGCATATGAGTTTGTTTCAGGTTTTTGTTTTGTTTTGTTTTTTGAGATGGAGTCTCGCTCTGTCGCCCAGGCTGGAGTGCAATGGCGCGATCTCAGCTCACTGCAACCTCCGCCTCCCAGGTTCAAGCGATTCTCCTGCCTCAGCCTCCCAAGTAGCTGGCAATACAGGCATGTGCCACCACACCCAGCTAATTTTTGTAGTTTTAGTAGAGATGGGGCTTTGCCATGTTGGCTAGGCTGGTCTTGAACTCCTGACCTTGTGATCCGCCCGCCTCAGCCTTCCAAAGTGCTGGGACTATAGGCGTCAGCCACCATGCCCAGCCTGTACCCGTAGCTATGTATTTACACATGAATACACAATGTATGTATAAACATATACATATATATATACATATATATATATATATAGAGAGAGAGAGAGAGAGAGAGAGAGAAGTCTAAATACCATATCTGTAAATGTAACCTTATGTGAAATTAGGGGGCCAGGCGTGGTGGCTCATGTCTATAATCCCAGCACTTTGGGAGGCTGAGGTGGGAGGATCACCTGAGTCCAGGAGGAGTTAAGACAAGCCTGGGCAACACAGTGAGATCCATCTCTACAAAAATAAAATAAAATTAGCCGTGCATGGTGGCATGCACCTGTACTCCTAGCTACTTGGGAGGCTGAGGTGGGAGGATCACTTGAGCCAAGGAGTTGGAGGCTACAGTGAGCTATGATGGTGCCATGGCGAGAGAGAGATAGAGAAAGAGAGAGAGAAAAAAGTTACATAAAAAAATAAAAAGATTCCAGCCAGGCACAGTGGCTCATGCCTGTAATCCCAGCACTTTGGGAGGCCGAGGCAGGTGGATCACCTGAGGTCAGGAGTTCCAGACCAGCTGGCCCAACATGGTGAAACCCTGTCTCTACTAAAATACAAAAATTAGCCGGGCGTGGTGAAGCATAGCTATAATCCCAGCTACTCAGGAGGCTGAGGCAGGAGAATCGCTTGAGCCCGGGAGGCGGAGGTTGCAGTGAGCCGAGATCGCGCCACTGCACTCCAGCCTGGGTGAGTGAGACTCCGTGTCCAAAAAAAAAAGTTCCCTGCCCAGGGCCAGCTCATTGTCCATCTACCTCCACACCTGTGAGCTTCTCTGGTTCTGGGACTAGGTTGTATCCATCTGGCGCCTGGCACCTTCTCAGAGAGGCCCTCCCTACTTCCGTCCTGCAAGGGCCCCCCCATCTCTTACCTTACTATTTCCCTTTCTCCATAACATGTACACTTGTTTCTGCATTTATCATCTGTCTTCCCTCAGGAGAATGTAAACCCCACAAGGGCTGGGTTTTGCCTGCCTGGCTCACAGCTGTCTCCCCAGCCCCTAGCACAGTGCTTGGAACATAGTAGTTGCTCAGTTAAAACTGACAGAAAAGGCTGGGTGTGGTGGCTCATGCCTGTAATTCCCACACTTTGGGAGGCTGAGGTGGGAGGACTGCTTGAGCCTAGGAGTCGAGACCAGTATGGGCAACATAGCAAAACGTGTCTCTACAAAAAAAATACAAAAGTTACCTGGGCGTGGTGGCACACACCTGTGGTCCTACTTACTTAGGAGGCTGAGGCAGGAAGATCGCTTGAGTCAGGAGGTGGAGGTTGCAGTGAGCCAAGATAGCGCCACTGCACTCCAGTCTGGAAGACAGAGTGAGACCCTGTCTCAAAAAAAAAAAAAAAAAAAAAAAAAAAGATTGGCAGAAAGGATGAATAACTGAGTGAGTGAATGAATGAATGAACCAGTGGGTAGATGATGAGCAGACACCACTGTTCAGTGAGTTTGTAGGGGGGAAGGCAGAAGGAAACACAGGGCAGGCTGAGGGCAGGCTGGGGGCAGGGAGCACCATGGGCAGGGCATGCTGTTCCCCCTCCCTCGGTCTTCTCCTTATCACATGAACCCCAAAGACCCCAGAGGTGAAGGCCAGAACCAGCCCAGGCCCCGCTCAGACATGACAACCCAGATGGACTTTTCCAGAGGATGCAGGGACCTGTGGGATGGCCCCATGTCCTGACTGAGGCTCTGCTGTGCCCACCAGGAAGCGGACCCTGACTTATTTATTCTTTTCCCAAACACACTGATTTAAAAAGCAGTGGGGTCAGGGTGCAGTGGTTCACACCTGTAGTCTCAGCACTTTGGGAGGCCGAGGCAGGCAGATCACCTGGGGTCAGGAGTTCGAGACCAGCTTGGCCAACATGGGGAAACCCCGTCTCTAGTAAAATTACAAAAATTATCTGGACCTGGTGGCGGGGATCTCTATTCTCTGCTACTTAAAAGGCTGAGGCAGGAGAATCAGCTGAACCCAGGAGGCGGAGGTTGCAGTGAGCCGAGATTGCGCCACTGCACTCCAGCCTGGGCAACGAAGTGAGACTGTCTCAAAAAAAAAAGCAATGGGGGCTGGGCGCCGTACCTCATGCCTGTAATCCCAGCACTTTGGGAGGCTGAGGTGGGCAGGTCGCTGAGCCCAGGAGTTTGAAACCAACCTGGGCAACATAGAGAGATTCCATCTCTGCAGAAAAAAATAATAGCCCAGGCGCGGTGGCTCATGCCTGTAATCCCAGCACTTTGGGAGGCCGAAGAGGGTGGATCACTGAGGTCAGGAGTTCGAGACCAGGATGGCCAACATGGTGAAACCCTGTCTCTACTAAAAATACCAAAAAAATTTAGCTAGGCGTGGTGGCAGGCATCTCTAATCCCACCTACTTGGGAGGCTGAGGCAGGAGAATCGCTTGAACCCGGGACGCAGAGGTTGCAGTGAGGCGAGATTGCGCCATTGCACTCTAGCCTGAGTAACAAGAGCAAGACTCTATGAAAGGAAAGAAAGAAAGAAAAGAAAGAAGAAAGAAACGAGAAAGAAAGAAAGAGAGAGAGAGAAAGGAAGGAAGGAAGGAAAGAGAAAATAATAATAATAAAATTAGCCCAGTGTGGTGGTACATCTGTAGTCCCAGCTACTCGGGAGGCTGAGACGGTAGGATTGTTTGAGCCTAGATGGCAGAGGTTGCAGTGAGCCAAGATCACGCCATTGCATTCCAGCCTGGGTGACAGAGTGAGATCCTGTCTCAAACAAAAACAAAACAAAACAAAAAGCTGAGTGGGGTCACACAAACCTGTGGTCCTAGCTACTTAGGAGGCTGAGGTGGGAGAATCCGGGGAGGTCAAGGCTGCAGTAAGCAGTGATTGTGCCACTGGACTCCAGCCTGAGTGAAAAAATCAAGACCCTGCCTCAAAAACAAAGAAAATAAGAAATAAAAAGCAATGGGTATGTCATTACCATACACAGAAACACAATACCCACATCATACACAGAAGGTAACTAAAACATACACACACAGAAACCCACACATCATTCAGTTCTAGCTGCAGAGTGTCAACTGCCCGGGATTCTGAGCCTGAGGTCTGTGCTCTCTCCTGGACATAAGGGGGCTGAGCCAGCCTTACAGAGATGCTCAGGCCACACTAGCAGCAAAGGAGGCCTTGCCCCTAGAATGGGGAGCTGCTATGGGTTTCAGAGGTGAGTGATGCCCTCTCTGCCTTCCACCTAACCTCACCCTGCAGACCTCACCAGTGGTTCACATCTCACCCTTCAGGAAAAATCCCCTCTGGCCACGCAGTTTTCATTTTGTTCTCAGGCCTGGATCCCTTATAGAGATGCCCCAGGAGCAGAGGCCCGCCCACCCGAGCAGGGAGTCCCAGCTGTAGAGTCTCCCTTGAGGCTGAGGCCTCTCCACCCCGCCGAGCAACCCCCTTCCTTGTCCCAGCCCTTATAGCGGCTGGGGGAGTGGGCAGAGGGCCAGGCTGGTACAGGGCACACCAGCTGGACCCCAGCAAGCCCCAGGGAGCTGGGGTGAGCTCATCCCAAGCCCTCAATTATCCTCCTGGCTAATGAGCATCTGAGAACCTCCATCCCATTCTGTAAGGACGAACCCCGGGGACGTGAGGCCAGATGTCACTACGGAGGGAGGTAGAGGAAATGGGCTTGGGGGAGGGGCGCGATACTTCCTGCCTCCTCTTTGTTGGGGAGAGAAAGGTGGGGCTGCAGCAAGCAGTTAGGGTCGCAGTTAAGCGCAGGATCCTGTAGCCCATCTCATGGGCTCCAGTGCAGGCTTGGAGCCCACTACCTTGTGACTTTCAGCAAGTGAACTCGCCCTTGCTGCTCAAAGTCTGTCCCTGAATCATCAGCACCACTCGGGAACTTTTGAAAAATGCAGGATTTGGGGCTCAGACCTAGTGGGTCAGAAGCTGTATATTTTATTTTATTTTATTTATTTTGAGACAGGGCTCACTGTCACCCAAGCTGGAGTGCAACGGTGTGATCACAGCTCACTGCAGCCTCAACCTCCCAGGCTCAAGCAATCCTCCTACTTCAGCCTCCCCAGTACCCGGGAGTACAGGCGCACAACGCCACGGCCAGCTAACTTTTCTTTTTTAGAGATAGGAGTCTCACTACATTTCCAGGGCTGTTCTCAAACTCCTGAGCTCAAGCCATCCCCCTGCCTTGGCATTCCCCAAAGTGCTGAGATTACAGGTGTGAGCCACCGCACCCGGCCTCATCTCCATTTCTCAGACGAAAAAACTGAGGCACAGAAACGTTCGGCTGTTTTTCCAAAACCACCCAGCAGGAAAGCCTGGAATCTGGCAATCTGACTCCCAGCTTCTATGCCATGCTGAATCTCCCTCACCATTTTCCCCCAAGAATCTTTCCCCTCTAAGTGTCCCTGCCTCCCCTGTCATCGTGTTGCCAGTCCTGGCTCTGGGGTTCTTAGCCTGCCCCTCCCAGGTCCTCACCACTAATGAAGTCTCTGCCAACTTGAGGCGGGGACCACAAAGGCTGCTGGAACTGGCTTTGTGGGAAGAACCTATTTCCTTCCATTCTGGGCTCCTAGGTGTGGCTGATGGGGCAGGATTTGGGCAGATGTGGGGGCGGAGCTGTTCTGAGATGCCCGGCTTTGGCCTGTGGGGCAGCTGGCTGAAGCTGGGCTCTCCTCTGCCTTTCTGTCCTCCCTTCCTGCGCAACTCCCAGCTCACCTCCTGTGCCTGGCTTCCTGACTAGGCTGCCGCTGAACCCGCCCTGGAGTTCTGCAGTCCGATCATTCATTCATTCAACATCCATGTATTCAGCACCCACTGTGTGGCAGGCACTGTTCTGTAGACACAGCAGTGAGTGCAATACACCTAGTCCTGGGAGAGAAGACCAAAAGTTCATCACACAATGTCAAAAATGTACAATTTCACAATGGGTAGGCTGGGCATGGTGGCTCAAGCCTATAATCCCAGCACTTTGGGAGGCCGGGGCAGGAGGATCACCCAGGAGTTTGAGACCAGCTCAGGCAACAACAAGAGACCCTATCTCTACAAAAAATTAAAAAATTAGCCGGGCATGGTGGCATGCACCTGTAGTCTCAGCTACCTGGGAGGCTGAGGTAGGAGGATCGCTTGAGCCCAGGTTACAGTGACCTATGATTGCACCACTGTACTCCAGCCTGGGCGACAGAGCAAGACCTTCTCTCTAAAAAAAAGAAAAAAAATTGCTTCGTCAAATCTGCCCACATTCATAGATATAGGCTGAGTGGGACGATGGCTTGAGCCCAGGAAGGAGTTGGATGGAGGCTGTAGTGAGCTGTGATTGCACCACTGTACTCCAGCCTGAGTGACAGACCAAGACCCCGTCTCAAAAACAAAACAAAAAACCCCAAGGGAGCTACTCTTGGCTGGGCGATCAGGGAGGGCCCTCCTGAGGAAGGGGCACTTAAGCTGAGATCGGGAAGATGAAGTAGAAGAGTTCCAGCTGCAGGGAGCCACATAGGCAAAGGCCTGGCGGTGGGAAAGGCTTGGTGCACTGGGCGCAGGGAAGAAAGCCCAGCGAGGCTGAGTGGAGGGAGTGAGGGCCTGGCCACCTCAGCCTCGTGAGCCCAACCCGCCATGCTCTTCCAGAGGCTTCTGCTTGAGAATGGGAAAGAAGTTTCCAGCAAATAAGGCCCCCGTTCCCAGGAGGAGGTCCCAGCTCGCCCTGCCCCCTCCTGTCTTCTCAAGTCCCCTGGGCCACAGAAGCCTTGAGGGACCCACCCTCACCCCTTCTGTGGGCCCCAGGGCTGGGGTGTCCTCTCGCCGATGGCCTTCTTGGGGTGGATGAGTGGAGATTACTCCAATAACTGGAGCCTCTGTCTTCCCAGGTAGACAGGCCTGGCCTCAAAACCCTCTCTCCATCAGGAGCAGGCTGTGGGACTTCAGCTCTTTGGAGCCTCAGGTTCCTCATCTGTAAAATGGGAAGATTCTTTCTTCCGGAGTCATCTTAATAAAATGTGTTGGGCTGTTTATACAGGGCAGGCATTTGGTGGGGGCCAAACCACCGGGTAATTATGCTAAAAATAACTATGATTATAGGTGGCAGAGGGGTGCAAATGCCTCACAGCCTCATCCCGCAGAGGAATGAGAGCTTCGTCAGGGCCGGGACCTTGTCTGGCTCGTGGCTGCTCCCACGACGACTGGCGTGGCAGGCACGTGGTCAGTGTTCCGCCATCGACTGACTGGGCGGATGAATGATACATAAATGAATTCGCGAACGACTGATGCCCAGCTTCCTCCCGAAGCAAGGTCATTCACCTCAGCGGTCGCGCCTCTCCCCTGCCCCTGCCCCGGATTCCCCGCCGCTCTCAGCTCTCGAGGAGTATGCAGCACTCTTCCGTGCAGCGTGCCTCAGTTTCCTCCGCTGTAAGCAGGCGGGACCAAGGCAGCCTGCCGGGGTCAGGATGAGGCTGGCAGAGGAAGGGCGCCTGTAGTGGGGCCCCGTACCCACGGGCGCCCAATCCGCGCTCGCCAGGGCCGAGCCCGCCCGCCGCGCGCAGCCCCCGCCCCACCGCCTGCCGGCCCCGAGCACACGTGACTCCGCCCCGGCCCGCCCCGCCCCGCCGTCCCAGCGCGGGCTCCCATTGGCCTTTCTGGGAGGCCCCGTCCCCAGCCGGGGAGGAGCCGGGCCCCGCCCGCCGCAGCGCGGGGCTCCTGCGTCCCGAGTGCGCGGCGGCCGGACCGGGCGGGCGGAGCCGGGCCCGCGGGGCTGCTGCGGGGCGATCGGGCCGGGCCGCTGCCGCGCCATGGTGAGCCGGGCGGGGCAGGCCGCGCGCTCGGGCCGGGCGGGGGCGCCGGGGCCCGGGGGCGGGAAGGGGGAGGCCAGGACGAGGAGGGGCGCGCGCGGCGGCGGGGCCGGGCCGGGGTCTGCGGGCGGGGGAGGGGCGGCCCGGCGGGCGCGGCTCGGGGGAGGGTCCGTTCCAGGGGCCGCGCCCGCGGGCTGGGGTTCTTTGTCAGCGGCGCTGCGGCGAGATCCGGACAAAGGAGGCGGCGGGGGGCGGAGGCCGCTTTGTGGGGATCGCGGGGCGCTCGCCCCCGCCCGTGCAGCCCCCGCCCGTCCTCAGCTACGCTCCCGCCTTCCCCCGGCATTTCGGGGTTCTTCAAAATTCTGGGAGCTCCGGGGAGGGCTCCGGGGATAGGGGTCCAGGTGACGTCCGGCGCCCGTCTCGCGGGTAGGGAAACTGAGGCCGGGCCGCAGCGTTCGGCGCCCGGTTCCGTGGGCAGCGGCTGCGCGGCGTGGGCATGCCTAGCTCCCCTGGTCCCCGTCCCACACCCCGCCTCCGTCGGGCCGATTCGAGCTACCTCCCCAGCTGCCGTCCCCTCTCCAGCTGTCGCCCCCTGGGCCGAGCCCCCTCCTCCCTGGAGCCTCGCTTTGCTCCTCCGTGGAGTGGGGGAGACGCCGGCGCCGCCGGGCAGGGTGGAACGGGAGGGTGCGCGGAGCGCGCCTGGCACCGCGCCTGCCACGCCGCCCGCGCTCAGCACTCGGGAGCCGCCGGGGCGCTGTCACCCCTAAGTCCCCAGCACCCAGCCCAGGTCGCCCAGCCCGCCCCAGCGAGGGCCACACTGGGGTTCACCTGTCCGCGGCCCCTCAGGCACGCGGGAGAGGAGGTAGGGAGAATGTGGCATTTTAGAGTCAGGGTCGAAATGCGGGATTTTGGATGCAGGTTGCCTGGGTTTGAATCCCTGCGCGTCTACTTTTGAGCTGTGTGACCTTGGGCAATGGACTTAACTTCTCTGAGCCACCAATTTCTGTATCTGCCAAGAGGGAACAGTAATAGCTCAACTGCCCTGTTGTCTTGAGGCAGAAAGGAGACATCTGCGTGAGCTGTTTATCTCAGTGTCTGGCACATATAATTGCCACCAACTTTCTCCGGCATCTACAAGCAAAGTTGTTTGGCCAAACAGGCCAACCCTGGGGCAGCCTGTGAAAATGACCAGCGGGTGATTCACAGGGTGGGGGCATGAGCCTCTGGCCTGGCCCGAGGAAGACCCCGACTGACCTTGGGGCAGTCCCGGTTCAGAGCTCTGCGGGCTCCCGCTTCCTCTTTTGCCACTGGGGAACCTAGGGGATTCTGGAGCGAGTTTCCTCTTCTGAGGATGGGGGTGTCATGGGTGGGGGTGGAGGATGAGATAACACTGGCCAGAGAGCTGGGCACAGCCCCATCAGTGTCAGTCCCACTGGCATCCGGCCGTTCTTGGTCCTGGCTTCTGGAGGGCTGGGGCCTTGTGTGATGCGTCCTTGTGTCCCACTGGCTGCTGGAGGCCCAGGGCAGAACGGACGTCCCGCCTCGTCCTGGCTGTGTCCAGCAGTGCCCTCTTCTCCCTACAACCCTGTTTTCCCAGTCAGAACCTGGGGCAGGAAACGTTTCTGGTTTGTGACCCGGGGTTCGCTGAAGAGTTTGTTGGCACCCTTGGCAGGTGGCTTTATGGGGGGAGGCAGTACTGAAAGCCCCGTAGGGATGGCTGGTCCCCTGTAAGCAGGGCAGCCCTCCTGGCGTCTGTCAAGGAGCCTCAGGAGGTGGCGGCTGCAAGGCGGGGGTGTTTTGCTGGTGGTGAGCCCGGCAATGCTCATGATGTGCCCGGTTGAGTTAGGAGGAGGCAGCGTGTCCCTGGGGAAGGGGTGTTTGTGGCACTGGGCCTGGGCCAGGCTCTGTGCCCTTCTGGCCCTGGGGGTGGGCTTGGGGATCCCTCGGGCTCAGTGTTCTCCCTTTGTCCCTGCTGTAGCACACAGGAAGGTGTGGCTGGTGACATGCAAACCTGGTGACCTCATGTCCCTTTTGTTTTCACTTTTCTTACCACTTCTCATCCTCCCCACGACCTGGTAGATGAGGTCAGGGACTCGTATCCGCTTTGCGCATTGAGAAACTGAGGCCAAGAGGAGCAGCTTGCTTGGCTGGGCGGAAGCAGGCCGCAAAAGTGAGTGCTGGTCTGGGAGGATGGAGGGGACTCCAGCCTGCTCTACTGCGGTCTGTGGGCCCCCCGGGCCTAGAGCACATGGAGTGGCCTCTGGAGTGGGATCAGGCTCAGACAAGCCGGGGTCCTGGGAGGGAGAGCAGGACAGGAGGATACCCGTCCCCTCTCTGGTAGCTGGGGCAGGGACTGTCCATTTGAATGGCTCTGACGGGGTGGGGTTCACCCCCGGCTCTGCCCCCATGCTCCTTGGGTCCCAGTTACGGATCTCTGTGGGCCTTGGCAAACCCGGCAGGACAGTGTCAGTAACACCTGCAAGCTTGGGCTGCTGGGGAGGAGTGGCCAAGGGCGGTGCAGGCCCCCGCTCACCTGGCATGGCTCAGGCTTGTCTTGCAGTTGTTATTCCTTGGGACATGTGTGGGCTCTGCCGGGAGACAGAGTGTGTCCTGTGCTGCAGTTGACCTCCTTTGGGGTTGTTTGAGGATGCTGGGGCAGGGGGTTCTGGAGAGCCTGGGCCTTGGATCTTGCTTTTATAGTGGGTGGGTGGGATCCGAGAGTCAGGACCCCCTTGGCAGAGGATGGCAAGACTGAAGGCACATGGAGCAGGAGGGTGTGTGTTTGGGGGATCCAGATGGCCTTGGGCTTCAAATGCCAGGCAGAGGGGACACTCCAGCCTGCCCAGAGATGGAAGGCCCAGGCTGTGCTCTGGGTCCTGGCCCCTCTGCACTTGGAAGACCCCTTGGCTCTGCTGGGCTCCCCTCTGGGCTCCCATCCTGCCTTCTGGCTTTTTGCTTCACCTCCCTGCGTGCGCCTCAGTTTCCTCACCTGCCAGATGGAGATGCTAGGGTGAACAAAGGTGGCTGCAGCCTTTCTGGATCAGATGCTGGTGGGAATGAATGTGAGCTGCTGTCATGATGGTTGTTGGGTGGGCCAGGATTCCCATGTGCCAGCCTGGGCATCTCCCCAACCCAAGCTGTGGCCCGTCCCTGTCCCCTGCATCCTGTGGGCTTTACTGGATCAGGGCGAGGGGTTACCCAGCTTGCAAGACACAGCTTTGCTCAGAGGGGCTAGAAAGGAAGAACAGACAGGTGGGGTCCAGCCAGGCACAGGGGCTTGTGGGGACCTGCTGCCCTCCGCGCTTTGAGTTTCCCGGGGCTCTGCTTGGCCACCCCCTTCCCTCCCTGCCTGCCAGCAAGCATGGAGCCAGCTGCCCTTCCATGGGCTCAGGCCTGCCCTAATCCACTGGCACTCGCCGTTCTGTCCCCACACTAGGCCTGCAGCCTTCTCCCATGCAGTCTGCCGGCTTTTTTGAGTCTGTTGGGACAGAACATGGGGACCTGTGCTCAGGGTTCTGGGAGTGCCCTGAGTGTCAGGGACCCCCCCACCTATGATCCCCCTGAGAACAGGGTCTCCTCTAACTCATCACTGTATCTGCAGGGAGGGAACACTCAACAGACCATTCACTGAGCACCTACTGTGTACCCGTGCAGGGCAGGGGTACAGCTGTGGGCGGGACAGACGGTGCCCTCCTTGGACTGCCTTGGAGTCCAGTGCGGGGAGTGAGACAGCAGCCAGGGGACAGCCCCTGAGCCTAGAGAAGGGCAGGTAGCAAGGAGAGCAAATGAAGTAGGGCAAGGCTGTAGTGGTGGGGTGTGGGAGGAGGGGCGCCTGGGTCCAGGGTGGTCTGGGAGGGCAGCCTGCAAGAGGCGCCTTCTGAGAAAGTCCCGAATAGGAAGGTGCCAGCCGTGGGGCGGTCAGGGCAGAGGTGGGAGCGTGGGCTCGCAGCGGAGGGTGTGGGGACGCCTGGGGAGGCAGGGAGCTTGGATTCTCTTTGGTGCTGGGGAGGATTCTGAGTGGGGAGAACGCCATCACATTTTTGCAAAGATCGTTTCTCAGGAAACATTTGCTGAGTGAATGAAGGAACAGATACGCACTCGGGAGGGCCGGACCACAGGCCAGGCGTGACTGTGGCTCAGTCACTGGGCTCTGTGCTCGCGGCGGGGCAGAACCCCACATCTGGCTCTGCCCATGCCTCCTGGCCTGGGTTCAGGGCAGCAGACGGGGTTTTGGGGTCACCACTCCTCTTAGAGAATCCCTTTGAGCTGGGGCCGCCTGTGCCTCAGTTTCCTCATTAGTCCTGGGGCCAGTGGTTGAACTGGGGCCCTTGAACTCAGGTGCCTCCTGGCCTGCCCACCTGGCTTTGCCCCGCCTATCCCAGGTCCTGGTGCCATTGTTTGATTTTCTACTTCCTGTCCCTGAACCACCCCCACCCCCAAACACACACACTTCCCCTTCCGAATTGATACTGACTTGTCTTCCTGTCCAGAAACCCCAGGGGAGGGCAGGCACCCCAGCAGGCCCTGGGAACCAGAGGTGCAGGGGAGAGGGAGGTGGGAGGTGGGAGGCACAGGGCAGGTTGGTGTTCTTCTTGCAGGGAGAGAACACAGAGGTTGGGACGAGTGTAGACAGGCTCACCCAGCCATGGTGGGAAGGCTGTCTGTGGGGTCAGAGGGGTCCCCTGTCCAGTCTGGAGGCGTGAGAGAACAGCTAAGTGGGGTTGTGGAACCGGATGGTGGCAGGGGAGAGGCCAGGGTGGTCTGTACATGCAGGGGACAGAGCAGGGCCACCGTGGAGCTCATGGCCCGCTGGAGGGAGAGGTGGGCGCTAATCAGGTGGCCATGCTCCAGAAGCCAGGGTTGCATGCCAAGGCCACTGCTCCGGAGGGAAGGAGCCCGGCCGGGTTGGGAAAGCTTCCCTGCCAGAGCTGGTATTAACCGGGTCAGGGTGTCTTTCTCCAGCCGGGCCATCTGCGTGGTGGGGGCTGCCCTGTGCACGATAGGTGCCAGCAATATCCATGGTCTCCCTACTTGATGCCAGGAGTGCCACCTGCCCCCAGTTGTGACAACCAGAAGTGGCTCCAGACATGGCCAGATGTCCCCAGGGTGGGGACACAGTGGCCCCCAGTTGAGAACCACTGAACAAGGGTAAGCCGCCAGAACGTTCTGGGCAGGGGCAACTGCCTGGGCCAGGGCCTGGTAGGAGGGTTCGTTGCGGGGGTCAGCGTGGCTGGCGAGCAGGGCATATTGGGGATGTGTAGTGTTCGGTCCTGCAGGTCATTGTGAGGACTTGGAAGGCGTCCTGGCTGCAGTGGCCCCTGAGGGTGGGCAGGGAGATCCTTAGCGCCTGCGGCAGCCTGTCTCCTGGAGTCAGGGGGAAGGCAGTGGAATGGAGGGAGGGCACCTCCTCTGCCCAGGGCCCTCTGCAGAAGCTGCCGGTTTCCCCGGGCCTGGTCCCTGGACAGACGCTGGGGGCGTTGACTTAGCTGCCTTTGTCCTTCAGGCAAACCTGGCTTCTGGGGAAACTCCTGGTTGGGTAAGAATCATTTCTCCTTAAGGGTGCTGTTCCTCAAGGACGCAGCAGGTTCGACCCTATTTGGAGGGAAAACCTCCTTCCAGTGCTGTCTGCCTGTGCTGATGTCAGTCTTATCCAAAGGGAACAAAAAGCCAGACGTGTCGTTCTGAGTGCCGACCGCACGCCCAGTCCTGTGTAGAACGCGTCTCGGGCCTGTCCTCATCCTCACTGACCCCGGGTGCAGCCAGCGTTTGCTCTGTTTGTGGCGAGCGAGGCAGGAGAGGGAAGAAAGTGCAGGGTCTTGGGACTCCAGAGAACCTGCCAGCCTCAGCACTGCGGGGCAGCAGAGGCAAAGCCCTGGCCTCAGCATGCTCTCACTGGCTGTGCCTTGGGTGTCACCTAGAGGGTTGACAGGGTGCCTGGAGCTGGGGACTCTTAGACCTTATGTGCATTCCATAGCCACACTGTCCTCCGCCACTTGGCAGGCCCACCCATGGGTGAACTCCGTGGCTCGGCCAGGTGGAGGTGGTGGTCCCAGCCCTCCAACTTCTGGCGTCATTCTTTCAACATGTGGAGCACAGGCTTGGCCTGGCCTGGGAGGGGCCTCATCCCCGCTCCCACCCAAATCAGCTGGTGCCCCGACTCCTGGCACTTGCCAGGGGGACCCTCTCTGCCTTCAGAGCCTTAGCCCTCACCGTGCCCCCTGCCAGGAACACTATTCCCCATCAGCACCGCCTCCCTGCCTCCCACCTGCCCACCCAGGTTAGCATCTTGGCACCTGGTTGCTGTGTTCCTGACAATGGCACCCTGTATTGTGAGTGACCGGCATTTGGGGTACTAACCAGTTACAGTCTGGCGCCTGCATTAGATGCTAAGCACCATCAGGGAGGGAGCCTCTGTCTCACCCTCCCTGCCTCCCCGAAGCTTTCCCAAGTGCCTGTCTCCATCTCCCGGGACACTCTACCCTGTTGCTTCCTTGGTTGGCCTCCGTCCAAACCACACAAGGGACTCTACCGCCCAGCTTCCTTCTCAGATGGTGTGCCGCGTTCCAGGGGTCTTCCCAGGCCCGATGCAGTGCCTGGTGACAAAGGCTGTTGTCCAGTACACCCTCTCACAGGTGTCCCCAAAGGACCTGCCTGTTCTGTATATGATGTCTGTTTGGGAGAGGGACTGATGTCATTGTCATTTCTTTTTCTTTTTTTTTTCTTTTTTTTTTTTTTTTTTTGAAGAGACTCTTGCTCCTGTCGCCCAGGCTGGAGGGCTAGAGCGCAGTGGTGAGATCTCGGCTCACTGCAACCTCTGCCCCCCAGCTTCAAGCAATTCTCATGCCTTAGCCTCCCAAGTAACTGGGATTACACGCATGTGCCACCATGCCCAGCTAATTATTGTATTTTAGTAGATACGAGGTTTCACTATGTTGGCCAGGCTGGTCTCAAACTCCTGGGCTCAAGTGATCTGCCGGCCTCAGCCTTCCAAAGTGCTGGAATTACAGGCATGAGTCACTGCACCTGGCCATTTATCTGCTTTCAAACCCCCATCTCTGGCCATTAGGAGGCCCCAGTTGCCCTCAGTCCCTGAGTGGTCATGAACACTGAGTTGGGGCTGGGCTTCCCGAAGGCACACCTTCAGCTGAAGAACCAGAACCATGTCTGGCCCTCTGGCATCCTTTGCTGCAGCTGTCGCTGTCGCAGTGTTCCCGGCTCTGCCGCCAGCGAGGGTGACTCACCTGCCTGGTACAGCAGCACTCGGGGTTTCAAAGGTCATGAACAGGAGCTGGGTGAGCGTGGGTGAGCAGACGCCTTCGAACGCCGGCCAGCATGCTTTTTGTCAGGGTGAGGGTGGGATGGGCAGGTCTGAGAACGATTAAAAATAGACCCCGTGGAAGTGCTAACCGCAGCTCGTCAACCTGCTTTGTCTTTCAGGACTCCCGTGTCCAGCCTGAGTTCCAGCCTCACTGAGTGGCCACCCCCAAAGTGCTGCCAGCCGAGGAAGCCCCCAGCACTGACCATGTCTATTATGGACCACAGCCCCACCACGGGCGTGGTCACAGTCATCGTCATCCTCATTGCCATCGCGGCCCTGGGGGCCTTGATCCTGGGCTGCTGGTGCTACCTGCGGCTGCAGCGCATCAGCCAGTCAGAGGACGAGGAGAGCATCGTGGGGGATGGGGAGACCAAGGAACCCTTCCTGCTGGTGCAGTATTCGGCCAAGGGACCGTGCGTGGAGAGAAAGGCCAAGCTGATGACTCCCAACGGCCCGGAAGTCCACGGCTGAGCCAGGATGCAAGGCTCCTGGTCCTGTTTGCAGCCGGCCAAGAGGCGCTGGGAGGGGCAAAACCATACGGATGCGCTGCTGTCTGAGAGGAAGGGCTGACACTTGCTGGCATGGCCTCTGCGGGCTTCGTCATCGCATGCACTGATGCCCGGGGACCTGGCTGTCCTGGGCTTCCCCTCGGCCTCCAGGTGAGGCTGCCCATTGCAGGCACTGGGCAGGCCTGACCTTGCTGGGGCTCATGGCCCTGTAGCGCTTTTGTTACTTGAATGTCTAGCTGAGCCTGTTTTTGATGGAGCTACTACTGTAATGCGTGAACTAACAAACCTGTGAACTGTAAATAGGCCCCTGGAAGCACGTGCTTAAGCCCTTTTGCTGATTTTTAAAAATATCATCTAGCGCACACGGGACTGGTATTCTGGCTGTACTAATGACAAGCTGAGTCAAGACCCTGGAGGGTCATAGGCTTGTAAAGGCCCACGCCACACTCGGCAGGGGTCTCTCATGTGTGTCCATCTGCGTGTATGTCAAGGAAGTGAGATGCCAATTTGGGGTCTTGAGGCTGACCAGTTGGGGTGCTTGGGTGATCTCTGCTTCATTAGTCATGGGTGGAAGAAAAACCACACCCCCCGCACCCCTCCGTTCTTTCTGCATAGACTCACTTGTTAAATAGCAGTTCTGTTGAGAGTGGAGTTACTGCAGGGAAGCTACCGGACCTGCCTGGGAGCCAGTGAAGGGCGAGTCAGGGCACGCGTCCTGGAGGCTGCCAGCGTCCTTGTAGCAGAGCAGTTTCTTGCCGCTTGGGTCTTCAGCACGCCAAGCCCCCCACCAACCCTCCACCCCGAGTGAAGGCTTCGCTGAAATTGCTTTGGTCCTCATAGAGCCTGTGGTGGCTACTTTTGGTCTGAAACCCACTTGGCCCAGGAAAGAGAAAAGGTTGTATGTTTTGTGTTGGTGTTTCCTATTTTCTGCACTGGAGGGGAGGGGACTGTTGAGGTTCTGTCTTTTTTCTTCTTTTCCTCTTCCCTCTTCACATCACTTGGCTTCCTTTCCTCTCTGATGACCGTCCGCCTATGGGGTTCTGACTTCACTTTCCTCAGCGGGTCTCCAGTCCCCTGACCCAGCTCTAAAGGCACTTAGGACCCAGGGAACATTTCTCACGTGCACATTCCCCTAAGAGCCACCAGACTGCTTCCTGCCAGCCTGTGCTTGCGGCAGGGAGCCGGGGCAGGGCAGAGGTGAACTTGAAGTTCAGGACTTGACTCTCCCACAGGTGGTGAGCTGGTGGCTCTCTGGTGAGCTAGTGTCTCCACAGCCTGTCTCCAAGGCCTCCCCTATGTACATTTCAGTGAGCTCACTTTGATTTTTAATCCCACCACAAGCACATACTAATTTTATTTATGATTCAAATGTGACTCGTGCCTGCCCATCCCTGTAATAGATGGAAGGTCAGCCCCGGCTTAACCACAGAGCACTGGCCCTTCATGGCTGAGCTCAGAGCTCTGGCCTCCTGCTCAGACTAAAGGCACCTCCTCTGGCCTCACCCAAGCCTCTTCTAAAAACCATGTTGAATGAATCCACGTTCTGGAACCCCGAGGCGGGAGAAGTAGGGAGCTGTTCGTTTAAGCAGCATACACCTAAATTGGGGGTTTAAACATTAAGTAGGAGCTTGGGGTGGAAGAGGGACAGCCGGCTGGGCCACCTGAGCAGAAGGTGGTAATGAAACACCTCAGCTGGGCTCTTGGGAGACCTTAGGAAGCAGGAGAGGCAACACCTCTGGCTACTGATGGTGTGGCAAGTTCAGAAGAGGTGGTGGTGGGGTAGGCGTGATGTCAGCAGAAGCCCTGCAGGCTGGGTGGGCAGGACACGTGGTGGGGGCCACTGAAACCAGGCCTAGGAGGGAGAACAAGTTCCAAAGGTGCCGACTGGAAGAAGGGGGTAAAAGTTTGCTTTGGTGAGTGAGAAAAGGCTGGGGCGTGTGATCCATCCCCTCACGTTTCAGAACTTCCAGGCTTTCTACCTCGACTCTCACCACAGCCAGCACATACACCTAGGCTGTTTTTCCTTCCTCCACACCTGAGGGACGCAGCAACAGCTAGGATCTGCATTTTCAGGTTCCGAGCCTGACCCCTGGAACTGACCAGCGCTCGATTGTCAGCCTTGGCCTGGGGTTTTGACCTTGCCAGTGAAGTTTCGGTTTTGAAGTGATTAAATGTCACTTCCTCATCAGTTTCACTTCTGGAGGTTTTCTTATCCTACTCCCTGGTGCCAGGGACGTACCTGGGAGTTTGAATCAGGCCCATTTGAGCGTGGCAGCCGTGTTGGGTGAAGGTCCGGGGCTCGGTGAGGCACTGGGGGGGTTTTCGGGAGGAAAATGAAAATGCTTCTAGAATGAGTGAACCACATCATAGCTCTCACTGTTTTTTCAATAGCTACTTTTTTTAGCAGACACCAGAGCCACACTCAAATGGCTAAGTAGGTTATGACCTCTCTGGATTATTTTTGAATGCCCAACTGTTGCATTCAAGTTTTCTGACTAATAAGAAATTAAGCATTCATCCTTCGTATCACTGCAGAAGCAACAGTGGGGGCACAGGGAGGGAACTCTTGACACTGAGCCACTAAAATATGGACTAATTTTTTGGACAAATCTTCAAACGGACTGTGCTACTGTATTTGTCTCAAAGCTACCAAGTTTGTGCAATAAGTGGAAGGGATGTCATCCTTCTTCAATAAATGCTGAATGACATTCAAGCTGATTTTCTAGACCACTGAGAAAATCTTTATTTACAATAAATTTCAATAAAATTTGCATAAATATATTCCCAATGTACAATTTTCACCTCTGATTTCTTCATATCATTTAAAAAGTTAGTCTGTCCTGTTCTCCTTATTCCTTTCAGACACCAGTGTGGCGCTGACATTGGCAGGTGGAGGGGAGCTGCCAGGGAGCTGGGGGGTGGCTGAGGGCTCAGGCTGCTTGGGGTGGACCTCTCTCTGGGCCGCCAGGCTTTCAGCTCCATCCCTGCCCTCCAGTTTCCTCTCCATGGTCGCCACCAGGATCTTGAGCCACGTGTTCTCGGTAAGGAGGTTTTCTGAGGCATCGGCCAGCTCCTGCAGCTTGCGGGCCAGCTCCTGCAGCTCACGTGTCTTCTGCTCATAGAGGGCCTGCAGCTGCTCACTGTGTGCGTGGAGCAGGCTGTGCTGCTCTTCCAGGGCCCGCTGCTGCTGCCGCAGCCGGTGCTCATCTCTGCGGGCACTGGAGAGCTGGGACTCCACCTGCACTTGTGCTCGCTGGAGGCTGCTTATTTCTGCTCTCAGTTTCTGGATCTCTCTCTCCAAGTGGGAGATGTGCCCCCGCTGTAAGACTGCCTCGCTCTGAAGACACTCCTTGGTAGGAGAGTTAGCCACATTCTGGGGGCTGGAAGCAGGGTCTGAGTGATGCAAAATGAACCTCAACAGGTTTGGAAGGGTGATGGGGACGTCTTCGGGGTATTTCACACTTAGGTCCTTTCTGGAGAGAGAGGGAAAGGAAGCAAAGACAGGAGTCACACCAACACAATGAGTCCAAAAGCAGGCTGTACCTGAGGCCAGGCCATCTACTTCTCACCAAGAAAAGACGTTCCGTGGATTTTACTTACTGAAAGTAAGGAAAATGTTGCCTGGGCAAGAAATTCTCTACAAAGCTGAGGCTGTCCCATATGCTCGTTCTGTAATTAAGATGGCTTATCTGTTCCTGAAGCCAGAGCTCAGCTTCACCCACACCCTCCAAGAAAGACAAGAGCTCCTAGGCCCAGGCCTAAAGCCAGTGATGCAGGGCCCCAGGAGTGTGTAGGCATGGGGCCTCTGTGTGCTCGGAGATGCCCAGCGGCTGTGTCAGGAAGAGCGTCCAGGGGAGGCAGGAGTGTCCCACCTATGTCCCTCTTGTGCCCACTGACAGTGCCCGGAGAAAAAGGAAGAACTTGAAAGATACCCAGTCTGTTTCTTCAGCAAGCATTTATTACACATTCTCTAAGGCAGGGGTTCTCAACTGGGGGTGACTGTACCCCCATTCCCCAGGTACATCTGGCTCACACCTGGCAACCTGATAACTGGCAAACAGCCCAACCAAAGGACTATGAATTCAGGCTGCCCAGCCCTGAGAGCACAGAATAAGGAAGGAAGGTGACATAGAAAGGGGTTTTCCCTACAGCTTTGTTCCAGGTCCTGATCTAGAGATCTAGAAAATTCCTCTTCAGAACTTGTCATTTAATCGTCTGATGATGTTTCTCTCACATATCTATTTACCTGTGCCTGTACAGCCTGGCTGCAATTGATCAAAACTACCAGCTTTATGCACTTAGGTATGAGGTGGGCCGGCAGCCGAGTTTGTCTCCCTCAGGTGTTAACAGAATGGAAGTCAACAGCAGGGACTCCAGAGCCTGGCTGCCCAGGGCCACTGGACCCGGCCGTAAATTGTTTTATAATTTTGGGGTAAACATTCAACCATCCCCTCCTTTAAAGCTTAGTTTTCTTAACATATAAGCTTTCTTCAAGTGGGGCCCAGCCATTCAAATGACAAAGCTGGGTGTGGTGCTGTGTGCCTGTAATCCCAGTGCTTTGGGAGGCTGAGGTGGGAGGATCGCTTGAGGCCAGGAGTTTGAGACCAGCCTGGACAATATAGTAAGGCCTCATCTGTATAAAAAGTAAGATAAAAAAATTAGCCAGGCAAGGTGGCACACACCTGTAGATCCAGCTACTTAGGAGCCTGAGGTGGGAGGATCACTTGAGTCCAGGAGTTCAAGACTGCAGTGAGCCGTAATTGCACCACTGCACTCCAGCCTGGGCAACAGAGTCAGACCTTGTCTCAAAAACAGAAAACCAAAAAACCCCACAACAACTGAAAACACATCGTGGCCCTGTCAAGTGGGCCCATGGAAGAATACCAGACGCTGGACCTGCCCCCACGTTCTGCGGCACAAGCCTGGTCTTGTAAGGCAGAGTAAACGTGAATTACTTCCCAGAAAAAGCTGCCAAGATCCCTCAGGATGTCTACCTCCAGACATTTACAGGACAGTGACATCCGTGAGCATGCTATCTGCTAACTAAGAGGTCTTGGTGCACTCTCCATCAATGTCCCTAATGGGCACACTAAAATACTGCCACACTTTGTGAAAGTAGCAGGGACAGAGAATGTCAACAGTCTACTTCCAGGAAAGCAGTCATGTGAAACTATGGTGGGAAGAGGTCCCCATGTCTATGCAACTCTCCTCTAACCCTGAGGGAGTGGCAGGGCACACCTCTAAAAAACTGTGATTCTTCCCCTGGGACACATCAGAGTCTCTTGGTGGACAGGAGCACCCATCTCCCCCTCATCACCCTGGCCCAGGGCCAGGCCAGAGCACCTATATTTTGCAATGTCACACAGAGTCTGACGCAAGTGCTGGCTGGAGGAGCACCTGCTCGGTGGAGCAAGTGGCTCCAAGATGCCTCTGCACAGGAAGGCTATGTCTCCCTCAAGGCCCCACCCCTTCCTCTTCCTCCCAAGGACAGGCTCTTGCATTTTTTTCCTTCATGATTTTTATAAATCAAGACATGCTCTTTGTAGACAATTTGCAAGGGATGTAAAAACATACAAGCAGCACCTTCAAATCACTTGCAATCTCACTCCTCTGAAGTCATCAATGTTAACACCTCAACATTTTCCCCTCTGTGAACATCTCCACCTAGCACATGCACAAGTTTATATTTTATCACAGTAAATATACAATTTCATATTCTTTTCACTAAAAATAGCATAAGCAGGTGGACAATGAAAAAGGTCTTACTACATGTTATCCAACAGCCTTTTTCATTTCCTCTTTTGCAAGCTGTCAGCTCACGCTGCTTGCCCATTTACCTTCTGGCTAAACCAAACACTCGCTTGGGACCAGCTCATGATGAGCATACTTTACTTCTACCATTTATTTTTAGGAAATGAGAAAAATTCCATTCCAAAGCCATAAAGCTTTGGTTTACCAACATCCTTACATTAAAAGAGAAGTGGACAGTCTTCTTATGTTCGATATTTAGAAACGACAAGGGTAAGGGCCTGCAGCAAGTGCCCAGCATGGGGCCGGAGAAATGCGCACATCTTCACGTTTCCCACACCAGGCAGCCTAAGAACGAAGGTCACTCAGCCCAGACGCAGGCCTCCAGATGACGCCCCACCCTGCCACCTGTTCCGCCTGTGTCTCTCTACACAGATGCATTTCTGCCAGCTGCTGAGAACTTCTTCATTAAAAGGCATGTGCTGGGTGCTAAGATTTTCATATTTTTTCAAACTATGCTTGGAATTCAAAAATTATACGTCATTAAACTACATGCCCAACTCCTGGCCCACACAGATGAAAGTGTTAGTGTTACTGTCCGTGATTCCTGGACTATGTGGTAATTTAAACACTTCTTAGAAAGAAAAAGCCTCATCACAACTCAGTCAGCAGTAGAAAAGGGTGAGTCACATTCTGTTTTTAGTGCATGATGTGACAAGACCCTACTACCACAGAAGTACTCCCGCAAAAATTCTTTGAGATACAAAGCAAAAACCAAGGGAATGATTCAATAGATATGAAGGAAACACTCTCCTAGAGAAACATGACAAGCTGAATCGCAAAAGGGAGGCAGGAAATTAAAACAGCAAACGTCATACATGCGAGCCAGGGAACTCCCTAAATGATGCTGCAGACACTTTCCCCTGGAGAGAAGATACTGTCAAAGTCATGTGAGTGGGTCCCCAAAAGGACTCAACTTTCTAAAAACCAAAGGGAATCTATAAAAAGGGAGCAAACATCCAGTGTATTAGGCTCTAAAGGACCAAGAGTTAATTTCTTTTTCCACTAAAACATCTGCATCTACGTTTACTAACTGGAAGTCCGCTCCCCCTTGTTAATGTCCTGCTTGCAGGGGCTTCCGGGGTAGTTGCCGTTAAGAACTGCACCTGGAATACTGATTAGGCAAGTGTGAAAAAATCAAGCGACCATCCCATGGCGGACGTTCACAGCAGTCTGCACGCATGGGAGAAAACCCCTTTGTAGGCCTCCTGGAATCCGAGAAAAGGACGTGCCATGGGTAAGAAAGCCACCCTGTCCTCTGTACGAGAGGGATGAGGAGCTGCTGGGAGGCCAACTGAGAGACAAGCAAGTGGAAGGCTTGGGGCAGGCAGGGCTCCACAGATTCTCTGCTGTTTTGCCCCACACAAACATTGCACCACTGCACTCCAGCCAGGGCAACAGAAGAATCCTGTCAGTCTCTGCGTCCTCCATATGTTCATACAGGCCATGAAAGCTAAGAATTCTCACGGCCACATTCAAGCTCGGGTAAGAGATAGACTGGGAAAAACAACCTTTAAAAGATCCATACCACACATAACATCCTGACACTACAACCCTTTTATGTCCCTAAGGACACTTTTTTTTTTTTTTTTTTTTTGAGGCAGAGCCTCGCTCTGTCACCCAGGTTGGAGTGCAGTGGTGTGATCTTGGCTCACTGCAACCTCCGCATCCCAGGTTCAAGAGATTCTCGTGCCTCAGCCTCAGAGTAGCTGGGATTACAAGCATATGTCACCATGCCTGGCTAATTTTTGTATTTTTTGTACTGATGGGGTTTCACCATGTCGGCCAGGCTGGTCTCAACCTCTTGAGCTCAAGCAATCTGCCTGCCTCAGCCTCCCAAAGTGCTGGGATTACAGGCATGAGCCACCACGCCTGGTTCCTAAGGGAACATTTTTTGAACATAATGAATGATTTACATCTTAAACCCATTTCATTTTCAGACCTCCACAAAAGAATCCCAACTGCCCACCAGTGACAAAAATTTGGCATTACCTGTTGCAGGGAAAAAACAAGACAGTAGGAAGACGATCGACCATAAATTCCCAAGGAAGGTCATTCTGAGACACGTCAATCCTGGTAAAGGGAAAGAACAGAAATGGCAGATGATCAGCCCAAGAAACACCAACTTGAAAGAACCTTCTCAGATAACTTCAAGAACCTGGTGCATTTTTTACACCCCACATTGGGCTAGTCCCTTCTCGATGAATGTACTACCAGGTGTGAGCTGGGCGCTGATACTTCCAAGACATACAACATTCTACTACGTGGACGCTTTCCACTGAGTGGCAATGTGATGTCCTGAAAGTAAAAATGAACTTGCAGAAAATGCCGCACTGACACCTGAGGAGTCATTCACTCCTCACCTGACAGGATCTAGCCAAGTATTTTAATCCCTGAATAGCTCTGGGAAAAGAAAGGAAATCATTGAGCAAAATACATCAAGCCCCTCTGAAGATGGAAAATTATACCCTCTTTATGTTGTAAATCTGGATAGAGACCAAAAACAGCCTATTTTCTTAGCAGATTTGACATTAATTTTCTAATACAGAAAATGACATCTGTACTAACTCACCCAGCCTGTGCTCAATCACTGTGGGAGCTAACCGCAACTGCTCTAGAGGCCTGCCCCGGGCAGCTGGCACAGAGCTGGGCACACAGCTGGGCGCCCACACTCGGGCTAAGCAGACATGGAGCCACAACAGCATCCTTTATGGAAGGGGCTGCATCCTCCTTGCGGAGGGGCTATTCAGCTACTATTCATAAACAGTGCACACAAAAGATGAACATGTTTTCAATCTTTACCTTGACAGAAGTTTTTAGAAAGCATAACTGGGGGGAGTGAGGGTGCGGTAAGTGTCATGTATGTGTCCAAAAGGATGAAATTTGCTTTTCAAAAAATGGCACAACCAGGCTGAGCACAGGGGCTCACGCCTGTAAATCCAACACTTTGGGAGGCCGAGGTGGGTGGACTGTTTGAGCCCAGGAGTTCGAGACTAGCCTGGGCAACATGGGGAAACCCTGTCTCTACAAAAAATTGGCCGGGTATTCTGGCACATGCCTGTAGTCCCAGCTACTTGGGAAGGTGGGAGAATCACCTGAACCTGGGAGGTTGGGGCTGCAGTGAGCTGTGATTGCACCACTGCATTCCAGCCTGGGCAACAGAGTGAGACCCTGTCTCAAAAAAACAACAACGCCGGGCGTGGTGGCTCACGTCTGTAATCCCAGCACTTTAGGAGGCCGAGGCAGGCAGATCACGAGGTCAGGTGATCGAGACCATCCTGGCTAACGCGGTGAAACGCCACCCGTCTCTACTAAAAATACAAAAAATTAGCTGGGCATAATGGCGGGCGCCTGTAGTCCCAGCTACTCGGGAGGCTGAGGCAGGAGAATGGCGTGAACCCGGGAGGCGGAGCTTATAGTGAGCTGAGATTGCACCTCTGCACTCCAGCCTGGGCAACAGAGCAAGACTCCATCTCAAAAAAAAAAACAAAAACAAAAAACAACAACAGCAACAAAAGGCATAACCAAATGAAAACCATTTACCAAAAGTTTACTAACAAAACAGCACTCCTGCCTCACCTGTGCCAGCCTACCTAAAACATTAGTGTTCCTTTCTAAACAAGTGGGAGTGAACACTATATTCCATAATTAAATGCTTTTTCTCACTTGATTCTTACTTCAAAGAAAGCAAACTATAAAATTAAAACATTGTAAAAATCCACTCAGAATTCCATTGGGCTAAATAAGGCCCCCCTTTCTTATGCAGGCTGCAGGCTTGGTCTATATGCTTACTTTTTTTTTTCTGAGACACAGTCTTGCTCTGTCGCCCAGGCTGGAATGCAGTGGTGCAATCTCAGCTCCCTGTAACCTCCGGCTGCTGGATTCAAGTGATTCTCCTGCCTCAGCCTCCTGAGTAGTTGGGACTACAGGCACGTGCCGCCACACTTGGCTAATTTTTTATTTTTAGTAGAGACAGGTTTTCACTATGTTGGCCAGGCTGGTCTCGAACTCCTGGCCTCAGGTGATCCGCCCACCTCGGCCTCCCAACATGCTGGGATTACAGGCATGAGCCACTGCACCTCGCCTATATCCTTACATATTTTTAAGAAGAGTTGTCATATATTTCATACTCTGTTCTTTTCCATTAACTGTATGAAAAGCACTGTTGAAGGATAAAAATTCCATTAAATGCCCAGCCATAATTTACTTAAACATTCATCTCCTGGTGGATGTAAACAATGCTATAATGATGAGCTCATGCTTCTTCGGAATTCCTATTCCATTACTTCTCCAAAGTAAAATTAACTGGGTCAAAAATGTGTTAACTGTTTTTGTTGATTTCTTGTAAATGTTGCCAAAATGCTTTCCAAAAGAGTTATGGCAATGTACTCATTCCATTAGATACATCTGACTGCAGTTTCCATTTTATTTTATCAACACAAGATTCTGTCACTTAAAACCACTGATTACTTTAATATGTTAAATGATACTTTGTTACTGTTTTAATTTACATTTATTAGGTTATAATTTCCCCACTTGTTTATTTACTCTCTCCTCTTAAAAGAAAAACCTGCTCACATCCTTTGTTCAGAATGGAATCGGTCTCAGCCATCTTCTAAACCATTTTAATTTCCGGGGAGGCTGGAGTATGAATGCCTGATTTAATCCTGGCCCCTCATTTGCAGCTTGAAACTCTGGGCAACTTGTCGAATCTTTCTATGTCTCAGTTTCCTCCTCAACACAAATAGCACTTTCTTTTTTTAACTAGAGTGCCTTCACTAAGCGTCGCAAGGACTCAGTCAGGTAATATGTATATCAAAAACTCTCCCAACATAGTAACTCCTCAGATTTGATTCTAATTATTACTTACAGTGCATATAACAGGTGACACAGAGACACTGGAAAATATATTAATGGTCCCCCTTTTTGTCTGCTTTCCCTGTTTTCACTGCACGTATTTCTAGTGGAATCTGTCCATTTTTCTCTCTTTATTTTTCCAACTGCTTCCACTTTGGAAAGTTTCCATCTCCCAGAGGAATCAGCAAATCCTATTTTTTGTTTTGATTTTTTTATATTTAACTCTTATCTATCTGTAGGGTTTTGGGGGAGGTGGGGGGTTAAATGTGAACAGTTTTCCTCACCCAAAACTGCTTACTACCCCATCTAAAGACTCTGTATTTGAGCCTTCTTTTCCCAAAAAATATTTTTAAAAATTTTGTTTACTCAAAAGCGCACATACAGTACCCATGGAATCACAATACCAGAATGTGGATATCTATTGGTCTTTCCTTTTAATTTCACAAATGAGATAAACCAGGGCTGGTGGAGAGATCTGCTTGGGATCCCAGGACCCACTGGCATTGCCTGGGGCAACTGTCCCATGGTATTCCACGGGGCCATCCTGGCAACCAGGTCAGTGCTCTCCCCACAGAACTGCACTCAGCCACCTACGAATCTAGTCAGGGCTAAACATCAACATCATGGAAGGAACACTCAGAATTCATGAGGAAAAGTTCAGTTTCAAAGAGGCTTTGCTCATGGCTTCAACCTGACAATTAAATTCAGCCAAGTCCTACCAAAGGTTAATGGAAAATGGGCAGACCCTCACACACCATATGGCTAAGCTGCAAATAAGAGTGAAAATGGGCATACAGCCCAAAGCGCTGCAGAAGAGGCCTGCTTACCTTGCCACAGTGAATGTGTCCATGGGCAGGTTCCGAGCTAGCTGGATGAAGATGTGATTGAGGGATGGACAGAAGCCGCACCACGGAGCGTAATAGAGCAGGAGAACGTCCTGTGGGAAAGGGAAGACAGATGTTACTTGCACCGGGAAATGGGCTCTTCTTCATTTCTTTCCTCATTGCTTAGAATCCAGCAAGCACCCGAAAAATGCTACCTATGCAAATATTACAGTGAAAATTTTCATCTTTAGGTCTTTCCAATACTGTGCTTTCTGGAGCACTTTTCTGAAATTTAAAAACCACATGTAATTCATTCACGGTCCATAATTGGGCCATCACGTGGTTACTCTTCTATACATCAAAAACAGCTGCTCACCCCAACAACTGTAGTTTGGAAATTATTTTAAGAGGGACAGATGGCTTAACTTTTGCCTCTCATGACTCCATACCTGTTTTTGAAGGACTACTTCCCAAAAGGTATCAGTTGTCACTTCAGTGATTAAATGCTGAGACGGGAACTGGGCAGAGCCACTTCCAATGAGATGCCTTTTCAAGGGACTATAGAGAACGCTGAAGTTTTGAATAAAAGACTCTAAAAATAAAGAGAAAATGAGATCAACTCTCCTCTAGATACAAAGAGAATAGCTGGCCTACTTTTAAACTCCACATTTTAAAAACTCAAATGACTTCATAGGCTCACATTTTTAACATTTCACCTATCAGCAAAACCCCAAACAAAGCTGCCCGGGTGGCATCAGGTTTAGCTCTGGTAGTATTAACTCAGCAGACAGTAATGTGGATAACAAAACACTATGCAATGTTAGATGCTCTAATATTCATAGACTATTCTTTTTTTAAAAGGACTGGTCCACAAATAGACACCAAGTGAGACTGTATAAATCATCAACAAGCCACCATCTTTTCAAGAAATTTCACCCTATAATACTAAGACCTTTAAGCTTAACCACAAATGTGACAACTGCACAAGCTACAGTAGTGTGGAATGTGTTTAAATGCTCATTAATTTGAGGACAAGGAGCTACAGTTTTTTGTTTCCTTTATTAAGGTTCTTTAAGTTTCTTTTTTTAAAGGTTAAGAAAAAATTATATGTAGTGGAAAAATACATAAAACCCATAATAATCAAAAACCTGATTTGAACCAACAGTTTTACCACAAATTCTGCCATCTTCAGAGTCCTTTGCTTCATCTGAAACAATACTAATTTGAATTTCACTTTTTTTTTTTTTTTTAAAGAGACAGGGTCTCACTCTGTTGCCCAGGCTGGAGTACAGTGCTGCAATCATAGCTCACTGTAGCCTTAAACTCCTGGGCTCAAGCGATCCTCCTACCTCAGCCTCCAGAGTAGCTGGGACTACAGGCGTCCACCATTGCACTCAGCTAAAGTTTCAGTTCTTTTTCTTTCTTCTAACTCCCTCCATTTTGAGGTGCAATGGGCAATGCAGCGTGCAGAATGGAAGAGGAAGTGAAGAATGTCATGTGAATACTAAAGAGAATTCATGATCAGCATCTGAGAAACACTTAGTTGGCTATGTTTTTGAAACATGAAACCAAGAATTATTTCCTAATCTGAATAAAGCCTAAATTCTGAAACTAGCCTAGAGACAGCTGATTTATGAGTTAAGTCTCTAAACCAACAATGACACACAGTAGGTGTTTTTTACAAGCTCCCTAAGAATTCTGTCACTAACTGCAGGACAAAGAACAGCTAGGCTAAACATTTCAGAGAAGATACAGAAGATGGAAAGAAATCTAAAGAAGGCTTCTTTCAATTACCCTTAAATTCAAAGTGAACACATTATGAGGTCATTAAACACTTGAGCATTACTGAATGGAATTCAGGAAAATCTAATACAGACTACCTCAAAAATACATGCTTGTAGGAACACTGACCCCATTTCTCTGGAGTCTCTTTCCCATTTAAAAAAAAAATGCTTGTTTCATTTTAAGAAAGCTCAACACATCAAAATGACTTTAGATAACATGAATTGGGAGTAATCTATAATATCGACAGATTTATGCCCTTCAAAAAGTGACTGGTCACAGGGTTCTTTTACACAGTGAGGAACTCTTGGATTTATAATATGTAACTTGATATAGAAAAATCAATATTTACATAAAGCCTTTTCACAAATGTGTCTAATGTAAGAAACAAGCTTCACCTAGATTTGAAAGAGGATGGCTAAAAAGACTCATATGTAGAAGCTCTGAGTCTACTGTTGAGTTCATACTTTAAAACTTGAAATGAAAGGTTTCCTTCCCTACCAAATTCCTCCTTTCTCCATTCGGCATACACTGACCCTCCCTCCCGTTTCCAATGAGGCTGAACTAACGTGGCTTTTGAATTCTCACTTCATTGTGTGTAGTCAAGGGCATCAGCAAATTCCTGGGAACAGGCCAGGGTGGGTCAGCCCAATGTTGCTGCCAAGTCCCAGGGGCAAGCTCTGGGTGCTTTCTCATCATGGAGCCTTACTCCTCAAAAAGTGGGTTTTGCTGGTTTGCGACTGACACTTATTTATTTGCACTTTACACTTGTTACAGTGTAGGTACCCCAGGTCCCAGCAATATTACTCAGTACATTATGAAACAGCAGCAGAACAAATTAGGTCTGGTGGCCTTGATCCTTAGACATTTAAGCCTATGAGACAAAAAGGGAGGCAAGGCGGCTCTACTTCCTTCTTCACTGCTCTCTTTTTTTGGAGACGGAGTCTTGCTCTGTCGCCCAGGCTGGAGTGCAGGGGCGCGATCTCTGCTCACTGCAAGCTCTGCCTCCCAGGTTCACGACATTCTCCTGCCTCAGCCTCCCGAGTAGCTGGGACTACAGGCGCCCGCCAACGCGCCCGGCTAATTTTTTTTTTTTTTGTATTTTTAGTAGAGACGGGGTTTCACCACATTAGCCAGGATAGTCTCGATCTCCTGACCTCGTGATCCACCCGCCTCGGCCTCCCAAAGTGCTGGGATTACAGGCGTGAGCCACTGCGCCCGGCCACTGCTTTCTCTTTAAGCTCCTTTAGAACAAAGCTGCTGTCAAGGCTCACTTTCATCAGCCCCTAGGACATCCCACCAGAATAGCTCTCCACCTCCCTGCCTGTTCTAGTCCCCAAGTCCCCACTGCCTGCAGCTGGTTCTACCTTAGACATGTGACAGAAATCGCCAATTTAGAAAGTGGGACTCTTACCCCCACCATGGGCTAAATGACAAACTTATCCAAAATTCAGAGTGAGGAAGTTTCTGTTCCATTTAATAGACAAAATTAGCTTCTTTGAAAATTATGACTGATGGTGGTCTAAAGACTTAAAATGAGCTACGAAGGTGACATCACCCCACAACTAAATGTAATGAGAGCCATCAATAAAATTTACCCATATGAAGTCAAGCAAAATGTACAATGCTTGGGGAAATAAACTGCCTGCAGTACCTAGGGTGAGCTTCATCAGTGCTTGCTTTGGATCCAAGATGTAATGAGATTCTTCTTTCACGTCAACAATTGCCGCAAATTCTTTCACCTGAGTGGAGCTCGGAGCACCCAGTCTCTCTGCATATAACCAAAACAAATTTGAATCCAAAAGGTAGATGTTGAGAGTCTTGTTGGTTCTGCAGCTCAGGCCTGTGAAGTTTGTGCTAGTCATGTCCACTTCTGGAAAGAGATACCTGTTCTCCTCAATGTGAGGAACGGAGCTTGGGGCATCAACCTCACATTTCTTCTCAAGGGAAGAAAATGCAACAGTAGGGGCTTCAAAGACACCTTGTTCAGAGTCGATGAAGCCTGACACACCCCTGCTTATGGTCCTGCAACATGCAGTGTAGTAGCTGAAGGGGCTATAGGAAGTTAAAAAATTGCTGCATTCTATGCTGTCTGATGCCACATGATAAAAGGTCTGCTCCTTGAGGTAGAAAGAATCCAGAGCTGCTGCCATTTCAAAAAAGCTGCACTGTGGCACGCTGACCGAGCTCGGCTTCATGCCCCCGGAGGTCTGGTTGACACAGAGTTCACAGACGTTGTGGGTCCTGGAGAAGGAGTGCCACTGGGGCAGCACCACAGTGTTGCAGCAGGGGGACGCTGTGATCGTTGGCGGGTCTGGCAGCTGTGCCGGCACTTCCAGGGCCAGGGACTCCAGCACTGGAGCATCCACCCGCCGCAGGTGCTGAAGGAGACGCTCCACCACCTGGTCCCCATGACAGTTGTTGTACTCCAAGGCCACTTCGGTGATCTGAAATACAGGGCAGAGTTGGTGAAGGGCTTGGGGATGACTGAGGGACTAGCACCCCGTTAGCCACGTTTCACTTTCTGTAATTTCAGTTATCCATGGTCAACTCCGGTTCAAAAATACTAAATGGAAAATTCCAGAAATAAACAAGTCGTAAGTTTTAAACTACATGTCGCTCTGAGTAGTGTGATGAAATTTTTGCCATTACAAAAACTGCGAGCCATCCCTTTGTCCAGCGTGTCCATGCTGTGGATGCTGCCAGCCTGTTACTTAGTAGCCAACGCAGTTATCAGATCAACTGTCTCAGTATCACAGTGCTTGTCTTCAAGTAACCCTTTATTTATTAGAAGGGCCCCCAAAGTGTAAGGATAGTGATGCTGGCAATTCAGATATGCCAAAGAGAAGCCAAAAATGCTTCCTTTAAGTGAAACGGCAAAAGTCTCAATAAGGAAAAAAAAAGAGGTAAGGATGTTAAGATCTTCGGTAAGAACGAATCTTCTACCCATGAAATTGTGAAGAAAAGTGAAATTCGTGTGTAGTATATACAGGGTTCAGTACCATCTGTGGTTTCAGGCATTCATTGGGGGTCTTGGAACGTATCACCAAGAATACGCAGCAGGGTAGATGAGAGTGCAGGGGGAGATGGTTACTATATTTTTAAAAATACAACCCCAGGCATGGCACTCCTGGGCCAAATGGTACGCTGCCCATGAGATAAAACCTCCACACAATCTGGCCCGTTTGGCTTTCCAGTCTCACCCTACCCTCTTCAGAACAGACCAGGCCCTCCTGCAATGCCACACCTTTACGGAGTCCTGGCTGGGGACACCGGCTCCTCCATCTGTTCCCAAGGCCCAGCACCAGGGCAGCTGCTTCAGGGAAGCTAGTCCTACTCCCACTCCAGGAAGAGCTAGTTTTTGCACCTCCAGTGTCCCTGAGACCCCTTCTACAGTCTCACAAGCTTCTGCTGAGACATCCCTCTTCCCCACAAACTTACAGAACCTCACAGGCAGAAGCCACATTGGATTTATCCTGCCATCCCCGGGGCCTAGCACAGGGCCAGGCACATAACAAATGCTCAGTAAACCCCTGATGAATGAGTGGCAGCTCAGGGTAATGCACACAATCCTCTGTCTTGGTGAGATTTGCCACTTTACCGTCAAGCCAGTATTGGCAATTTGAATTTATATTTTATTCTAAGATTCTTCCATTTCCAAAAAGAATATTTCGTTACCCACCTCCCATTCTGGTTTCCTGAGAAAGACATGTAAGTTATAATCCAAAGGCATTTACTCTCTAAAACAGAAGAGTCTGTCAACTTGAATCAAATCTCACCACAGTTAGTTACAGGGTGCTGTCACTCAGGATTTTGTTTCGCTGTGTGTGTGTGTGTGTCTGTGTGTCTGCATGTGTAAAACAATTCAATGAGTGTAATTTCCAATTTAAAAACACAAGTTTTATAAAAATAAAAATAAAAAAGTTTTATAACGTAATATTTATAGTTAATTCAAAACATACATATTTGTACACAAAAATAAATTGTTTCAATAGTTCTCGGCATAAAAAAAGTCACTTTATAACCCACCAGAAAACTACTGGGTCAAGAAAAGAAGTCACTTTAGATGATAGGCCAGTGCTTGAAATTTTATTTCCCCTGCACAAAAACATCTCAGTGGTTTTTGGATGAGGCTCTGACAGCATGCAGTACTAACAAGGTCAAGCCTATATAATCCGTGAAGAGCCCAGATGCCCTCTGGCCCCATCCTGGTACTGTTTTAGATTCAAAGACGCAGTAATAGACAACTACTCCCACCCACTCCCGCAAAAACCTCCATAAGACTTCACGATTTACTGTAATCTTTTACAGAAGTCCAAGTAGGAGATCATTAATTATATTATAGAGAAGAAAATTCCTTGAAAAATCTTTCTTCATCTCTTTTAGCTTCAGTATCTCATAAACAAAGCAGCCACGTAAAGAATATTTTTAATTGAAGAAAGTATTCTGTCTACAGCAATGCTTTTTTTTTTTTTTTTTTTTTTTTTTTTTGAGACAGAGTTTCACTCTTGTTGCCCAGGCCGGAGTACAATGGCATGATCTCAGCTCACTGCAACCTCCCACTTCCAGGTTCAAGCAATTCTCCTGCCTTAGCCTCCCAGGTAGCTGGGATTACAGGCATGCATCACGACACCCAGCCAATTTTTTCTATTTTTATTTCGCCTGGTTAATTTTTTGCATTTTTAGGAGAGACGAGATTTCACCATGTTGGCCAGGCTGGTCTCGAACTCCTGACCTCAGGTGATCCACCTGCCTCGGCCTCCCAGGGCTGTAATCCCACTGGGATTGTAAGCATGAGCCACCGCGCCCGACCAGCAATGCTTTTTTTTGAGACGGAGTTTTGCTCCAGTTGCACAGGCTAGAGGGCAGTGGCACCATCTTGACTCACTGCAACCTCTGCCTCCCAGGTTCAAGCGTTTCTCCTGCCTCAGCCTCCCAAGTAGCTGAGACTACAGGCGCACACCACCATGCCTGGCTAATTTTTATATTTTTAGTAGAGACGAGGTTTCACTATGTTGGCCAGGCTGGTCTTGAATTCCTGATCTCAGGTGATGTGATCCACCCTCCTCAGCCTCCCAAAGTGCTGGGATTACAGGCGTGAGCCACTGCGCCCAGCCAGCAATGCTCTTAAAGAGTTAGGCATTATCATTTTTCTCCTATGAAGGGGAATTTATGTTTCTATTCCTTTTACCTAACAGGCAGTTTTGAAAACACAACTCATGTCACATTCTGTGTATCACTTGATGTCATTTATTTCATGTGAATAATTAAGGAAATCTTGGCAAATAACTGTTCGCACAGTAGATGTTTCCTTCTATTTTCTTTAATCAGGGAAATCTGTGAGCCTGAACATGCTAACCACGCCTTTGCTTACCAGATTCAGACGATGTGAATGCCTCAAATAAACACCTTTAAAATAGGAAACAAGTCACGAAGACTCTTTGCTGGCTGAGGTAAGCATTTCCTTTGATTAACAAGTTGTGTAATACACACTGTGATGTCTTATAACCTCTCTAGAACTCTCTAGAGACACCAGGGTGTCAGTGGCCTCACGCCAGTGTCAGGATCTGTACTTTTGCATGTGTGTGTGGGTACACATGCAGGTATGCATGTGTGTAGAAGCAGCTACCCACTATGGGCTTGGTGCGGCCACCATATGGTCACTCCTGACTGGCATCCTACATGCACCACAGCACAACTGTCCAGAATGTTGGTGCTTGGTATGCCCCCAACTCTATTCCACTCACTCTAAGATGACCTCTCTCTTCTCAACAATGCAAGCATCCTCAAAGTTCTGCCCAATATTAGGCCTAAGGTGGTAATGAAAAAGTAAAGCCACCTAACTCTTTCGTGGTCAACAAGCTAATGAATTTACAGCTCATCTTGCGTAAGTACAGCGTTCATCCTTCCCACCTTACCCAAAGGCTTCTTCATCTCTAGTCACTGTGTCACAGTTTCCCCGATCATAGACCCTACTTTCCACCCTCCACCTCTACCACCCAAGTTCAGGTTCTTACTACTTCGCAGTTTTCTGGAACCCTCCTGCCAGAAAAACGTTCGTAATGATAACGCACAGCCCTGGCTGCATCTCTTCACTGTCAGTAAGACTTGTATGGGCCAGGTGCAGTGGCTCATGCCTGTAATCCCAACACTTTAGGAGGCCAAGGAAGACCGATCGCTTGAGCCCAGGGCTTTTGAAACCTGCCTGGGTAACATGGCGAAACCCCATCTCTACAGAAAAATACAAAAATTAGCCAGGCGTAGAGGCGTGCACCTGTAGTCCCAGCTACTTGGGAGGCTGAGGTGGGAGGATCACCCGAGCTCAGGAGGCAGTGAGCCGAGATCATGCCACTGTACTCCAACCTGGGCAACAAAGGAAGACCCTAACTCAAAAAAAAAAAAAAGAGAAGACAAAGACTTGGATGACTATGGTTAATCTTGAAATCCTCAGAGAAGTCCACAAGGCCCTCTCCTCCAAAGGCTTTTTCAAGATCTCTCCCCAGTTAGCCCTTCCTGCAGACCACAAAACCCGGCCTCCTTCCTAACACCTAAACCTGCAGCAACTCCCGTCCCTCATGTCTCTGCTCAGGGTCCTCCTTCCCGTAAGTTTTTCTCAACCCATCAAGATCCTGGCTGCCCCTACAAGTCCGTCTCGAATACTTCACCCATCCAAAGCCTCTGCTAACTCCTCCCCTGCCCGGAACCCCGCTTTCTGAGATGGCACCCTCCCTCCTCTGGTTCCTCCTGACCCTGGGCCTGATCGTCCTCTACTTTGAATTATAGGCAGGCTTTCACTCCCTGTACTGGACAAGCCTCTAAGACCACAGGACAAGATGGTGTCGCATCTATCCTTTCTCCCCTGGAGCTTCCCAGCACAGTGCTCAGTAAACATTTGCCAAACTGACCTGAAACAAAAAGGGAAATGTGCTGGACAGGCACTTTGCTTGTCTGAGTAATTCATAATACGGTGAGATGCCACCTCGTGTTCGGTCATCTCACCCACATGCTGAAGTTAAGGGAACGCACTCACCTCACAGAGACAATGGGAGCCCCAAAGAAAGGAGTCACAGGCAAAACCATGATAAAAAGGAGGCCTGTTGGTAGGTGGAGGATTTGCAGACTGCTGGAGGGGACACTCATTCAGAAACAACAGGCGAGAAAGAGTCTTCCCACCAGGTGCCTAAATCCAACCACAACCCTCTGGGCAGAGGCTGTGGGCTCCTGCCACAAAATACAACCCAGCCAGGACCCTGACACACCCAAACCAGACAGGAGAGAACTCTCCAAATCCACAACCACAGCCACACCACCTTGACCGAAAACCTTCCTTTCCTACAATGAGCTTTAAGGCTCTTAATATTAGATACAGTAAAGGCCTAGTCATTTGAAATGGTGCCTCAGTTCACAAAATATCCATGTAGTGAAAATTTTCTAAAGAAATAGTTTTATTACTTTGAGTCCTCCCTAATTAGAGGGGAAGAAACAAAGCTATTTCATTTCTCTCCTCTTTCTTCCTCTAAACCAAAGAGCAGCATTCATTCAGAATACTCCCCAGAGGGAATCATAACTTGAGCAAAAAGACTCCAGCACAGCAAAGGGAGGGATCCACCTGGGCGAGAAGTCCTGCCTCCCTGTCCCTCCAGGCAGGAGGCCAGGCCAGCGCTGAGGGGCTCAGGTCTGCTTAGCTGGCCAGTGGTACACTGGCTGTCTGAAATTGGTTTTGGCCAATTAAGGGATCCTTGAGGGAGTGAAAAAATAAAAACCTCAGTAAATGCAATTTTGCCACCCCAGGCTCGCTCTGCATACTGTGCCTGCTGTCTCTCCAGGCTCGCTCTGCAAAATGTGCCTGCTGTCTCTGAGCGCCTCCAAATGCTCCGTGTGGAAAATAAACTCACGCCCAGAGCAGGCGCACCAGATGAAGCCGAAGACAGGCAGGAACAGCAGGCTCCGATGGCGCTGCCTCTGAAAACCACTCTGGCTTCTGCACGACAGGGAAGGTTCAGAGAAACAAGGTGTCCCAACATCGCTGCTGCTGCTCGCTCTCCTCTGCTGTCCTGAGGATGGCCAGGGCTGGCAGTCTGGCCAAACCCCCAAGACAATGGCATCTCCTAGGCCACACTAAACTCGGCCTGTGTTCCTGCCACTCCCTGTTTCACCCCCTAAACAGGAAGCTCAACAGCAGCCACATCAGAAGAGGGCATTTGGTCCTTCTCTAGAAGGGCACGGTGTGGCTTCCCTGCCTCTTCCCACTCACTCCAGACACCAACAGCTGTCAATAAATATGGCCAGAGAGGCTGCGGCAGTCCCTGTCCTAGACACGGGCTCTCTCCTGCCCATATGGAGGGGCAAAGAGCAATGCTCAGAGCCACAGCTGCCCCTCGTGGCAGCCATTAGCTGCCAGAGTAAATGACTGAGTGTGGGATGAGAGGAGCCAGGTAGATGAGGCTTTCCTACTCCTCATGAGGTGCTTTTCACATCACAGCTCTTACCTCGTCTATTAAAGGATGACTTTCGGCCAGGGGATTAAAAGGTATGAACAGAAACAGCGCTGGTCCTTTCTTCAGCTCGTTATTCAGCAGGAGACTCTTGCCTCCGTGTGGCCGCAGCCACCGAAAGAGCGTCTCCTGGTTTTCTAAGGCCCACTTACAGATGTTCTCAGCTGTGTAGTTCAGGACCTCCCTGGGGAAGACCTGTGAAGGACAAAGGCACAGAGGATAAAGGAGAGCTCGTGAGGTGGGGCAAGCTCAAGGCACATCAGTGCTGTTCCAACCCCACCACTAAGGGTGAGAAAACCCAGGCGTGGAGCGGGGCCTGGCCCCACTGTGCAGCTAACACCCGCTTCTCCAGAGACAGCATTTCCTCACAAGTGGTTGAAAAAACAAAAGTGGTTGCAGGAGGTGACTTCCATATCGTGTGATTCATCTTTCTGCCTTGAGACAGACCCACCTATCAACAAATAATTCTCCCTGCCAGCTGGTGGCGATAACAACCTCTATCACCCTGTCCAAGGACAGGTATTAAACGTCACTGGGTATTCATAAAAGGACCAAGACATATCTAAGGGAACAGAAACTACAGAGTCAAGGATCATTTAGATTTTGACCTTGGTCCTTCAAATGCTGCCCCCAAGGGCAGCATGGAGCCTCCGTGCGGCACAGGCTGTCTGTTCTGCTCACCTGTATCCTCCGGGCCTAGACGAACACCAGGCACACAGCAGGAACTCAACACATGTCTTCAGCAATCAAAAATGACCTAAACTTGCACAAGGCCACGGATCATATTTTACGTGTACGAATAAATGAAAGAGACACCTAGATTTTTTGCTTTGTTTTGCTATAAACAACCAATGTATGTGAACATAAAATTATTTTTGAAATTCTAACAATTTAAATCACTGGCTTCAAACAGAACTACCAAAGGGGTGCTTCAGAGGGTTCTGAAAAATGAGATATTTAAAACTCCTCAAAACGAAGATTTAAATTGACTCATAACAGAGACTAACCACTGCTTGTGTTTTTAAAAATAATGGTATCCCAGTATTATTTCATTTGATAAAAGGAATTCTACTGCTACACAAACCAACCAACCTTAATCACTACCAAATCGAAGCAGAAACCTGATATATTTTTCCATCTCATAGTCCTACCTTTCTTTCCCCATCTACTTTTAATTTCTTTCTCAGTACCCTTTACTATAAATAAATATATGTAGGCTGTGTAACATGCTAAAAATGAAGGATGTAGGAAAATGACAGATAGCAAAAGCAGATGATGTCAAAGCAGCTTAGGCAGAGGCACAAGGAGCGTAGGTGGGCAGCAGAGAAACAACCACAGCAGTGATTGTCAAGGTGGGACGATGGGAGTTTGAAAAACCATACTCAAACTACACTCAAACATTTCCATTCGGAAAACACAAAAATACATTTGACTTTTGGAATATAAACTGCAAGAAGTAAAGCACAGCATCTGGGCTACGAGAGATATGCAGAAGCCAGGGCGACTGGCAAGCAAGGGGGCACCCCTGGAGTGGGCCCAACAGCCCCTCCGAAGGCACAAGACTTAGACATTGTGCCAAGGGGGGCGCAGGTTTTAAAGGCTGGGTACACTGGGTGCAGGGAAATTGATCTGTATATGACCTGTAAGTTACTGACAGTGATGCGAGAGAGACAGAATACTTCAGGAAAGTCAACTCAGTGATGTGACTTAGGAAGCAGCAACAGAGTAGACGCATAGGACTGAGCAGGACACAGGTCAATGCTCAGAAGCAGCTGAGTTCAGGCTGCTCCACAGAAAGCAAATGAAATCGGGGAACAAAGGCGACAATGGAAAACTGACGCTCTCTGGGATGAGAAGCCATCAACTTCTCACTGTGACTTGACAAGAACTTCAAAAATCCATTACATCAGCTAAGGAGAAAAGCATGTCACATTACTACTCATCATAAAAGAAACAGATAAACACAGAACATCACTCAGTGGAAGCCTAGCTTCTGAAAACACGGGCTCAGAGTAACAATTCTTCAAGAGAGTAACTCTGCAATTTTATCCAAGAAGAAAAACTTTAAAGTCTGTACCAAAATCTAAGAATACAAATAAAGAATTTCTATACATTAATTTCAAGAGCCCTCTAATGCATGGGTTCTTAACCTGGAGCCTGGGCTCTAGGGTGGGGCTGTAAGAACTCTCCATCCATATATAAAATCATATGCGCTTTTCTAGAGAGTGTCCATAGATTTTAACCAATTCTCAAAGGAGTCTGTGACCTAAACAAGGTTAAGAACCACTGCGCTAACATAAACGTGATTTCAAAATACTTACAAGTGATGTGTTGAAATGTCTATGTAAATACACACTTCCAGAGTGTACTAAGGATACCAGTTTCGCAAGATGTTTATTTGTGATAACCCCAAATCGTACTGTTCCTAGGTAATCTGAAACAGAAAATTTTCCTTTATTAAAGAAAAGGCCTGTGCCTTAAAACAACCACAAAACCCAGTGATCAAGTCTTGAAGCACAAACCCCTGCAGCTAAGCTCCTTCTGGTAACCTAGCCTAGAGAGGGAAGGAAGAGGCGCTGAGGAACCTCTCCTCCTGAAACCGACCTCGGCCCCTCAGATGTCAAGCCTGCTTCTGAGAGGATGTCTCTGACTAACGTCTCTGACAATCACTTGTGCTGAGGAGTCCCCTGTGTCCACCTATGATGGTCTGACCTGTCCCCATTGATGACAGGCTGAGGCACATGCTGTTCTCTTTGTCTGGACACTTCTTGTGGCTGGTTCCTTGTCATTACTCATCTCAGCTCCTACTTTCTGTGAGAAGCCTTCCTTGACCACCCCACCTAACAGCTAATATTTAGGGGAGAGAGTTTACAAAGGGAAACTGGGCTCCTGACCCATTCAGGTACTCCCTTTACCAATTACCCTATTTTTTATAGCACTTATTAACATTTGCATAATCTCATTCATTTATTTAGATTTCCTTTGGCCCAATGTCCTCTTTTTTTTTTTTTTTTTTTTTTTTTTGAGATGGAGTCTCGCTCTGTGGCCCAGGTTGGAGTGCAGTGGTGCGATATCGGCTCACTACAACCTCCGTCTCATGGGCTCAAGCAATTCTCCTGCTTCAGCCTCCCAAGTAGCTGCAATTACAGGCGTGTGCCACCACACCCAGCTAATTTTTGTATTTTTAGTAGAGACGGGGTTTCACCATGTTGGCCAGGGCAGTCTCGAACTCCTGACCTCAAGTGATGTGCCTGCCTCTGCCTCCCAAAGTGCCAGAATTACAGGTGTGAGCCACCACACTCGGCCCAATTTCCTCTTCTGACTGTAATTTCTGTGAAATTAGAGACTTTGTTTCATGCTAGTATCCCAGCACCTACAGAAGTGCCGGGGTGTATAGTTAAGAGGTCAAAAAATATTTATTAAATGAACAAATCTAGCATATATAAAGACTTATACAAATCAACAAGGAAAATTGTTAACATGGACAAACCACAGAAAAGGAAATATGTATACATGGCTAATAATTACTGGAAATAAACTCAACCTCACTATCCCAAAAGGAAGCAAATTAAAACAAAAGACTACTTTTGACCCTCAAATTGCCAAGAATTTAAGACAAAGGAAACATCAAGTATTGATGAAAGTAAAGAAATGAGTATTTGATGTGATGCTGGTGGAAAAAGGCAAAACGGCACAGCCACTCAGGAAAGCAGCTGCTGTACCGACTACAAGAATGGACACAGCTGGGATTTCCACTGCTAAGCATCCACATGTTTGTTAGGAGTCACATGCAAGGATATTCACCAAGAAACATTCTGCAAATGTTAAAAACAATGAGGCAGGACTATACACCACAAACAGAGGCTGAAAGAGTAGACTTTTGATGTTAACAAAAAAAAAAAAAGAACTCACACTTATAAAAGTTATGTGTGTGTATGTGTGTGTGTGTATGTATGTATGTGTATATATATATATATATATATGTTTTTTCCCCTACAGGCACATATGTTTAGAAATGTATAAAGAATCTAAAAGGATAATGAAAGTGGTTTGATGTTGGAGAACGAACATCAACAGGGACCTTATCCTTATGTGTGAAGCTTTCATTTTTTTTCATGGAGTATAATATTTGTGTGATTATAAAGTATTTAGTGTTAAAGGAGGGTGAATAAGATACTGCAGAAAAAGGTACATTCTTTCCTATCCCCTTTTTGCTTTATTAGCACATGCTAAATAAAACATCAGTTAAACTACAGGCCAGGCGCAGGGGCTCATGCTCTTAATCCTAGCACTTTGGGAGGCCGAGGTGGGTGGATTGCCTGAGCTCAGAAGTTCAAGACCAGCCTGGCCAACATGGTGAAACCCTGTCTCTACTAAAAATATAAAAATTATCCGGGTGTGTTGTGGTGGGCACCTGTAATCCCAGCTACTTGGGAGGCTGAGGCATGAGAATCACTTGAACCCAGGAGGCAGAGGTTGCCGCGAGCTGAGATCCCAAGATCGTGCCACTGCACTCTAGCCTGGGCAACAGAGTGAGACTCTGCCTCCAAAGTAAATAAATAAATTTTTTTTTAAAAAACAGTTAAACATCAAATATTACCAAATTATACACAAGTAGCTAAGATATAAAAATATTGAGGTGTTAAACCCATAAAGTTTCCAGTTTTATCCCATGACCCCATCTTTCAGTGGTGTGGTCCTCTCTCCCTCAGGTAAGGAGTGGCCGACAAGGATGAGGTCGGAGTGAGTATGTCCCTACTGCCAGAGTCAATAATTTTTCATACAAATCTGATGAGTGTAAAATGGCACAAAACAAAAGAAATACAGGACAAATAAGCCAGGCTGGGGAAAGGGGACTGGAAACGGGAAGGCAGGGCTGAGGAGGCCTGGCACTGAGTAGGCCTTTTTGTATCTGACTCCTAGGGCCACAGTGATGTATCACACACCCTTCACACACTCCAAAATTAAACAATTAGTTAAAACCAAGCGAGATGTGGCAAACCCAACGTGGAATACAGCACGTACAAATAACCCTAACTATTGCAAACGGGTAACACCATGGTGAATGGGACAGGAAGAAAGAACCTAAGTAACTGGAAAACAGTATCTTGACTGGATGCTGTAAAACTAAAGGCAAAAAGAACTGTACATAAATGCTGTAAATCTAGGTAGTAAATGTGTTTCTTAAAGAGGTATAAGTTAGCAATTCTGAAACTATGAACTTATTTACTTCTTTGTGGTAAGTACATTATACATAATTACAGCCAGGACTCTCACTGTTGCAGTAAGAAGTTATATATTAATAAGAGAAGGCTAAAATAAACCCTGTGATGTTAAATTGAAATCAGAGAGAATGAGTATAAACTTAAGGCTTTTGATACACACACACACACACACACACACACACACACACAGAGGGAGAGAGAGGGGATGGATAGAGAAATACAGATATATGCACATGTGTGGGTATAATACACTTCCTAGTTCTATCTACTGAGAAGACCTAGAAGTAATGACATCCTAATACCAAAGAGCATACCTAGCACGTAGATCTTGGTTTCTAAATGCCATTCTCCAGTAAAAGAAACCAGGGCCCTTGGAGAAGAGGTTGATTCCAGAGCTGGGGTGAAGAAAGTACAAGATAAGCCTGAAATATCTTGTATCAGAAGTAAAGAAGTGGGCTGGGCATGGTGGCTCACGCCTGTAATCCCAGCACTTTGGGAGGCCAAGGCGGGTGGATCACCTGAGGTCATGAGTTTGAGACCAGCCTGGCCAACATAGTGAAACCCCATCTCTACTAAAAATACAAGAATTAGCCGGATGTGGTGGCACGCACCTGTAATTCCAGCTATCTGGGAGGCTGAGGCAGCAGAATTGCTTGAACCCGGGAGGTGCAGGTTGCAGTGAGCCGAGATTTTGCCATTGCACTCCAGCCTGGGTGACAAGAGTGAAACTCCGTCTCAAAAAAAATAAATGAAGTAAAGAAGTGCTCATAAAAGGATGGGGGTTTGTCCAAAGGACCCAGGAGCCAAGCTGAAGCCCTCCTAGTAGCCAAAGTTGGAACAATTTGAGCAACAAAATAAACAATGACAGTACACAGAATAAGATAAATACCCATGACTCCATAATAATATTAATGAGAACAGTCAGCTCTTCTTTAAGGGAGAATTCCACTAATAATGAAAAAAGAATGAAAGAAACAGAAAATAACCATTTGAACACCAGAGTAATTGTTGCAGGCAAGATCCACTGATGGAGGCTAAAATTCATGAGCAGAAGTTTGAGGATATATTTACATAGTGTCAAATGATCTTCCCCCAAGGTATTTATTTATTAATTACAAAGGAAGAGATAGTAACTTTTCAGTGGAGAAACACAGCAGACACTACTTTAACCAACTGATCAAAGTTAATGTCACCAGTAGGAGACACACTGACATCATATGAACCCCCTGATAAGAAGTGCTGAGAAGTACCTATTTCTATGGTATTGCTGTCAAAAGACATGACCTATTCCAGTCACAAGAAAACAGACAAAATTGAGCAATTTTCTACAAAATACCTGAGAAATATTCTTCAGAAGTGTCAAGGTTATAAAGGACAAGGAAAGACAGAGGATTTGTCATAGGTTGAAGGAAACTGAGAAAAAAACCAACACATTGCGATATGGGATCCCAGACTGGATCCTGAAACAAAAACAGACACTAGTGGAAACATGGAGACAATTCAAATGAGGTCTGCAGTTTAGTGAATAGGACCGAACCAATGTTAACTTCTTTTTCTTTCTTTTTTTTTTTTGAGACAGATTCTTGTTCTGTCGCCCAGGCTGGAGTACAGTGGTGCATCTCGGCTCACTGCAACCTTAAGTGATTCTCCTGCCTCAGCCTCCCGAGTAGCTGGGATTATAGGCATGCACCCCCATGTCCAGCTAATTTTTCTGTATTTTTAGTAGAGACAAGGTTTCACCATGTTGGCCAGGATGATCTCGAACTCCTAACCTCAAGTGATCCACCTGGCCTCAGCCTCCCAAAGTGCTGAGATTACAGGTGTGAGCCACCACACCCAACTCTAACATTGACTTCTTAGTTTGTACAAAACCACCTAACAATTGGTTATGTAAGATGTTAACAATGGGGGAAACTGGCTAAAGACAGGCAATTATGGAACTCTCTGTTTTATTTTTGCAACTTTTCTCTAAGTATAGAATTAGTTGAAGATTTTTAAAAACTTTGTTTAAAGGGCATGGCATATAAGTCCAGATCCCAAAGCTGTCAGAAGAAACAGACCAAAGAGAGGACGTGATTTAGTAGGACCAAAACACCACTCTCCAGAAGCAGCTGATCTTGGAGGACAGTCACAGTTAAAAGAAGAGAAGGAAAAGCAGCCAGTAAGGAAATTCATTTGATAGCCTGCCAAAGTCACCATCGTGATTTATTAGAGCAGAGAAATAAGAAGTGACAGCCTGACCCAAAAGTTAAAAGGGGCCATTCAAAAACCTGTTTAACTGCCTTAATAAGAATGGACAGTCTGCCCATACAGAACAAATTCTAACATGCTCAAACATATTATAATTTCAAAACTTTATTTTTCACACATAACAGAAATGTACAAAAAACACGCTTCTATTTAAGTTCTAGCATATGGTGGAAATCTTGCTAGAAGCAGCAGCTTAAATTTGCAGTCTCACGTGAACAAAGAATACTTAGATTAGCAGAGGAAGTTTATAGCGTAAAGATGACACAAAAAACCAGCATGTCACATCTCCTTATCCAGAGTGTTTTCTGATAAGCAGAGCTCCAGGGCTTTCTACGACAGAAGTCTTAGTCATTTATAAAATGAATTATTTTGTCCTAAAAGTAATGAATTTTCAATATTTTAATTAAGAACTTGGAATTTGTTGGACAATTAAAAATAAACTAAGACTCATACTCTCCCCTCCTCTACTCAAAAAGGTCTAAAAACTGCAGTATCCCATTCGATTAAAAAAAAAATTCTCCATTAGCCTGGTAATTGGCCAGTTCAAGATCTCTGTTAACCATACAGTGACAACTGGTGTCAATGATCACTGCAAGATGTAATGAAATCTTGAAGGAACATCTGGGTAAAGAATTAGTTACTAACCAGTTTCCACAGCTGCTCATGCAGGTGGCTAAGAAGGTCAAGGTGACCACAGCCAGCATGTCTCTTGGCGCCACTCACCCCTCAGGGAGGGAGGGTGCTCCTTGGCTGCTTGCTACAGAGGGTGCTGAGCCCTGGGCCCTGTGATCGTCGGCTACAAGGCTGTGCACACAGGCACCATCTAGACCCATCACAGCACATCTCCCATGGGCATGGGCTGGGGAACCAGCACTATTATGCTGATGCTAATATTGTTTGCTGTGCTTTGAGCAGAAATGGTCTTGTGCTTTGACTCATGAAATCTTGCCTACTTTTGGCAGGCAGGCAGGTTTACTCCTGGTCATCTCTTGTGAGTGTGGGATTCTTCTCTGCCCCTAACAGAATGTTCTTCTCTTGCTTCCCACACCCTCCCCAAGTATAGCTTTGGCTGCCCTTCTTGTGCCTCCCGTGCACCGCTGTCACCATTCACCTCATGACAGCTACCAAGGGTTCCTGAAAGACCTGAAACTCCATCTGGTTTCCACTCACATTCATCTGGCTCACTATCCTCTAGTTTGGATAAAAGCTTTTTGGTTTTGGACAACGTTTTAATATATGACTACAGCTGACCCTTGAACAACATGGGTTTGAACTGCGTGGGTCCACTTACATGCATATTTTTTTTAACGAAACACAGATCCAAAATACAGTATTTGCAGAATTTAAAACCCACCTATATGGAGAGCCAATTTTCATACAGGCAGGCTCTGAAGGGCCAACTGTGGGACTTGAGTATGCAAATTCTGGTATATTTGGGGATCCTAGAACTAATCCCCAATCTATACCAAGGGAAAACTGTATTTTAGTTTAGTATCATATGACTTAAATTTAATTTTAAATATTAAAATGTCAGTTTAGGGCTGGATGCGGTGGCTCACACCTGTAACCCCAGCACTTTGGGAGGCCAAGGTGGGTGGATCACCTGAGGTCAGGAGTTCGAGACCAGCCTGGCCAACCTGGTGAAACCCCATCTCTACTAAAAATTAGCCAGGCTTAGTGGCAGGCGCCTGTAGTCCCAGCTATTTGGGAGGCTGAGGCAGGAGAATCACTTAAATGTGGGAGGTGAAAAAAAAAAAAACTCCATGATTTTTATACTGATTATATGTTGAAATAATTTGGATACACTGGGTTAAATATTAATTTCACCTGTTTCTTTTATTTTTCCCAATTTTTTTTTTTAAAGACAGAGTCTCACTTTGTCACCCAGCCTGCAGTAAAGTGGCCCAATCTTGGCTCACTGCAACCGCCACCTCCCAGGTTCAAGCGATTCTCCTGCCTCAGCCTCCTGAGTAGCTAGGATTGCAGGCGTGCACCACCATGCCCAGCTAATTTTTATATTTTTAGTACAGACAGAGTTTCACCATGTTGGCCAGGCTGGTCTCGAACTCCTGACCTCAAGTGATCTGCCTGCCTCAGCCTCCCAAAGTGTTGGGATTACAGACCTGAGCCACCGCACCCAGCCTCACCTGCTTCTTTTTAATTTTTAGTGTAGCTACTAGAAAAGTTTAAATTAGGCTGGGTATGGTAGCTCACATCTATAATCTCAACAGTTTTGAGAGGCTGAGGCAGGAGGATCACTTGAGGCCAGGAGGTCAAGACCAGCCTGGGCAAGAGAGTGAGACCCTAGCTCTAAAAAAATTTTTAAAAATTCGCTGAGCGTGATGATGTAAGCCTATAGTCCTAGCTACTTGGGAGGCTGATGCAGGAGGAATGCTTGAGCCCAGGAGGTCAAGGCCGCAGTGAGCTATAATTGCACCACTGCACTCCAGCCTGGACAACAATATGAGATCCTGTCTCAAAAAACAAACTTAAAAAAAGAAAATTTTAAATTAGCTATGTGGTTCATATTGTATTTCCATTAGATTATGCCAGAGTGGTAATGATGAAAAAGCAAGATTCATTTATCTCAGGAAGACAATTAGCCTGAGATGATAAATCCAGCAGCCAGCAAGTCTTAATAATTGGCACTTATCTGGTAAGATCACATGAGACAATGTTTCTTGAATTTTTTTCATGAAAATCCATCCAACAGCAAAGAATAATTATCTTTAAGAACGTGTCCCCTTTTCTTCAAAAAGGAAAAAGTGGGGCTCTAGACCTATGACTCTAGCCTGAGCTTCTGAAATTAATTCTCTCTCAGAGGCCTATAGTAAATAGCACTTGGTGTACTACAAAGTACCCAAGGATACACTGAAAGAACAGAGAGAAACTCCAGGTCTGAACAATGTGGAATTCCTTACATTAGGGAAGGTCATCTGCTATCATGGAGACTTCTGCATGAGCTCATCTCTAAGGCATCATGGAACAAAATGGAATATCGGGTCAAGAAAAATGCTTATAAAGGTAACTGCTAACAAACCAACATATGCTTCAAAACAAAATACCACTGGATTAAGTCACATGGCATTTAATCATCATGGATAAGAAGTCATTTACTCCATGGGGAAATTCTTCTCATTTCTTTAAACTGAAAATAGTGGTATACCAAAAGGCAAACCTGTATCATAGTACCTTCCATCTGTTGGGAAACAATTCTCATTTTAGTCTGTTAATTTTAACTTCTACTTTCCCACTCTTCTTTCCAAAGTCAGAAAAAGGAGAAAAATAGGATTATTTTAAAAAGGGATTAAAACAACCCCTCTAATTTTAATATTTACATAGTGATTCACTTTTCAAGTTCTTCATAACCATTTCCTGGTGATGTTATATATTTCCAATAAAGTGTCCATTAAAATGAAAAAACCTTCGAAGAAATGTAACATTACAGAAATGCTTGTTTTCAATGTATAAACTATCATTACTTGCATTTTCCCCCTAGAAATGAGACAGTGAAATGTGCATAGTTTCAAACTTCTTAATATAAAGCACAAAGCAATTATTTAGAAAAAAAATCTGGCATTTGGACATCACAGATACATTGTGGTGTTTGCCAAGATATTACTAAACTAACATGTAACTTATAAGCTGTGATTCTTTTTTTTTTGAGACAGAGTCTCGCACTGTCGCCCAGGCCTGGAGCGCAATGGCGTGATCTCAGCTCACTGCAACCTCTGCCTCCCAGGTTCAAGTAATTCTCCTGCCTCAGCCTCCCGAGTAGCTGAGATTACACCACCACCATGCGTAGCTAATTTTTTGTATTTTTTTTTTTTTTTTTTTTTTTTTTTTTGAGACGGAGTCTCGCTCTGTTGCCCAGGCTGGAGTGCAGTGGCGCGATCTCGGCTCACTGCAAGCTCCGCCTCCCGGGTTCACGCCATTCTCCTGCCTCAGCCTCCCGAGTAGCTGGGACTACAGGCGCCCGCTACCATGCCCGGCTAATTTTTTTGTATTTTTAGTAGAGACGGGGTTTCACCATGTTAGCCAGGATGGTCTCGATCTCCTGACCTCGTGATCCGCCCGCCTCGGCCTCCCAAAGTGCTGGGATTACAGGCGTGAGCCACCGCGCCTGGCAGCTGTGATTCTTTCTGTATGTGAGCTAGGTAGGAAGGAAAGAGAAATGTAGTTCCAAGTACATGATTTTAGGAGAAAATAAACTGTAGTACTAAATACGCATTGTTACATATACTTAACCTGACAGTAAAATAAACACCCTCACACCAATTGTTCTCATTTAGTAAGTCTAAAGCACCATATTAAAATGATCAATTCAGGCCAGGCACAGTGGCTCACACCACCACGGTGAAACCCCGTCTCTACTAGAAGTACAAACATTAGACAGACGTGGTGGCACATGCCTGTAATCCCAGCTACTCGGGAGGCTGAGGCAGGAGAACCGCTTGAACCCAGGAGGCAGAGACTGCAGCGAGCCAAGATCACACCACTGCACTCTAGACTCAGTGACAGAGCAAGACTCCATCTCAAAAGAAAAAATAAAATGATCAATTGAAAAACTTCCCTTGTATGCACTTCAATTAATTTTTTTTTTTTTTGGTAGCCCTCAGGGGAAGGAAGGACTCTGCAAACTAAATATATCCACTGAGAAACCTCCTCCACCCCATTTCAGGCTGTTCTTAAGGTCTAACACAGGAGTCAGCTAGATGAGGTCTCTGTCACGTTCTCTTTTTCCCCTCCAAACAATGCTTTAAAAATGTAAAAAACATCCTTAGCTCCCAGGCCTACAAAAATAGGCCAAGGGCCATTGCATTTTCAAGATGAAGTGTCCCTTACAGATAACTAGGGCAAAGCTCCCTTATTTAACAGATGGGGAACCTGAAACCTGAAGGCCAGTGAGAAAAGGCCGCTGGGCCATGATTATACCAGGATACTTGCTATTAAAATGACTAGAGCCAGGCGCAGTGGCTCATGCCTGTAATCCCAGCACTTTGGGAGGCCAAGGTGGGTGGACTGCTTGAGCCCAGGAATTCAAGAGCAGCCTAGGCAACATGGCAAAACCTCATCTCTACAAAAATTAACTGGGTGTGATGGCGTGAGCCTGCAGGAAGATCACCTGAGCCTCGGGAGTTTGAAGCTGCAATGAGCCGTGACTGTGCCACTGCACTCTAGCTTGGGCAACAGAGTGAGACCCTGTCAAATAAATAAATAAACATTAAATAAAATAAAATGACTTCAGGACTCATTGGCCCCTGTCTATCTATGCTTATTGTTAGGAAGATACCACTAAAGCCCAGGGAAAACTAGAAACCAAGACAGGCTGCTAAGCGGAAGACATGGCCTATTGTCTATTAGTGCAACAGCAGCTCCAAGAAAGAAGCTGGGGTGATGAAAATCACAGGACGTCCAGTGTGCCGGACGTCATGCTAGATAGTCAAGAGTTATTAATCCATAGAACTTCCCCTAGGCCTTGAAAAATTAGGAAGGCAGACATTAGGCAGGGAAAAACATTACATTTAAAGCAGTATCACAGGCAAAGCCAAGAGGGAATCACCATATCATATCACCTGCTGCACCTCAGTAGAGCAGAGGAGCTGCAGAGAAAACAGAGTAAGGGTGGAGTGAGTGAGCTCTGCACCAGGGTTCTCATCTCAGCTCCTGTATTTACTGGCATGTGACGGTACTGGCTTCGTGTTGTTGCTGTAACAAATAATGGCAGACACACAGATGTATTTTAAAGTTCTGGATGTCAAAAGTCCAAAATGAGTCTCACTAGGCTAAAATCAACCCTGGCCTGTTAGCAAGTCATGTTCCTTTGGGAGGCTCTGGGGGAGAATCCTTGACTTTTCCAGCTCCAAAGGTTACCCACATCCCTTGGTTTGTGGCCCTTTCCTCCTTCAAAGCCAGTGACAACTAGACTGTCCATCTCACATTACACTCTGCTATTTTGCCTCCAATTTTGATTCTTAAGAATCCTTCTGATTACACTGAGCCCACCCCAGTAACACAGGATAACCTCAGTGTCAGCTGATTAGCAATCTAATTCTATTTGCTACCTTAATTCCCCCTTGCCATGTATATAACCTATTCGCAGGTTCTACTGAGTAAGAAGCGGAGCTTTTTAAGGAGCCCTTATGAGCCCTGCCTACCACACTAACCCTGAGCCAGTTAGCAACCCCTCAGAGCTTCGGTTTCTCCATCTGTGAAACTGGAATAAACACTTCCTACTTCAAAGGGTGACAGTGAAGACTGTGTCATTCAGGTAAAGTGCCTGGCTCATGGAAGTGCTCAGTCAAGTATCAGCTTATCTGGTTCAACTGTATATAAAAGGTGGCCAAGGACAGACCAGAACTGGGCTTGTCTGCACGGAGCTGTTTGACTGTAAGTTTGTGACTTTATTATGTCCCTAAGATTATTTTCTAAGATTGTAATGCTTCTAGTTCTTTATCTAGGAGTCTTATCAACTTCCAAACATGAAAAAAACAAACTTGGAGAAACAGGATCAACACCCACACCAATACTCTAAAAGAGTCAATTTAAAAGGGTAGAAAATATCACTACATAATTAGAAAGTGAAGGTGCAATTTTTCAAATACCTGGGATCGAGGGATCAAAATCTCTCTAAATGAACACTAAATTTGGCTCTGAGCTTCCTGAAGCCAAGGCACAAGTGGACACACCTGTTGCTTTCCCCAGCCCCATCAACCTTCCACTCTGCATGCGGTTTCTTCCATACTTAGCTGCAGGCTAAGCCTCCCACCCCCCAGCACCCATCTCCACTGAGCCATCTTCCCGTCTCCACCTAAGGAAGGCTGTCACAGACCCATCACTAAATTCTCATTGTGAGCAACCCTACTTCTTGGCCACACTGGCTGGTGGCTCCTGCTGATGGCAGGAAATGAGATACATTCATCATTATAGCTATATCACATACCAGATCCTCAAATGGTTGTTGAATTATTTAATAAGAAATCGTACTTCTGATTCTAACCTCACGTGCTGAGAGGATCTTTTTTGGCCTTAGTTCTTATTTATAAGACTTAAGAAATAAGTCATTGTGGGGCACAGTGGCTCACCCCTTTAACCACAGCACTTCTGGAGGCTGAGGTGGCTGGACTGCTTGAACCCAGGAGTTCAAGATCAGCCAGGGTAACGTGGTGAAACTACATCTCTACAAAAAAAATAGAAAAATTTGGCCAGGAGTGGTGGACGCCTGTAATCCCGGCACTTTGGAAGGCTGAGGTGGTTGGATCACCTGAGGTCGGGAGTTCAAGACCAGCCTGACCAACATGGAGAAACCCCATTTCCACTTAAAACACACACACACACACACACACACACACAGAAATCAGTTGGGCATGGTGGTGCATGCCTGTAAATCCCAGCTACTTGGGAGGCAGGAGAATCGCTTGAACCCAGGAGGCGGAGGTTGCGGTGAGTCAAGATCGTGCCATTGCACTCCAGCCTGGGCAACAAGAGTGAAACTCTGTCTCAGGAAAAAAAAAAAAAAAAAAAATTGCCAGGTTGCCAGGCGTGGTGGTGCATGCCTGTAGTCCCAGCTCCTTGGGGGGCTGAGGTAGGAGGATCACCTGAGCCTGGGGAGGTTGAGGCTGCAGTGAGCCATGATTGTGCACTCCAGCCTGGGCACAGAGTGAGACTCTGTCTCAAAAAAAAAAAAAAAGAAAAGAAATCATAATGGAAATAAAAGCATCTCTCACAAAATATACAAGGATTCCTTTGCTAAAATAATGTCAACTGAATTAAACAGTCAGTTTTAGGTGTGGGGACATAAAGTATGGAATTTTTTTTCCTTTTTTTTGAGACAGAGTTTTGCTCTTGTTGCCTAGGCTGGAGTGCAATGGCATGATTTTGGCTCACTGCAACCTCCACCTCCCAGGTTCAAGAGATTCTCCTGTCTCAGCCTCCCAAGCAGCTAGGATTACAGTCATGTGCCACCATGCCTGCCTATTTTTGTATTTTTAGTAAACACCGGGTTTCTCCGTGTTGGTCAGACTGGTCTAAAACCCCTTACCTCAGGTGATCCATGCGCCTTGGCCTCCCAAAGTGCTGGGATTACAGGTATGAGCCACAGCGCCCGGCCCAAAGTATGGAATTTTTAATATGTTTATTTTAATCTATATTAGTCAGTACCCAGAAGGGTCTCAATGCAGGCAGATAGTTAGAAAAAGGTCTCCCCCATGAGTGAGTATAGTGACAACAAATGAAATTACCCAAGAAAAAAAAACGATCCTAGAACCCATGCCATTTGCCGAGAACTGTTAAACTCAATGTCTGGTCCAAAGACCCAAGAGTTAGGTCCAAAAACCTGAGAAAATAAAGCAATCTCCAAGCCATCCTTGCTTGTCAGTCCCTTGTTTTTTCAATGCCTTTTAAAATGTCCCATACTGAGCAAGAAAACCCTATCCTTCAGATTTTTTTTTTTTGAGACAAGGTCTCACTTTCGTCACCCAGGCCAGAAAGCAGTGGCATGATCTCAGCTCACTGCAGCCCTGACTTCCTAGGTTCAAACCATCCTCCCACCTCAGCCCCTAAGTAGCTGCAACTACAGGCTAATTTTTAGTATTTTTTGTAGAGACGGGGTTTCGCCACATTGCGAAAGGTTGGTCTCAAACTCCTGAGCTCAAGAGATCCACCTGCCTCAGTCTCGCAAAGTGCTAGGATTACAGGCGTGAGCCACCGTGCCCCGCCAAGATCTTTTGATGCTGTATAAAATCTCACCATCTGGCCGCGCTCGTTGGCTCACGCCTGTAACTCCAGCACTTTGGGAGGCCGAGGTGGGCGGATCACGAGGTCGGGGATCAAGACGATGCTGGCGAAAACGGTGAAACCCCGTCTCTACTAAAAAATACAAAACATTAGCCGGGCGTGGTGGCGGGCGCCTGTAGTCCCAGCTACTCGGGAAGCTGAGGCAGGAAAATGGCGTGAACCCGGGAGGCGGAGGTTGCAGTGAGCCGAGATCGCGCGGCTGCACTCCAGCCTGGGCGACAAAGCAAGACTCCGTCTCAAAAAAAAAAAAAATTTCCAATCTGACAGAACAATACTCCAGAAAAGCTTTCTTCGCTTGGAGGAGGGCACTTTTTATGCGTACCGACTCAGTTCTACAAGCAAATCTCGGCAGCATCAGACGCCACCTGGTGGAGTACAGGGACACTACGCTGGAATCAAAGTTCTTCCTCCATTTAATACCTTTCCTCTAAAACACTATTTCCCAAAGGGAGTTCCTTAGAAAACTAATGCTACTAATGCTACAAGGTTTCCTCATCAACTGAGTTTAGGAATTCCCAAAGGTGGTAGAAGGGAGTGGAAACAATATTTTGGTTAATAGTTTAGTGTGGCCGGGCGTGGTGGCTCACGCCTGTAATCCCAGCACTTTGGGAGGCCAAAGCGGGAGGATTGCCTGAGCTCAGGAGTTCCAGACCAGCCTGGGCAACACAGTGAAACCCCGTCTCTACTAAAATACACAAAAATCAGCCAGGCCTAGTGGCGTGTGCCTGTAGTCCCAGCTACTCGAGAAGCTGAGGCAGGAGAATTGCTTGAACCCGGGAGGCGGAGGTTGCAGTGAGCAGAGAACGGATGTCTCAAAAACAAAACAAAACAAAACAAAACAAAAAAATAGTTTAGTGTATTTCCAAGATGGTATTTAGGTACCATGTGAATTTCAATTTGATCTCTACAAAAAAAAATTGTTGTAACTTGCTGGTGTGTTGGTGCACACCTGTAGTTCTAGCTACTCAGAAGGCTGAGGCAGAATCTGATTGCTTGAGCCCATGAGTTCAAGGTTACCACTGCGTTCCAGCCTGGGCAACAAAGTGAGACCCTGTCACGGCAAAAAAAAAAAAAAAAAGAATGAACCAGGCAGGGAAATTCCTACACTATGGTCTATTGAGCCTGAAGGGCCAGGCACAAGAAGTGGAGAAGGTAGTGAGAGGGGATCCAAAGTGACATTTAAAATCCCGTAGCTAAAATCTTTCTCACGCGTCCTTTACCAGTCATACATTCACCAAGCACGGTGTGGAGCTGTAGGAGCAACAAAACAAAACCCTGCCATCAAGGTCCTCAGTAAATATTATCTGAAAAATTAGCTCCTATTCTGGTGGCAGAGAGATTCAGTCCATTGGACAGGGAGAAAACCATGCGTTACAAATAGAAGCAGGTAGGAGGTGCACGGGAAAGGGGAAGAGAAAGACTGGGCCTGCTGGTCAGTCAATGACATCATTTCTTGTGTGGATTTTTTCACTAGAATAGGTAAAATACTTATCTGAGGTGCTTTCAACCAGATGGCTTAGTTTCTAATTAAGGTATAAAGACTATTATTTTACTTGCACGCAAAGTATTTCTTTACTCGCTTTATTACTTTACTCACACACAAAGTATTTCATGATTTGACCTTATAAAATAAGGATTTATATACTTACCTCTACCCTCCCCAAATTTAAAGATAAACAAACACAAACACAGAAAGGTTAAATATTTTGTTCCAAGTTTACAGACCTCACCAGGAGCAGACAAAGGGTAAGGACCAGGCATTGCTGCCTCCCAGCCCACTGCTTTTCTCCCTAGACTGCACTGCAAGTCCTTTTGTAGATCAGATGAAAAATGGGGTCAAAATTTGCTGCAAATCTTCTCTTTTAAAAAAGCCACTGAATTATAGCAGAGTATGACAAAATGTTACCAGAACACATTTTTACAGCAAATAATGAAATAATCATCAGATTTTTAAAAATCAAGCAAGCAACTTCAGAATATGACCCCTCTACCAAATTTTCTTTTGGCAATAAAGTAGCCTCTCTGCCAAGATCAAATGTAAAAATGTTACAAGAGGAACAGGCTTTGCAGTCCTGGAGGAGTAAAGTACAAGAGAGCTGATTTCCTCCAGGCTTTTGAAACATATACAAAGATTGCCAGCCCACAATTAATCATCTAGCACTGTGAAATGATTAAACATTAATGAGAGATATGTAAGACCTACTATAAAAAATTAAAAGGAAGTTTTGAATAAATGAATAATCATGCTGTGCACCTAGAAAGGAAAGCTAAATGTTATGAACATGTCAATTATCTTCAAGTCAATTTATATATTTAACATAATTTCAACAAAATTCCAGCCAAAGGCACGGATGGACATAAAAGAATATTCCACAAAACACAAGAACTACAAGAAGTCCAGACTTGACCAAGTAATAACAATTTACAAAGTAAGAACTTAGATTATGTTTACTCAGACAAAAATAGGTATCCAGACCAAAAGAAATCACAGAAATAGACCCAAATCCATGGAAAAATATGTTCTGTAGTTAAAGCAGGCATCATCAAGATTAGAAAGAAAGGAAACATCATTTTATAAATGAGAGAGGGAAAAATCAACTGTGCTCTATATTTTAAGCCAAAGTAAAGCCAGGGAGCATAAAGTGCTAAATAATTTTTAAATTTAAAAAAGAAGAAAATAAACTAATATAGTCATCAGATTTTCAGGAAAAAAAAAAAAAAAGCAAGAAAAACTAACCAGAAGGCCAGGCGCAGTGGCTTATGCCTGTAATCCCAGCACTTTAGGAGGCCGAGGCAGGTGGATCACTTGAGGTCAGGAGTTTGAGACCAGCCTGGCCAACATGGCAAAAAGCTGTCTGTACTAACGGTACAAAAATTAGGCGGGCGTGGTAGTGGGCGCAGTAGTGGGCGCCTGTAGTCCTAGCTACTTAGGAGGCTGAGGCATGAGAATCCCTTGAACCTGGGCGGAGGTTGCAGTGAGCTGAGATCATGCCACTGCACTCCAGCCTGGGCAAAAGAGCGAGACTCCAAATGAAAAAAAAAAAAAAAAAAAAAAGAACCAGAGATTTAACTTTTTTTTAAAGAAAATACGAAAGCACTACATAAATAATAATAACAGAAGTAAAAAAGGCTAACACAGGCTGGGCGCAGTGGCTCACGCCTGTAATCCCAGCACTTTGGGAGGCCGAAGCGGGCGGATCATGAGGTCAGGAGTTCAAGAACAGCCTGGCCAACATGGTGAAACCCCGTCTCTACTAAAAATACAAAAAATAAGCTGGGCGTGGTGGCAGGCGCCTGTAATCCCAGCTACTCGGGAGGCTGAGGCAGGAGAATCACCTGAACCTCGGAGGCAGAGGTTGCAGTGAGCAGAGATTTCGCCACTGCACTCCAGCCTGAACGACAGAGAGAGACTCTGTCTCAAAAAAAAAAAAGAAAGGCTAATACAATAATGGACAGAAATATGCACAAGAGTTCCTGTCCACAACACCTTAACAGGTGGACCAAGGTAAACTGACAGATCAGCACTGAGGCCGAGCCCTGGAGAAAAAAGGAAACAGTTAAAACAACAAGAGAAGGCAGTTACTATTAGAGTGCTGAGGTGGTAAGTGAATTTCCTTTCTTTTAATGTGTAAAAATAGCAAATGTTTGACAAGTTGCGTTAAGTGGGGGGTAAAGGACCACAGAACCCGATCTTATAACCCAAGCCTCGCATGCTGGGGGCCAGGAATAAGCTCTCCTCACAGCACACCCTACAGCCCTGTGATGCTTCAGACATGGTACTCTCGCAAATTATTTATGCACTGATGACCAGCTAGCTTCAAAAAACAAATGTAGAACTTTGAAGTGGCCTGGCTATTTCTAAGACAATTTAAAAAAAAATCATTAAGGCAGGGGAAAGGCATGTGTATTGTATAAATGCTGGTAGCCAGCTGAACCAAGGCATCTGCTTTCTACTACAACAGTCTAAACACTTCTTCAGTTCAGTTCTCTATAACTAAATGTTATATGTGTCAAATGTTTCTCCAGCCTTGATCTGTACATACAATCTAAACATGACATTGACCTAGAATTTAATTTGAAACTGTATCTTTTTTTTTTAAATGTGCATGTGTTTCTCCTACCTCTTACTGCACATCTGCTGTTAATAATAAGGAAAACACCATTTGACTTCAGGGTAGAAGAAAGGGAGAAAAACCCCAGATGCCCAAGGCAAGATTTACTTTAGGGAATCCTTCATAGTGCACATATTACAGAAAATCATCATTTCCAATTGTGTGAATTTAGCCACAAAAAAATGGGGTGAAAAGGATTAATTAGAATTAATTAATTAATTAATCTCAGCTCCTGCAAACTTGCATATGCAACAGAATTTTACAAGCTCCAACCAGAATCACAGGATAGGGAAGAGATGTAGAGAAAGTAAATCAGACCACATTTATTATGAAAACAACTAGCACATAAACTTGTCAAAATTAGTGATTTGACCAAGGAGGTTCATTTTGAACCTTTGAGTAATTTTTAACCATTTATCCCTTTCAACCTTATTTTATATCTATTTTATTTATCACTATTTACCCTTCTTTTGCTGAAAGAAAGGAGAAAAAGGCTGCTGCCTCTTATTAGAAGGGTATTCCTAAAAGGAACACCTTTTTAGAAACCTCTGAATGAAAAAATAATTTAAGATGAGTAATGTATTTCTAATACGGCATAGCAGCACACAATATAAGCCAATCAAATAACAAAACATGCTTCTACGACCTTGAAATGGCCTCTTCAGCTCACAAACTTGAATGCTACCATCACTTTAGTGAATGACTCTAGGTTACCCTTTTATATAGTCTTCATTAAGGTCTGTCTTCTGTGAAGGGCTTTATTTAATTTTCCATGAAGAGCTTTGAATGGATGCTTCTTAAGCTTATTTAAGCTGGCAGTATTTTGTTTCCAAAGTTCAAACTTCCATTTGCTAAGTCTGCTTAGTCACTTGAAACTGTGCAGCTCAAAGTCTTTCAATTAGACAGACATACTTATATGACAGCTTTTCTCCCCCTATGTCTCCCAGACAAACAATGTGAATATAGTAGATTCTCTGTCCATAAAACCTTCAAGGTATATATTAAAATTGCCAGTCATATAATTGTTTCATATATACTGTTTTAATATTCCAAAAATAAAAATAATAAAAGAATAGTTACATATTTTTGGTTGATCTCCTGGGGGAAGGTAATAGGGTCATTAATGTGATCACTTGCTTGGCAAAGACTGACTGAGACCCTGCTTTGTGCCAGGCTATACAGAAAGAACACTAACATGAGGAACATGGTCCCTACCCTCAGAAATCTTACAGTCTAGGGAAAAAGACATTAAATAAATCATCTTGTAACCACATACATAAATGCAAACTGTGTTAAGTGCTACAAAAAAACAACAGGGTACCCAAGTTAGACTGGGGTAGTGGTTTCAGTTATTTAATTGTGGAAGCGATATTTGGGCTGGGCCCTGACAGGTGGAGAACTGAGCCCTAGGGGTGGAGGCACATTCCAGGAAGAAGGACTAGCATATGCAAAGGCCACAGTCTGAGGAAGGAGAAGCGAGTGGATACCAGTTATGTGTCCACTGGTCTGGTCCAGGTGTGGGTGAAGGGGCGCAGACTGGAGTGGTAACAAAGGGGATGGAGACAAGCGAGCAGATGAGAATGGATCTGACACAAGTGACAAGCTGTGGAGTCAGGACTGAGAGAGAGCATACAACAACATAAAACAATTGGGAGAATATGACCTTTCACTTAAAAACCAGGACACCAAACAATATACAATTCAACTAAGTCAAAGAAAAATACAGATGTGAGAAGCTGGCAGTAGCCTATGCTGTAATGTGACATGCGTTTTATACCTATAAAAATACTTCTCAGAAGAAATGTATTGCTAAATTACAACCTATCTGACAGATAAAATAACCACTAAAAATGCTGACCAAAACTTTTAACTATACACACAAAAAAAGATTATGATGTAATAATTTTTTTTTTTTTTTTTGAGACAGAGTCTCGCTCTGTCACCCAGGCTGGAGTGCAATGGCGTGATCTTGGCTCACTGCAACCTCCGCCTCCCGGGTTCAATCGATTCTCCTGCCTCAGCCTCCCAAGTAGCTGGGACTACAAGCACGTGCCACCATGTCTGGCTAAATTTTTGTATTTTTAGTAGAGACGGGGTTTCGTCATGTTGGCCAGACTGTTCTCGAACTCCTGACCTCAGGTGATCCACCCGCCTTGACCTTCCAAAGTGTTGGGATTACAGGCGTGAGCCACCGTGCCCGACATTCATATCATATATATATATATGGTTTTTTTTTTTGAGACAGGATCTCACTCTGTCCCCCAGGCTGGAGTGCAGTGGTGCAGTGGCGCGATCTCGGTTTACTGCAACCTCTGCCTCCTACGTTGAAGCAAGTCTCCCACCTCAGCCTCCCAACTAGCTGGGATTACAGGTGTGTACCACCACACGTGCCTAATTTTTGTATTCCTTGTAGAGACGGAGTTTTGCCATGTTGGCCAGGCTGGTCTCAAACTCCTGGACTCAAGCAATCCACCCGCCTAAGCCTCCCAAAGTGCTGGGACTACGGGCATGAGCCACTGCGCCCAGCCTCAAGCTATATTTTTAAAAAGCAAAACATTTGCGAGACTATATGTGAAACAGAACAGTATTTCCTGTTTGCTAATGATGGAACACTAAACAATGTAATTATTAAAAATACACTGACGGCTGGGCGCAGTGGCTCATGCCTGTAATCCCAGCACTTTGGGAACTGAGGCAGGTGGATCACCTGACGTCAGGAGTTCGAGACCAGCCTGGCCAACGTGGCAAAACCCCATATCTACTAAAAATACAAAAATTAGCCAGGCATGGCGGCAGGCACCTATGTAACTCCAGCTACTCAGGAGGCTGAGGCAGGAGAATCGCTTGAACCCGGGAGGCAGATTCCAGTGAGCCAAGATCACGCCACTGCACTCCAGCCTGGGCGGCAGGGCGAGACTCCATCTAAAAAAAAATAAAATAAATAAAAATACGTTGAGAAAAGGAATCAAGCAAATTAGAATATATATTCATAATAACACATGGAAAAGATGTAAGTAACAATTCTACTGAAGTAACAATGTCTTAATATGAATCATTTTTTACCTTTCTTTAATGAATGTAATGCTGAGGTGAAGAAGGTCAAATAACCAGGAGGCTGGGGTGAGCCACTGAACTCAAAGTACCCGAGTACTCCAGGCTGCAGGAAAAAGAGCAGAATTAGGTAACTGAGGCACTGTCAGCCACAGTGTAATGGAGGATATTTTAAAGCAAGACATATTACAATTTGACAATTAATGCATCTTGTTGCCTTTCATTTTTTCAAAAAGCCTAAGCACATGATAAAAATTTCAGGTTGGGGTTGAACATCCCCTCCATTTAAACAACAAACAGGGTAAGGGATGGAGTTGCAGTAGCTTTGACAGGATTGTACAGTGGTCATTCAGGGACATTCAAAGCTGAAATTTCCTTCTGTCCCCATGAGTAGGTCTTTCCACACCCTGTTTGTTGACAGTACAATTCTCCCAGGCTCAAAACTTTATCAGTAAGTTATGTCCTCAATCGCTTTTAACAACTCCAGACAAGCAATGGCAATAATTTTCTTTTAACCTTTCTTAAGTTTCTTCTTGAATCTCTCTCTCTCATTGACTCCAAACATACCTTCACACTTTGCTGGAAATCAGGGTTAATCTTCACCTGTAATCAAGCCCCTTCAACAGGAAACAAACCACAGAACCCCCGCCAAAACCCAGCATTCCACAGTGGCAACTCTCCTTTCCCTCAGATCTGCAGAGGACCCGCCTCTGGCCCTCTGGCTCCTCCACCCTACACATTCATTTCCACCTGCTCATTCCACTTCTCTAAGCTGGGCGTAGAATGCCCCTTCATTCTGCCAAACCAATTAACTGTCCCCTACCAGATATGTTCTGCCTTCCTGTTTACAATCACTTCTTCCTTCTTGGAAGGCCCTGTGGCACTCATTCAGTCAGGTTTTATTCTGTAATAATCGTATCTGTCTTAAAAGTCAAATTTTGAGATCCCTGAGGAAAGAGTGCTGGACTTGGAGTCAGAAGACCTAAGCTCAAGTCTGAGATCTAGTGGCTGAATGAACAGCCTCGGGAGAACCCTTCAATATGAAACCTCAGTTGCCTGATGTGGAAATAGGAACAATTCTTCACAGGGTTAGGCAAAGAGCAAGCCTGATGAACCGTAAAGCACTAGGCAAATGAAAAGAATCCTTTTGAGCCCAAAAGCACTTGGCACTACACTCTATATTAGTAAGTCATTGTGGAAATGAACTTGATCATTGAAACAAAATTGCATCCAAAATTTGGTGGAAATTTGATCTGTTGGTAAAGTTTAAAATCAATATGTTATAAAAAAGAGGAAACTTTTGATCTGTAGTAGAATATACTATCTTTCCAATCTAAACCACTTGCTTGTTGTAAGATTCAACTGTAAATGAATCAATTGGTTTTCATTCTGATAGAAACTTAACATCTAGGCTGGGTGCAGTAGCTCACACTTGTAATCGCAGCACTTTGGGAGACCTAAGAGGGAGGATCATTTGAGGTCAGGAGTTCAAGACCAGCCTGGTCAACATGGTAAAACTCTGTCTCTATTAAAAAATACAAAAATTAGCCAGGTGTGGTGGTACATGCCTGTAGTCCCAAATACTCGGAAAGCTGAGGCAAGAGAATCCCTTGAACCCAGGGGGTGGAGGCTGCAGTGAGCTGAGATCATGCCCCTGCACTCCAGCAGGTGGGGGAGAGAGCAAGAGTCCATCTCAAAAAAAAAGAAAAAAAAGAAAAAAAAAAAGAAACAGATTCTCACTCTGTTGCCCTGGCTCACGCCTGTAATCCCAGCACTTTGGGAGGCTGAGGCAGGTGGATCACTTGAGGTCGGGAGTTCAAGACCAGCCTGGCCGATATGGTGGAACCCTGTCTCTACTGAAAATAAAAAAATTAGCCAGCCATGGTGGTGCACGCCTGTAATTCCAGCTACTCAGGAGGCTGAGGCACAAGAATTGCTTGAACCAGGGAGGTGGAGGTTGCAGTGAGCCAAGATCGTGCCACTGCATTCCAGCCTGGGCAAAAGGGCAAGACTCCATCTTAAAACAAAAAACAAACAAAAAAAAAACCCACAAAACTATGAACTAACAGAAACAGTACCTATGTGCACAACATTCAGAGTAGAATTTTACAAACAATATGACAATGTTGGGTACCAGCATTCTACAATTCTGTCAAAATGCTCATGTTTTCTGTCATCTGGCAATTTTACTTAACTCTCTTCTTCCCCCTAAAAGATTCCCGAGCCTTTCCCCATCCCATCTAAATTTAAAACAATTTTGTTACCAAGCTGTTAGGAATAAATGAATGAATGTATGCTAAATAAGTGTTCTTAAATGGATACAGAAATTCATGGAAAGATTCTTAAAATATTTTGCCTGCAGATAGAAGAGTTTGAAATAATAATACTGTTAGCATTTGGTGAGTAAATTATAAAGTACAAGTCAAATGAATCTGTCAAGTGCTTTAAAAAATAAAAAAGAGGCCAGCAGCACTCACGCCTGTAATCCCCTCAGATCACTTGAGGCCAGGAGTTCAAGATCACCCTTGGCCAGCCTGGTGAAATCCCATCTCTACTAAAAACACAAAAATTAGCCAGGCGTGATGGTGGGCACCTGTAGTTGCAGCTACTTGGGAGGCTGAGGCAGGAGAATTGCTTGAACCTGGGAGGTGGAGGCTACAGTGAGCAGAGATCGCACCACTGCACTCCACCCTGGGCAAGAGAGGGAGACTCTGTCTCAAAAAAACAATCAAACAAACAAATAAATAAGAAAGTAAGCACTACTGATGTAGAAGCTACCAATACCTAACACAAATGATGTCCAAACAATACTGAAATTAGAGGAGCCAGAAAATTAGTCACTGAAAATTAAATGACTATTGCTCAGTCCTATTCCCTTTCCAATCAACTTAATGTCCACTGAAATAAAAATGACACCGGCCAGGTGTGGTGGCTTATGTCTATAATCCCAGGACTTTTGGGGGCTGAGATGGGAGGATCACCTGACCTCAGGAGTTCCAAACTAGCCTGGGCAACATGGCAAGACCTCATCTCTATAAAATAAAAATAAAAATGACACTGGTTCTGTTAGTATACGTTGTCCACAGTAATCGACTTCATTTTCCTCTCTCTATTTAAATTGGCAGGAAGAACATTCAAGGAAGAGGGATTCCACAACTGGAGTAACTGAAGTAAGTAGAATTTCTTTTTCTCTTTTTTGGAGACAGAGTCTTTCTCTGTCGCCAAGGCTGGCGTGCAGTGGCGTGATCTCCGCTCACTGCAACCTCTGACTCACAGGTTAAAGCAATTCTCCTGCCTCAGCCTCCCGAGTAGCTGGGATTACAGGCGCCCGCCACCACATCCGGCTAATTTTTTGTATTTTTAGTAGAGACGAGGTTTCACCATGTTGGCCAGGCTGGTCTTAAACTCCTGACCTCATGATCTGCCCGCCTCGGCCTCCCAAAGTACTGGGATTACAGGTGTGAGCCACGGGGCCCAGTCAAATTTCTTAACATGGTTTGCAAGAAAATTATATAGAGCTCTTAATCTCCCTTTATGGGATCTCCTGGCAAGTTCATTTCAGTTTTTAGCTACATTCATTATTTACAAGGGAAGTATCATTGTAGTGCTTACCTGGGTAGAAAATTATAGACCATACCCTGCCTGAATATTGTGACTATCATACACAAAATAATCCCAGTTCTGCAGAATAAATGTGAATGACCCAATTAATAACAGGAAATGGCAAAACTCTGCTGCTTAAGAGCCATGGCATCATCCTTCATCCATATTTATTCTTTTAAGTATTCATTTAGAAAAAAAAAAAAGCTAACAGCCAAATTAAGGAGCCAACATCGTCAAAATGTTCTACCATAAAAGAAAAAAGTTTCAAAAAATGACATTAAATAAATATTTGAAGTTGTAACCCCTGGGTAGATACTGAAGTTTCAATTCAGGAACCTTAAATATTTCTTTGAGGAAGGAACATGATAGACAAGAATTTGGGGAGCCACAAGGCTGGGCTGTCGTCCAGTCTCCATGTAGGTAAATCACAGCCTCCCTGTACCTTAGCTTCTTAATCTGTTGGAAGGATCCACAGTTTCCATCTACCTCACCCAGCTGTTTGGAACATTTAGAAATAAGCACTTGAAAACTGAAGAGCACTTCACCATGCATAGTTTATGCATTACTTCTTTGCTAATAACAACTGAAGTATTTCAGGGTTTACAAAGTTAAGAATTTTTAGTACTCACCCTTTAATGGCTTTCTGTGATGTTTAAGTAACTTAAAGGCAAAACTGTTGTCCTAGAAATTGTTTCTGGTCTCAGAGTCTTGTCTTTGTTTTGTTTTGAGATGGAGTCTCACTCTGTTGCCCAGGATGGAGTGCAGTGGTGCCATCATAGCTCACTGTAACGCCAAACTCCTGGACTCAAGCAATCCTTCAGCCTCAGCCTCCCAAGTAGAGCTGGGACTACAGGCATGTGCCACCATGCTTGGCTAATTTTTAACATTTTGTTATAGACACAGGGTCTAATTTTGTTGCCCAGGCTGGTCTTGAATTCCTGGCTTCCAGCAATCCTCCACCTTGGCCTCCCAAGTGCTGGGGTTGCAGGCATGAAGCACCTCGCCAGGCCTCTTAGAGTCATAGTTTACAAACATAAAACCATGGTTAATGATTAGCGCAATGTGATATTGGTAGGTCTGAGATATCTAAGCCAAATAAAATATTTTCCATTGGTTAAAAACTTCCACTCTTCGGCCGTGTGCGGTGCCTCACGCCTGCAATCCCAGCACTTTGGGAGGCCGAGGCAGGCAGATCACGAGGTCAAGAGATAGAGACCATCCTAGCTAACAAGGTGAAACTCCATCTCTACTAAAAATACAAAAATTAACCGGGCATGGTGGCACATGCCTGAGTCCCAGCTACTCAGGAGGCTGAGGCAGGAGAATCACTTGAACCTGGCAGGTGGAGGCTGCAGTGAGCCAAGATCACGCCGCTGCACTCCAGCCTGGACAACAGAGCGAGACTCCACCTCAAAAAAAAAAAAAAAAAAAAAATTTCCACTCTAAGCAATTCAGTATCAAATCATCTGAATAGGCCTTTGAAAGGATTCAACTATAGGACTTCTAAAAATTAAAACCAAGATACAATTAGTACATTTCTTTTTCTAACAATAGAATAAGCATACATGAATAGAGTTCCATATACATATAATAAAATTTTACGTCAGCGGGGCACAGTGGCTCACACCTGTAATCCTAGCATTTTGGGAGGCTAAGGTGGGCTGATCACTTGAGGCTAGGAGTTCAAGACCAGCCTGGCCAAATGGTGAAACCCCATCTCTACTAAAAATACAAAAACAGCCAGGCGTGGAGGCACATGCCTGTAATCCCAGCTACTGAGGAGGCTGAGGCACGAGAATCACCTGAACCCAGGAGGTGGAGGTTGCGGTGAGACGAGATTGCGCCACTGCACTCCAGCCTGGGAGACAGAGCGAGACTCTGTCTCAAAAACAAGTTTATGTCAATAGAGAATATTATGTATTTCAGGACATCATCACTTCCCAAGTAATGAATGCTAACTATATAATTTTATAATGGTCCAAAATGCTCACAAATATCTAGATTAGAGACAAATTTATAATTAATCAATTTTTTTTCTTTTTTTTTCCTTCCTTAAAATCCAGATCCTACGCAAGAAATTTTTTTTTAAAACAAGGAGGAAATTATCACACATACTCCTACAAGATGTTACAAACATATCTAACAGACACTAAGTCAAGCAAAAAAAAACCAATCCTTCATTATGTCAAACTTCAGAAGTGCCATGAAAACATTAATTATTTTGACCCAATTTTGATATACTTAAATTTAAACACACTTGATACTGAAATCCATATTGATAAAAAATATAAACTGAGATAAGGCTCTTGACCAAAACAAGTATCTTTCATAGTAAGATGTCTTTAAATTAGCAAGTTCCTTCACATATTTAAACTGTATAGGGTTTTTTTGTTTGTGTTTTTTGGAAAAAGTGAGTAGTTTGAGTAAAAAGTTGAGTATCAGAGACAGCTCTACTGATGACACTCTAACTCACCCCTAGCTATAATTTCCACCCGCCCCCCCCACCCCACCATAACCTTCCACCATTCTCTAGTCAAGGCACTGTTTAATTTTCATCTTCTCTCTACTGCCACCATTATAAGCAGATAAACTTTTAACTATTAAATGAATGCCTTTGAGAGCCCCATGATAAAAGACATGTTTTCTTCCTCTTAAGGCCTTAATTGGGAAAACTCAATTCTTCAGAGCAGTAGTTCTTAATGGGGGAATTTTGCCCCCTGAGGGGTATTTGGCAAGGTCTGCAGATATTTTTGGTTGTCACAAATGAGGGGAGAAAAGGGTGCTACCAACATCTAGTGGGTGGAGGCCAGGGATATTGCTAAATATCCTACAAACCACAGGACAGCCCCCCAAAACACAGAATTATCTGACCTCCAACGTCAACTGCGCCAAGGTTGAGAAACCCTAACTTAGCAGAATATTCAAAAGCTTACTGTGTTCTACTCCAGGGACTCCAAAAATTCCTTAACTTTCCTAATTATTCAACCATCAAAACCATGACAGTGGTTTCATTTCTGGATCTAGAATTCTGTCTCTATCTTATAGGCAGTGTGTGTGAAACTGATACATTTTCTAGGCTGTGCTATTTGGTATATTTTGCAAGACAAATGGTTTCACAAGTGTCACGATGGGCTTGACTAGTGAGTTGTTTCACAATTAATAAAGTACTATCTATCTCTTGCCAATGAGACAATCTCATCTCAGTGACAAGCCCAGCAAAAGATGATACTAACCCGATAAAAGCCACAGCTTTTGGGAGGAAGTCATTTTAAAGGCTGACAGAAGTGATCTAGGGACCCCATCTTGGTAGCACTCTTGTGGTTCCCATTTTAAAGGCAGTCCAGTTTAATCACTGTTGTACATCACTCTAAGTGGGCTGCCAAAAAACTTAATGTAATGTTTTAAATGTCATCAGCAGTAATGTCGTCAGTAGATTAGTGAGTCTAACATGAACTCCACACCAATACTTGGAGGATAGTCTTTTAAAGTACTGCTGGGCTGGGCATGATGGCTCACACCTGTAATCCCAGCACTTTGGGAGGCTGAGGCAGAACGATCGCTTGAGCCGAGTTCATGCCACCACACTCCAGCCTGGGTGACAGAGTGAAACCCTATCTCAAAAAAATAAAATAATCCAGCCTGGCCAACATGGTGAAACCCCATCTCTACTGAAAATACAAAAAATTAGCCAGGTATGATGGTGCATGCCTGTAATCCCAGCTACTTAGGAGGCTGAGGCAGAAGAATCACTTGAACCTGAGAGATGGAGATTGCAGCGAGCCAAGATCATGCCACTGCACTCCAGCCTGGGTAACAGAGTGAGACCATCTCTAAATCAATCAATCAATCAATCAATCAATCAATGGAGTACTGCTAAAAGCAGGTCTGTCTGACTCCTGATTCTTCACCATTTTGCTGTGCCATCCCGAGTGGCTCTGGCTGTAACCCACTGAAGAACCATGTCAAAACCCACTTACCACAACTTTACTGTTAGAAGGAATCTCAAGGATACCCTGGCCCAGGCCCCTGATGCCCAGGAAGTGAGTAACCCGCCCCAAATCACAAACCCAGTGAGTGTGCCAAAGGGATCAGGCCCCAGTACCCTGCCTCTTAATATAGCCCTCACCCACCAGCCTGCCCAGGGAAAATGAGAGGCAGGCCTCTGAGGTGCACAGACATCCATCTGCTATCTATGTAATTAAGGAATATTTACTCTGATGCATAGCTAAGAACTAAAAGCAGAATAACTAGATATACTGCTGCTTGGGGAATCTCTGCTAATAGTTAACACATATGTAGTTTCCAACATGACTGAATAAAGCTATACTGATGTTCTGGTGAAAAAATGTGTATCCAATCTATACAGAATATAAATAGTGCGAACAGTAAAATTCAACTAGCCACAATTCTAAACTGTCAGGAAGGTCTGGATATACATGGTTTTTTAATCTCTGTCAGGTATTTATGGTCTTGATTTTGTTGTACCTAAGTATCATTTTACTTGTACTCAAGTATGATTTTACACTTGCTCCAGTGAATTTTTTGCAGAACTACTTTTATAATTTTTTGAGGCTACATCTTTCAATAATCCCAATACTGGCCTCACAATAAGCCATTCTTAACATGCATTAAAGATCCTACAGGGCTGGGCGTGGCGTCCCACACCTGCAATCCCAGCACTGTGAGGGGAGGCCAACATGGGAAGATCACTTGAGGCCCAGAGTTCAAGACCAGCCTGGTCAACATGGTGAAACCCTCTTTAGTGAAAAATACAAAAATTAGCTGGGCGTGGTGGCACTGCCTGTTATTGCAACTACTTGGGTGGCTGAGGCACAAGAAGCACTTGAACCCAGGAAGTGGAGTTTGCAGTGAGCTGAGATTGCACTCCAGCCTGGGTGTCAGAGCAAGACTCTGTCTCAAAAAAGAAAATACCATAAAAATAATTTACCAGGGGTTGAAGTTGGCAGTGGGGAAGCAGGAAAGAAGCTACATCAGGAAAGTTAGAAAACTTTCTGCAATTAAGACCTTCAAATAGTTATATACTTCATAATATGGAAGGGAACATATTTCCAGTTTTCAAAAAAACCAAACTACAACTGACAAGAGAAACCAGGTATCTCATAGTACAATGCTATGAGAAGTGTCAAGTAATATTCTTAGAAATTTGCAGTTGCACATAAATTGTAAGTTAATTCTCATCTACTCTAAGTTAACTGTAAGGCAAGATGAAAATCTGTTGAAAATTCCCTAACGAAAAACAAAGACTTTGCTAGTACTCTATTCTCTTAAAACTCTCTTGGACAAACCATCCTTATAATCAGTATCTCAAAAAGCATTTAACTGGGGCTGATCTATCACATGACCTTTTACTTGCTGCAATTCAGGAGGTATTTTTTTAAACCCCTTTAAAACAAACAATCCAATACAACCCCGTGAAAGGCCTTGAGTATGGAGGAGGAGATATGAAAGACAAGTACCTCGTAGTTTGAGAGAAAATCTAGTAATTCTGATTGAGATGGGATGTAGAGAAGTGGTTTCATCACCCGGCGGACAAACTTCTCAATGTAAACAGCACTCATGGGGCCTTTGTATTCGATTGGTCCAAAACTAGTACCAAAAAATAAAAATAAAAATAAAAATAATAAAAATAATACACCATGCATTAAGCCTGTAATGTATAACTAAAATCATCACCACCACAAAATGAAAGTGTCTTGCTTTGGGATCCAACCAAGTCACAGATCAGTAGCCTGCTTTGCTCAGGAGGTGACCAGAGAATTAAGAACAAGCATTTTGGGTGAGGAGAGGCACAAGCAGCCCCTACCCTTCTATGATCTTGAATTCAACTGCAAACTGAATTGCCAAACAAGGAACATTTACTCTTATCTCTGAAAAAAAAATTAATTCCCACAGTAGTTCTTTTAAAAACAAAACAGAGAGACAACCCTGGAAATTGACCACATGCTAAGGGATTCCAGGATTTAACTATACAATTCAACGCAGGCGGGCAGACTTTCCTTCTACTAGTCACTGTGAGGTAAGGGACAGGTTGAACAGTCAGCCCTTGGCCTACTAAAAAGAAACAGGCAGACAAAGGATCACTGAATGAACCTTAAACCTATTTGAAGCTTTATTACAACAATAACAAATTATGTGAAGGTCTGAAGTCAGTGACCTGTTTAAATAATCTTTCTTCCTTTCCCCTCCAGTTGTGCCTGGGGACACATAGAATTGGATTCAGTGCCGCTAAGTGATACCACCACTATTCAGTTATCCTCCTAAGCTAATCAGAATTCTCACGTGCCTCTCTTCAGTCTCACACAATACAGACACTGCCCAAATATAATTGGATGGTAGGTGGCAAGGGTTGGGGGGTTATGGTGAAATTCAACAACTGCATAATCGTTCTTTTCTCTAAACAGAAATTGACATTAAGCTTACTGTTAACAGCAACAAGAGCCCAGTGAAGAATTTTATAAAGGCTGTGATTATAATACCATAATACATGGTTACAGAAATTCACACACACACACACACACACACACACACGTGATGGGATAAACACAATTCTTCCATGTGCACTGCAGAATGATGTTAAAGGAATATTAGCATGAAAAAAAGTGAAAAACAGCGTTCTCTACATGTACAGCTGGGACACAGTTAATAATTCTACCAAATCAAGACTTACTACAAATTAGTTCCGTTTAAAAATTACCACCACCACCAACCCCATCAACCACCAATAATTTTTAATTTAAAGGAAGAAATCAAAAAAGCATCTAACTTATTTTGTTCCAGAAAAAGGAGCTACCAATCTGGAAACCTCAACCACTCAGGCCAAGAGGCTTTGATGAGTTTTCCTGTTGTGATGTTACAAGGGTTCTAGTGACTTGTAAAAGCTAACAATGCAAAGACAGGGGTGTGGAGGCGGGCATTTCAAGGTGCGTACCACCTCAAATTCCTCATCTGTAAAATAAGAAGGTTGGACACATTTCTAAAGTTCCTTTGAGGTCCCTTCAATCTTTCTGCAAAAGCTAAGCAAGCAAATAGTATATATATGACAATACTGTATACCTGCATATCCCAAAATGACACTTGTACTTGATTCCATGGAACTCTTCTGATTTTAATGTCACATCACGTTATGTCCACCTCTGAGCAGTCTGAAAGGACTACACCCCCCCACTAGGCTTCCATGCCTTTTTTCAAAGCCAAAAAGAAATGCAAGGACCTCAGCAGGGCAAGCTCACCATCCCGTTACAGAGCACAGAGTTAAGTACACCACCTTACACTTACCTTTAAAACAAAAACAGTAACTCTGAGAAAGTATTCCTGTATCCGAAAAAACCTGTACTTGAACCTTCCATGTAAAGGCAGAACCTCCAAGTTACTGGCCAAAAAGTGGGGAAGAAATCTGAAAATGGTCTTAGTGGTCCCTAAGCAAAAACTGGCTTCTTACTACAAATATTAAAATACAAACATCTAATATCCAGAGGAAAATGTGGGGGTAGAGATGGGGTAGAAAAGTGTGTTTTTGCCCAAATACTACCTAATAGTTCCTGGGAGTCAATACTATGTGCCAGACAACAGTTTATGTTACAGACACGGAAATGGGATGGAATGTGACAGAGAACCCACAAATCACTGTTTGTGCATGTTTGCTATAAATCCCCATTGATTATGGCCCAAGAACTTTAGAAGGAAAAAGGAAAGCTCTCTACTGATCAAATCTCCTTTACCCATTTTACTTTCAACAAACTTCAAGCCAATCACCCTGAACAAAGTCCAAAGTCCTATCTCCTATCTCCAAAACTCTTTGAGTCAGATTTTTAGACATTACTTATCATTCACAGCAGGGTCTGGGCTGTACTCTAGTACAGCCTAGGTCGAGACCAGCCTGGCAACATGGTAAAACCCCGTCTCTACTAAGAATACAAAAATTAGCCGGGCGTGGTGGCAGGCACCTGTAATCCCAGCTACTCGGGAGGCTGAGGCAGGAGAACGGCTTGAACCCTGAGGCGGAGGCTGCAGTGAGCCGAGATTGCACCACTGCACTCCAGCCTGGGCAACAAAAGCTAAACTCTGTCTCAAAATAAAATAAAATAAAATAAGATAAAATAAAACTCTTTCCGTTTTTCAGCCCTCTTTGTGACTTTAGAATTGTGGACATGGGCGGTAAAACCCTGTCTCTACTAAAAATACAAAAAAAATTAGCTGGGCAGGGAGGTGGGTGCCTGTAGTCCCAACTACTTGGGAGGCTGAGGCAGGAGAATGGCGTGAATCCGGGAGGCCGAGCTTGCAGTGAGCGGAGATCGCGCCACTGCACTCCAGCCTGGGCAACAGAGTGAGACTCCGTCTCAAAAAAAAAAAAGAATTGTGGACATGGGACTGTGTACTTGTAGTAATTTTCTTCCCAATAGAATAGATGGTAAGATACACTCTGGACTCTGCTATGCCTCCAGATGAAACGATAAGAAATTTTGTGTATTTTTACAAAACACTCTTACGATATCTGAAATGCATTGGAGTAATTCGTACTTTTAAAAACAATGCTGTAAAATGTGTAATGACATGAAAAGATGCTCAAAAAAGTGAGAAAAGCAGTTTAGGAAATAGTATTACTGCCTGATCCCATGTTTAGCTTTAAAAAGGGGGGTGGATTATCCAGATCTTTCTTTTTTAATTTTTGCTTATCTGTATTATCTGAATTTTCTATAGTGAATATCTAATACTTTAATATAGAAAAAATGCAAAATTCATTTATAAACTGGCAAACTAAACTGGAATGAGAGACGCTATTTAAAAAGTTCTTACCTCCGATGATACAGATATATTACAGGAAAATAAAAGAAGTGTTTCTGTTTTCTGCATTTCCCCTGGTTCCACCAACAGTTAATTGCCACAAACAACACCTGCAGAGCCAAAAAAGGTTTTCAAATGACTATGAATAACAACTGAAAAGTTACCAAGATTTAAAAGATGAAATTTAAAAATAGAATGATTCCTCTCTCACTGAAACAGAAACTATGAAAAAAACTGTTTTGAGTTTTCAAAGGTCATAATTTATCACTAAAACAAAAAAGAAAGACATACTCTTATCTATGATGTCCAGGCAGGACTTGGACCGTGTTTACCAATCTTACCATGCAATACAGTTCAAAAGATTTCTGTGTGTTTCCAAAAATAAACCCACTTTTTTCCCTACTGAGTACATGGAATAGTAAGCTCTCAATTTGGAAGGAGCTGAAATTTTTTTTTTAAAAAAAGCAGCAGTCCCTGGATTGCACTACAACCCCCACCACTACGTGATGGTAAACAAACTGCTTCACCCCTTATGCCTGCAGTCCTGCTTCAGAAAAACAGGGCTGACAGCATCGCCTTGCAAAGTGGTTGAGAATTGGCATGGGGCCTGGCACACCAGAATATCATTATTATTATACTAATGCCATCACTCAGAAGGACATACTGCTTAGGCTGACAGTAAGGTAGCTAATTCACACTTATTAATAAAACACAATAGATATCCCTCTTGTGCCCAACATGGGCAACGTGAACTTTGTTCTCTAAATTTGGAAGGCTCCACAGTTTCTAAGAAAAACCAAATGACAGTTCCAAATGAACTTCTGGAACTCAGCTGCCTACACACGTTACTTCACATCAGTGGTTCTGAGCAGGAGAGTCTTAGAAATCTGTGGGATGCTTTTGGCTTGCTACAATGACTGGGGGAAGCTACAGTGCATACGTAGGGCAGGGGTGTTGGTAGATGTCCTGCTACACTCAAACCTGCTTTGCACACGGAAGAGTCGTCCATAGCATTCCAGAGGAGTTCAAAACGCCTGCCAAACACTGATGTTGGGGAAAACCTGTTATTATCAAAGCCCAGTACCTAGCTCCATTTTACATGTGAATCTAAAGCATGCTTTTTGTGTTCACTGAATTTTTCAGGAATGCAACTTCTATGTAAACTGAGAGCAGAAAGGGCTTTGCATAGTTCAGGATTTTACCAAGACTGTTCACCATTTAGGATAATCAATTACTAAGAGCAATGTCCATGTGGCAGGTAAGTCACCAACATATCACCTTTATCAGTCTACGTTTGTAACTATCCCATTCAGTGATTCTACATAAAGGTATATGGACCTGTTCTGACTGTGCACTTACATACTAAAATATATATCATTTAGTTACAAATTACTTTCTTCCCCCCTCACCTCTATGTTACAATCCGTGCATTAGATTATTTTGAAATTACATGTATAGGAAAACTTTATCATCTATGAATTCCTTTTTAGGAAGAAAAAGGGACATCATAAAATACTTATTTTCTAAAGCACAACTGGGGTCCACTGGGCTGAAAACCACTGCCATAACAGGTGACTTATTTGCCTATATATCTTTCTTACCTAGCCCAAAGGTGGCATTCCTTATCTGCTGAATATAGTTCTGGTCCATATATTAAAAAGGTCGGCCTTGTTACAATGCAGTCATATCATACATACATTTTCTTACCTAAAATACCTAACTAGCAAGTATCAAATGGATATGCAAGAACTAGGATTTTCAGTCCCTCTACCTTTTTCAATGCTGAAACCAAACAGTATGGCACCCCAGGATAAGCATTGGCTTGTGTTATGAGATTCAGAATCTGCTCCCACACTTGCCTTGGAGTACAATCGCCACAATTGGAAATCCTTTCTGTTGCTTTATAGAAAGCTCTGTAACTTAGAAACGACTCCTGGAGTTCACCTTGGCAAAGTCTGCCCGTTGGGCAAGGTGTCTCTGTGGGGACATCCTGCCCTACATATAGGACTGACAGTCATTTGATTCTTAAGCTGAATGTGAGCATTACCTGATCTGAAAGCCGACTTGCTGCTTGCTCAATTTCTGCCCTGGCAGCGATGGACTGTCCACACCAAGGGGCATAGAAGAAGAGCAGTACCACCTCTGAATCCCGTCGAACGTACTCTGCATAATCCAGCTGCCCCTGGAAGAGGTCAAGGACTGGAGACCTCAAGGAGAAAAAGCTGACAGGTGGCTTTGCTGGTATTATCACATCTTTTGCTCGACTAAAAAAGAGCAAACACAGAAAAGATTGCTTAGTTTATCTTCTTCTAAAAATAGCTCTGTGGAAGTAGAATGAAGCTTAAAAGGAAAATCCTCTTTTGAATAAGAAAATGGAGTCCCAAAATCACTGCCCTAGAAAGGCAACATCTGGCTGAGCAAATGCAAGACATGAATAATACGTTGGAAACAATTCTCTGAGATTCTGTCCCCTAGGTGTAGGCTGGAAGGGCAGTGGAGAGCAGAGAAGGATGTCTCTGAATAATCCATATTCCTGCTCCCCACATCCCAAAGACTTCATCCTCCTTTTTCTGCAGCCTGGCTCTCCACAAAAGCCACTTATCTCCAGGGCTTTAGAGCCACCAGCATGCAAGCTCAGAATTACGGTGAGGGAGCATGTAAACTACCATTAACAAGATTTCCACGGGAGATGCTTACAATCAACTCAACTTTGAGAAAACATTAAGCTTATTAGCTGGAGTTGGCTTGTACTTATCCAGGGCATTCAGGTAACAGTAACAATTAAACAATAATATACATTCCTCCAGATATATATCATAATCCTAAGACTAATGAAGATAAGTAACAAAGCAACAGCCTATTTAACTGGAAAATGGGCTTTTTGAACACTTGAGCTTCCCACAAGAAACAGATCAGGAGGAAAAAGAAAAGAACGCTGAACAAACAAGTGGTCAGAAGTAACTTTCCCCATCAAGACCTAAAGATCTAGGCCCAGGCTGCATCCCACCAAGTAGAAGGGCCCTAGTAAACACCCTGAGCTGTCCATGCATCTACACTCACATACCACAAACCATTAGGGCAGCTTTGCTAAGAAACAAATGAGACCCAATTATGCACTATCTAAACGAGATAAATAGAGAACATAAACATGGAAACCTAAAACGCGATGAGATTAACCCCAAAGAAAGTAAAGGAGACCAGGCGTGGTGACTCAGCCTGTAATTCCAGCACTTTGGGAGGCCGAGGCAGGCAAATCTCCTGAGGTCAGGAGTTCAAGACCAGCCTGGCCAACATGGTGAAACCCTGTCTCTACTGAAAATGAAAAAGTAGCTGGGCGTGGTGATGGGCGCCTGTAATCCCAGCTTCTCGGGAAGCTGAGACACAAGAATCGCTTGAACCCGGGAGGCGGAGGTTGCAGTGAGCCGAGATTGCACCATTGCACTCCAGCCTAGGTGACTAGAACAAAACTCCATCTAAAAAAAAAAAAAAGAAAGAAAGTAAGTAAAGGAACAAGAAAAGAACAAAAGCCAGACGGTACAAATGGAAAACAAGGAGCACGAAGGTAGACTTAAACCCAACTACCTCAACAATTACGTTAAATATAAAAGGAGAGGCCGGGCGCGGTGGCTCATGCCTGTAATTCCAGCACTGTGGGAAGCCGAGGCAGGCAGACCACGAGGTCAGGAGATCAAGACCATCCTAGCTAACATGGTGAAACCCCATCTCTACTGAAAAAAATACAAAAAATTAGCCGGGCGTGGTGGCACATACCTGTAGTCTCAGCTACTCGGGAGGCTGAGGCAGGAGAATTGTGTAGGTTGCAGTGAGCCAAGATCATGCCATTGCACTCAGCCTCGGCAACAGAGCGAGACTACGTCTCTCAAAAAAAAAAAAAAAAAAAAAAAGGAAGCAACCTAATTAGGAGGAGCAGACTGCCAGACAGGATAAAGCAAGACCCAATTATGCACTATCTAAACGAGATATATCTTAAATATAAAGACACAGGATAAAGGCATAAGGATGGGAAAAGAAAAACTATGTAAATAGTGAGCATAAGAAATCTGGCATGACTCATGAGGTAAAATGATAAACTGGGGTATATTCTTACCCATTTACTTAAATGTTACTCCACAATAAAAACGAAAAGCAAAACCTATTCATATGTACTATAACTTGGATGAGTCTCAAAATGATTATGCTGAGTGAAAAAAGTGCTAAAGAGTACATGCACTATGACTGCATTTATATGAAATTCCAGAACAGGCAGAAGTATCCAACGGAGCAAGTCACCTATTTATTCACTCAAACTAATATTTTAACCTTCAATCAGAGAGCTTTCAGTCTATGCAGAATGCCTTCATAACCTGAAAAAATCACTTACACAATTATTCAAAAATTCTTTACTGAGCAGCTGTGACTGTGCTTTGGGCACAAGCACTAAGGCTGCGGCAGCTAGCACTGCGTGTTGTCGAGGAGACCACTTTCTAGGGGAGGAAGACAGGAAAAACATCAAATGTGTAAACAATAAAAATATACTAAATGCTCACTATGTGAAAAATTTAACAAGGTGATGTACAGAAGGGCATGGTAGCTCCTCTGATGGAGTGGTGGCTTGGGAGGTGCTATAATTTAAGCTCTGAGACCTGAATGACAAGAAGATAGCCACCTAAGAGGTGGGGAGGGCACTACAGGAAAAAAAAAAAAAAGACACGTTTTCAAGAGATCCAAAATTCTGCTCTTTGGAGAAATTACTTTTCTACCATTCAAACTGCACATGGCCAAGAGTCGTGGCTCACGCCTGTAATCCCAGCACTTTGGGAGACAGAGGCGGGTGGATCACATGAGGTCAGGAGTTTAAGACCAGCCTGACCAACACCGGGAAACCCCATTTCTACTAAAAATACAAAATTAGCTGGGCATGGTGGTGCACACCTGTAATCCCAGCCACTTGGGAGGCTGAGGCAGGAGAATCGCTTGAACACGGGAGGCGGAGTTTGCAGTGAGCCAAGATCACGCCATTGCACTCCAGCCTGGGAAAAAAGAGCAAAACTCCATCTCAAAAGAAAAAAAAAATGCAATGTAAGCATCAAATAATGCAATCTGAGGAAAAATGTAGGTCTGACAGTCAACGAAAGGATAAAGAGCAACTCAGTAATTTTGCTCTGCATATTCAGAAGCATTCCTAAATGAGCCAGATAAAGTACAAGGCCAATCAAAAATCAAATATTGGCCAGGGAGAAGAAACGCTCGCCTCTACTCCATCAGAAACACTGGTGAGTTTCTATTTAACTCATCAATCTGCTTCACGCTTTAGAGAAACTATACATAGAGCAAAGATTTCCTGCAGCTATGAGGGGTATGTCTCGGGTACAAAAAACTCGAGTTGGTTGCAAATAAGAAGGCCTGTTGTTGCTGAGCCAGTAGCATGTGCCTATAGTCCCAGCTACTATACTCAGGAGGCTAAGGCAGGAGAATTACTTGAGCCCAGCAGTTTGAGGCTGCAGCATGCCATAATTGCACCTGTGAATAGCCACTGCACTCCAGCCGGGGCAACATAGAAAAAAGGCCTGTTGAAACCCCAATTTTCCTATGAAATTCACACCCTACATCACTTCCTTGCAAAGACCATTCGAGGCAGCTTTGAAATTACAAAATGGAATAAAGCAAAATAAATACATGTATACATACATATGTATCTACACACAGACAATTTTTTTTCCCTCTAAATCAAGGTAAAAGAAAGGTGAGCAGGATGAAGAGACACAGGTAAGTAAAGATTAGATGCCCAGAAACGCACGATTATTCACTGTGGCTCAACCTCAAATCAACCTTTTCCATATTAGCTGGTTTGAATTCAGCCAAGCCACAGACATTGAAAAGAGCAGACATTTATTTCAAGCCTGGAGCTGTTCATAAAAATTAAATTAAAAAAAAAAATCCTAGGCCAGGCGCGGTGGCTCACACTGTAATCCCAGCACTTTGGGAGGCCGAAGTAGGAGGACCACCTGAAGTCAGGAGTTCGAGACCAGCCTGGTCAACATGGTGAAACCCCGTCTCTACGAAAAATACAAAAATCAGCTGGGCATGGTGGCACGCACCTGTAATCCCAGCTACTCAGGAGGCTGAGGCAGGAGAATCACTTGATCCCAGGAGGCAGAGGTTGCAGTGAGCCAAGATAAAAAAAAAAAAAAAAATCCTATTCTCCCTTAAGCCTATCTCCTTATTAAAGCAAAGATCTTAAAACTGAAAGAGGAAAAGCGGGGGTAGAAATGTTAGCCAGTTGCACAGCAATAAACAGTATCATGACACCATTCAATCAAAGATGACCCTAAAAAAATTAATCCGAGTCTATTAAAAGACTGTCAAATTTGCCAGTGACACAGAAAGAAGATGAAGCAGCAGCCATTTACTGGTTCATTCTCCTTGCCTGAAGCAAGAAAGGATCTCATTCTGCCTACTCTAGTAACTGGATTTACTCTCTTCCTTCCTTTTCAATCTCAAAGGACTTCTGTATCAATTAAGCCATGCTGTCTCAGAACAAACATTAACCATTATTTCTAGACTTTAACAAACCGATGTAAATAAACTTCACCCCTGGAGGGGGAAACCTCTCTTCCTAATTTGAACCTAAATGTCACCTCGCAACACTCTACCTTGTAAAATACTTTGTATACTGTCCTTGTGGGAGACAAGAATAAAGTACAAGGTTAAGAATCTAGGAGGTCCTGACAATAAAGGATTCAAATTCCAGCTCAGCCCCTTATCACGTAGGTGTGATTTGGAGCAGGTTCTGAAACATCACGAAGGCTGGACTCCTTCATCTGTGCACTGGGAAAGATAACAGTATATTCAAACTTTAATGGGGATTGTAAGATTTAAATGACACCCATACTAGGCTCTCAATTATGTACTAAATGAATAAATGCTTCATGGAAACAGTGGTTCCCAAGCAGGCAATTTTGCTCCCAGGGGACATCTAACAATGTCTGAAGCCATTGTAGTTGTTACATCTTGTGGGGTGTGCTACTGGTATCTAGTGGGTAGAGGCCGGGGATGCTGCTAGACATCCTACAGTAGTCAGGGCAGCCCCCACAACACAGAATTATCTGACCCAAAATATCAACAGTGCCAAGACGGAGAAACCCTGCTGACAGTACCTGGCCTATGGAAAATGCTCACTGAGAGTTATTATAATTTATCTTTCCACTAAAATCCCCGATCTTTTGACACCTCTTTGACAACTGGCCACATATCGTGCTAAATAAACTCAAAAATGTTCCGAGGTGAAATCACAGATATCATAGTAGCAATACAGATCTTATAAACTGGAATCCCAAAAGACCCACTGTGGATTTGGGAGACCAGAAGTACACCTGAAATATACAGCAAATTTTGTATGTGTGTACATTCCTGAAAAGACACACATGAACTTTCATGTTCCTACCCCCTACACCCCAGCCTACTGTCAGGCCTTTTTATCAATTCCAGGGAAACACCAAGCTTGCCCAGCCTCAGAAACTCTGCATTTGCTGTTCGCTCTACCGTGGACACGCTCCCCCGGGATCTTCCCAGCGCTGGTCCCTTCTCCTTTTTGTATAAGCTTCAAATGTCACTTCCTTAGGAAGTCTTTCCCCACCGCCATCGTTTCTATGCCCTGCATAGCACTGAAGCTTTAAAAAATTATATTTACTTGTTCACTGTCCCATCCACTCAAGGGAGCAAAAAGTTCACCCGGACGAGCGTCCGGCACATAGTAGGTGCAGATAAATAATCGTTAGATCAGGCCGGGTGCGGGGCTCTCGCCTGTAATCCCAGCACTTTGGGAGGCCGAGACGGGTGGATCACGTGAGGTCAGGAGTTCGAGACCAGCCTGGCCAACGTGGTGAAACTCTGTCTCTACTAAAAATACAAAAATTAGCCAGGCGTGGTGGCGCGCGCCTGTAATCCGAGCTACTCAGGAGCTGAGGCAGAAGAACCCCTTGAACCCGGGAGGCGGAGGTTTCAGTGAGCCGAGATCGCGCCACTGCACTCCTGCCTGGGACACAATGCGTGACTCCGTCTCAAAATAAAAATAATCGTTAGATCAATGAGTGCGGGAATTCTAAAAGGGGTCTGGAACTCTCGCAAGGTTGTGGATCACTACACCTGAAGCTTAAGGGGAATGAAATCGGTGAGAAATGAGGGTCCTACAGCCCGGGCCGAAGTGACAGGTCCACCCCTAGTGACTCCAACAGGTGAGGAGCACCCCCGACCCGCCTCCCTCGGCACTAAAGCGGGACGATAGGGCGCAGGGCTCCACCCGGAAGCCTCGCCATAATGTCCGCGGGCGGGCCGGGGCGAGGAGAAGGTGGGAAGCCGTGGCCGCAGGTTCCGGGAGGGGTCAGCCGTCCTGGGCAAGGTCAGGCCCGACTTCCCCGGCTGAGGCCGCTGCGACCCGGCCCTGCAGGCTCCAGGCGGCAGAGCAAGGGGAGCGCCCTAGCGGGGCCCCAGGGTCCGGGCCGCCTCACCTGCAGGTGAACTTGAGGGCGAGGAGCAGCGCGCAGCCGAGCGCCACGGCCCCGCAGAGCAGCTCCGGCCGCTGGCGCGCCATGAGGAAGGCGCCACGCAGCCCGCGACGGAGCCGGCCCGCCGAGGACGCTGTGGCCAGGGTCGGGCTCGAGCTGAGGCAGTCTGAGCCCGCGGGGCCGCCGCCGCCCCCTCCCTCGTCCTCGGCGTCCTCGCTGCTGCTGCTGCCGCCGCCGCGGCCTCCGCATTCCGACATTACATGCTCCCAGTCGCCGGCTTTATACCGCCGCCGCCGCCTCGGGCCCGAAGGCCCGGCCCGGCCCGTTGCTCCCCAATCCCGCAGCTCGCCGCACCCGCTAACCCGGACGCTCCACGTCAGCCGCGCCGCCGCCGCGGGGTCCGCCCCACCTCACACCCCAGAGCACGCAGCTCCGCCCACCGCTCACGGAGTCCGGGCGGGCACCGACACCGCCCAAATCCCCGCCCCCAACGGGCCACGCCCTGCACCCTACGTAAATGCACGGAAGCCTTCCCCGCCCGCAGCCCAGTCTTGGCCCCACCGGTCACGACCCCGCTCACGGAGTCTGCGCAGGCGCCGTCGCGGGGCGTGGAGAAGCTGCTCCCTTGGGATAAGGCCCGCGGGGAATACTTGGAACCTTGACACCGCTGTAGTCTGCTCTCGCCGCGCTGGGTTTTAGGAGCCGTAACGACAATAATCGTGTCCACCATTCTCACTACAGGCCCCGAAGCACGTAGGTGCCGTTTTTTATCCCAACTTAACTGAAGAAAAAAAAAACACGGCCGGGCGCGGTGGCTCAAGCCTGTAATCCCAGCACGTTGGGAGGCCAAGGCGGGCAGATTACATGAGACCAGGCGTTCAAGACCAGCCTGGCCAACATGGTGAAACCTCGTCTCTACTAAAAATACAAATATATTAGCCGGGCGTGGTGGCGGGCGCCTGTAATCCTAGCTGCTTGGGAGGCTGAGGCAGAGAATTGCTTGAACCCTGGAGGCGGAGGTTGCAGTGAGTGGAGATGGCGCCACTGCACTCCCGTCTGGGGGAGAGAGAGAGAGAGACTCTTGTCTCAAAAAAAAAAAAAGGACTTGTCCTCCAATGTCAATAACAACAAACTAGACAAATAAAACTTCGAGGGCATTAAGGCAATATGGTGTTATGCCACAAACAGAAGGCACAGCTAACGGCCAGTAGCTGAGACGCCACCTCTGCCACAGGTCAGCTATGTGACCCACGTGCAAATCTCATCACTTCCTGTCTGGTTCTGCTTCTGTGGATGTAGAATGGGGCAATCAATGGCTGTCTTGCTCAATTGGCCAGACATTTAATGTGTCAACCACCCAGGCCCAACATGTTGTGAGTTCATGTACACCGACCATTTTGCTATTTCTTTTCTATATGTCACTTTTTTTTTTTTTTTGGTTGTTTTTTGATACAGGGTCTTGTGTCACCCAGGCTGGAGTGCAATGGCGCAATCATAGCACACTGAAGCCTTGACAACCCCAGCTCAAGCGATCCACCCCCGTCAGCCTCCCAAGTAGTAGGCAACACAGATGTGTGCGACTACGCCCAGCTAATTTTTTTTTTTTGTGGAGACAAGGTCTCTCCATGTTGCCTAGGCTGGTCTTGAACTCCTGGGCTCAAGCGATCTTCCCCCTTCGACCTCCCAAAGCGTTAGGATTATGTAAAAGCATGAGTCACTGCGCCCACCTGTCACATCTTTTTGTTTCTTCTATACTGCCTTATTTTGTAGAAAGTAGCTATTTTCTCGTATAACATTAATTCCTTTATTTTTAACTTGTCCCTCATCTCTGTTTTGTGTTATTATTACCCTTATTATCTATGTTACAAACCCAACCATACAGTGTTAATCTTGTTTTAAAAAGCTGAGAAAAAATATATAGTTACAGAGTTTTTTTAACCTTCTAATTTGCCACTTATACTTCTGTTGATTCCTTTGTGTAGATTAGAGTTACACAATTTATTGCTAAAGAAAATAAATATGGTCAAAAGTCACCAGTGTCCTCATTCACTGTAGCTTGCTGCAACAGAATTTACCCTACACTTCCATAAGACATCTGACATTTGCACAGGGCTTCATAAGGTCCAAAGTACTTTCGTTGTCTGTGGTTTAATCTCACAAAACCCATAGTCCTTTGTGAGCAAATGCAAGGCAGTGTCTTACTGACCAGAAAACCACCCTGGATTAACAAAAGAATGCCTCCTTTCCTCTTCACTTTCTGAGCAACTGGGGCCCTGCTCTGGCAGCAGAATGTTCTCTTTTTTATTTTTTGTAGAGATGGGATCTCACTGTGCTGCCCAGGCTGGTCTTGAACTCCTGGCCTCAAGTGATCCTCCTGCTCTGGACTCCGAGAGTCCTGGGATCACAAGTCTGAGCCACTGCAGCTGGCCCAGAACGTTCTTCTGAAACAATTATAAATTTGTTTCAAAATACACTAGGCCTTTCGGGTCAGGCTGTACTACTTTTCATAGGTTAGGTCAGCCCTAACTCGTCCACACCAACTTGTATCTGAGTTTTCCATAGCCACTTTTTTTTTTTTTTTTCTTTGAGATGGAGTCTCACTCTATCGCCCAGGCTGGAGTGCAGTGGCACCAGGTCGGCTCACTGCAACCTCCGTCTCTTGGATTCAAGCAATTCTCCTGCCTCAGCCTCCCAAGTAGCTGGGATTACAGGTGCCCACCACCACGCCTGGCTAATTTTTATATTTTTAGTAGAGATAGGGTTTCACCATGTTGGCCAGGCTGGTCTCAAACTCCTGACCTAAGGTGATCCACCCGCCTCGGCCTCCCAAAGTGCTAGGACTACAGGCATGAGCCACCACGCCCAGCCTCTTGGCCACTTTTTATACCAAGATCAAGTTGCTCGGGGTTTGAGGAGGGAATGGGGCAGAGGAATATATATGTGTCATGTGCTGTGACAGTGGTCCCAGAAAATTATGATACTGTTTTTATTGTACTGTTTCTTTTCTTTGACAGAGTCTTGCCCTGTCACCCAGGCTGGAGTGCAGTGGCACCATCTTGGCTCACTACAACCTCCACCTCCTGGGTTCAAACAATTCTCATGCCTCTGCCTCCCAAGTAGTTGGGATTACAGGCGTGTGCCACCATGTCTGGCTAATTTTTGTATTTTTTGTAGTGATGGGGTTTTCCCATGGTGGCCAGGCTGGTCTCGAACTCCTGACCTCAAGTGATCTGCCTGCCTTGGCCTCCCAAAGTGTTGGGATTAAAGGCGTAAGCCACCAGTCCCGGCCCACTATACTTTTTCTATGTTTGGGTAAATTTAGATACACAAATACCACTGTGTTACAGTTGCCTAAGATATTTAGTATAGTAACATGCTGTACTGGTTTGTAGCCTAGGAGCAATAGGCTATACCATATACTATATAGCAATAGCCTAGGCGTGGTAGTAGGCTATACTGTCTAGGTTTGTGTGAGTGTACGCTATGGATGTTCACACAACACTGGTATCACCTAACAATGTTATTTCTCAGAACGTGTCGCTGTGATGCATGGCCATGTATTTCCTCAATATTAACCCTTCCTTGCAGCCAGAGAGAACTAATGCTTATTAATTTTGATTTTTTTTTTTTTTTTCCGAGACGGAGTCTTGCTCTGTTGCCCAGGCTGGAGTGCAGTGGTGCAACCTCAGCTCACTGCAACCTCTGCCTCCCAGGTTCAAAAGATTCTTCTGCCTCAGTCTCCCAAGTAGCTGGGACTATAGATGTACACCACCATGCCCAGCTAATTTTTGGATTTTTTTTTTCTTGAGACGGAGTTTCACTCTTGTTGCCCAGGCTGGAGTGCAATGGCACGACCTCGGCTCACCGCAACCTCCGCCTCCTGGGTTCAAGCGATTCTCCTGCCTCAGTCTCCCCGAGTAGCTGGGATTACAGGCACATGCCACCACACCTGGCTAGTTTTGTATTTTTAGTAGAGACGGGGTTTCTCCATGTTGGTCAGGCTGGTCTCAAACTCCCAACCTCAGGTGATCTGCCCACCTCAGCCTCCCAAAGTCCTGGGATTACAGGCGTGAGCCACCACATCCAGCCTAATTTTTGTGTTTTTAGTAGAGATGGGGTTTCACCATGTTGGCAGTGCTTATTAATTTTGAAAGCTTGCAAGCTTTTACTTACAAAACAGGACATGCCTAACAACACAAGATAGCAGATTATGCAGAAGAAAAGGGCAGGCCCTTGGCCTGGGTACTCTGGACAGTGGTGTTTCTGTTCTTGGAGACTGTATCATCACCACAGAATGGGCTTTCTAGAAATGGGCATTCATCCCTTGCATCAGATAAAGCAGTGTATATTCTCATCTCCCCAGGCCAGCTAAAGAATGTTCTTGAGGCATCAGGCGCGGTAATTCTCACCTGTAATCCCAGCACTTTGGGAGGCTAAGGTGAGAGGATTGCTTAAGTCCAGGAGTTGGAGATCAGCCTGGGCAACATAGTGAGATGTCAACTCTACAAAAAATAAAATACAAAAAACATTAGCTGGGCATGGTAGTGCATGCCTGTAGTCCTAGCTACTTGGAGGGCTTAGGCAGGAGGATCACTTGAGCCCAGAAGGTTGAGGCTACAGTGATACAGTGAGCTAAGGTTGTGCCACTGTACTCCAGCCTGGGGGACAGAGCAAGACCCTGTCTCTAAAAAAACCAAAAAGAAAAAGAATATTTCAAATCTGCCCTAACTGCTCTCCTTCAGTTTCCCAATTGGTGCAGGTACCTGGAACTAAATCAAAACAAAGGTTGGGGGCTCTATGCAAACAGTCCTCACAGGATAGGAAGCTCCAGGAAGGGTGAGTGATGGAGAGGGGTGGGCACCTCTGGGCAGCAGCCCCCTGCCCAGGGCACCTCAGTCACAGGGTGGGAGCACTGTGCAGAGAAGGGGTCCCTGAGGGTAGGAAAGATTCACCTGCAGCTTCCACACCTTCAGGGCAGATGCGACAGCTCACTACAGCCAAACAAAACTGAGGTCACAACTCTTGCAGAGCACTGTTGATATTCACAATAGCCAAAAAGCAGAAACAACCCAAATGTCCATCAACCGATGAATGGATATTTTAAAAATGTGATCCATCCAAACAGTAGAGTATTATGTGGCTATAAAAAGTAATGAAGCACCACCGGACACGGTGGCTCATGCCTGTAATCCCAGCACTTTGGGAGGCCAAGGCAGGTGGATCACCTGAGGTCAGGAGTTCAAGACCAGCCTGACTAACATGGTGAAACCCCCGTCTCTACCAAAAATACAAAAAAATTAGCTGGGCATGGTGGTGTATGCCTGTAATCCCAGCTACTCGGGAGGCTGAGGCAGGAGAATTGCTTGAACCCAGGATACAGAGGTTGCAGTGAGCCAAGATTGCGCCACTGCACTTCAGCCTGGGAGACGAGCGAAACTCCATGTCAAAAAAAAAAAGTAATGAAGTACTGATACATGCCACGACACAGGTGAGCACTGGAGAATTATGCTAAGGAAAGAAGCCAGTCGTAAAAGGCCACATATTATGATTCCATTTATACGAAATGTCTAGGACAGGAGAATCCCTGGAGACAGAAGGCAGGTTAATGGATGTCCACAGTTTGAGAGGCAGGACAAGTGTGTAGATTCTGGGAGTGATGGCTAAGGCGTGTGGGCTTTATTTAGGGAATGAAAATATTCTAGAATTGATTGTGGTGACGATAGCACAACATTGTGAATATGCTATGCTAAACACCACCGAATTGTATGCTTACAAATGGTGAAGTTTGTCAAGTGAATTGTATCTCAGTCATTTTTTAAACATTAAAAAAGAAATCAGATAACATGCCTGAGCTGACACACTAGTTATTACTTTCCTCTACGAATAAAATGGGATTGGAGTTTGCTTGTTCACTTTTTTTTCTCTTTCCTTTTATCCCCTCCCTGCGCACCATGCTCTTCTCCAAAGCTGCTGCAGTAAACCCAGCACTTGCAGGATGGGGGTGTGATCTCACCAGAGTAATTAACATTGACTTCCTAATGCTGAGACCAAGGCTGTGTGGCAGGCAGGGTTCTTAGCTGCAAACCAGAGCATGAAACTGGCTGAGTTAGCAGAAATGGAATTTACCAAAAAGATGGTTCAGAGCTTAGAGAATTGCTGAGAAGGTGGAAAGCTGAAGCACAGAAAATGCAGGGAGAGTTTGGAAAAAAAATCTCAACACTCATATGATCGTCAAAGGTTGTTTTTAGCCTAGATTCCAAAGGTTAAAGCAACTGGCTTTTTAATCATTAAACAGGCTGGGTGCAGTAGCTCACACCTGTAATCCTAGCACTTTGGGAGGCTGAGGTGGGGTAATCACTTGAGACCAGGAATTCAAGACCTACCTGGTGAAGCCCCCATATCTACCACAAATACAAAAATTAGCCAGGCATGGTGGTGTGTGCCTGTAATCCCGGCTACTCGGGAGACTGAGGTGGGAGGATCGCTTGAGCCCGGTAGGCAAAGGTTGCAGTGAGCCAAGATCATGACATTGCACTCCAGCCTGGGCTACAGAGTGAGACACTGTCTGATCTCAGTAACCTCCACCTCCCGGGTTCAAGCGATTCTCCTTGCCTCAGCCTCCCAAGTAACTGGGATTACAGGCACCCGCCACCACACCCGGCGAATTTTTGTATTTTTAATAGACATGGGGTTTCACCATGTTGACCAGGCTAGTCTTGAACTCCTGACCTAAAGTGAGCCTCCCGTCTCGGCCTCCCAAAATGCTGGGATTACAGGTGTGAGCCATTGTGCCTGGCCCAGAGACAACTTTTTATTATCTATTCTCCCTGGAAGAAGAGGATATAAGGAGTTTGGGAGAAATTACATGGAAGGAAAAAATGTAACAACCATCATCAGACTAGGGAAACTCAGCAGAATAACATTACCATTTCATTCTACAGCAAACATCACCCTAACACACGATTATTTTTGCAGTTAAGATGCACCCCTGAGGCCGGGCGCGGTGGCTCAACGTAGTCCCAGCTACTCGGGAGGCAGGAGAATGGCGTGAGCCCGGGAGGCGGAGCTTGCAGTGAGCCGAGATCGTGCCACTGCACTCCAGCCTGGGCGACAGAGCGAGACTCCATCTCAAAAAAAAAAAAAAAAAAAGAAAGATACACTCCTGGGTCGGGCGCGGTGGCTCACGCCTGTAATCCCAGCACTTTGGGAGGCCGAGGCGGGCAGATCACGAGGTCAGGAGATGGAGACCATCCTGGCTAACGCGGTGAAACCATCTCTACTAAAAATACAAAAAGGAAAAAAAAAATTAGCCGGGCGTGGTGGTAGTCGCCTATAGTTCCAGCTACTCAGGAGGCTGAGGCAGGAGAATGGCATGAACCCGGGAGGCGGAGCTTGCAGTGAGCTGAGATCGTGCCATTGCACTCCAGCCTGGGCGACAGAGCGAGACTCCACCTAAAAAATTAAATAAATAAATAAATAAATAAATAAAAAGATGCACTCCCGATGCCCCTTGTTCAGTGACTGGCCTCCACTGCCCCCGACACATGGAGGGAACCAGACTCTCCTAGTATTTTTAGAGAGTCACACATGGTATCCCATGTCACTCCATTTCTCTCACTCCTTGCAGCCATGCCCTCCTCTCTCCATTGATCGGCTCACCCAGAAAAAAGACCCTTTTCTGTTTCCCCACATCCCACACATTCAACGTTCCCATGAGGAAGTGACTTTGCTCAAGGGTTTAAAGGCTTGCTACATCACAGCCCAGTAGATCCTGACTTTAAAGTCTCTGAGCCCTATCAAAGGTGTTATGCCAAACAGCCGTCTTGGTGGTATTCCAGCCCAAGTCTTACCAGCTGACCATTTTTTCTCCCTGCTCATGTAGCTCATTTGAATGAAACACAGGAGCCCCAGGAAGAGCTACCTAGAAGAGCCGATCAGTAAGAGTCCCGGAGCCCAAATTCGGAGGAGAGGAGGACGAAGTCAAAAGCTGCTTTCATGTCCCAATTTGCATTCTGTCAGTCACTGCCTAAATGAAAATGTTTTTGAAAAAACCATCTTGATTTTTGTACCCAGTTTCAACAATTCTTTGTGGGAAAGGACCACAGGAAAAAATGAAAGGCATCTATATATAAAATCTTTATTACAGGCAGTATTGGTCCATACACTAACACAATACCAACAGTACAGGTTTAATCTTTCAAAATCATCATTTAAACAGCAAAAGACCAAGAAATAAAATTTGAGTCAATTATTTTTCAAAATATTCTCAATGCACATTATCCTTAATTCCCTTATTATAGTGAAACATACAAATACAGAAAAATACCCCATTTAACAAATACTAGTGTTAAATGGTTATTTGGCTTAAAATCTGAGTTAAGAAAATCCTTTTTAGCAACCTACATACAGATAAGTAGCAAACTTTATTATATTAAACAAATTCATTCTGCTAAAACATGTAAAGAATTTCATCCATCATGTATTCTGATCCCAGTACAAGTGTTTATTCTCTTACCGTCACGATTCTTATATGAAGGACCAACTCAAAGAGTTGTCCTAGATATAACCTTATCCTCTTCCCCAACACACTTCATCCAAAAGTCTGTTCAACAGATGGCAACCGGGTAGCAGTCACTTCACCATCTGATGCCAGTGGTTCCGTGAGAGCGTGGCCAGGCCTGTGAAACAGCCCATTTTCCTACCTACTGTGGGTTGCTGCTCAGGAGGAACGATATACGCCAATACAAGCAGGAAATCTGCAGCTCCTCTGCTATGTGCCTCAGAACACTTTCAATTTTTCTGGTCAATGCTCTGATTAGGTATCATACATAAAAGCCAGCATATTAGTTTAAATCTTTAAACAAAAAACTATATTTTCCAAAGTCATTATCATTTGGGCCAATTAAGTGATCTTTTCGTGCTTTGTTGAGCTTCATCTTTAGGGCATCTCTTCTTTCTTCCCATTCATGAAGTTCGGCATTTCCATGTGCAAATTTACAGCTGTTTCCTTCTGGGCAGGTGCCATTCATATACCTGTAAGGAGAAGTCAGCTGCTCAGTGTCCATATAAGTTGTTTCTAAAAATCGTGTCATGATTCTTGAAACTGTATATTTCACTAGCTTTATGATTTGCATACAACTTTTAGTTAGGAATCTCAAGCCTAGAATGGTAAATATTTTATAGCCATGACATCTACAATAGAAAAATCAGTACTTTATTTAAATATACTCTATGAAAAGTACTGACTGATAGGAGAAAAAAGACTATAGTTGTTCCTGAATGTAGTAGAAAGAAATCAGAGGCGGCATCAAGGAAAAAAATGTCTTCAATAGTTTTAAGGATCACATGGATCTAAATTAGGGAATTAAATATTAACAGTGATTTAATAAAATAAGCAATTCAGAATTACTTAGTTTTTCACTGAAAAACCTTTTTTTTTTTTTTTTTTGAGACAGAGTCTCACTGTTTGTTGCCCAGGCTGAAGTGCAGTAACGCAACCTCGGCTCACTACAACCTCCACCTCCTGGGTTCAAGTGATTGTCCTGCCTCAGCCTCCTGAGTAGCTGGGATTACAGGCACCTGCCACCACGCCCGGCTAATTTTTGTAGTTTTAGTAGAGACAGGGTTTCACCATGTTGTCCAGGCTGGTCTCGAACTCCTGGCCTCAAGTGACCCAACCGCCTCAGCCTCCCAAAGTGCTGGGATTACAGGCGTAGCCACCATGCCCGGCTGCGTTGAAAAATTTTCTAAGAAAACTTAAACAAAGGAGTGATACATATTAACATCTTCCTTTGATCTAAGTTCTAGATTTTAAATATAATGTAAAAGCCATTTCAAATCTGATGAACATTTACTGTGAGCAAAGGTTGTGGCAAAGGGTTTGAGAATCACAGCTGTGAACACAAAGGTCATTTGGGCAAATTGGAATGAACATGCTTCTCTATTCAATTATCCTAAGACATTTCAAATTAGTATTGGAAGACTATTAAATCTTTTCATATAACCTAAGAAGAGTGAAAGGAATGGTTTGATGAGCAGCGAAACACTTTGAGCCAAAACCCAAGAATCCTTCAGGGTCTGTCAGAGCACAGCAACATTAGAACTTTAACACCCAGGTATTCCGTGTCAGCTGACATGTCCATGAAAATTTGAGGTCAGCAATTCTGACATGGAAAAATTGTAGAAACCTACATACCTATCACAAATACTGAAATAGCCTGTTGGGAAGCGGTGCTGCCAGCAGTACTGGTCGTCCTCGGTGTGGAAAACCTTCTCTTTGTGCTTCTCGGAGGAGATGTGGCCCTGCCACTGCTTCTCACTGTTGCAGTTTTTCCCACACATCCAGCAGTGAAAGTCCACCTAATGTGCAGCAAAGACACATGTCCCATTAGTCACCTGATGTGAGATCCAGACTCAATTCCAGGGAGCCCAGGCTGGTGGGAGAGCCAGGCAAGACATAAAACTCAGGTTAGAAATAGGGACAAGGAAAGGACCACAGCATGGGGAAGCAAGCCAGCACTCAGGACACAGAGAAGAAGGGTGACAAATGCTGCCAGCTGTCCAGGAAATCTCCGGTAAAGAGGCAATAGGAGCTGGTATGCAAACAAGGATGTTTGCTGGGAGAACAAGAGGCAGGTACAAACAAGGATTCAGGGAAGAACTAACACCATGAGGAAAAGCAGAAAGGATGAGAAAGACCAGGACATGCCAACTCCAAAAGGACGAGCAGCAGCTCCCTTCAGTGTACGTGAACTGAGCCACTGCTGTGGCATCAGGAATTTAAAGACACTGCCCCTGTGGGGAACAGACCTATACAAAAGGAAGTGTTATGAGGGGATTTAAGTGCTACAACAGATGCAAACTATAAGTGTTGGATAGTATTTCCCAAATGTCCTGGGCAATAATTATCTGCAACACTGGGTAAAAACAGATTTGAACTCATTCATTGTGGGGTATAAATGAAGACTTTTTATTACTTTATTTTTTTAGAGACATGGTCTCGCTGTCATCCAGGCTAGAGTATGGTGGTGCGATCATAGCTCACTGCAGCCTTGAACTCCTGGGCTCAAGTGGTCCTCCCACTTCAGCCTCCTGAGTGGCTAGGATTACAGGTGCAAGCCACCACGCCCAGCTCTAAGACTCCTTATTATGAAACACCCCAGGTAGGCCTTATTTATTTATTTGTTTATTTTTGAGACAGAGTCTCACTCTGTTGCTTAGGCTGGAGTGGAGTGATGCGATCTTGGCTCACTGCAACCTCCATCTCCCAGGTTTAAGCAATTCTCCTGCCTCAGCCTCCTAAGTAGCTGGGATTACAGGCACCTGCCACCATGCCCAGCTAATTGTTTGCATTTTTAGTGGAGAAGGGGTTTCACCAAGTTGGCCAAGCTGGTCTTGAACTCCTAACCTTAGGTGATCCACCTGCCTCGGCCTCCCAAATTGCTGGGATTACAGGCATGAACCACCATGCCCGGCCCCAGGTAAGCCTTATGATCCAACAAGTCGAGGTGACCTGCTCTAGAAACACCAAGGAGCAGTTGGGCGCAGTGGCTCATGCCTATAATCACAGCACTTTGGGAGGCCGAGGCAGGAGGAGTGCTTGAGCACAGGAGTTTCAGACTAGCGTGGGCAACATGGCAAAATCCCCATCTCTACAAAAAATACAAAAATTAGCCAGGCATGGTGGAGAGCACCTGCAGTCCTAGCTACTGAGGAGGCTGAGGTCGGAGGATCACCTGAGCCCAGGAGGTAGTGGCTGCAGTGAGCCATAACTGTGCCTCTGTACTCCGGCCTGGATGACAGAGTGAGACCCTGTCTCAAAAAAAAAAAAAAAAAGGAAGAAAAAAAAATATATATATATATATAATAAAATAAACACCAAGGAGCACTTAAGTAAAGGTAGCAAGGGAATCAATGTGACAAAGGTAAACATTCACAGGGCATGTCACAAGCAGAGAGACGCTGGGCAAGGCCAGGCCACACACAAGGCCTGCAATGGGCAATGAAACTGGATCTGACTGAATCAACAGAGAGACGGAGGTGCCAAAAAACAAGAAATAAGGGCAGTAACACATATGCTTATGTAAACTTTTAAAACCACATCAAGTGGAACTATAGATTATTTAAGAATAAATGTAGCTGGGCACGGTGGCTCACGCCTGTAATCCCAGCACTTTGGGAGGCTGAGGCGGGCAGATCACGCAAGGTCAGGAGTTTGAGACCAGCCTGACCAACATGGTGAAACTCCGTCTCTACTAAAAATACAAAAATTAGCCGTGCGTGGTGGCCGGCACCTGTAGTCCCAGCTACACGGGAGGCTGAGGCAGGAGAATTGCTTGAACCTGAGAGGCAGAGGTTGCAGTGAGCCAAGATCACATCATTGCACTCGTGCCTGGGCGACAGAGCGAGACTCCGTCTCACAAAAAAAAAAAAAAAAAAAAAGAATACATGTGTTGGCCGGGCACAGTGGCTCATGCCTGTAATCCCACGGTTTTGGAAGGCTGAGGCGGGTGGATCACAAGCTCAGGAGTTTGAGACCAGCCTGGCCAACATGGTGAAACCCCGTCTCTACCAAAAACACAAAAAATTAGCCGGGCGTGGTGGCAGGCGCCTATAATCCCTTGCTATTTAGAAGGCTGAGGCAGGAGAATCGCTTGAACCCGAGAGGCGGAGGTTGCAGTGAGCCAAGACTACCGCATTGCACTCCAGCCTGGGCAACAGAGTAAGACTCCATCTCAAAAAAAAAAAAAAAAATAGAATAAATGTGTCATCCTTAGGTAAACATGGCCTGGAAAAATACACACTGGATCTGTTCCCCTGGGGAGGGGAACATATGGGGTTCTAACTTTATCTGTGGCATTTATTTATTTTATAATAGGAACTACAACAAATTGTTAACATCAGTTAACTTGCGATGGTGGGCTCAAGATATTTGTTATAGTATCCTCTTCACTTTTTTGAAATTTTTAAAAGAAAACCAAAACAGTTAACAGACCACTGGTAACTTAATGTCCCCAAGAACCATAGAGGGAGAGGCCAGACTGCAGGCGTAAGCGGGGAATGTAAGGTCCAGCGGGGTAGACAGCCCACATTCCTGAGCCACCTGCTGGGGCCTCCCACTAGGGAAGAGTCACAGACTCCTCATACTTCACTAATCCATCAGGACAACCCCACTCGGAGACATAAATAATCTACCCAGGGTGCCAGGCAAGTAAGGAGAGAAACCAGGACTTGGACTTATGATTCTCTGGCTCCAAAGTCAGAAGGATTGAAGAAAGGATTTTTTCACATGAGGAGACTTAAGCTAGTGGCAGGAAACCACTAGAGAGAGAAGATGAAGACACAGAACAGAGAAGGGCAGGCAGTGAGTGACGGAGCCGGGTTTTGGAGAAGATGGGAAAGAAAAGAAAGGCCGGGCATGGTGGCTCACGCTTGTAATCCCAGCACTTTGGGAGGCCGAGGCAGGCAAATCACGAGGTCAGGAGTTCGAGACCATCCTGGCCAACATGGTGAAACTCCATCTCTACTAAAAATACAAAAATTAGCTGGGCGTGGTGGCGCGAGCCTATAATCCCAGCTACTTGGGAGGCTGAGGCAAGAGAATTGCTTGAACCAGGGAGGCGGAGGTTGCAGTGAGCTGAAATCACACCACTGCACTCCAGCCTGGTGACACAACGAGACTCCATCTCAAAAAAAAGAAAAGGGAAAAGAAAGGCTCCATCAATGGCTCGGCAAAGAGAGGGTAAATGACGCACGGTACTCACTGTAACTTCAGCATAATCTGTTGGCATGTGAATTTGTTTTCCATTTTCCTTGTTTGACTGACTGGCTATGTCTTCACTTTTTTCATTTTTTTGACTCTTGAGCCATAGTTCGTAAAATTGCTCCATATCTTGTACTAAAGAAAAATGAATTACTTTCAGCAGCAGCAACTAAACTCCATTTAAATACATGCAACTATGTGCATATTTTGTAGCAGTCAGCATACAGTTCAAAAGAAACTCAAGGGGGCTGAAGGAGACTATTATATTAGACATGGAGAGATCACCCAGTTCAAGCAGCAGGTAAACTCTCACGCATAAGAACTACTTTCAGGACTGTTAGATGGCAAATATTAGTTCTCAGGATTAATTAACCCCTCCCTGCATTTGCACGACACTTTGGGGATGTTTAAAACTCAGAAACCATTATAAACAGTATTGTCACAAAAGCCTCACCACTGCCTCTGTCGCCCTACGTTCCACACTCAGTGTCAGAGCTAGAACCACACAAGGCTACTTACGTGGCTTGGGGGACTTGGAGCTGATACACTCCTCACTGCTTACTGAGAAAGATGAGAAACATACTACTACTGGACCAAGATTCTGACCCTGATGGGAGTCCATCAGTCAAGCCACAGTCCCAGAGGGCGGATATGCTGGGCTGCAACTGACAAGACAACCATGACCAAGTCCTGGGCAGTGGCTGCCAGTTGCTTCCTATGGTAAGAACAGGTGTATTCTGCATTATTGCCAAGTGCTAAAGCTGAGGTTTCTCAGCCTCCATGTGGTTGACATTCTGGCTAGAGAATTCTTTGCTGGGGGTATGCCCTGTGCATTACAGGATGGTGAGTAGCATCCCTGGCCTCTGCCCACTAGATGCCTGAGCAACTTCTGCCAGTCATGACAATGAAAATATCTCCAGACATTGCCAAATGTCCACAGGGAAGGGGAGTGGCAAAATTTGTTCCCAGCCGGGCACGGTGGCTCACGCCTGTAATCCCAGCACTTTGGGAGGCTGAGGCGGGTGGATCACAAGGTCAGGAGATCGAGACCATCCTGGCTAACACGGTGAAACCCCGGCTCTACTAAAAATACAAAAAATTAGCCGGGTGTGGTGGCAGGCGCCTGTAGTCCCAGCTACTCGGGAAGCTGAGGCAGGAGAATGGTGTGAACCCGGGAGGCGGAGCTTGCAGTGACCCGAGATCACGCCACTGCACTCCAGCCTGGGTGACAAAGCGAGACTCTGTCTCAAAAAAAAAAAAAAAAAAAAAAAAAAAAATTTGTTCCCAGTTGAGAACCACTGTGCTAAAAACTCTGGTAATGAGGACCTGGTTAAAACTTGGCTTTGTTGTCTGCCTAATGGTTTCTAACAATGTATCATCAGGCAAAGATTAGAGATAAACTAGAAATGCTTCTTCCTTAAGACCAGTGGTGGCAGGAGTCATTGCAAAAGCCTGGTGCGCAAGGGCATCTTCAGTCAGGCCGGACTACATAGCCTCACTCCCAGCAAGACAGCTAGAGGGAATCCCGTCCACACACCACTGACGATCTATGTGGTTGAAACATGGCAGGCAACAGTCAAATCTGGTTGGTTCTTATAATCCAGAGACTGCAGTCAGTATACCTTTCATCAGTTTACTTAAGATTAAAGAATAATGATCCTTGTAGTAAAACATTTTATGGTCAAAAGTGAAAGGCTGTCTGCGGCTCCTCTCAAAGGCTCCCACAATAAACTTGGAATTTGACCAAAATAAACATTCTTTCCTTGGACCTCTGATTCTGAGCCTGTTTGATTAGTAATGCCTCCCTGAAGAAACTGCCAATTCTAACCTGGTTAATTCAGAGGGCAAACTATTTCCAATACGAGCAGATGATCTGATTTAAACAGTCAAGGGAGTACTGAACTTCCCCAGGCCATTTTTTAGGAATACATCTATTACATGTAAGGATGCATGCAGACCTATATATTTATATCCAAATCTGACCTAACCAAACACAGATCAGACGCCACATTCTACCCCACTGAGGCTGTGCCCACATTTTCCAGGCATCATCGCCAACAGAGCTACTGATGAAACGGGGCAACCGTTTAGAATGCAAACTGCTTTCTGTGTTCACAGGAAGCTGGCATATTTATAGAGAGGAAAAGAACTTTCAGGCAAGCTAGCTCAAGGACACAGCTAAAAGATTAACTTACTCCCATTCTCCTTCATGTAAGTCCAAACTTCTCTTTCCTCAGGACTATGAGCAAAGGAACAGTTTCCAACATATTGACATTTTTTCCCAGAAGCAATATGGTTGCACAGCTGTATAAAAAAATAGGAATATGATTAAGACAAAGTACACCTAGTAAAACGGCCTAATTTTTACATTTAAGCAAAAGAAGCATTATTATCCATGCTAATACTTAGTAATCAAATTCTAAAGTAAGATTAATTTGACTCTACTCAAATTAACTATATGCTCTAAATATATGAAATGATATTAAGGTTTCTATCTCAAAATTTTTCAAAAGAAAATGTCCAAAACAGAGTAAAGCATGGAACATTTTCTTACAAGAAAATGTCTACAAACTCACTTACTCAGAACATTTAATCTCCACAATGAACATCCCTGGCCCTCTCAGTCTGACAGCTCCTGTTTCCCTGCCCAACACTAATGATTCCTCCACATCAGCACTTGAAAGCAGTAAAGAAACTGCAGGCTACTCCAAAGGGTACTGAACAGTGCCCAAAACATTTCAGAAATTTAACTTACTTATAACCAGTACTGGAAACTAACCTCGGCCATAATTCACTACATATGCATTATCAGAAGACAATTATCACACTAGCCATACCATGGAGTTACACAGCTTTCAAATAATACCTCTTCAGGTTATTTGTATTTTTATTTAACAAAGTAAATACAGTGATACTGGTAGGAAAATAAAGTGATCGTGATCAGCAGAACGCAGACTTCCCTAAGAATTATGAGCCAGGAACCAAGAAAACCTCCATCACGGAGAATGCATTCTTGAATACCATCAACCTACTTGTCTGTATGAGGTATAAATCCTAGTACAACTAATTATTAGCTTATCTTAGTTTGTGCTTCAACGGCAGCTGGCCCTACATTATTTAGCTTACGTGGCATTAAATGCTTAGCATCTGTCACGTTTTTCAGAGTTTTGGCTAAAACTCGCTCAGCCCCCTTAACACTGTACATTTCCTCCCTTGGACCAATGTCAGTGACCCCACCCTTAAAATCTTCTGCATAAAGTCAGTACTGGATAAAATAGTCATATTCTTTCCCCCGTCAAACCCCAGTAAGTACTTAGTCATATTACTAGGGAAACATTTACCATAGTCTTTCAAAGCTCAATGATAAGGAGCAGGAAGAAAAGCAGGTAAAGGAGAAGGCCAGGCACTGTGCCAGGTGTTTACATAACACCATCACACATAATTATTCCCAATTACAGGTGAGCAAACTGAGGCTGAATAACTTGACTGGGGCCCTTCTGGCAGACTTTGAAGCCCATTGTCTTTAAGCCTCACCACACTCTCTACACACATACACACATACAGTATAATTTCTTCTTTAAGAAAAAAGGTCCCGGGCCGGGCACGGTGGCTCACGCCTGTAATCCCAACACTTTGGGAGGCCAAGGCGGGTGGGTCACTTGAGGTCAAGAGTCCGAGACCAGCCTGGCCAACATGGTGAAGCTTCGTCTCTACTAAAAAAAAAATTACAAAAATTAGCTGAGCGTGGTGGCACACGCCTGTAATCCCAGCTACTCGGGAGGCTGAGGCAGAAGAATTGCTTGAACCCAGGAGGTGGAGGTGGAGGCTGCGGTGAGCGGAGATCGCAACATTGCACTCCAGCCTGGGTGACAGAGCAAGAAAAAATGAAAAAAAAAAAAAAAAAAAAAAAGAAAAAAAGTCCCTTAGCAATACCTAGTATGGCAGGGGAAAAAAAAGAGGAAATAAGCTACTGTAATGTTGCACAGTAGTACACCATGTTCAAAATTAAAGAATAACCAATACTCTAAGCAGCTGCCTCAGGAACCAGGGTTGTTCTCAGTTGTACTCATTTTATCAAAGTACTTGATATACATATTATCTCCATCATCCTTTAAACCACAGGAAATCAAGGTTCCAAATAAACCCCTTTCCCCCTCCTACATAACCCATTAATAAAATCTGAGTCTAAAACCACTTTGGATAAAACACAAACCTACCAACGCCTTGAAAAGGCTGGCTGTGTTACTTGTGTAAGTTTTACAAAACTGCAAGGTACTGTAGGTGGTGAAAAATACATCTACCTCTTCTTCAACTCCTTCTTGCAGTTCAGAGAGAGGCCTCATTTACACGGGGACTCTACAGTCCATCTGCCCTGCTTCTCTGGGCAAAAGGTTCCCTCCACATTTCCTCCATCCAGGTAGAGAGCTTACTACCTGTAGATGCTCCAAGTGTCCCTGTCTGCTAACGCACGTGTGAAGTGCCTCTAGATGCTCTCCAGACCCTCTCTCTCATGAAGAGGAAAGTCCAGGACAACTCAAGTGGTTTGCTCAGACAATCATCTTCAAGATCAGGTAAGGTGCTACAGTGTACCAAGATGAAATGTGGCACTGTGTGAATGAAATACTGTCCTAACTTTAAGTTAGCCTAGTATTTTCTAGTTTTTGAAGAACATGTTCCTCTAACATTGAACATTTTTCTTTGGGTTACTTTTAGAAAGTCTTATAAAGTTAGGTGTCTTGTAGCTACGTATCCCTTGCTGCAGTGAAAGAGACAAGGCATGATAAAAACAAACTCATCAATAGCATTCATAATACTGAAAACCTGAGGTTTGGTATCAAACCAAAGAAATCACAATTAAATAAAATTTGCTCTCATTCCCTCTCCAAAGTAATTCATCTAAAAAATAAGTTAAATTGTCCCCATAACTTTTCCTCAGATCCACTATCTATTTACTTTTTCCAAGTAACTCATAAAATTCCAATCAATATGAAAACTGCTATGGAACCATACATATACTAAAGGGAAGGAAAACCAAAGAGGAACCATTTAAATAGCATTATTACTGACGAATATTATTTAAAGGGCTTGAGTTTCAATCTGAATTACTACTATTTTCTAATGATTTGAAATGCCTAATTTAAAAAAAGTGGCTTAAAAATTACGTATGTACATCAAACTGTAAAGGCATTTGTTTCTTTGTGGGGAGAGGACGGATGTTCATCCACTTCTTACGTTCAATAGACATCACTCTCATCGCACGCCGGTCTTTGGTCCACCTAAGAAAAATGGAGTTCAGAAAAAAACAAAGACACACGAGCAAAAGACATAACACAAAGGGAGAGGCACAAAGTTTGTACCTGAGGAACCAGAGAATTTTTTTCTCAATGCTTCTAAAAGAAATACCTTATGATTCTGTATTTTCACTTCCTATTGTCATTTACAAACACTCCCTACAAACTCTAAACAAATTGATAAAATACAGGAAAAAAACACTACTTGTGAATTCTTATCTACTAGGTCCTAAAAATCTCTTCCCTTGTGTCTGTAATTATCCTAAATTATCTATTTTTCTCTCCTCTCTTCAAAGCCTTAAACTTTTTGCTTATGTGTATAATTTTATACCTACGAAACAGAAAATTACAAAATAGGAATTGTTTCCACACACAATACTTACGAATGCCTTGCTTTTGCACTACAATATTTTCTGTTTTTGTCTGGTTCAATGACTTGACCGTTTCTCAGACACTGGGCGCACACAAACTTTATCTTCATATTAAGAAATCCAGGCATTATTTGATTACCAAGTACCTTAAACAATTAAAAGATTCGTTTTAATTTTTTTAACAGAAAACCAGTTTTCTGATGACAAAATACTAAATCAAGATGCATTTTTTTCACAATAGTATACAATTTCCCATTTTTATCTGACTTGATTTGACCATTATATCTGATAACTAAATCTCCAATTCTCCCCCCAAATGTAAGAGAATATCATAAAAGTAGATGATAGATGCCAAACTTTAATTTATGAAACTCATCTTTGAAATTGATGACTAGAATTGTTTCATTTGGGTCAGGGGTGTTGAGGGGAGAGCAATGGAAAAACGAGACATGCCAGGTGGAAAGCTAAACTATAAAAATAATCTAACCCCCTTACTCCGAGAACCCGTAAAGCCCAGAACTCCAGTTGTTTTGTCAATTAAACTAAATAAGAAAACAGTGTCCTACACTCTTGGCAAGCATTGTGGGCTGCATAATTTTTTTATGATGATCAACTAAAATGCAAATTGTTTTTTCACATAAGAATGACTCACCTGAATGAATATTAAGAAAGTAACTGGACTGTAAGTGTTAACTGCATCCACCAACAACCAACATCTATTACGCAATTCCAGAAAGGACACCAAATGCAGAAAGTACACAAGAGAAAAATACCTGCGCTCCAGGTACATTTGCTTCCAAATTCTGCCAATATCGTTTAGACTCTTGAGCAATAGCATCATGTGAGATACCTGGGGAATGTACAAGCCTTCCTTTAAATTATATCTATAAGAACAACAGCCCACCAATCTGGGTGCAGTCAGACGTGGAGAACCTTCAGCTTCCAATCTATTCTCATACCTCCTAATCCATCAGCAAGGATGAATACCACGTTTCTCTTTTTTGAAATGGAATATACACAAATACAGCTCTTTGTGCCTTCTGAGGAATCTTTCCTCCCAACAATTGCATGTATCAACTTGTATCAGTAATTAATGACATGAGAACACACTCAAAATAGGCAACTCTAAAAATCAAAAGTTTGAAGCTCAGGACAAAATCAATAGCGTCACCACATCTGGTTGATGGAGAAGGGGAGGTCTCCAAATTCCTTTTTGTTTTTTTTTTTTTTGAGACAGTCTCATGTTATCACCCAGACTGGAGCGTAGTGTTGTGATCCTGGCCCACTGCAACCTCTGCCTCCCAGGTTTAAGCAATTCTCATGCCTCAGCCTCCCAAGTAGCTGGTATTACAGGCGCCCACCACCACGCCCGATTAATTTTTGTATTTTTTGTAGAGATGGGGATTTTGCCGTACTGGCCAGACTGGTCTTGAACTCCTGACCTCAAGTGATCCATCTGCCTCAGCCTCCCAAAGTAGTGGGATTACAGGCATGAGCCACCACGCCAGGCCCAAATTACTGTTTCATTAAACCCTGTCTGCTCTTGAGGAGACATACTTCTCAGTCGCACTCAAACCTACCTGTTTCATTTTGCATTATCCAGACTTTCAGTTCCACAAGACTATGGGCATAAAAGCACTCATCTTCCCTTAAACAGCCATACCGAACTTCATGTCGACATAAATCAAGCTGACACTGACCATGAAAAGAACGTATTTTGGAGTATTTTACTGTTGTCTCTCGCAAAATGTGGACAAGGCACCTAAGATGAAAACAGTGACATTTTAATATTGTTCTGCCATAGATTTTTCAAATATATATATATATATATATATATATATATATATATATATATATATATATATATATATAAAGTTCTACACTGACAATACATTTAAAATTTTTTTTTCTCTTTTTTTTTTTTGAGATGGAGTCTCACTCTATCGCCCAGGCTGGAGTGCAGTGGCGCGATCTCGGCTCACTGCAAGCTCCGCCTTCCGGGTTCACACCATTCTCCTGCCTCAGCCTCCTAAGTAGTTGGGACTACAGGCGCCCACCACCACGCCCAGCTAATTTTTAATAGAGACGGGGTTTCACCGTGTTAGCCAGGATGGTCTCAATCTCCTGACCTCGTGATCCGCCTGCCTCGGCCTCCCAAAGTGCTAGGATTATAGGCGTGAGCCATGGAGCCCAGCCCTACATTTTAAATTTTTATCGGAAAAAAAATCATGGGGGCTGGGCACAGTGGCTCACACCTGTAATCTCAGCACTTTGCGAGGCCAAGACGGGTGGATCACCTGAGGTCAAGAGTTCGAAACCAGCCTGGCCAACATGTTGAAACCCTGTTGCTACTAAAAATACAAAAAATTGTCCAGGCGTGATGGCTCACTCCTATAATCCCAGCACTTTGGGAGGCCAAGGCGGGTGGATCACTTGAGGTCAGGAGTTCAAGACCAGCCCAGCCAACATGGTAAAACCCTGTCTCTACTAAAAATGCAAAAATTAGACGGGTGTGGTGGCACGTGCCTGTAATCCTAGCTACTGGAGAGGCTGAGGCAGGAGAATCGCTTGAACTCGGGAGGCGGAGGTTGCAGTGAGCTGAGATCGCGCCACTGCACTCCAGCCTGGGAAACAGAAAAAGACTTCGTCTCAAAAAAATTAAAAAATACAAAAAATTAGCCAGGCCTAGTGGTGGGTGTCTGTAATCCCAGCTACTCGAGAGGCTGAGGCAGGAGATTCACTTGAATCTGGGAGGCAGAACTTGCAGTGAGCCAAGATCATGCCACTGCACTTCAGCCTGGGTGACAGAGCGAGACTCTGTCTCAAAAAAAACAAACAAAAAAACCAAATCACTACATGCAATTGTTGAATTAATTGGGGGGGGTACTTATATTTTAAGCCATAAAATACCTAAATCCATGTCATGAGAAACTATACATCAATAATGCTTTTCTGTTTTACATAATATATTTAGTTAATTATTCACTTTCCAGCCAAATCTACTAAAAGACATTTTAAAATTTTGTCATTGTTCTTCAAAATAACAACATAACGATGAAAGGGCAATGCCTGGACAGACATTACTACTAGTTTTTATTCAGATCTAGAAAAAGAATCTATTTTGTCATTACAGAAATTAGAAACTATCAACATACTTATTGTCTTCAAACTCATGCTTTGTAACCGGGTGAGAACAAGCAGTAGAATTATCTTTATTTCTTTTACTTATCATTCTAGGCTTATGATCAAAACATTTCTGGAATAGAGAGAGAAAGATTATCAAAAAAAATACAAAATATAAATTTTGTACCCAGAATATTGTCCTAGTTTCAATATCATTACAAAATTAATATTCAATATGAAGTTTTAATATTCTTTTTGGTAACAGTAATAGCCAACATTTACTGAATGAATGTTTTATCACATGGGAGGACCAGAGGAATATTTTATTCATAAATATGATATTATTTATCATATAAATAAATGAATATTTATTCATTTACCAAGTGAATGTTTTATCACATGGCAGGACAATACCACTGGGCTTGCAAATTCAACTTTACAGTGGAAAATAAGTTTTGGAGAACACACCTCACAAAGGAATATAAATTCCCCAAGATGCTCCTGGAGAAGTTTGAACACAGTAAGGTTAATCTTTCCATTGCCGCCAAAGAAAGCCTCCCGGCTGAATGCTCCTTTCCGCTCCAGTGTCCACACATCTATCTCCTCTTGGCAATAAGCAAACGTGCAGTGGCCTGAATATCTACATTCCTCCTCAGCAGCAACATCTAGAAAGACAGGGAATGGACAGACATTGAAAACATGGCAATTGGCCTGTACTCCCAGCTACTTGGGAGGCTGAGGTGGGAGGATCCCTTGAGCCCAGGAGTTCAAGGCTGCGGTGAGCAATGATCTTGCCACTGCACTCCAGCCTGGGCAACAGAGCAAGTCCCAGTGTCAAAATAAACAAACAAACAAAAAAAGATGGTAATTGTTTCCTTAAAGCCAATGAATATAAATAACATTTAGGGCATCATTTGAACTTGTCTAACAATTCATGGACAGCCTCAAACAATGATATGCATATTATCTGGGGATGGATCGTATCAACTCTAAAAAAGAGAAGTACCACAAGCCTTAATTATTTTTATCACAGACTGTGAGAAGAGCCTTGATTCTCTCATGGACCACACCTCAGCTGAAAAAAAAAAAAATCATTTAGGGACATTCTAAGCTCATTCACACAAACTTGTTTGACAAACATGAAAATACCAAGTTCTCTCAAAAGCATCTTAAACACTTTTCAAAGCCTTAGCTCAGTGTTTTGATTCTGTTTAGAGAGAACTTAAGGTTTGAGACAGTCTTCTGTTTAAAATCTGGTCATAGGCCAAGCGTGGTGGCTCACACCTGTAATCCCAACATTTTGGGAGGCCGAGGCAGGCAGATCATTTGAGGCCAGGACTTCAAAACGAGCCTAACCAACATGAAGAAACCCATCTCTACTAAAAAATACAAAAATCAGTGAGGCAGGGCGGCACACGCCTGTAATTCCAGCTATTCGGTAGCTGAGTCATGAGAAAATTGCTTGAACCTGGGAAGCAGAGGTTGCAGTGAGCCGAGATTGTGCCTGTGCACCCCAGCCTGGGAGACAGAGCGAGACTCTGTCACAAAAAATTGAGAAATAAATAAATAAAATAAAACCTTGGCCAGTACAGTGGCTCATGCCTGTAATCCTTACACTCTGGGAAGCCCAGGCAGGCAGATAACTTGAGGCCAGGAATTTGAAACCAGCCTAGGCAACATAGTGAAACCCTGTCTCTACTAAAAATACAAAAATTAGCCAGGTGTACTGGCGCATGCCTGTAATCCCAGCTACTCGGGAGGCTGAGGCAAGAGAATCACTTGAACCCAGAAGGCAGAGGTTGCAGTGAGCCGAGATTGCGCCACTACACTCCAGCCTGGATGACAGAATGAGACTCTGTCTCAAAAAAGAAAAAGTTAAATACAACAGTAAAAATAATATAAAAAATATTAACATCTCAATCCAAGGAACTTGCTATTAGCTCTAAACATTTTTTATAACAGTCAATACTGTTATAATAACATAATGTAATAAATTACATATTAATAGATGTTATAATAAATGTAGCAAGCACAGTCCTACACCACATACTGACATTTCAGTCAACTACAGACTGCATATATAATGGTGGTCCCATAAGATTAATACTGTGTTTTTCCTGTACCTTTCCTATGTTTAGATACACAGATACCATTGTGTTACAGTAGCCTCAGTATTCAGTACAGTAACAAACTGTACAAGTCTGTAGTTTAGGAGCCACTGACTATGTCATGGATAGGCTAGGTGCGTCGTCGGCTACACCATCGAGGTTTGTGTAAGTACTCTGTGATGTTCCCCTAATGATGCATTTCTCACAATGTATCCTGTCATTAAGCTAAGCATGACTGTAGTTCATCACTTATGTAATGTATACTAATTAAGTAATTACAGTACATACCTTTACATATATAATATGGTCCTTCATAATTTGTTTTTGTTGGTCTTGGACGTATTTTTTTCCATGATTTATCTTCAACATTCTTTATCCTACCGATTAAAATATCTTTCTTACACTTATGATCTATGTTAGCATGGTAAGTGAAATCCATTAACTTAGGGCCTGAAAAAGATGTAAAGAGGATTGCTTATATGCACAAAAAATATCATTTCATTTTACAGGTAAATTTACAAGCAGACATGAACAGATGAACATCAATTATTAAATTCCCACAGAAATCCCACTTCCACAACCCTAAAATGTAAGTAGGCTACTAAGGTAGATTTGTGCCTTTTATAATGTATCAGACAACACAATGTTCTATTCAACTCCACTCCTGCCAAAAAAAAATACCCTTACTTAACTTTAGGGAAATAATCTGGAGAGGAATTTTGATGGCTTATAAATCAGAATAAACTGTGTTTATGTCACTTGATTTAACGGTAAACATATGAAACAAGCTAACAGAAAGTATTTAATTTTCATATACATTGTATTGTATACTGGTCTTATAATGCTGTTTTCTAGTTCTTGCTCTACTTGAAAATAATCAACTTCTTAAGCATACACTGAGAACATAAGGAGTTTCATTAAAATTTCAATAAGCTTCCAAAAATAGGTAAATATTCTATTCTACATGATTCTATAAATAAAATGACATCAAATAAGAGCAGAGCCTTATCCTATTATACTCCAAAGGCACTAAATCAGTAACTGCTACTTGTTTAGGAAGAATTCAAAATAGGGATTGAAGAACCATAATAACTGATGTTGTTAACATGTATTTACAAATTCCTAAGAACTTTCAAGGTTATGAGCAAGTAGTTTAATACTCTCTGCGTGTTTGTTTGGTCCTGACCTGATTTTACAAAACAGATCTGGCAAGCTTGTCTCAATTCATGGGTTCCTTCGAGGGGATGTCTTGGAGTCACTGATGAAGATGGTTTGGTAACTGCACTTCCAAAAAAGTTTCCAAAGTCATTTCTAGGCTGACTTGAAATTCCCAGGAAATTCTCTGAAGCAAACAAACTACCTGGTCCATTCATCTGCAAGAAAAATAAGAAGAAAAAAAAAAAAAACAGCCAACAAATATTGCATTATCACTGAAGAAAGGAACTGAATTCATCTGAAAAATAAGATAATCTTCATAAACTGAGGTCAGTACTACTCCATCCTTAATGCTCTTCTATCTTAAAAACTGTCTCTTTCTACATTTTTCTCTCTTTTGGTTTCTAGTCACCCCCCGACTTTTTTGATCCTCCATATTATAAGTAATAAGTTCTACTGCAAAAGTACACACGCTTTACATGCCCCGATCTTATATTTCCTTGATTTGTTTATGCTGTGCTAAAGCCTCTTACATTGTCTGCAATACCGATTAATTTGCTATGACAGATCAAGTCTTAAACACAGAGCCGTTATTACTAGATGTTCCAGAAGTCTTACTTTAACACAATTTCCTGCAGCACACACAAAATTTAAGGGAGACTGTCATGTTCATTCAAATAACTCGGTTACTTAAGTAACTATTTTCAATTCAAGCGATGTATTTACAAAAGAGGAAGTGGCACTTACAAGTAAAAGGGAAGAATTACTGTTGTTAAGCGGTGTTCCCTCTCTAGAAGTTGAGGTGGACAGATCTAAAATAATAAAAAAACTTCAACAGACCTTTTCATTCTGATCACGTAATAAGAACATCAGGGCTTAGTAGCTTACTGGCTATGGCCTCCCACGCTATTCTCCCGTCCCAGTTTCTAGAAATTTTCTTGCTCAAGGTTGACACCCAAAGAGGGCTCTAGAGTCTCTGCTTTCCTCTAGAAACCAAGGGCATAGTCAAACAAATTTAAATAAAAACCTACTTCCAGAAAAATAAGCTAAGGCAGGGCCCACCAACTGCAACTACTAAAAACACCAAGAAAATTCTTTATATTCAAAAATGGGAAAAGAGCCTTTCCTTTTGAAAATATGGGGCCAGGTGCGGTGGCTCACACCTGGCAATCCCAGTACTTTAGGAGGCCAAAGTGGGTAGATCACTTGAGGTCAGGAGTTTGAGACCAGCCTGGCCAACATGGTGAAACCCTGTCTCTACTGAAAATACAAAAAAAATTTGCCAGGTGTGATGGCAGGCGCCTGTAATCCCAGCTACTCAGGAGGCTGAGGCAGGAGAATCGCTTGAACCCAAGAGGCAGAGGTTGCAGTGAGCCAAGATTTCGCCACTGCTTTCCAGCCTGGGCAACAGAGTGAGACTCTGTCTCAAAAAAAAAAAAAAAAAAAGCAGGAACTGACCATAACATTTAAAAAAAAATCAGTAAAGTTTTCAATTGCTTTCTTTTTTTTTTTTTTTTTTTTTTTGAGAAAGGGTCTCATTCTGTCACCCATGCTGGAGTGCAGGGGTGTGATCTTGGCTCACTGCAGCCTCAACCTCCTGGGCTCAAGGAATCCTCCCACCTCCACCTCCCAAGTAACTGGGATCACAGGCACACACCATACCCAGCTAATTTTTATATTTTTTGTAGAGAAAGGGTTTCACCATGTTGCCCAGGCTGGTCTCAAACTCCTGAGCTCAAGTGATCCTCCTGACTCGGCCTCCCAAAGTGCTGGGATTACAGGCATGAGCCACCACACCCAGCCTACTTTCTTTTTCTTAGTCTAGCACTCAATTATTTTCTCTCTGCCCTTCTGTCTCCCATATATTTTAATTTCTTTAAGTCAATCTTTAAGTCAATTATGTAAGATTTTTGCCCTTTTAGCCACGTAACAATGCCTTCAAAAAAATATTTTTCTAGTGATTGTTTGAAGTATATATGTTAAACCTAGGATGACAGAAACAGGAGTCAGACTCCAAACTCAGCAATCTCCTGTAAAGTTAAAGCAGCAGCCACGGTTTGCTGAGCTCCACAGATGAAACCTAAAATAGACACATCTGATTGCTAGCATTCTAAATACTGATCTTAAATTAGTGTTTGCCTAGATCAGAATTTAATAGCATAGCCTGTCTCTCAGACCCTTTAAGATGAGATACACCTTTACGGGAGAATACATTGTCATTTCACCCCCAAAACAATAAACTCCCAGCTTAACAAACTATCCTACAGAAACACCAGTGCCACACACATTTCTCTTCTCATGCCTTTGCTCCTGGGTCTCCAGAATGGCACAGCTAAGTCAAGGTAAATTCAAAACTGAAGGCTTAGTCTTTATATTTTTAGCTACAAAGAAAATAATTCACATGTCTACTACCTAGAGTCAGTTAAATAATTGCCAAACAAACATTTTCATTTTGAGAAAATCAACTGCAATTGTTTACAATTTAGATTTGGTTCTTACCTCGTTTGGATTCACTCATTGAAAATGAATTTAAAGAAGAACAAAAATCTTCTAAGGATGAAGTCAAAGGTGGATAAAATTCTGAGAAGGAGGGTGGAGGAGCATACCTCGCACCAATGGGTAAGGTTCCTAACAGCGATGCCGAAAAGGGCATGCTAGGAGAGACACTGGCTGTCTGAAGGGGTCCTCTGACTAAAGCTGACGGCTGCGGAAGAAAAAAAGATGTGATTAAAATTCATGAAGCTGTCATGGGTTTGGCTGAACTACTTTCAACACCAGCAAATAAAAGCATTATTACACTGGGAGATCACGTTACATAACAAAGTTTAGGCCAGGCATGGTGGCCTGTAATCCTAACACTTTGGGAGGCTACGGCAGGCGGACTGCCTGAGCTCAGGAGTTCAAGACCAGCCTGGGCAACACGGTGAAACTCCATCTCCACTAAAATACAAAACATTGGCTGTGCATGGTGGCATGCGCCTGTAGTCCCAGCTACTCAGGAGGCTGAGGCAGGAGAATTGCTTGAACCCAGGAGGCGGAGCTTGCAGTGAGCCAAGATCACGCAATTGCACTACAGCCTGGGCGACAGAGCAAGACTCCATCTCCAAAAAAATAAAAAAAAAAACAAAGTTTAAATCAGAATCAAGATTCGTTTAAAACAATTTTAGCTACAGAACTTCTTTTCAAGAATAATTTTTAAAAACAATTGAGGTGGGATGTCTAACTTTTTTTTTTTGAGACGGAGTCTCACTCTGTCACCCAGGCTGGAGTACAGTGGCACAATCTCGGCTCACTGCAACCTCCGCCTTCTGAGTTCAAATGATTCTCCTGCCTCAGCCTCCTGTGTAGCTGGGATTACAGGCATGCGCCACCTCGCCCAGCTAATTTTTGTATTTTTAGTAGAGATGGGGTTTTGCCATGTTGGCCAGGCTGGTCTCAAACTCCTGACCTGAAGTGATCCAACCGCCTAGAACTCCCAAAGTGCTGGGATTACAGGTGTGAGCCACTGCACCCAGCTAGATGTCTAACATTATAATCCAAATGTTACATTCATGTTTCATCTGCAAAACTTCCTTATGCTTCCCTGCCCTTACCTGACTACAGGGCTCATAAGAATTTGCATCATATGAGGCTGGGCATGGTGGCTCACACCTGTAATCCTAGCACTGTGGGAGGATGAGGTGGGTGGATCACGAGGTCAGGTGTTCAAGACCAACCTGGCCAAGATGGTGAAACCCCGTCTCTACTAAAAATACACAAAAAATTAGCCGGGCGTGGTAGCGGGCACCTGTAATCTCAGCTACTCGGGAGGTTGAGGCAGATAATTGCTTGAACCTGGGAGGTGGAGGTTGCAGTGAGCCAAGATCGCACCACTGCACACCAGCCTGGGCGACAGAGTGAGACTCTGTCTCAAAAAAAAAAAAAGAATTTGCACCATTAAAGAGGAATTGTGGGATATATGTGGTGTAGCAGGAGGATAGGTGATCCAGAGACGGGAGCTGGAGAAGCCCATGAAGATTGAGACAACCTCTCTGGAGGTGTGAACTTACAACTGGACAAGAACATACAACTCTAACTTCCCCAGGCCCCATCAAAGCTGCAACTCACTGAGAGCTTCCACGCACCTTACGTTATGGTATCATATGCTATCTATTTGGTTCTTAAAACAGCTCTCTCAGATACATCCTACTGTGATCACCATCATACAGATGAGGAAAATGATGCACTATGATGAAGTAACTTGCCCAGTATCACAGAGCTGGTAAGAATCAAAGCCAGCTCTGTCAGTCTTTTGCACACTGACACCATCTATTACACCACCCCTGGAAAACAGCTCGGAATTTCTCCCTATCATCACCATCATCCTACCACTGCTGCTACTGATTTATTTTACTTTATGGGAGGGGTCAGAGAAGTCTTTTTTTTTTTTTTGAGACAGAGTATTGATCTGTCACCCAGGGTGGAGTGCAGTGGCATGATCTTGGTTCACTGCAATCTCCACCTCCCGGGCTCAAGTGATTCTCTTGCCTCAGCCACCCAAGTAGCTGCGATTACAGATATGCACCACCATGCCCAGCTAATTTTTGTGATTTTTGGTAGAGGCAGGGTTTTGCCATACTGGCTAGGCTGGTCTCGAACTCCTGGTGATCTGCCTGCCTCAGCCTCCCAAAGTGCTGTGATTACAGGTGTGCGCCACTGCACCCAGCAGAAAAGGCTTTCTATACAGGGATGGACACTAAGTATTTTAGGCTCTGTAGGCCACACGGTCCCTGTTGCAAGGACTCAACTATGCTGTTGCAGTGCAAAAGCAGCCACAGACAGCACATAAAATGAATAGTCACTGATGTGTTCCAGTAAAACTTTACTTACGGACCCAGAAATTGGAATGTCATATAATTTTATTGATTGACTGATTGAGACAGGGTCTCGCTGTGTTGCCCAGGCTAGAGTGCATGGCACAATCAGTGCTCACTGCAGCCTCAACCTCCTGGGCGCAAGTGATCCTCTACCCTCAGCCTTCCAAGCAGTGGGACCACAGGCACGCACCACTATGCCAGGCTGTTTTTAATTTTTTGTAGAGATGTGCCCTTGCTATGGTTACCCAGGCTAGTTTCATATAATCTCCATATGTCACAAAATATTATTCTCTTTTTTGTTCTTCTCTCAACCATTTAAGAATTGTAAAAAATATTCTTAGTTTGCAAGCCATACAAAAACAGGTAATAGGCCAGATTTAGCCTGTGGGCTACAGTTGGCTGAACCCCGCTTTAAAGTATGTGGTTGCTAGAGGATTATCTTTAAGAATAAGAAGTCCTGAGGCCGGGCATGGTAGCTCACGCTTGTAATCCCAGCACTTTGGGAGGCCGAGGCGGGTGGATCACGAGGTCAGGAGATCAAGACCATTCTGGCTAAGGCAGTGAAACCCCATCTTTACTAAAAATACAAAAAAATTAGCCAGGCGTGGTGGCGGGCGCCTGTAGTCCCAGCTACTCAGGAAGCTGAGGCAGGAGAATGGTGTGAACCCGGGAGGCGGAGCTTACAGTGAGCCAAGACTGCGCCACTGCACTCCAGCCTGGGCAACAGAGCAAGACTCCGTCTCAAAAAAAAATAAATAAATAAAAAGAATAAGAAGTCTTTAATCTATATAATTCATTTTTTCTTAAATATCAAACGCCTATTTTTTATCAGAATGTTATCTTTGCCCTTTCCATAATATGAGATCCCAATATGAATTGGAAAAAAATTGGCTAATTACTAGATAGCATTCTTTTTTTATTTCAAAATGATCAAATTAACCAGTTTCAGTAGAGAAGAAAAAAAGTAACTTTCAAGGTTAAAAAAACCCCCAAATTCAGCCTATATGCAATACTGAAAAAGTCTATCAAGTTATATTACAATTTTTAAAAAGTTAACTCTGTCTTCAGAAGAAACTTGAGTAACACTGAAACTTACCATAACAGTTTCATTAGTTTCAGGTGCAGAATCAAGCAGGTCATCTAGTTCATCTCCAAGGACCATATCTCCATCATCTAGAAAAGCTTCTGGCATAGTGAAGGGCATCTTTCCTCCATTTGCCAGCACTGCAGATGGCAGAGCGCTCTCTTCCACTTGTAGTGGCAAAATAGAAGTTAAGGGCATAACAGGAACTGAGGCCAGCTCACTTCCAACTTCATGAGAAAAACTGGGTGCCGGTAAAGAGACAACAGGAACTGCTTCTTGCCTTGGAGTTAATAAATCTGTAACACAGATGGAAATGTACTCAGTCACTTTCATCGTACTTACATAATAATACCATTAATCCCCAATAATAGAGATACAAAGATGAAAATATGAAGGCAATTATAAAAATAATAAAATTGACAGTATAGTAAAGCAATTCCAAACAGATACAGTCACGTGTGAAAACTTATCCTTCTTTCACAAAATGCCTGTATCTCTCTTTGGGCACAGCTATCAGACAGTGGCAAGGCCACAGTGGGTGTCAGTGATTGCTTACTAACATCCAACACTTTTCAGTCACTCACTGGCACATCCAAAGGCACAAAGGGAGCATTGGAAATCATTTTCACTTTCATATTAATACATTAATATGAATATAACCACACAGCGATATTATTTGACAATACATCACATACAAAGACATCAGGTACAAAGCTGGCACTATTCAAATTGTTAAGATGATATGTGAAAACATACCTGGCTCAATATCTTCCACAGAATGGTTCAAAGCCTAGAAATTAAACCAAACAATGGGTTATAATATTTTCAGGACTCTAAGCCATAAAACAATCAGTAAAACTCACCCTAGGCCGGGCACAGTGGCTCACGCCTGTAATCCCAGCACCTGGGGAGGCCGAGACAGGCAGATCACGAGGTCAGGAGTTTGAGACCAGCCTGGCCAACATGGTGAAACCCTGTCTCTACTAAAAATACAAAAATTAGCCAGGCATGGTGGCAGGCATCTGTAATCCCAGCTACTCAGGAGGCTGAGGCAAGAGAACTGCTTGAACCCGGGAGGTGGAGGCTGCAGTGAGCTGAGATAGCGCCACTGCACTCCAGCCTAGGTGACAGAGCGAGACTCTGTCTTGGAAAAAAAAAAAAAAGAAAAAAAGAAAAAACTCACCCTAAGAGAACAATGCAGGTTTCCACAGAAATTCAACTCCCAATTAAGATCCAAGAAATGAATGGAACACGCAAACCTGTATACATGTGGTGTTAGGTGAGGTGCTGGTCTAGCAGTGCTGCCACTTATTTCTCGTGGACCAGCATTTCTCAAAGGCTATTCAGCAGAATAACAGGGATGAATTTGGCCACCAATCATTGCCCAACTCACAATAGCCATTAGCATCCTATTAGCCCCAAGAAAATTTTAATTTTAAAATTAAAAACAAAAACAAAAAAAAACCCTTTGTTAATTTTATCACAAATGACTCCCAAAACTAGTATTTGGCCCTGAACCACTCTTATTGCACTGAAACCTAACATCTATTAACATCCTATAAAATGCCCCACTGGAGCATTCAGGAAATGCTGGTTACAGCTAAAATATATTACTTGAGTTGTAGATGTTCTTTTGTAAAGTGACTAGAAGAGGCCAGAAGAGATGGCTCACGCCTGTGATCCCAGCATTTGGTGGGAGGCCAAGGCAGGAGGAACACTTGAGCTCAGGAGTTTGAGGCCAGCCTGGGCAACATGGTGAAACCCCATCGCTACAAAAAATACAAAAATTTAACAGGCCATGGTGGTGTGTGCCTGTGGTCCCAGCTACTCGGGAGGCTGAGGTGGGAGGATCACTTGAGCCCAGGAGGTGGAGGTTGCAGTGAGCCAAGATCAGGACACTGCACTCCAGCCTGGGCAACAGAACAAGACTCTGTCTCAAAAAAATAAATAAAGTGACAGGAGGGTATTGCCAATTACGTGTTTGAGGAATTAAAAAGGTTCCAAAAATAAACACACACCAAAAATACTAAAAGTAGAATTGCTCCCATCCTTCCCTTTAAAAAAAAATATAATTTTGACAGAAAAAATAACTTTACCTTGGTAGCCCCATCCCCAGGAACTGATTTTAATGAGAGCTGAAATAAAATAAAGACACTAATTTAAAAACAGAACTGACTCCAAGTTCTAAAACAAAATGAAAACACCTTATGCAGAGAACTCCAGCTTACCTCAGCTCTGACATACGCTTTTCTTATTTTAAATCCCAATTTCTGAGCTAGTTCTTGAGTTAGTTTTATTACATGCTCATCCTGAAAAAAATAAGTATGTATAATTAACAGGGTTATATTTACTAATGGTGAAGAAGAATAGACAAAACAGGGAAGTTTCCCATCAAGACACCTGCTTCATTAGCATTTATACCCAACTGAAGCAGGTTGATGGATGACTGGAAAATTTAACTCTTTAAATGCCATTTATTATGATGTAAATGGTTACGATGTAAACAAATAAACTATAAATTCCATACCTGAGGCACTGCTAAGGAGCACTTTGCTACAGCATCGTAAGCCTTTTTGTATCTTCCTAAATCACTTAAAGCCTTAGATTTCCGATACAGAGCTTTGCAGTTACTGGCATTTAAACTGAGGACTATATTGCAGTCCTCCAAAACTTTATCATGGAAACCCTGGTGTGTAAGACCAAAGAATAAAGTCAGCAATCAAACAATTCATTTCTTGCACTGAGGCCTTCCTGTAATAAAAACAAATTAATACCCCATCCTATTACCCTCCCTCTAAACTCCAAGTTAGCAGTATTACTTTTATTTTTTAAATTATTTTATGAAATTTCAAATACAAAAAAGTAGAAAGAATATCATGAATACCCATGTACACACCATCCAGGTCAGACAAATGCTAATATTTGGTCAGAAAGTCCCCAGATCTTCAAGAAATAAAGCTTTCCAGACCTAACTGATGTCCCCATGTGTCCCTCTCCTATTCGCTCCTCTGTAGTTACCCTTTGCTGGAGCACATTAAGATGTCAAACAGAAACGTAACTCCAAACAGCTAACTGATAAGGAATATATTACCCAAAACAAAATAAATAAACAATGAATGCTCTTTAACAAAGAGCTAGGTGACAACACGGATATTTTTCTTAAATTCATGGTTATATTTTACCGAGTATCCACAGTGAAAATTAAAAGCACTTCAGGTTGGGCACAGTGCCTCACAGCTGTAGTCCCAGCACTTTGGGAGGCCGAGGTGGGTGGATCACCTGAGGTCAGGAGTTCGAGACCAGCCTGGCCAACATGGTAAAAACCCCATCTCTACTAAAAATACAAAAATTAGCCAGGCGTGGTGGCGGGTGCCTATAATCCCAGCACTCGGGAGGCTGAAGCAGGAAAATCACTTGAACCCAGGAGACAGAGGATACAGTAAGCCGAGATTGTGCCACTGCATTACAGCCTGGGCAACAGAGTGACACTCCATCTCAAAAATTTAAAAAAGGTGGCCAGGCGTGGTGGCTCATGCCTGTAATCCCAGCACTTTGGGAGGCTGAGGCGGGCAGATCACCTGAGGTCAGGAGTTCGAGACCAGCCTGACCGACATGGAGACACCCCGTCTCTACTAAAAATACAAAATTAGCCAGGTGTGGTGGTACATGCCTGTAATCTCAGCTACTCGGGAAGCTGAGGCAGGAGAATCTCTTGAACCCGGGAGACGGAGGTTACGGTGAGCCAAGATTGTGCCATTGCACTCCAGCCTGGGCAACAAGAGTGAAACTCTTGTCTCAAAAAAAAAAAAAAAAGTTTTAAAAGGAAAAAAAGAAAAAAAAGCACTTCAAAAGCTTTTAAGCTTAAAAATGTGAAAATCTAGTGTGAATTCCTTTGAAGACTAATTACTATTTCTTGATTTAAAAAAACACTCGCCAGGCACGGTGGCTCACGCCTGTAATCCTAGCACTTTGGGAGGCTGAGGCGGGCAGATTGCCTGAATTCAGGAGATCGAGAACAGCCTGGGCAACACAGTGAAACCCCATCTCTAACAAAATACAAAAAATTTGCTGGGCACGGCGGCATGCGCCTGTAGTCCCAGCTACTCGGGAGGCCGAGGCAGGAAAATTGCTTGAACCCAGGAGGCGGAGGTTGCAGTGAGCCGAGATCGTGCCACTGCACTCCAGCCTGGGTGACAGAGCGAGACACTGTCTCAAAAAAAAAAAAAAAAAAAAAAACACTCGTAAGAGTGTTTTTTACCAAGAGTGTTTTACAAGATCAACTGGATCTTGACTAAGATGTTAACTGTGAACAGGGATACCTGAAAGACACACTGACCTGTGAAGACCTGTATCTTCCCTGGATGACTTTTTTATAAGCAGACACACCTTCAAAAGCCATACTCAAATGGGAATCATCAAGGACCAATAACTAAGAAACAAATTATTTCTTAAATCCCTAACCTTCTGTCCAAAGCTAATTTTTATTTTTTTATTTTATTTTATTTTTTGAGACGGAGTCTTGCTCTGTCGCCCAGGCTGGAGTGCAGTGGCACAATCTCGGCTCACTGCAAGCTTCGCCTCCTGGGTTCAAGCGATTCTCCTGCCTCAGCCTCCCGGGCAGCTGGGACTACATGCACACGCCACCATGCCCAGTTAATTTTTTTATTTTTAGTAGAGACGGGGTTTCACCATATTGGCCAGGCTGGTCTCAAACTCCTAACCTCATGATCCACCCACCTTGGCCTCCCAAAGTGCTGGGATTACAGGCGTGAGCCACCGTGCCCGGCCAATCCAAAGCTAATTTTTAAAAGCCTCAAGCCACTCCAAAAGCAGGTAATATGACTTTCTTAAAAACTTAAGAAATTGACTTTTTATTAATGTACTAAGTCATTGAAAAAATTCTTTTCACTCTAGAAACATCATTTTAAAAATTACAACTCACCATATTAGAATAGCAGGCAATACGATTTATATATAGTTTTTCAATTATTTCTTTGGGGATTAAAATTTCTTCAGATTTTGCATAATCAGCTATATTCAAGGCTTCCGTGTACTGGCTTATCGAGTTGTTCCAATCATGTTCCCGATAAACGTCATTTCCTTCATTAAAAAGATTTCTCACGAGAGCACGCAAATATACCTAAAAAAAAGAAAGTTACCACTTGAAGCCTTTTATCAAACAAGATATGGTATAAGTAAATTTTAATTTTTATACCTAAAACTTCACAGGAAACAATGTGACAGAACAGCAGCATTGCTCTAAGAAATTGTGAGATGCAGCCCAAGTCACTGCTATCTCAGCTAGGGATTGAATCTTGCTTGCTTTTTCAAGGGGAAATTCAATTTCTCACTATTAAGAAAAATGCAGCAAAGTACCTTATAAATATTTGTTCACATCTCCAATTCTGTGCCCGCTAGAGAAACCAAGTGGAAGCCCCAAGTCAAAGAGAATGAATAGTTTAAGGCTTTTGAGCAGTATTTCCAAATTGCCTTCCAAAAAGGCCATGATGAAAAATGTTTCTAGTGGTTTACTTTATAGCACCCATACACACTAGGTAGTGTGTGTGTGTGTACACGTGTGTGGGTACCCGTGCACATATATGTAAAATCTACCAATTTCTAGGTGGAAAATGGTATCGTTTTGTGTTTATTTATTTTTTTTAATGGTATCCTCTTTGTATGTGCATGTCTTTACCAGTGAAGTTGAACTATTCCACATTTTTACGGACCCCTTGTATTTCTTTTTCTGTAAATTGCTCAGGTCATTTACTGATTTGGGGGGAGGGGGATGTTAAACTTTTTTCTTATCAAGTAAGTATACACATTCTTTTAGCATGTATAAAAGTTTGTCATTTTCCTTCATTATTTCTATCACGCTTTAGTTTAGTTCTTTTTTTTCTTTTCTTTTTTTTTTTTGAGACAGAGTCTTACTCTGGCACCCAGGCTGGAGTGCAGTGGCACGATCTCGGCTCTCTGCGACTTCACCTCCTGAGTTCAAGTGATTCTCGTGTCTTAGCCTCCCGAGTAGCTGGGATTACAGGCACCTGCCACCACACTCGGCTAATTTTTGTATTTTTAGTAGAGACAGGGTTTCGCCATGTTGCCCAGGCTGGTCTCAAACTCCTGGTCTCAAGTGATCCGCCTGCTTCAGCCTCCGAAAATGCTGGGATTACAGGTGTGAGCCACCACGCCTGGCCATAATTTAGTATTTTAAAAGCTCTTTTTCATCACAAGATCAGAAAAATATTCAACTTGTTTTGTCTCATTTTATGAATTCCTGTCTAAGCTGATTAAATTATTTTAGCTGATTAAATTATTTTAGAAGACTGGACGGATCAACTATTAACAAAACTCGTGACATGCCACTTAACATCTTTAGACCCCAGGTCCACGTGCAAAATGAAACAACTGTTACAGTTTATTTCTGGCTCTAATACTTTTTTATTCCAAATCTGTTTGTAGAGAGCTAAGGAACAAGAGAGAAGAAAAGGGGAGGAGGGAGAGAGGCAGCAAGAAAGTGACATTTAGAAGCCTCAAAACCCTCAGAGGAAAAAAAACACAGGTGAACCAATAGTTAGTAGAGACAAGAGTCTGCAGTCAAAGTCCCAATAAACTGGGCTTTCTCCCTGTTCCTAAACAGCAGATCACTAGTTCTTCCCTCTTGGTATCCAGTCCCCCTTAGCTGCTGTCAGAACATCTCCTAACAGAAAAAAATGTTCCACACACTCTTTCTCAATAAATTCTGTCCCACTTATTTTCAATGACATGAGAAGTAATTTTCAAGTGGCTCAAAAGATAAATTAATTCAAAACCACCCTAATAGAGGAAAGAAAATACAGGGCAACTGTGCAAGTATGCAAAAAAAGAAAAAGAAAAAGAAAAAAAAAGTCCTATATAGAAGGGGTTGGCAAACTTTTTCTGCAAATGCCCAGACAGTACATGTTTTAGGCTCCATGGGCCATATGGTCTCTGTCAAAACTACCATATGTTGCAAAAGCAGCCACAGATAATACATAAACAAATGAGTGTGGCTGTGTTCCAATAAAGCTTTATTTGCAAAAAAATAAAATAAAATAAAATAAAATAAAAGGACAGCAGGCCAGATTGGGCCCACAAGGCCATCATTTGCCAACCCCTGCTACAAATTACAGTTCACAAGCCACTTGCAGAGCTTTCAAGCAGACCTTCCCGGAGTCATTACCGCATATTGCTCCTGTGTTCCTGGATATGACAGCGGTGACCTAAGAAGAAGAAACAAATTAACTGTAATTATCAAGCTCCTTATCGGGACCTGTTCAGCCAGAAGTCATCTTAAATCTGTGGTTCCATTAGCTTGCCACTGGTTCAAGGCATATTTCAAAGACTTCCTCCTCCTTTACTACCATTATTCACAGATGACTACAGTTATGGGAAAAAAAATACATATACATATATATATATATATATATATACTATTCCTTAGTATTTTTTAAGTACAACACTTTACTTTCAAACCTACTTCTATTTTTTAAAAACCCTAATTCTTCAACTGCCAAAAAAGAGGTTAAAAATAGTACAGAGCCACTAACAATATTTGATCCAATTTACTGCAGTATAGAGAGAATGTCTCCTTCCCAGGAAGGAACAAAGAGGCCCTTCTGCCCGGACATGTCCATCCAAACCACAGCTGTCTCATCATTGACATGCTTCAAGAAGTCCAATTAAACACTGAGCTTCTGAACAGACACGTCTGATCACAGAAGCCCTCTGTGCCGCCAGATGTTCATTTTCAGTCACTTTCCACTCAGCAGCACTGTTCATAGAACAAATTCAAATTTCTCAGTCTAACGTTTTGGGGGAGACTAACAATTGTAGCCCTAAAAGCCAGCAAAAGTAACACTTGCTTCCGAATGCAAGAATGTTCAAATGGACAAAAGAAAAAAATATTGCTAGAATATGGAGTTTCTAACCCAAATTAACTGGACCTATTAAACATGACTAAAGAGTTCTTCCTCTCCACAAAACATACATCCACACCAAAGAATTAGGACGCGGCAAGAACACAAGAACTCTGAAGCTCTTACTGTATAAACTGCAGTCCTTCCTTAATGTTCTGCTGCCTTTTTCTTCTCTCCTCGGACACATTGGACATGTTATCCCACACATCCACTTTCTAAATGAGCAATCTGGAAAGAAACAAGGCAAAAAAGCACATAAGGTACCAGGGTCCCTGGACTCCAATGAAAACACCCACAAATCCAGACCTTGTCACACAATCAGCTGTGGACACATCCATTTCTGACTTGACTCCAGGGTCCTGGACGGCAGGGACCGTACAGGAGTCATCTTTGTGGCTCCCCTGTGGTCCGGCACACCATAAGCACACCGTTTTCATATTCTTTTTTTTTTTTTTTTTTTTTTTTGAGACGGAGTCTCGCTCCATTGCCCAGGCTGGAGTGCAGTGGCGCGATCTCGCGATCTCGGCTCACTGCAAACTTCACCTCCAGGGTTCAAGCAATTCTCCTGTCTCAGCCTCCTGAGTGGCTGGGACTCAGATGCCTGCGACCACGCCTGGCTAATTTTTGTATTTTTAGGAGAGACAGGGTTTCACCTTACTGGTCAAGCTGGTCTCGAACTCGTGACCTCAAGTGATCCACCTACCTCGGCCTCCCAAAGTGTGGGATTATAGGTGTGAGCCACAGCGCCTGGCCAGTTTTCACATTCTTTAAGGCTGAATGGCTATGCAGACTTTGTATACCCCTCCTGAGCAGTCTCCAGGAAAAAGTCATGTCTCCCCTTCCTTTCCTCTTCCCTCCTTTGGCTTCAGGTTTTGTTTTTCCCTGTCTACACGCACGCATAAGCTGTCCCTAGAACAGTTCCAGCCTTGTTTTGCTTCTGGAAGCTCTCCAGAAATAAAAAGGTTTCACATCCGCTTGCCTCCGAGGGAGTCTGACTTCCTTGTAAGCCAAGTTTAAACCTTATACATATTTTGTCCCACAAACTTCCAAAATGATTATTGTTGATACAACAGATAAAATAATGATATAAAGTTACTTCCATTGGAATTTTCTGGATATTAAAATGTTATCCTCAATATAACACTTGCAAATGTCAACACATATCATTCTTTTGGGCCCCACCTCCACTAATCAACGTTCACCGAGCAGTTCCCCAAGTTCAAGGAGAGCCACAGAGAAGAGATCTGAGATAAAACATCATCTCCCAGTGGCCCAAACTAGAGTTCCTCAGGCTTGGCATTCTGGGCTAGCTAATTCCTTGTCTTGTGATTGCAGGACATTGGCAGTATTTCTGCCTCTACCCACTATGCCTGTAGCCCCTCACCCCAACCCCACTCACAACCAAAAGTGTCTCCAGATATCGTTAAATGTCAGGGTGGGGAAAGCACAATCAGCCCCAGTTGAGAACAACTGAGACCTAAAGTTAAGACAACATCTTACACATAAACCACGTATTTGGACCCAGGTGACAGGAAGGGAAATTCCACTCATGTTTGAAGTACATTGCTGAAATTTTTTAGTTTCATTATTGCTTGGCATTTACAGTTTTATTTTTAAATCTCATTTTTTTCAAAGTATAAGGGTGAGATGGGGGTTGGAATGTCCCAAATGCTGATAACTGGTGCTAAACCCTTTCTTCTTTGAAACACCGTCAGTTCTCAATATTTTTGTCCTATAAAGTTGGTACTTTACTGAAGTGTTTACATGGGAAAGGATATGACATAGGGGACTTGCTTTAAAATACTCCAGTAACAACAAAAAAGGGGGGGGCTGTGAGGTGGGGAGGAAACAGCAGAATGCTGATAACCAGGGGAGGGTGAGAAGTGCAGGGGATTCTTCAGTACTATTCTCTGGACTTTGTATGTGTTTGAAACATTACAAAATAAGAAGTTTAAGAAGTCCATGACACTAGAGTAAAATGGCACTATTTCTGGAATGTGCTTTTAAAACAGTTTAGCCAAAAGGGGGGTAGCTGGGTGGAAATAAAACAAGAATGCCAAAAATATGGATAATGGTTCCAGCTGGATGAGGGGCATGGAAGCTCATTCCACCCTTCTAGCTACTTGGACATGTTGGCCCATGTCCTTAATAGAAATGCTTTTTTAAAAAAATTTATATATTTTTTTAATTTATAAATGTTTTCTAAAAATTTATATGTACAAAATAATTTAAGGAAGCACTATTTGTAAAAGAAAAAGATTTTTTAAATTAACTCAGGCCACTCATGGTAGCTCACACCTGTAATCCCAGCACTTTGGGAGGCAAAGGCAGGAAGATCACTTGAGCCTAGGAGTTCAAGACCAACCTGGGCAACACAGGGAGACCCCCTATCTCTACAAAAAATTTTAAAAGAGGCCGGGCGCAGTGGCTCGCGCCTGTAATCCAGCACTTTGAGAGGCCGAGGCGAGTGGATCACCCAAGGTCAGGAGTTCCAGAGCAGCCTGACCAATATGGAGAAACCCCACCTCTACTGAAAATACAAAATTAGCTGGGCATGGTGGTGCATGCCTGTAATCCCAGCTATTTGGGAGGCTGAGGCAGGAGAATCACTTGAACCTGGGAGGCGGAGGTTGCAGTGAGCCAAGATCACGTCATTGCACTCCAGCCTGGGCAACAAGAGTGACACTCCATCTCAAAAAAAAAAAAAAAAAAAATTGGCAGGGCATGGTGGCTCATGCCTGTAATCCCAGCACTTTGGGAGGCTGAGGTGGGCAGATCACCTGAGGTCAGGAGTTCCAGACCAGCCTGGCCAACATGGGGAAACCCCATCTCTACTAAAAATACAGAATTAGCCGGGCGTGGTGGCACATGCCTATAATCCCAGCTACTACGGAGGCTGGGGCAGGAGAATCGCTTCAACCCGGGAGGCGGAGGTTGCAGTGAGCCGAGATGGTGCCACTGCACTCCAGCCTGAGCAACAAGAGTGAAATTCCATCTCAAAATAAATAAATAAACAAAAATAACAAAGATTAGCCAGGCATGGTGGCATGCACCTGTAGTCCCAGCTACTCAGGAGGCTGAGTTGGGAGGACTGATAGAGCCTGTGAGGTCGAGGTTGCAGTGAGCTACAATCATGCCAGTGCACTCCAGCCTGGGTGACAGAGTGAGACCTTGCCTCGAAAAAATAAAAAAAAAAGCAACCGGGTGTGGTGGTGCGTACCAGTAGTCCCAGCTACTCAGATGATGGAGGCAGGAGGATGGCTTGAACCCATGAGGTCAGGGCTGTAGTGAGCTACGATTGTGCCACTGCACTCCCGCCTGGGCAAGAGAGTGAGACCCTGTCTCAAAAATAATATTTTTTTAAAAAAACTAACCCAGTGTCTATCAAAAAGGAAATGCCTGAAGAAATTATAGGAAAAAAAAAAAAGATGAGGCATTTAAGTATCCATATGACCCATTTTGTTTTGTTTTGTTTTTTGAGACAGAGTCTCACTTGTCACGCAGGCTGGAGTGCAGTGGCACGATCTCTGCTCACTGCAACCTCCGCCTCCCGGCATCACACCATTCTCCTGCCTCAGCCTCCCGAGTAGCTGGGACTACAGGCGCCCGCCACCACGCCCGGCTACTTTTTTGTATTTTTAGTAGAGATAGGGTTTCACCGCGTTAGCCAGGATGGTCTCGATCTCCTGACCTCATGATCTGCTCACCTAGGCCTCCCAAAGTGCTGGGATTACAGGCGTGAGCCACCGCGCCTGGCCGTTTTGTGTTTTTTTAAAGTGACGGGTAGGTATATATATTGACATATGCTTGTGTAAACATAAAATAGTCCCAGATGGAATCATGGGAGACTACAGCAGTAGTAGAAGACTGAGGCTGGAAAAGGGGTAGGACGAGGTCTTTTCAATCTATGTGTTCAAAACTTTTGTTTTATTTGGAGCCACGTAAATGAATTACCTCTGTACAAAAATTAAACAAATTTTTAAAGTTTATGTATCCTCTGAGCCCTTCCTTGGAAAGATGACTTAAGGGACCACCGGGCTTTTGTTTGTTTTAGCTAAAACAGGGCAATTTACTTAGAGTTCGAACTTTAGAGTTCAGAGGAACCCAGAGTAGTATGCAGGATGCCAGAGCAGTCAGGCCAGAGGGAGGGAACAAAAGAAAAGGATGTCTGAAACCAGGACGATGGCCACACAGTTCAGTGAATGATGTACCTTTCTCTCAGCCTCTATCTAGCCAAGGTAGGGAATTGGTTTGAGGTTGACTCAAAAAGTTAATCTGCTGGCTAAGAATGGACTCCTGGGTAGTGATATCTGCCAAGTTTATAGCCTTAAAGCTATTTTCCCCAGAAAGTGTTAGAGAACCTTGAACCTCAACCTTATACACAAAAGGCGTGTGGCAAAGAGCTGACACCACAAGTAAGTGATTGAAAGGAAACGGAAAATGGATACAGACGTTTTTAATGCACAAAATACACCCCTTTAGCTGTTTATAGATCTAGGATCACAATATCAGGCAATATTTGAATATAATATGACAGAGTATTTCATGTTCAGTAGTTTTTTAAGTTTCCCCAAAAACTTTTATTTTGAAAGTTCTCAAACACACAGTAAAGTTAAAAACAATTATAATACTGTATGCCCAAACCCACAATTAATATTTTGTGAGATCACATCTGCCCATCTTTATCTATCTGCTCATCCTTCTGTTCATTCATCAGTCCGTCTTACTGTTTTAATAAATTTCAAAGTCAGCTGCAGATACCTAAACATCTCAGCACACACACAATTAAGTAGAGATCAATATTTGTTTACAGTTTTGTTTTTTAAGGTAAAACACGCAAATCTTAATGTGAGTTTTGACAAACTCATGTGACCCAGAGCCCTATCAGGATATAGATCAGCACCTTGGGAGGCCAAGGCAGGAGGATCATTTGAGCCCAGGAGTATGAAACCAGCCTGGGCAAGATGGAGAGACCCCATCTCTACAAAAAATTAAGCCAGGTGTGGTGGTACGTGCCTGTAGTCCTAGCTACTCAGGAGGCTAAGGCAAGAGGACTGATTAAGCCCAGGAGTTGGAGGCTGCAGTGAGCTGCTGACCGCGCCACTACAACCCAACCTGGGCAACAGAACAAGATCTTGTCTCTTAAATAAAGAAAAGATATAGACCATTAACTGTCACTCTACAAAGTTCCTTCATGCCCCTTCCCCAAACCACTACTGTAATTTCTTTTTTCCTCACCATTGATTAGTTTTACCTGTGAAATAATCTCCCCCCAACACACACCCCTTTGTGTGTGTGTTTTTGTTTTGTTTTGTTTTTGACACAAGGTCTTACCCTGTCATCCAGGCTAGAGTACAGTGGTGTGATCACAGCTCATTGCAACCTTAAACTTCCGGTCTCAAGCGATCCTCCCTCATCAGCCTCCTGAGTAGCTGAGACTACAAGTGTGCCACCATGCTCAGCTAATTTTTTTAATTTCACAGGGATTAAAAGCACAGGGACTGGCCAGGCACAGTGGCTCACGTCTGTAATCCCAGCACTTTGGGAGGCCGAGGCGGGCAGATCACCTGAGGTCAGGAGTTCGAGACCAGCCTGGCCAACGTGGTGAAACCCCGTCTCTACTAAAAATACAAACATTAGCCGGGCATGGTGGCAGGTGCCTGTAATCCCAGCTACTCGGAAGGCTGAGGCAGGAGAATCGTTTGAACCCAGGAGGCAGAGGTTGCACTGAGCCAAGATCGCGTCATTGCACTCCAGCCTGGGGGACAAGAGCAAGACTTCGTTTCCAAAGAAAAAAAAAAAAGCACAGGGATTACAGGTGTGAGCCCCCTCGTCCAGCCCCATACTCCTTTTTTTAAAGAAAGAAAAAGACGTTTAAAAATATACTATCTTATTTTTGGATACTGTTAAAATCTAGCCTCAATTTTAAAGAAAGAAAGAATTTTACAAAGTTAACCCAACAGTCTCTTTTCTTACTCAGTCTCAGCAGCACTCCCTCCCAGGGGCCCCTCCCTTCAACTTCCACCTCACAGCCTGGGCTAGGTCTGTCCCCACCTCACAGGCCACTCTGTCTCCTGCAAGCTGAGGCTCCATCTCCACAGACCTCTCACCTTGAGAGCCCTGAGGACCCACTCTTGAGATCTCCCCGAGCCATACTCTCCCATAGAGGTCCTCCCTCCATCAGATGTCAAATGCCCTCATCTAGGGCCCCATGACAACTCTCACGTCCATCCCCAGGCAGACCCTCTGGCCTGTTTGACAGTTCCATTTGAATTTCTCACAGACATCCTAAACTGTTCATTTTAACATGACAGTGAAAAGGAATGTCTCCTTCCCATCCTATCACTTAGCCACCCATTTGCCCTTCCGCCCGTTTGCCCTCCTGGAGGGCCACCAACCACTGTTACCAGTCTCAGAAAAGTCCAGACAAATATATTGCTTTCTTTTTTTTCTTTCTTTTTTTTTTTTTTTGAGACGCAGTCTCCCTCTGTTGCCCAGGCTGGAGTGTAGTGGCGTGATCTCGGCTCAATACAACCTCCGCCTCCTGGGTTCAAGCGATTATCCTGCCTCAGCCGCCCCAGTATCTGGGGTTACAGGTACGCACCAGCACACCCAGCTAATTTTTGTATTTTTAGTAGAGATGGGGTTTCACCATGTTGGTCAGGCTGGTCTCGAACTCCTGACCTCGTGATCTGCCTGCCTCAGCCTCCCAAAGTGCTGGGATTACAGGCGTGAGCCACCACGCTCGGCCTCACAAAGATATTCTATAGAACGATTCTGTATCTTGATTGTGGGAGTGGTTACATGAATTTATGCATGGGATAAAACTGCATAATACTACACACACACACATACACACACAGGCACGCACAACCACACACACACAAGTGCTGCTTAAAACCCAGTGAGGCCCATAGTTTGGTTAACAGTATTATACTAATGTCAATTTCCTGGTTGTGACAGTGTGCTACAGTTATATGTCACCATTGAAGGAAGAGGGGGTGAAGGGTTCATGGGACTCCATGTACTACTTTTGAAACTTCCTGTGAGTCTATAATTATTTCAAAATAAAAAGGTAAAAGTATTCTGTGTATATGTTTGTTTGTTTTTATTTTTTTTTTGAGACAAACTCTCGCTCTGTCACCCAGGCTGGAGTGCAATGGCACAATCTCCAGCCTCCGCTTCCTGGGTTCAAGCAATTCTACTGCCTCAGCCTCCCAAGTAGCTGGGATTACAGGCGCACGTCACCAGGCCTGGCTAATTTTTGTATTTTTGTAGAGATGGGGTTTCACCATGTTGGCCAGGCTGGTCTTGAACTCCTGACCTCAGGTGATCGGCCTGCCTTGGCCTCCCAAAGTGCTGGAATAACAGGCATGAGCCACTGCGCCCGGCCGTGCATATGTTCTTTTTTATTCAAACTGGAGCTACCAGTGAGTTCTGTACCCCACTGTCTTTATGTAGTATCTAATCAGTGTGTTCGTTTTCAAAACACACAGCGTTCCATGATATGGTTGTACCATAATTTTACCAGGCCTCTGGTGATGGACCTTCTGGTTGTTTCCAATCTTTAAAGGTCACCATGTACACAGGGCATTTCATACACATCTAAGTATCCCTTTAAAGAACTTTTATAGGATAGGCCAGCCATGGTGGCTCACACCTGTAATCCCAGCACTTTGGGAGGCCGAGGCAGGCAGATCACTTGAAGTCAGGAGTTCCAGACCAGCCCAGCCAACATGGTGAAACCCCATCTCTACTAAAAATACAAAAATTAACCGGGTGTGGAGGCATACACCTGTAATCCCAGCTACTCGAGACGCTAAGGCAGGAGAATAGCTAGAACCCGGGAGGTGCAGGCTGCAGCGAGCAAAGATCATGCCACTGCATTCCACCTGAACCACAGAGTGAGACTCCATCTCAAAAAAAAAAAAAAAAAAAAAAAGAATTTCTAAAGGATAAAGGGCATATGTATTTGTTTATTTTGCCAGCTATTGACACAATACACCAAATGATTCTCCCACCAACAATGCAGAGGATTCCTGGTTCCCCACTTCACCCAGGCATCAAATGTGTGCATCCTTGTGAACCAAAAAAGTGAGAAACAGTGTGGCAATGTGATGAGGCCATGTTTGTTTTAATCTATCATTAGCAAGGCTCAGCGTCCTTTCAAATTTAAGAATCATCTGTACTTCCTTGTCTGTGAATTGTTTGCTCATACCCTCTGCTCATTTTTCTTCCAGGCTGAGCTTTACTTATTTATGGAAGCTCTTTATATGTTGAGGAAAATAGTCCTTTCTGATGTTATTGGTATTTTTTCCAATTTGATGTCAATCTTTTGACTTTGGTTATTTTTGACAGCAAAGGTGTTGTTGTCGTCGTCGTTATTATTGTTGTTTGAGACGGAGTTTCACTCTTATTGCCCAGGCTGGAGTGCAATGGCACGATCTCGGCTCATTGCAACCTCCGCCTCCCAGGTTCAAGCGATTCTTCTGCCTCAGCCTCCCGAGTAGCTGTGATTACAGGCACACGCCAAAACGCCCGGCTAATTTTGTATTTTTAGTAGAGATGAGGTTTCTTCATGTTGGTCCAGCTGGTCTTGAACTCCCGACCTCAGGTGATCTGCCCACCTCGGTCTCTCCCAGGAGGCAGAGGTTGCAGTGAGCCAAGATTGCGCCACTGCACTCCAGCCTGGGCCACAGAGCAACATTCTGCCTCAAAAATAAATAGATAAATAAAACAAGTAAAAAATAAAAATAAAAATCAGCCCAGACTGGTGGCACCTGCTTGTATGTAGTCTCAGCTACTCAGAGGCTAAGGGAGGAAGATCGCTTAAGCCCAGGTCTTCAAGGCTCAGCAAGCTATAATCACACCACTGCACTCCAGCCTGGGGTACAGAGCAAGACCCTGTCTCTAAAATAAATTTTTAAAACACACACACACACACACACACACACACACACACACACACACATCCCAATGCTTGCACTCTGCTTAAGACCCTTCAGCAGTTGCTTGGGACGCTGGATGAAGCCTTGCCTCCGTACGGTGACCTAGCAGACCCCCATCCCCAAGCCACGCAGCTCCTGCCTCCCCCAGCTTCACACATGAGGCTCCCGTCACACTGACCTTTTAAGAGCTCCCAGAACAAGTCAGGCACTCCATGCTTCTAAGTCACTGTGTTTGTTGTTCCCTCTGCCCAAAATACACTTCCCAGCTCTTCACAGAGCTGCCTCCCTTTCATCCATCCACAAGTGGGCTTAAATAACACTGTTAGGTACCTTCCCTTGCCACCCTAAATTGCTGCCTCACCCCAGTCTCACCCCTCTTATTCACTTCAGCAGGTACCTGCTACTTCTCATGCTTCATTGTAAGAACAAGATCTGGGTCCAGCTCAACAAATACTTGAACAAAGAATGAAGTAAGCAGCCCAGTGTAAAGAGAATGCCTCATACAAAGTTCAGAGGCCCAGGAGATAGAAGCTGGTAAAACCATTCACAAGAAGCAAGCGTGAAGAAGGAGGGTGCCCAGCAGGAAATGACTGCATGCAAACAGAGCTGGTTATAGTGGGGCTTGGCCCCCAACCCTTTGGGGAAACAAGGTGGGAAGTGAATCAATATAGTGGGAACTGCCTGGAGACAGCGACGGAAAAAAACCTGAAACCATAAGGGATTCCTCAAGATATACAATGACAAGTTTCACTGATCCCCTCTTCTCCTAAATAAAAAAGAATTCCAGGGAAGAAGGCACTTTGTTTTTTTGTTTTGTCTTTGAGACAGTGTCTCCCTGTGTTGCCCAGGCTGCAGTACAGTGGCACAACCATAGCTCACTGCAGCCTCAACCTCCAGAGCTCAATCTTCCCATCTCAGCCTCCCAAGTAGCTGGAACTACAAGCACATGCCACTATACCTGAATAATTTTTGTATTTTTTGTAGAGACAGAGTCCCACTATATTGCCCAGGCTGTTCTCAAACTTCCAGGCTCAAGCAATCCACCCACCTTAGCCTCCCAAAGTATTGGGATTACAGGCGTGACCTGTGTCTGGCCCAAGGAGAGATACTTTGAACAGTTCATTTTAAAGCAAGAAACTCAATTAAATAAGAATTTCATTAAATTAACTGAACTCTTACAAACTGGAATATCATCTCTCTGGGATCAGCTGATTTAAAATTTGTTACTAATCTTGAAGTTATGTAAGATCTCAAGGTATCCTGGATCTTCAGAACTCCCTTACTATTTACTCAGTGCCTGGTAGGTTAAACTCATTATCCCAAAGTCTAGTACAATGTTGGTAACTAGACAAATAAATCCACATCCATGAGCTTTTGACCTTACATGGTAACTTTAGAAACTAGCTCACATTAACAGAAGACATCAAGGTAAGGGAAATGTGACTGCAACATACTGAGACAGAAATAGTAGCTCTTACTGGACTCCAGGCACTGTTCTACATGCTTTATACGTATTAAGTCATTTAATCCTCCTGCTAACCTTAAGTGACAGGTACTATAAAGAAACTGAAATACAGATAAGTGACGCAGCTGGCCCAGGATTACACCTAGGAAGTAGCAGAGCTCAATTTCAAAGGCAGACAGCCTGGCTCCAAGCCTGAGAGCCTATCCACCTGGCTCTTCTGCACATTACGTGCCAAAGACGCCTGGAGGGGAGTGAGCATCTGTCTAGGGTGGCCCTGGGCTGGGCTCTGAAAGACAAATATGGCTCTGATGAACAGGTGGGCACTTTAAAGCCATTCAGGAGAAATGAAAGAAACACACGCATGCGTGTGCACTTGTGTACACAAAAAGATATGCTCAACAGACGTCATTTAATGCAACTCAGACAAAGCAGAGGGCTTTCACAGGAATGCAGTAGGCCAGGAGTCTGGACATCACTCCAGGGAAAATCTTTCAAGGGGATCTGCTCCACCCAGAACATAATGTATTTAAATACAAATAATATTAAAACAGCCTTACTTACAAGATGTACTAACACAGGACCAAAGTCTCCCAGTGAAGGCAGTGCAGAGGTCACCTAGCACAGCATTTGTACTTTTGCCTAAAAAGGTATCCCTACATTTCAAGTGAAAAATTACAGGCTGGGTGCAGTGGCTCATGCCTGTAATCCCAACATTTTAGGAGGCTGAGGTGGGAGGATCGCTTCAGGCCAGGAGTTTGAGACCAGCCTAGGCAACATAGGAGACCCCATCTCTATAAAAATGTTTAAAAAATTAAATGGGCATGGTGGTGTACACTGTAGTGCCAGCTACTCGGGAGACTGAGGCAGAAGGATTGCTTGAGGCCAGGAGTTTGAGGTCACAGCAAACTATGACTATGCCACTATACTCCAACCTGGGTGTCAGAGCAAGATCCTGTCTCAAAAAAAAGGGGGTGGGGGGGAGGAAAAATGATACATTCCACTCCATATTCAATTCTATCCCCAGACTGAAGCCTGTGTAATATTAATAGCTTTAAAACAACAACTACAAAGTAGTTAAAGTATCATTATTGTCATCCTTAATTGGCAACAGTATATTAACTGGCTCTTGCAACACTTACAAAAGCACCTGGGGCACAAGGCAAGCCTCAGAAGGCTGCAAACCCAGATGATAAGACATTAAAGTTGTTGAAGCTCCTATTGGATACTTTATGAAACAGTTTCTCCCTTTTACTGAAAAGGAAAATTTCATGAGAGACAGTATGCCAAACAACAGCAGGAAGGTAATGTTACATTTTGGCTGGAGTTCTTCCCCCCACAGGAACTATTCACTTTGAAATTGCTGTCAGATTTCAGATTCAGTAAGATACAAAGTCTGTGAAGAGCCTGAAGAGCCTCCCTCTGCGAAGAGGCTCCGCCTGCCAAGAGCCTCCCTCGGCACCCACGCCCTGCTAAGTGGTGGTTCCCAGGAACATCTCATCTTATCTATGACCTCTGTATGGAAGAACTCAACAGGAATATTTCATGTAAAAGCTTCATGACAAATGATTTGCCTGGGGACACTGATACCACCACGATGTACCCAAGACCGCCAGCCGATGAAGTCTTCCCAACCAAGTAACCCCAACACACTCTCACCTTCTTACCAAATGTGCCAGATTAATGTCCTGCTCCAAATTCAGGCCTTTTCAGAAAACATAAAGCTTCCCGCTTTCTATTTGTGAAAAAGTAACCTCGTTGCTTTACATAAACGAAAATCACCTCATTTAATATGCCTTTTGTGTACATGTAAATTAAAACGTTATCACTAGCAGTAATTTTTAAACTTCTGGATTAATACTTTAATACTTCTCTCCTCCTTAAAAATTATCTAAAATTTCTTCTTGATTTGCCAACACCTCACACTTTAAGTAATTTTCATAAGGATTCTGGAGAAAAATATTTTCACTAGAAAAAAAACAAAACAAAACAGAACACTTCCAGACGTTATCCAGAAGACAAAAGTTTGCTCACATCATACTGTCTCTAGAAAGCCCTTTCTAGGGTATCTGTGGCAACAGGATACAGACGTCTTTTGTTTCTTTCTTCCTTTACTGAAATGCTCAAAACTTTCCAACAGTCACTCTCACCATCCCTGGAGTTGAGAGTTTCTATAATTGATTCTCTTCCACTTACAATGACAATTTAACCCACCCCAACTGGCAGGTTTTAAAATCAGTCAAAACTAAGAATTGTGGAACAATGTGGCTGACAAGCCACCATTCTTATTTGCAAAAACTGACAGAATCTGGGGAATGGGAAGGAAAGAGGGTGTAGGTCTGTGTAAAACCCCCAACGAAAAGTCACAGTAACATGAAGAAAGGCAGGAATTCTCCACTTCGTTTGGATGGCAGAAAATCAACGGGCTCTTTGTAGAATAAACACACACACACAAACACACACGCACAAATATTGATAATATTGAGCCTCAACAACTCATGATCTCATCCTGAGACAAACCTCATACAACTATTTGTAGCCTCCAGCATACAGCAGATAGGGAAAATTTTTCAACAGGGAAAATACTGTCCATTAACTTGAATTATTCTGCAAATTAGGACAAGACCCATTGTGCAATTCAGTTCAACAGTTTGGCTCAGTATGAGAAGGAAGAGGCAGTGGATTCTTTGAGAGCTTAAGGGAAGGAGGCCACATGCCATCAGAGAAGCAGGAAAGATAAGCAGATAGACATGTCTTCTCAGGGCCACCACCCATTCAGATGCCCCAGCTGCGCGCTGTCCAGTCGAAATATTGTACAAAATATATTACACAAAATAAGCCATACGTGTCATTGTATGTATGTATGTATGTACGCATGTATGTGGAGAGGGAGTCTCGCTCTGTTGCCCAGGGAGGAGTGCAGTGGCACAATCTCGGCTCACTGCAACCTCTGCCTCCCGGTTCAAACGATTCTCCTGCCTCAGCCTCCCCAGTAGCTGGGATTACAGGCGCCTGCCACCACGCCTGGCTGATTTTTGTATTTTTACTAGAGACGGGGTTTCTCCATGTTGGCCAGGCTGGTCTCGGAATTCCTGACCTCAGGTGATCCACACACCTCGGCCTCCCAAAGTGCTGGGATTACAGACGTTGAGCCACCCCGCCCGGCCCGTATATGTCATTTTAAATTTCCAAATAGCCACACTAAAAAAAGAGAAAAAGAAAAGCAGTGAGATTAACTTTTGTTTTTTTATTTGTTTGTTTTGAGACAGTGTCCCAGGCTGGAGCACAAAGGCACAATCTCAGCTCACCGAAGCCTCAATCTCCTGGGCTCAAGGGATTCTCCCACCCCAGCCTTCCGAGTAGCAGATTCTCCCACCTCAGCTTCCCGAGTAGCTGACTACCGGCGTGCGCCACCACGCCCAGTTAATTTTTTGTATTTTTTGTAGAGACAGGGGTCTCACTATGTTGCTGAGGCTGGTCTTGAACTCCTGCACTCAAACGATCCTCCTGCCTCAGCCTCCCAAAGTTTTGGGATGACAGGCATGAGCCACTGCATCCTGCCAAGATTAATTTTAATGATCTATTTTCGTTAATCCAATTTGTCCCAAACATGACCATCTCAACATGCATTTAAGTATAAAAGATTACCAATGACATCTTTTACTTTCTTTCTCATCCGAAGTTTTTAAAATCAGATGTACGTTTCACAGCTGGGACCGCAACTGAAACTGGCCCCATTTCGTGGGCTCCATCGTCCCAAACGGCGGGGGGTCAGTGGCCACCGTACTGGGCATGGCAAGGTCCTTCGTGGTTCAATACCGAACACGGGCAACTCCTTTTCATCCCTAGACAGGTGGGGACAGGAAAATACCCAACTCCTGGCAAATCCACCCAGTCCCGACTCAGGCTCGACCTCGGAGGCCCCGGCCGGGCCTCAGGCGGCCCCACCCCTTTGCTGCCCAGGCCTGACCGGAAGCCCCGCTAATGGGAACTGACAGGTCCCGGTCCCGGTCCTCCCGGGCGGCGCCCCCGCCTCCGCGGACCCCAAGGCCTCTCCCCGCCCGGCCCAGGGCTGCACCCCGCGCGAAAAAATAAAAAAATCAGAAAGGGGGGTAAAAAAGACGGATGAGCCCCAAATTAATGCGCCAAGCTCTCCGCCGGCATCCTTCCCGCCCCCAAGCCCAAGACGCTGAATCGGGATCCCCGCGATCACCAGAGCAGACAGAAATAACCAAAAAAAAAATTTTTTTTTAGTGAAATCACCAAAAAGGAGACATTTTGCCGAGGGAATGGCAGGCAGAAGTGGGTCACGTTATTCTCGGTGGGGGAAGGGGACGGCGCGCCCACCCGTCCCTCCGCGCGCACAGGCCCCGGCCCGGCTCCTCTCAGGGTCCTCTCGGGTCCGCGGGCCCCGGACCCCGCCGCCCCTCCCCCGCCCCGCCCGCCGTCCGTTAACGGCCGCGCGCGAGCACGAGGCGGCGGCGCGCGCGGGGGGGGCGGGGGCGCGGGCGCGCGCGTTTCCTTCATGCCCGGCGGCGTCCCCCTACCCCTACCTGTGGGGACGACGCGCCGGCCGGCGGCAGAAGGCAGGCGGAGGCGGGCGGCGGCAGGCGGGCAGCGGTGGCGGCGGCGGCGGCGGGGCCTGGGTGCTCGCTCGCAGCTCTCCCTCGGTTAGCGGCGGCGGCAGCGGCTCGGTTGCGCCCGCGGCGGCGCCCTCTAGCGGCGGGAGGCCGCGCTTGCCGCCCGGGAGACGCCGCCATTGGCTGCGCCGGAGCTACGGGCTGGGGGCGGTGGCGCCACGTCTGACTGGGGGCAGGGACCTGGGCGCGCCGTTCAATCCGGAGCCCCGGCGTCGACGCGCGGCCCACTGGGTGAGCCAATGGGAAGGCCACGTTGCGCACTGGACGCGCTCGGACTCAAGACTGATTAACCAGCACCGGGGTTTTCTGGGGCCTCGCCTGGGCCGCGGCCTGAGCAGAAGCGCTAGGAGGTAGAACAGCGTCCAGCGGGGAGAGGAGCTAGAGTCGGCATCGGGAAGCCCACCCTGGAGCCTGCTTAGCTTGACGAGCCCTCAACCGGGGCGCCCTGCTCTGCGAAGAGTAACCCTGCATCCTCAGAACAACCGTGATTGTCTTCATTCCTACATATGAGGAACGGAGGCGCGGAGCCCCACGGCAGCCGGGGATCCAAAGACAGCCTCCCTCCAGTTCCATCTGCCGGCTCTTGGAAGGCCTGGATCCCTGTCCTTCAGGGCCCAGCCCAAATGCCGCCTCGTCCATCTGCATTTTACGGCCAGGTGCCCCGCTGCGGGCACGGCTTCTTGTAAAATGCTCAGCTCAGCAGTGGGCGAGGCAGGGTCCCTGCCCCATGGGATGGAGGGCGGAGATCAGGACCCACAAGAGCCCAAAGAAGACCATTTTGGTCGGTGAAGACCAAAGAAATTCAAGCAGGAGGATGTGACAGGAGCTTTTGGGAAAGCCTCTGAGGAGGTGACAGCCATGCAACCGTGTTCGGGGAAGTGTGCCGCAGGCAGAGGGGAAATGAGTGCAAAAGCCCTGAAGCTGGAGTTCGGTGTCTGGATAACAGGAAAGGCCTGCATAGCTGATGTGTGCCAGAGGGGAGAAAGATCTGTGACACAGGGGGGCCGCCATGTTTAATTTGGAGTTTTGTGTGGAAGGGGGTCATTCATTGAGTCTGAATTGGGAGTTCCGAGGTCTCATTTATATTTTAGAAAGTTCTCTCCTGCTACTATGCAGAGATTGGGCTGTAGGAGAGACAAGAGGGGAAGTGGGGACTCTAGCTACAGTAGCTCTTCCAGGGGTCTGGGTGACGTAGATTTACAAACCAGAGTATTAGCTCAGGCTGCCATGACAAAATACCCCAGACCAGGCAGCTTAGACAACAGGAATTTATTTTCTCACAGTTTTAGAGGCTGCAAATCTAAGGTCTGGGTGCCGGCAGGGCTGGTTTCTGGTGAGGCCTCTCTCCCTGGCTTGCAAACAGCTGCCTTCTCACTGTGTCCTCCTATGACCTTTTCTCTGTGAGCAGGAATCCCTGGTGTGTCTTCCTTTTTCTTACAAGAACAACAATTTTACTAGATTAGGGCCCCACCCTATGACTTCATTTAACCCCAGTGACTACCTAAAAGGCCGTATTCAAATAGTCGTATTAGGCCAGGCGCAGTGGCTCACGCCTGTAATTCTAGCACTTTGGGAAGCCGAGGCAGATGGATTGCCTGAGCTCAGGAGTTGGAGACCAGCCTGGGCAACACAATGAGACCCCGTCTTTACTAAAATACAAAAAATTAGCCGGGCATGGCGACGTGCACATGTAATCCCAGCTACTCGGGAGGCTGAGGCAGGAGAATCGCTTGAACCTGGGAGGCAGAGGTTGCAGTGAGCTGAGATCGCGCCATTGCACTCCATATTGGGCGAGAGAGAGAGTCTGTACCAAAAAAAAAAAAAAAAGTATAAGGGTCCTATGACTTCATTTAACCCTAATGACTGCCTAATATGCCTAATAGCCATATTAGGGTTAGAGCTTCAACATACGGACTCCGGGGTGGGTATGTGCGGAGCGGGGAGCGTTTCAGTCCGTAACACCAGGTAAGTGCTGCAACAGATATTGGAGAGCTGATGGGCTGTGGTTTTAGGGAAGCTCCTCTAAGAAAGGGGTGGATTATACCGGGCGCACTGGCTCACATCTATAATCCCAGCACTTTGGGAGGCCGAGGCAGGGGGATCACGAGGTCAGAAGTTCAAGACCAGCTTGGCCAACATGGTGAAACCCTGTCTCTACTAAAAATACAAAAATTAGCCAAGCATGGAGGCAGGCGCCTGTAATCCCAGCTCCTGGGGAGGCTGAGGCAGGAGAATCACTTGAACCTGGGAGGTGGAGGTTGTGGTGAGTCGAGATCGCGCCACTGTACTCCAGCCTGGGCGACACAGCGAGACTCCGTCTCAAAACAAAATAAGAAAAAGAAAGGGGTGGATTATTCTCGTGACCAGAGGCTGCTCATCATTCAGGCCTCAACTACAGTAGCCTCTCTTGGAGAGGCCTTCACTGACAGCCCATCTAAAAGTTGCTCACTAACACAGCGCCCTATCTGATCTTCCAAGCAGTCATCATGATCTGAAATGACCTCGTCTAGTCCTGTTGCCAGAAGGCTCAGGAGGTCTCTGGATACTGGTGACACCCCAGCCCCAGCCAGTTTCCAGGTTCTTGACACCTTGGAGAGAAAGAATTCAAGAATGAGTTGAATGAAGCAAAGGGCAAGAAGGTTTTTTTTTGTTGTTTGTTGTTTTTGTTTTTTTTGAGACAGGATCTCAGTCTGTCACCCAGGCTGGAGTACAGAGGCGCAATCATGGCTCACTGCAGTCTTGATCTCCCGGGCTCGGGTGATTCCCGCCACCTCAGCTTCCTGAGCAGCTGGGACTAGTACCACACCGGCTAAGTTTTTGGGGTTTTTTTTGTTTTTGTAGAGACAGGGTTTTGCCATGTTGCCCAGGCTGGTCCCAAACTCCTGGGCTCAAGCAGTCCTCCCACCTTGACCTCCCAAAGTGCTGGCATTACAGTTGTAAGACACTGCACCGAGCTGCAAGAAGCTTTTATTGCAAAGTGAACATACACATTTAAGAGAGAAGTGCAGGCATGCCCGTGAGAATGAGTCTTGCACAATGGAGTTTGGGTTCCTAATTTTATGGGTGTTTCTTTTAGTTACAGGATGGAATTATCGTTAGGCATTCTGGAAAGGGAGGGGATTTCAGGGACCTCCACCTCAATTACTGTCTCCTTTCTTCCTTATCTGGGTTTGCTGGAAGAAGCATGGACATGTCACCCTGGCCAGAGTTTTGGCCATCTTCTCTCCCTTGGGTTTTCTGTTATCCTATGGTTTATTTGCCTAGTTCCTGTTTCAGCTGTTTGGGTTTTTCCATCCTCCTGTGACCACCCAGTGCTGTTCCTGTCTCAGGCATTTGGGCGCTTGTTTGTGGTCGGCCTCCAACCCTACAGGAGAGCAGAGACTCTGCTTTTTTTGTTTTGTTTTGTTTTTGCTTTTTGAGACAGAGTTTTGCTCTTGTTGCCCAGGCTGGAGTGCAATACATAATCTTGGCTCACTGCAACCTCTGCCTCCCAGGTTGAAGCGATTCTCCTGCCTCAGCCTCCCAAGTAGCTTGGATTACAGGCGTGCGCCGCCACCTCACCCGGCTGATTTTTGTATTTTTAGTAGAGACGGGGTTTCTCCATGTTGGTCAGGCTGGTCTTGAACTCCTGACCTCAGGTGATCCACCTACCTCGGCCTTCCAAAGTATTGGGATTACAGGCATGAGCCACCACGCCTGGCCCAAACCAGTTTCTTTTGTCCTATATTCTCAGCCCCTTGATAGTAGGTAGCACCCCTTAAATACTTCTGGAGTGGATGTCTCAAGCAAGCCTGAGGCTAAGATCTGATTAGAAGCGTGAGTAGGAGATATCCTAATGCAGTGGTGCATGTAGAAAAGAAAAAAGCCTGATGCGGTGGCTCCCGCCTGTAATCACAACACTGGGAGGCTGAGGTGGGCGGATCGCTTGAGGCCAGGAGTTCAAGACCTGCCTGGCCAACATGGCGGAACCACATCTGTACTAAAAATACAAAAATTAGCCAGGCGTTGTGGCGGGTGCCTGTAATCCCAGCTACTTGGAAGGCTGAGGCACTCATGCCACTGCACTCCAGCCTGGGTGACAGAGTGAGATTCCATCTCAAAAAAAAAAAAAAAAAAAAAAGCTCTTGTGATTGCATTGGGTCCACCTGGATAACCCAAGATGGTCTCTTCATCTCAAGATTGTAACTTAATCCCAATAGCAAACTCCCTTTTGCTAGGTAACAGGTTACTGGGGTCAGCATGTGGACATCTTTGGGGAACCATTATTCTGCCTACCACAGAGAGCAAAGTAAAGGACATCTGCGTATGGGTGTGCCTGCTTCCTGGAATCCCCATCTCCAGCCCTTGTTGAGGTGATGACACTCCCTATTCCCCCACCCCTGGTAGCACTAGGTGCTGTAGTGCTGAGGAAAATAGACTGACTCATTCCTCAGGCTTCCACTCTAGTGGGAGAAATTTTCAGTTTCTTCATTGGATATTACACTGACAAGTACACTCTCTAAGGACCTATTATGTGCCCCATGCCTGAGGGTACAAAGTTGGATAAGACAGGATTCCTGCCCTCACCCAGCCTACGGTCAGGTCAAGGATTCAGGCTGTGTTCATCAGTGATTCTAGGGGTGGCCAGGGTAGGCGGAGGAGTCTGTGGAGCCACCTAGGAGTGACCTCTTCATTCTCTCCAGAAATACTTACAGAGCACTTACTCTGTGCCAGATACTATTCTAAATTCATGGGATGTGTCAGTACAGAACAAAGATCACTATCCTAATGAAGTTTACATTCCAGGAGAGTGAAACAGACAACAATATAAGTAAATCATAGAGTATGTTAGAGGATGCTAAGTATTATGTTTAAAGAAAAAGCAGGGGTGGGCAGAAGCCGAGCACAGTGGCTCCACCTGTCATCCCAGCACTTTGGGAGACTGAGGCAGAAGTTCGAAACTACTTTGGGCACCATGGTGAGACAGTGTCGCTACAAACAAAAAAGGTGGGGAAAGGGGGAGACGTAGAAGCAACAGTACTTAAAGACACTGATATAGATGCCAGATTGAGAAGTATACAGGGTGGTTATCAATGAATGCTATGAAGATACCATAAAGGAGATGGTGACAGGCTATTCTGGGCACACTGCTTGTGGGGTAGCCCTGCTCTGCAAGAAGCGGGGTTTTGTTTTTTTTGTGTGTGTTTTTTTGGGAAAATTTAATTTTGGGCCAGACATGGTGGTTCATGCCTATAATCCCAGCACTTTGGGACGCTAAGGTGGGCAGATCACCTGAGGTCAGGAGTTTGAGACCAGCCTGGCCAACATGGCAAAACCTCGTCTCTACTAAAAATACAAAAATTAGCCAGGCATGGTGATGCGCACCTGTAATCCCAGCTACTCAGGGAGGCTGAGGCAGGAGAATCACTTGAACCTGGGAGGCGGTGGTTGCAGTGAGCTGAGATCACACCACTGCACTCCAGCCTGGGCGACAGAGTGAGACTCCCATCTCAAATAATAATTTTTTAATTAATTGAAGGAGATGATGGGGAAACCAAGTCATACAAAAGGGGTTGCAGAGTCATTCCTGTAGGGGTCCAGCCGGTAACCTAATGAGCCTGCCCAGGGGTCAGCGTAGACTCAGGAACACCCTGTCCACTCTAGCTAAGGTAACAACTGCTTCCCAGGCCTCTCTGTTCTTGCCATGTGGTCTACAAATGCAGTTTTGCCAGAAACTCCAGGCGTATTTCAAGATTAGCTAGAAATTGGGATTTTATTACAACAAATACTCTACTTTGAAAAGTTAATTAGTAGAAAAAAGAAACACTATGTAATACAAATAAGCCATGTCCATAGGCAGCAGTGAGCCCATGGGCCACCCACTTGCAACATCTGTCGTAAAAACTAAATAAGATATAGATAGATCTTAGGACAGACCTTCTAGATTCATTAATGGGAGTTATGATGTAGTCACCAGATACTGTAGTGAATGCCATAAAAAATACAGATGGGGTTAGGTGGGGTGGCTTATACCTGTAATCTCAGCACTTTGGGAGGCCGAGGGAGGTGAACCACTTGAGGTCAGGGGTTCGAGGCCAGCCTGGGAAACATGGTGAAATGCCGTCTCTACTATAAATACAAAAATTAGCTGGACGTGGTAGTGGGCGCCTGTAATTCCAGCTACTTAGGAGGCTGAGGTGAAAGAATCGCTTGAACCCAGGAGGCAGAGGTTGTAGTGAGCCGAGATCGACCCACTGCACTCCAGCCTGGGTGACAGAGCAAGACTTTGTCTCAAAAAATATACGTGTGTGTATATATATATATATATATATATATATATATATATATATATATATTTGTGTGTATATTGTGTATATACATATGTGTATACACACAAATATATTTGTGTATATATAAAAGATATATTTTGTGTATATTTTTTGGGGAGAGGGGGAAAAAAAGGAAGACAAAGTTATGACCAGACACCTGGTCTTTTTTTCTTCTCTGTCTCTCTTTTTTTTTTTTTTTTTTTTTTTTTTTAGAGACAGGGCCTCTCTCCGTTGCCCAGGCTGGAGTGCAATGGCACAATCACAGCTCACTGCAGCCTCAGTCTCCTGGGTTCAAGCAATCCTCCTACCTCAACCTCCCAAGTAGCTGGGACTGCAGGCTTGTGCCACAGCCTCTTTAATTAAAAAAAAAAAGAGAGAAAGAAAAAGCAAACAAGGGCTGTTCTTTCCTATGCTTTTGGTTTTTCTGAAGTATATTAGTTTGCAATTTCAGCCTTCTTGCTCACCTTGAATCCTCCACCCCTCTGCATGTTGTACCTGTTCTCAGCTGTATTAGGAGTCAGTATAATAGGATTATTTCCGGTTGCCTTGGTTTTCCTTTCAGCTGGGCACCAAATTAAGTATCTCAGTAAAATAACCCATCTCCTAGCACCCACCCAAAAAATTGGGAGTTACTTTTCCTTGGCCCGTGAGGTCTCTGGATACCAGCTTCTACACATAAGCAGCAATAGCAGTAGTAGTTCAGCTTTATATACAAAGTTATCTGAGATTCTCAGCAGGAGCTGGCATGCACACATAGCAAAAGTGTCCACTTTTTAAAAATATATTCACTGGCCGGGCGCAGTGGCTCACGCCTATAATCCCAGCAATTTGGGAGGCCGAGGTGGGCGGATCACTTAAGGTCAGGTGTTCAAGACCAGTCTGGCCAACATGGTGAAACCCCATCTCTACTAAAAATACAAAAATTACCTGGGCATGGTGGCGGATGCCTGTAGTCCCAGCTACATGGAGGCTGAGGCAGGAGAAATGCTTGAACCCAGGAGGGGGAGGTTGCGGTGAGCCAAGATTGTGCCACTGCACTCCAGCCTGGGTGACAGAGCAAAACTCCATCTCAAAAAGAAAAAAAAGAATGCACACAAACACACACAAGTTCCCCCCAAAGGAAAAAGGTACTTTGTATTGTGATAAATATATTGACTCATTTAAGCTCTCCCAAATAAATACAAGGTGAACGTTTAAGATGCTATGAGTAGGTGGCACAGTTGTGGAAAGAGAGGGGCTTTGGAGTCTGGGAAGCATGGAGACAAGTCCTCCTTACCCATCTGGGTGGCCCTAAGCAAGTATCTTTCAGAGCCTCGAGGTCATCTTTAAATGTGGATAATGATCCCCCTGGCACGGTGATGATGAAATAACATATATAAACCACCTGGCACAGAGACTGTTCAATAAATAGCAGATCCTTTTTTTTTTCTCGCCTAGAGTTCAGTGGCAAGATCACGGCTCACTGCAACCTCAGCCTCCCGGAGTTCAAGGAGTCCTCCCACCTCAGCCTTCTGAGTAGCTGGGACTACAGGCATGCGCACCACCACGCCTGGCTAATTTTTGTATTTTTTGGTAGAGACAGGGTTTTGCCATGTTGCCCAGGCTGGTCTCAAACTCCTAGGCTTAAGCAATCTGCCCACCTCGGCCTCCCGAAGTGCTGGGATTATAGGTGTGAGCCACCGTGCCCAGCATAGCAGTTATTATACTTTCCATGATGAATGGAGTAATCTTTCCAGCAGTAATCTTTGGGGTGGGAAGGGGTACTTGCACACACACACACACACACCCCATCCCAGAGATTGTGAGGCATGCTCCCTAGTCCCCCTGGGAGTGACTGCCTTGGAAAAAATTGTTCCTGAAGGGCAGGATGGAGGGTCACAATCCCTCATCCTTTTCCACCATGAGGTGGAAAAATGGTCAAGAGTCTCTGCCTTAAAAATGGAGCTTAGGAGATAAAACCCACCATCTAGGGGCCATTATCACCATGTTACCTACTGAAATGAGTTGACCACAGGACCAACCTCAAATAAGAACAAATAACAAAAATGATCTGTTTGCAAGTATTACAGACCTGTACCAGAAAAGAAGTACCTTCCAATTTCTAGCACTCAAAATATGAAAGAAACATTTAGGAAAACATTTAGAGAAGAAACATTTAGTACTCAAAACATGCTCAATGTTTGCCAAATGGCCCCAGGATACTTTGACAGACCACATGCTTTGAGTTTTGTCAGTACTCCTGGAAATCTGTGATAGAATCTTAATGTGCACCATGCAAAGTTTAATATCACATTTCTGTTGAATAATCACTGTGAGGCCGGGTGCGGTGGCTCATGCCTGTAATCCCAGCACTTCAGGAGGCTGAGGTGGGTGGATCTCTTGAGGTCAAGAGTTTGAGACCAGCCTGACCAATATGGTGAAAACCCGTCTCTACTAAAAATACAAATTTAGCCAGGTGTGGTGGCGCATGCCTGTAATCCCAGCTACTCGGGAGGCTGAGACAGGAGAATCGCTTGAACCCTAGAGGCAGAGGTTGAAGTGAGCCGAGATCGCACCTTTACACTTCAGCCTGGGCAACAAGAGTGAAATGCTGTCTCAAAAAAAAAATTAATTAAAAAAAAATTAAACATGCTCTTTGAGGATCCCCCAAGGTGTGGATCTGGGAAATGAACCATAGAATAGAAAGGAGCAAAAACACAGATTAAGGGAACCTGATACGTTGGGATACAGGAGCCAAGACCTTTGTCATTCAGTATGTGAAAATGTCAGGATGTGCAAGTGAGAAACAACTTAAAACCTTAAAATCAGAAGATCACTCCCCACTGACACTGCAGATTAAAAGATACTAATCACTGGCCGGGCGCGGTGGCTCACGCCTGTAATCCCAGCACTTTAGGAGGCCGAGGCGGGTGGATCACGAGGTCAGGAGATCGAGACCATCCTGGTTAACACAGGGAAACCCCGTCTCTACTAAAAATACAAAAAATTAGCCGGCCGTGGTGGTGGGCGCCTGTAGTCCCAGCTACTCGGGAGGCTGAGGCAAGAGAATGGAGTGAACCCGGGAGGCAGAGCTTGCAGTGAGCGGAGATCGCGCCACTGCATTCCAGCCTGGGGACAGAGCGAGACTCCATCTCGAAAATAAATAAATAAATAAATAAAAAATAAAAGATACTAATCACCTCAAAGGAAGCTGCTGGAGAGCTCCTTTAATTCAACTAATCAACAATATTATGCAACGGCTTTTTTAAAAAACATGTTCAAGGATCATACATTTTACTCAGTCTTTTATATAATTTGGCAGGGAATCAAGGCATATTAGGAAATTCACAGAAACCATAAACATAAAAAAATGCATAAGTCCTCAGTTCAGTAACCACACAAATATTTCCGAGAACACATCCAAAGCCACTTTCCCTTCTGCAAAGCTGTTATAAAATGTACTTAGCGTCGGGCATGGAGGCTCACGCCTGGCTTACAGGCGGGCACCTGTAATCCCAGCTACTTGGGAGGCTGCAGCAGAGAATCGCTTGAAGCTGGGAGGTGGAGGTTGCAGTGAGCCGATATTACACCCTGGCCCTCCAGCCTGAATGACCAAGTGAGACTCTGTCTAAAAAAAAATAATAATAATAAAATAAATAAAAAATGTACTTAGCAAGCCAGGCGTGATGGCTCACTCCTGTAATCCCAGCACTTTGGGAGGCCAAGGCAGGTGGATCACATGTGGTCAGGAGTTTGAGACCAGCCTGGACAACATGGAGAAACCCCGTCTCTGCTAAAAATACAAAATTATCTGGGTGTGGTGGCACATGCCTGTAATCCCAGTTACTTGGGAGGCTGAGGCAGGAGAATCTGTTGAACGTGGGAGGCAGAGGCTGCAGTGAGCCGACATCACGCCACTGCACTCCAGCCTGGGCAACAAAGCGAGACTCTGTCTCAAAAAAACAAAAAAACAAAACAAAAAAAACAAATGTACTTAGCACAGACCTACCTCTTCTGCTCTAGGTGGATTTATAGAAAAATTTTAACAGATTTTTAAGACGTTTGCATAGAAGGAATGAATATGAATGTTAAATCAAAATCCTGGTAATCTGATTGTGCTATAAATGTGAAATATCACAAACAATTAATTGGAAGGACATGCAAACAAAAACAAGAACTGAGCCACCTCTGCTTCCTAACATCATTCATCCTTCAAGTGTAATATTTAAGGTATGTGCCTTCATTACAAAAGGTATTTCTGGCTGGGCATGGTGGCTCATGCCTGTCATCCCAGCACTTTGGGAGGCTGAGGCGGGCAGATCACCTGAGGTCAGGAGTTAGATACCAGCCTGGCCAACATGGTGAAACCACTTCTCTACTAAAAATACAAAAACATTAGCTGGGTGTGGTGGTGGACGCCTGTAATACCAGCTACTTCGGAGGTTGAGGCAGGAGAATCACTTGAACCCGGGAGGCAAAGGTCACAGTGAGCTGAGATGGCGCCATTGCACTCGAGCCTGGGTGACAAGAGCGAGACTCTGTCTCAAAAACAAAAACGAAAGATATTTCTGTAAGCACTCACCACTATAAGTGTATACGTGCAGGCCAGGCGCAGTGGCTCACACCTGTAACCCCAGCACTTTGGGAGGCCGAGGCGTGCGGATCACGAGGTCAGGAGATCAAGACCATCCTGGCTAACACGGTGAAACCCCGTCTCTACTACAAATACAAAAAATTAGCCGGGCGTGGTGGCGGGCGCCTGTAGTCCCAGCTACTCGGGAGGCTGAGGCAGGAGAATGGCGTGAACCTGGGAGGTGGAGCTTGCAGTGAGCCGAGATCGTCCCACTATACTCCAGCCTGGACAACAGAGCAAGACTCCGTCTCAAAAAAAAAAAAAAGTGTATACGTGCAGAGAACTAAATATCTCAGCATGCATGTGTGTGTGTTTGTGCACGTGCATTCCCTTTTGGAAGAAAAAATACAAAATGTTCATATACATATTTCATATAAATTTATTATAGGATGCACTTAGATCTCCTTTTTTTTTTTTTCCCAAAAATATATCTAACTAGGTTTTCAGTACTTTTGGGTTCAGGGTGGCTTTCTTAGTGCTTCTCAGTTCAAATGTTAGTTTCTTCCACCTCTTCTGCAGTATCAGTGAAGTCTTTTTTCCCAGCTTGGATCAGCGAAAGGATTTAAAATCTGCTAATTTGGCCAGGTGTGGTGGTTCACGCCTGTAATCCTAACACTGGGAGGCCAAGGCGGGCAGATCACAAGGTCAGGAGTTCGAGACCAGCCTGACCAACGTGGTGAAACCCCGTCTCTACTAAAAATACAAAAATTAGTCAGGCGTGGTGGCGTGCGCCTGTAATCCCAGCTACTCAGGAGGCTGAGGCAGGAGAATCACTTGAACCCGGGAGGCAGAGGTTGCAGTGAGCTGAGATCGTGCCACTGCATCCCAGCTTGGGCAACAGAGCAAGACACTGTCTCAAAAAAAGATAATAATAAAATATGCAAATGTATCCACAAAACGTATGACAATGGTTTGGCACCTTTTTTGCTAGGATGTCAAAATCCAGCAATAAAGTTGTTCTAACCAGATTCGAACTAGTTTTGGTGTTTTTTTTGTTTTTTTGAGACGGAGTTTCGCTCTGTCACCCACGCTGGAATGCAGTGGCATGATCTCAGCTCACTGCAAGCTCCGCCTCCTGGGTTCACGCCATTCTCCTGCCTCAGCCTCCCGAGTAGCTGGGACTACAGGTACCCGCCACCACACCCGGATAATGTTTTGTATTTTTAGTAGAGATGGGGTTTCACTGTGTTAGCCAGGATGGTCTCGATCTGACCTCGTGATCCGCCTGTCTCGGCCTCCCAAAGTGCTGGGATTACAGGCGTGAGCCACTGCGCCCGGGCCTAGAACTAGAATATCATATATCAAATCTAAGCAGTCAAATCTTGCCCAAGTCTTAGTGATTCAAATACCCTTTGGGGACCAGTTCCCTTTCAAGCACTTCACTGGTATTTTCTTTCAAGGTGTTATGAGTGCATATGTCAAGAATTTTTTGGCTGGGTGCGGTGGCTCACGCCTGTAATCCCAGCACTTTGGGAGGCCAAGGCAGGTGGATCATCTGAGGTCAGGAGTTCAAGACCAGCCTAGCTGACATGGTGAAACACTGTCTCTACTAAAAATACAAAAAATTAGCCAGGCTTGGTGGTGGGCGCCTGTAATCCCAGCTACCAGGGAGGCTGAGGTAGGAGAATCAGTGGAACCCGGAAAGCAGAGGTTGGCGGTGAGCTGAGATTGTACCACTGTACTCCAGCCTGGGCAACAGAGCGAGACTCCATCTGAAAAAAAAAAAAAAAAAGAATTTTTTAGTTGTAAGAGACTGTTAAGTAGTGAACCCTAATTAAACAAGGCTAAGGGGAAGAAAGGAAATTTATGAGCTCATAGAACTTAATTGTCCAGGTAAGGTTCGTGTCAGTATCATCAGAAACTCAGGCACTCTCTCTCCTTCTGTCAGTTCTGCTTTCCATTCTCAGGCAGACTCACCCCTTGCGGCAACGTAACTGCCAGCAGTTCCAGGCTTAGGTGGTCTTTTCTCAGCAACTCCCACAAAGCCTTGCTCTTACAAATACTTCCGTAAAACCTGGACCTGACTCTGGCCAGAACTGTGTCACACTGTTACGGGTGGAGGGTGTCCAGGTTCTTGACGTTTTGAAAAAAGAATTGGACGAAACGCACAAAGCAATGAAAGAAAAGCACAGATTTATTGAAACGAAAGTACACTCCACAGAGTAGGGAGCAGGTTAGAGGAAGTGACTCAACAATGCTGGTTACAGAATTTTCTGGGGTTTAAATACCCTTCAGAGGTTTCCCATTGGTATGCCCTATGTAAATGAAGAGGGTAAGTGAAGTTACAAAGTTATTTACTTGGCATACACCCCATGGAAATGAAGAGGATGTTTCCTGCCATAGCTGAAGTGAAGTTACAAAGTTATTTAGTTGGGCATAGAAAGTTGGGGTTTTGGCCTGGAGGTGGGAGAGCGGGGAGGGCTCATGCCTGTAATCCAAACACTTTCGGAGGCGGAGGTGGGCGGACCTTTGGCCAACATAGTGAAACTCCGTCTCTACTAAAAATACAAAAATTAGCCTAGCATGGTGGGGGGTGCCTGTAATCCCAGCTACTTGGGAGGCTGAGGCAGGAGAATTGCTTGAACCCGGGAGGCGGAAGTTGCAGTGAGCCAAGATCAGGCCACTGAACTCCATCTAGAAAAAAAAAAAGACAGTTAATTGGGGTTTTTCCCTTTTATTGAGTTCTAGGAAGTATGTATGTTTGTTTGTTTATTTATTAAAACAGAGTCTCACTTTGTTGCCCAGGCTGTAGTGCAGTGGTAGGATCTTGGCTCACTGCAACCTCTGCCTCCCAGGTTCAAGCGATTTTCCTGCCTCAGCCTCCCAAGTAGCTGGGATTACAGGTGCTCACCACCACACCAAGCTAATTTTTCTATTTTTAATAGAGATAGAATTTCACCATGTTGGCCAGGGTGGCCTCGAACTCCTGATCTCAGGTGATCCACCGGCCCCGGCATCCCAACGTGCTGGGATTACAGGTGTGAGCCACTGCACTCGGCCTAGTTCTAGGAAGTTTTTAGGTTCCCTGCCTCCAGACCCCATTCTCCTGCATCAACATAAGCATCCTGAATCAATCATCCAGGCAGGACGGGCAGGTTATACAGTTTTGTTGTAAACAGTTATGTTAAGGCCAGGCACGGTGGCTCACACCTGTAATCCCAGCACTTTGGGAGGCCAGGGTGGGCAGATCACTTGAGGCCAGGAGTTCGAGACCAACCTGGCCAACACGGTGTAACCCCATCTCTACCAAAAATACAAAAATTACCCAGGTGTAGTGGCATGCACCTGTAACCTCAGCTACACGGGAGGCTGAGGGAGGAGAATCACTTGAACCCAGGAGGCAGAGGTTGCAGTGAGCTGAGATTGGCCACTGCACTCCAGCCTGGGCAACACAGCCAGACTCTGGATCAAAAAAAAAAAAAAAAAAAAAAAAAAAAAAGAACAATGCTCCTTGATAGCTGCTGTTCTACAACACAGAGACTAAGGGGTATTGAAAGATGATCCTCAAAGATGTCCATGTGGTGGCCAGGCGCAGTGGCTCACTCCTGTAATCCCAGCACTTTGGGAGGCCAAGGCGGGTGGATCACGAGGTCAGGAGATCAAGACCATCCTAGCTAACAGGGTGAAACCCCATCTCTACTAAAAAATACAAAAAATTAGCCGGGTGTGGTGGTGGGTGCCTGTTGTCCCAGCTAGTCGGGAGGCTGAGGCAGGAGAACAGCGTGAACCCGGGAGGCGGAGTTTGCAGTGAGCGGAGATCACGTCACTGCACTCCAGCCTGGGCAACAGAGTGAGACTCCGTCTCAAAAAAAAAAAAAGAAGAAGAATCAAATTCAGGGCTGGGTGCAGTGGCTCATGCCTGTAATCCCAGTACTTTGGGAGGCCGAGGCAGACAGATCACCTGACGTCAGGAGTTCGAGACCAGCCTGGCCAACATGGTGAAACCCCATCTCTACTAAAAATATAAAAATCAGCCGGGCGTGGTGGCTGGCGCCTGTAATCCCAGCTACTTGGGAGGCTGAGGCAGGAGAAGTGCTTGAACCTGGGAGGCAGAGGTTGTAGTGAGCCGAGATTGTGCCATTGTGCTCCAGCCTGGGCGACAAGAGCAAGACACCATCTCACACACACACATACACACACACACCAAAAAGGTGAAGAATCTGGCTGGTCATGGTGGCTCACACCTGTAATCCCTGCACTGGGATTACGCCAAGGCAGGTGGATCACCTGAGGTCAGGAGTTCGAGACCAGCCTGGCCATCATGATAAAACCCCGTATCTACTAAAAATACAGAAGTTAGCCGGGCGTGGTGGCCCACACCTGTAATCCCAGCTACTTGGGAGGCTGAGGCAGGAGAATCACTTGAACCTAGGAGGCAGAGGTTGCATTGAGCCAAAATCACCGCACTGCACTCTGGCCTGGGTAACAGAGTGCGACTCCACCTCAAAAATATAAAAGAAGAAGAATCTAATTTGGTAGGTTTAGGGTGAGGCCTGAGGTTTTGCACTTCTTACAAATTGTTAGGCCCTGCCAGTGCTGCTGCTCCAGGAGCCACACTTTGAGAAGTGACGTTCCTCTAGAGAATGTCTAATTTGCCACCTTTAAACCCTATTCCTGCGGCCAGGTGCAGTGGCTCACACCTGTAATCCCAGCAGTTTGGGAGGCTGAGACTGGTGGATCACGAGGTCAGGAGATTGAGACCATCCTGGCTAACACGGTGAAACCCCGCCTCTATTAAAAAAAATACAAAAAAATCAGCTGGGCGTGGTGGTGAGCACCTGTAGTCCCAGCTACTCGGGAGGCTGAGGCAGGAGAATGGCGTGTACCCGGGAGGCGGAGCTTGCAGTGAGCCGAGATCGCGCCACTGCACCGCAGCCTGGGCGATAGAGGGAGACTCTTGTCTCAAAAACGACAACAAAAAAACCCTATTCCCTTTCTTATGGTTTCTGTATTTTCACCTATAAAAGAATAAGATAAACAGGGCGCGGTGACTAATGCTTGTAATCTCAGCACTTTAGGAGGCCGAGGCAGGTAGATTGCTTGAGGACAGGAGTTCAAGACCAGCCTGACCAACATGGTGAAACTCCGTCCCTACTAAAACTACAAAAATTAGCCGGGTGTAGTGGCAGGCACCTGTAATCCCAGCTACTCGGGAGGCTGAGGCAGGAGAATCACTTGAACCTGGGTGGCAGAGGTTGCATCGCGCCACTGCACTCCAGCCTCGGTGACAGAGCAAGACTCCATCTCAAAAAAAAAAAAAAAAGAATACGATATTGGGATTTTACAGTGCTTCCAAACAGAAAAACAGCAATGGTTAAATATGGCAGTTTAAAAATAGCCACATCCAGCCAGGCGTGGTGCCTCATGCCTGTAATCCCAGCACTTTGGGAGGCCGAGATGGGTGGATCACCTGAGGTCAGGAGTTTGAGACCAGCCTGGCCAACATGGCGAAATCCCATCTCTACTGAAAATAAAAAAATCAGTCGGGCGTTGTGGCATGTACCAGTAATCCAGCTACTCGGGGGCTGAGGCTGGAGGATCACTTGAACCTGGGAGACAGAGGTTGCAGTGAGCCGAGATCGTGGCACTGCACTCCAGCCTGGGCAACAGAGTGAGACTCTGTCTCAAAAAAAAAAAAAAAAAAAAAAAAAAAGTCACGTCCTTTCTTCATCAAAACAATTCTCGTTTTGAGGGTGGCGGGGGGCGTGGCGGGGGGGTGGGTGTTGTGAGTTTCAGAGGGCTATGATAGACCACTAGTGACAACTTGTGGCTAGTTCTTATCATTACAATCACATTTTGCGTTCCCTTTCAAATGTAACACAATTACAAAAATCAACATTGGGTATTCTGTTTCATTTACATAGTTTTGTGAAACTAAAATGTGTTTAACTTTTCATTTTGAGATGATTATAGATTCATCAGAGGGTCCCAAGAAATGTATAGGGAAGTTCCACGGACCCTTCTCTCAGCCTCCCCCAATGTTAACGTATTAAATATCAAAACCAAGAAAGTGACATTGGTACAGTCTATAGATGTAATGCAGTTTTCACAGTTATACCTGCTCTCCTTTGTGACAAAAACACTTTGACATATCAAGGAAGATGTATCAGGCCAACAAGAATCTCTTTCTTTGGTGGTTAAATAATATTAAATTCAACAACCAACTAGAAATTCTTAGTTTTGTAATAAAGCAAAATGAATCTCAGCATTCTACAACTTACAGTTTTGTTGAAACAAATCTTGTTGCCCAGGCTAGAGTGGTGCCATCATGACTCACTGCAGCCTCGACCTCCCAGCTCACAGCTCGAATGATCCTCCCACCTCAGCCTCCTGGGTGGATGGAACTACAGGGACACAACGCAACACCCAATTTTTTTTTTTTTTTTGAGACAGCGTCTCACTCTGTCACCCAGGCTGGAGTCTGGAGTGCAGTGGCGTGATCACGGCTCGCTGCAATCTCTGCCTCCCAGGTTCAAGCAGTTCTCCTGCTTCAGCCTCCTGAGTATCTGGGACTACAGACATGCCACACCTGGCTAATTTTTTTTTTGTATTTTTAGTAGAGACAGGGTTTTGTCATGTTGGCCAGGCTGGTCTCAAACCCCTGACTTCAGGAGATCCACCGGCCTTGGCCTCCTAAAGTGCTGGGATTACAAGCGTGAGCCACCACACCCAGCCCCCAACTGATTTCTTGTACTTTTTTTTGTAGAGATGAGGTTTTGCCAGGCAGGTCTCGAACTCCTGACCTCAAGTGATCTAGCCACCATGGACTCCCAAAATGCTGGGATTACTGGTGTGAGTGACCACATGAGGCCTCTAGCTTTGTGTGTGTGTGTGTGTGTGTCTGTGTGTGTGTGTGTGAGAGAGAGAGAGTTTCACTCTTGTTGCTCAGGGTGGAGTGCAATGGTGCAATCTCGGCTCACCACAACTTCCGCCTTCCAGATTCAAGCAATTCTCCTGCCTCAGTCTCCCAAGTAGCTGGGATTACAGGCATGTGCTGCCACGCCCAGCTAATTTTGTATTTTTAGTAGAAATGGGGTTTCTCAATGTTGGTCAGGCTGGTCTTGAACTACTGACCTCAGGTGATCCATCTGCTTCGGCCCTCCAGAGTGCTGGGATTACAGGCATGAGCCGCTGCATCCAGCCATTTTCTTCTTTTTTTTTTTTTTTGAGACGAAGTCTCGTTCTTGTCATCCAGGCTGGAGTGCAATGGTGCGACCTTGGCTCATTGCAACCTCTGCCTCCCAGGTTCAAGTGATTCTCCTGCCTCAGCCTCCCGAATAGCTGGGATTACAGGCTCCTGCCACCACGCCCAGCTAATTTTAGTATTTTTAGTAGAGACGGGGTTTCGTCATGTTGGCCAGACTGGTCTCAAAGCCCTGACCTCAGGCGATCCACTCGCCTCAGCCTCCCAAAGTGTTGGGATTACAGGCGTGAGCCACCGTGCCCGGCCTAGCTTTCTTCTTTTGCTCAGGATTACTTTGGATATTTGGGCTCACTTTGGTTCCACATGAATTTTAGGATTTTTTTTTCTATCTCTGAAAATGTCATTGGTATTTTGATAGGGATTGAAATGAATCTGTAGATCACTTTGGACAGCGTGGTCACTGAAGGGAAAAACACCACGACAACAATGACACAGAAGACTTCTGTAACCAAATGTGTAGGGATTTCTCCCCACACACCAAGCAACCAATCAATTCTACATCAGACATCTGCTGGGTGTCCTCCGACTTTTTTTTTTTTTTTTGGTTGGGGGGACACAGAGTCTCTGTAGCCCAGGCTGGAGTGCCATGGTGTGATCTCGGCTCACTGCAACATCCGCCTCCCGGGTTGAAGTGATTCTCCTGCCTCAGCCTCCTGAATAGCTGGGATTACAGGTGCCTGCTACCATGCCCGGGTAATTGTTGTATTTTTAGTAGAGACAGGGTTTCACCATGTTGTCCAGGCTGGTCTTGAACTTCTGACCTCACGTGATCCACCCTCCTTGGCCTCCCAAAGTTCTGGGATTACAGGCATGAGCCACTGCACCCGGCATTTTTTTTTTTCCTTTTAAACAAGGTCTAGCTCTGTTGCACAGGCTGGAGTGCAGTGGCTCAATCTCAACCTCTCAGACTCAAAGTGATCCACCCACCTCAGCTTTCCAAGTAGCTGGACCACAGGCAAGTGCTATCATGCCTGGCTGTTTTTGTTTGTTTTGTTTTGTTTTTCTTTTTTTGAGACGGAGTCTTGTTCTGTCACCCAGGCTGGAGTGCAATGGCGCGGTCTAGGTTCACTGCAGCCTCCACATCCCAGGTTCAAGCTATTTTCTTGCCTCTGCCTTCTGAGTAGCTGGGACTACAGGGACACACCGCCATGCTTTGATAATTTTTGTATTTTTAGTAGAGACAGGGTTTCACCATGTTGGCCAGGCTGGTCTGAAACTCCTGAGCGCAAGTGATCTGCCCGCCTCGGCCTCCCAAAGTGCTGGATTACAGGCGTGAGCCACAGCACCTGGCCTGTTTTTGTATTTTTTATAGAGACAGGCTTTTGCCATGTTAACCAGGCTAGTCTCGAACTCCTGAACTCAAGCAATCTACCTGCCTTGGCCTCCCAAAGTGCTGGGATTACAGGCATGAGGCACCACGCCCAGCCTCAATTCTGACAGTATCTACCTCACTGATACAGCATCAGGCCCCACAACTGAGGGCTCACTCCCACCAAGCAGCCCTCTCCCTTCCCACCAGTCACAAATCTGAGCCTCCAGAACTTCTGACTTGTTTCAACTTGGTGTTCCCACAACCCTCTCTTTGGGTTCATTTAATTGCTAATGCAGCTTAGAGAACCCAGGGAAACACATTTACTGGTTTATTATAAAGGATGTTACCGGGCAAGAGATGACGGCTCACGCCTGTAATCCCAGCACTTTGGGAGGCAAAGGCAGGCAGATTACCTGAGGTCAGGAGTTTGAGACCAGCCTGGACAACAAGGCAAAACCTTGTCTCTACTACAAATCCAAACATTAGCCTGGTGTGGGGGCTCACACCTGTAATCCCAGCTACTCAGGAGGCTGAGGCAAGAGAATCCCTTGAACCCAAGAGGCAGAGCCTGAAGTAAGCTGAGATTGCACCACTGCACTCCAGCCTGGGCTACAGAGTGAGACTCTGTCTCAAAAAACAAAACAAAACAAAACAAAAAAACGACACACACACACACACACACACACACACACAAGGATGGCATCGGCTCACACTTTGGGAGGCCAAGGCAGGTGGATCACTTGAGGTCAGGACGTCAAGACCAGCCTGGCCAACATGGTGAAACCCCTTCTCTACTAAAAATCCAAAAAGTAGCCAGGCATGGTGGTGGGCACCTGTAATCCCAGCACTTTGGGAGGCTGAGGTGGGCAGATCACTTGAGATCAGGAGTTCAAGACCAGCCTAGCTAACATGGAGAAATTCTGTCTCTATTAAAAAATACAAAAATTTTGTGTTTTTTGTATTAAATACAAAAAATACAGCCGGGCGTGATAGCACAGTAATCCCAGCTACTTGGGAGGTTGAGTCAGGACAATCACTTGAACCTAGGAAGCAGAGGTTGCAGTGAGCCGAGATTACACCACTGCACTCCAGCCTGGGCGACAGAGCAAGACTGTCTAAAAAAAATTAAAAAAAATAAAAAAGATGTTACCAAGGATACAGATGAAGAGATGCATAGGGTGAGGTGTGGGGAAAGGGGCTCAGAGCTTCCCTGACCTTCTTGGGTCAGCCACCCTCCAGGAACCTCCCCGTGTTCAGCTCTCTGGAAGTTCCCTGAACCCTGTGCTCTTAGGCACTGGATAGTTGTGACGAACAACCAGACAGAAACATGACTGGACACAAAGGCCATGATCTAACAGACGAAGTGGAGAAACAGAGCAAGGCTCCAATTCTTCATGCTTTCTGTGGCCCCTTCTTCCAGGGTATATGGCAGGATCTCCTCTGAAGTAGGGGGTATTGTGACCTGCAATCAAAGTAGGTTAGACGACATTCCTTCTTCCAGGGTATGGGGTAGACCCCTTCTGAAATGGGAGTATTGTCACCTACTGTCAGACAAGGTACGTCACCGAATTTACTTTTTTTTTTTTTTGTGGAGACGGAGTCTCGCTCTGTCGCCAGGCTGGAGTGCAGTGGTGAGATTTCTGCTCGCTGTAACCTCCTCCTCCTGGCTTCAAGCCTCAGCCTCCTGAGTAGCTGGGACTACAGGTACGCGCCACCATGCCCAGCTAATTTTTGTATTTTTAGTAGAAACGGGGTTTCATCATATTGACCAGGTTGGGTCTTGACCTCGTGATCCACCCACCTCGGCCTCCCAAAGTGCTGGGATTACAGGCGTGAGCCACTGTGCCTGGCCACAGAACTTTATAGCCAACTGCAAGAAGAAAGGTGAGAAGATTCCTGCCTTGGGGAGAAAAATGGCAGGAGAAAGACAGGTTGTTTTCCAAGACCTGATTCAGAAATCTTGGCTCACAGCATCCTCTGCATCCCAGGTTCAAGCAATTATTGCACCTCAGCCTCCCAAGTAGCTGAGACTACAGGTGCATGCCACCACGCCTGGCTAGTTTTTGTATTTTCAGTAGAGATGAGGTTTCACCATATTGCTCAGACTGGTCTTGAACTCTTGGCCTCAAGTGATCCAGCCACCTCAACCTCCCAAAATGCTGGGATTACAGGCATGAGTCACCGCACTCGGCCGACTTGGATTTTTTTTTTTTTTTTGAGACGGAGTCTCAATCTGTCGCCCAGGCTGGAGTGCAGTGGCGTGATCTTGGCTCACTGCAAGCTCTGCCTCCCAGGTTCAGGCCATTCTCCTGCCTCAGCCTCCAGAGTAGCTGGGACTACAGGCGCCTGCAACCACACCTGGCTAATTTTTTGTATTTTTAGCAGAGACAGGGTTTCACTGTGTTAGCCAGGATGGTCTCGATCTCCTGCCCTCGTGATCTGTCTGCCACGGCCTCCCAAAGTGCTGGGATTACGGCGTGAGCCACCGCGCCCGGCAACGACATGTAATTTTTTGTTGAGTGGGAGGGGAAGACAGTCTCATTGTGTCATCCAGGCTGGAGTGCAGTGGCACAACCTCGGCTCACTGCAACCTCCGCCTCCTGGGCTCAAGCGATTCTCTTGCCTGAGCCTCCCAAGTAGCTGGAACTATAGACATCCACCACTATGCCCAGGCTAATTTTTGTATTTTGTTTTTTTTAGAGACAGGATTTCACCATGTTGCCCATACTGGCTTCAAACTCCTGGGCTCAAGCGATCCACCCACCTTGGCCTCCCACAGTGCTGGGATTACAGGTGAGTGACACTGTGCCCGGCCAGATGGCATGAATTTGACAGGCATCGTTATGACCTGAAGGTCCTTCTGTAGACAGAATCTTATGTTTTAGGGAATAAGAACATTATAAAATTAGAAGGGTTTTTTTTTTGAGACAGTCTCACCCTGTCGCCCAGGCTGGAGTGCAGTGGCACAATCTCGGCTCACTGCAACCTCCGCCTCCCAGGTTCAAGCGATTCTCCTGCCTCAGCCTCCAGAGTAGCTGGAATTACAGGCGGCTGCCACCACACCTGGCTAATTTTTCCATTTTTAGTAGAGACGGGGTTTCACCATGTTGGCCAGGCTGGTCTCGAACTCCTGACCTTGTGATCCACCCACCTTGGCCTCCCAAACTGCTGGGATTACAAGAGTTTTTTTAAAAGCCAGATTTTATTTCTATTTAAAAACAATGCTCAGGAGACTTAGTTCCAAAGACGAAGATGCCAGGGTTCAATGTACAACTACAGCGAGGTGCTAGCGATTATTGAGTGAGTCATGGAAGGCTCTGTAGTTCCTTGGAGACTTCCGCTTTTTCGTATCACTCCTAGTCTTAGCCTCGTGGTTTTCTGCAAGTTCTCGTCGACTGTAACCGTACACAGGGCTGTCACTCCAGTGAGGACAACAAAAAAAGCACCTATGGCTATCATTGTTAATCCAGTAGAGAAAACCACAGAGTCAGAGGGGTCCTGTAGAACAACAATGAGTCCCAGAATCACAGTCGATAACCCTAAGCAGGTGACAAGCAGACATTCAGAGCAAGACAAGCATCGGAACTCCCGTCTTCTGGATAGATTCATCCATGGATAAGTTTGGATAGGTTGGTACATGGTGATTTTTTGCTGCAGTGGTTAAGGGAAGAAAAAGTCTATGAAAGCTCAAATACAAAAAGTGTAAATAGAATCTTTTCTTCTTTTCTGTGAATTGCATCTACTATGCATTCTTTTTCTTTTTCTTTTTTTTTTAAGATGGAGTCTCACTCTGTTGCCAGGCTGGAGTGCGGTGGCGCGATCTTGGCTCACTTCAAGCTCTGCCTCCCGGGTTCAAATGATGCTCCCGCCTCAGACTCCCTAGTAGCTGGGACTACAGGCGTGCGCCACCACACCCAGCTAATTGTTGTATTTTTAGTAGAGACGGGGTTTCACCATGTTGACCAGGATGGTCTCAATCTCTTGACCTCATGATCTGCCTGCCTCGGCCTCCCAAAGTGCTGGGAGTACAGGCATGAGCCACCGTGCCCGGCCCTTTTTCTTTTTTTTTTTAAATGAGACAGAGTCTCACTCTGTCGCCCAGGCTGGAGTGCAGTGGTGCGATCTTATCTCACTGCAACCTCCACCTCCCGGGTTCAAGCAGTTCGCCTGCCTCAGCCTCCCGAGTAGCTGGGATTACAGGTGCCCGCCACCATGGCTGGCTAATTTTCGTATTTTTAATAGAGACGGGGTTTCATCACGTTGGCCAGGCTGGTCTCGAACTCCTCACCTCAAGTGATATGCCCACCTTGGCCTCCCCAAATGCTGGGTTTACAGACATAAGCACCACCTTGGGCCTACTATGCATTTTCAGTCAGAACTCCCTTCACCCTGTCTCATATCCTGAGGGTAATTTAAAGGGCTGGCCTCTAAGAGGCACCCAAATTCCCCTCTGAGGAGACTCTCAGGAGGTCAGAGTTCTTAATGGTTTAAAATACATCTTTTGGCTGGGTGCGGTGGCTCACTCACAAAAATGCTGGTAATCCCAACATTTTTGGAGGCCAAGATGGGAGGACTGCTTCAGCTTGGAAGTTCAAGACCAGCTTGGGCAACATAGTGAGAACCTGCCTCTACTAAAAATTTTAAGAAAATAGCCGGGCACAGTGGCTCACGTCTGTAATCCCAGCACTTTGGGAGGCCGAGGAGGGCAGATCACAAGGTCAGGAGATCGAGACCATCCTGGCTAACGTGGTGAAACTCCATCTCTACTAAAAATACATAAAAATTAGCCAAGCATGGTAGCGGGCGCCTTTAGTCCCAGCTACTTGGGAGGCTGAGGCAGGAGAATGGCGTGAACCTGGGAGACGGAGCTTGCAGTGAGCCGAGATTGCACCACTGCACTCCAGCCTGGGCGACAGAGCGATATTCCGTCTCAAAAAAAATAATAATAAAAAATAAAAATAAAAAATTTATCCAGTTCTGGTAGTACATGCCTGTAGTCCCAGATACTTGGGAAGCTGAAGCAGGAGAATCACTTGAACCCAGGAGATGGAGGCCGCAGTGAGCTATGATTACGCCATTGTATTCCAGCCAGAGTGACAGGACAAGACCCTGTTTCAAATTTTTTAAAAAAGGAAATAAAAAGATACATCTTTACAGTGTGAAAAGAAAACAAAATCTCAGCCCCAAACTCACTATGCCTAGGGGAAAAGTTAAGCTTGGAAATCGAGTCACACACAACAAAATCTGCCTTTCGTTTTGTTCCTAAACAGATAGCTATAAGATAGAAGGCCACACGCCTCACAACGGGGACTTTCTTACCCTGACAATGTAAATTAATAGCTTATCTTCATAGGTAGGAGACAAGAAGAGACTATAAATTGCTGACCCACCCACGCTGAGACCCATGCGTATTTGATTTTTTTTTTTTTTTTTTTTGAGACGGAGTTTCGCTCTTTTTGCCCAGGCCGGAGTGCAATGGTGCAATCTCGGCTCACCGCGACCTCTGCCTCCCGGGTTCAAGCATTTCTCCTGGCTCAGCCTCCCAAGTAGCTGGGATTACAGGCGCCTGCCACCCCGTCTGGCGAATTTTTTGTATTTTTAGTAGAGACAGGTTTCACCACGTTGGCCTGGATTGTCTCGATCTCCTGACCTCGTGATCCACCCGCCTCGGCCTCCCAAAGTGCTGGGATTACAGGCGTGAGCCACTGCACCCGGCCGCATATTTGATTTCTATGTTTATCTACAGGTCAAGTACAGATTGCCCAAGTTCAAGAGAAAGACTTGATTGTTCTTCCTCTCTTTCCTTTTCACATGCAACACGTGGATTGAGTGAGTGCTGAAAGCCTCATTACAATGCTACCCTATCCTTCTCCATTTTTTCTTTTCACCTCTCCCCTCCTGCCCACTTTTTCCCTTTAAATATTGAAGCCCTTTAAATCCTCTTTGGAAAAAGTGCTGACTCCAGATCCTCTTGTGGCTTCTGTCTATTTCCTGGGCATGTCCTCAATGTTAGCTAAAATAAACCTCTACAGTGATTGAGACCTTCTGAGACTTCTGGTTTACAAGTGAAATTTCATGAAGCTATCTCAAGACATCCAAAAAGACTGCTTCTGAAAATGAATCCTCACGCTTGGGAGGCCGAGGCAGGTGGATCGCTTGAGCCCAGGAGTTCAAGACTAGCCTGGGGAACGTGGCAAAACCCTGTCTCTACAAAAAATAAATAAATAAATTAAATAAAATACAAAAAATTAGCCACGCATGGTGGCACGTGCCTGTAGTACCAGATACCCTGGGAGCTGAGGCTTCAGTAAGCCTTGATTGTGCCACTGCACTCCAGCCTGGGAGATAGAAAGGCCCCATCTCAATTCTAAAAAAAGAAGGCTGGGCACAGTGGCTCATGCCTGTAATCCCAGCACTTTGGGAGGCCAAGGCAAGTGGATTCCCTGAGGTCAGGGGTTCCAGACCAGTCTGGCCAACGTGATGAAACCCTGTCTCTACAAAAAATACTAAAATTAGCTGGGTGTGGTAGCAGAAGCCTGTAATCCCAGCTACTCAGGAGGCTGAGGCAGGAGAATCACTTCAACCCGGGAGGCAGAGATTGCAGTGAGCCAAGATCGCACCATTGCACTCCAGCCTGGGTGACAAGAATGAGACTTCGTCTCAAAAAAAAAATAAAAATAATAAAAAGAAGAAAATGGCTGGGTGCAGTGGCTCATGCCTGTAATCCCAGCACTTTGGGAGGCCAAGACAGGTGGATCACCTGAGGTCGGGAGTTCAAGACCAGCCTGACCAACATTGAGAAACCCCATTTCTACTAAAAATACAAAATTAGCTGGGCGTGGCGGCACATGCCTGTAATCCCAGCTACTTGGGAGGCTGAGGCAGGAGAATCGCTTGAACCCGGGAGGCAGAGGTTGTGGTGAGCCAAGATTGCACCATTGTACTCCAGCTTGGGCAACAAGAGCAAAACTCTGTCTCAAAAACAGAAGAAGAAGAAGAAACTGAAGTACAAGGCCAAAGGTACTTGAAGTAGGCTTAACTTCTTCCTGAAGCACCATTACTATTTGATGGTAAATCTATGTTTTTATACTTTAGGTACAAGTGATGAAATTCAAGGCCAGGCATAGTGACTCATGCTTGCAACCCCAGCACTTTGGGAGGCCGAGGCAGGAGGATCACTTGAGGTCAGGAGTTTGAGACCAGCTTGGCCAACATGGTGAAATCCATTCTCTACTAAAAATACAAAAATTAGGCCAGGTGCATTGGCTCACGCCTGTCATCTCAGCCCTTTGGGAGGCTGAGGCGGGCAGATTACTTGAGGTCAGGAGTTTGAGACCAGCCTGGCCAACATAGTGAAACCCCGTCGCTACTAAAAATATAAAAATTAGCTGGGTGTGGTGGCGCACACCTGTAATCCCAGCTACTCAGGAGGCGGAGGCAGCAAAATCACTTGAACCCAGGAAGCGGAGGTTGCAGTGAGCCAAGATCACGCCATTGCACTCCAGCCTGGGTGACAGAGTGAGACTCCATCTCAAAAAAACAAACAACAACAACAACAAAAACAAAAATTAGCCAGGCATGATGGCCCACATCTGTAGTTGCAGCTACTCAGAAGGCTTGAGGCAGGACAATCTCTTGAACCCCAGAGGCAGAGGTTGCAGTGAGCTGAGATCACACCACTGCACTCCAGCCTGGGCAACATGGCAAGACTCTATCTCAAAAAAAAAAAAATCCCGAAGAAGCAAACAAAAACAAGTGACAAGTGATGAAATCCAAGGTCAAAGATTAAGAACATTGACTTGAAGGAGAGGGGACAGTCACGAGAAGGAAATGTATTTTCTTTTCCACCAGCATGAGGACCCAGTAGGTACAAAGTTTACCAAGGGAGAAGCTTGGGTGGGGATAGTGATTGCCAAACGCTCCCCGCAGCTGTGGTTGCTCTTGCCTTGGGGACAGTTCACTCAAGGTCACTGGTTATTAGAGAACATCAATTGTGGATTGCAGAACTCCATAGCCACCAACATAACTCAAGTCCCGGTTGGGCTTTTCACTGAGAAATGGTTGTGTGGCATTTTATCAACACATCACAGGCCCTGTGGAAAAAGGCTTGGCTTCTAATTAATTGGATTAATAGCCAACTTCCAAATCAATTGTTTTTCTTAATGCACTGGCAAAAGTCATTTACGGAGTGAAAACCTGAGAACATCTACTATTCAATCATCTTTCCTGAAGAGATAAGTGGTAAGAGTAACTCTGCCCAACATAGTATGAAGTCTTAGGTTTTTCAAGCAGTAAATGAATACTGAATGAAAGCTAAGCATAAAGATAATACATTAATGGCCGGGCGTGGTGGCTCATGCCTGTAATCCCAGCACTTTGGGAGGCCGAGGTGGGCGGATCACCTGAGGCGAGGAGTTCGAGACCATCCTGTCCAACATGGTGAAACCCCATTTCTACTAAAAATACAAAAATAAAAATAGCCAGGCATGGTGGCGCATGCCTGTAATCCCAGCTACTCAGGAGGCTGAGGCAGGAGAATCGCTTGAACACTGGAGGCAGAAGTTACAGTGAGCCGAGATCACACCGCTGCATTCCAGCTTGGGCAACAAGAGTAAAACTCTGTCTCAAAAAAAATAAAATAATACTACATTAATATAAAATCATGTGGACAACTGGAGTGAAAAAAAATTCAAAGAGAAAAAATGGTAAAACCTTGCTTTTTTTCTTTTTTTTTGGGACGGAGTCTCACTCTGTCGCCAGTCTGGAGTGCAGTGGTGTGATCTCAGCTCACTGCAATCTCTACCTCCTGGGTTCAAGTGATTCTCCTGCCTCAACCTCCCGAGTAGCTGGGACTACAGGCATGTGCCACCACGCCTGGGTAACTTTTGTATTTTTAATAGAGACAGGGTTTCACCATGTTGGCCAGGATGGTCTTGATCTCTTGACCTCGTGATCTGCCCGCCTCGGCCTTCCAAAGTGCTGAGATTTCAGGCGTGAGCCACCGCGCCCAACCGGTTTTTTTGTTTTGTTTTGTTTTTGAGACAGGGTCTTGCTCTGTTCCCCAGGCTGGAGTGCAGTGGCGCAATGTCAGCTCACTGCAACTGCTGCCTCCCAGACTCAAGTGATCCTCCCACCTCAGCCTCCCACGTAGCTGGGACTACAGGCGCCTGCCACCACCCATGGCTTATTTTTTTTGTATGTTTTTGTAGAGACGGGGTTTCACCTTGTTGCCCAAGCTGGTCTCAAACTTCTAGGGTCAGGCAATCCTCCTGCCTCGGCCTCCTAAACTGCTGGGATTACAGGTGTGAGCCACCACATGTGGCCCAGGTGTTTTCTTTAAGTGGGTGATGGTGACGATCAACTCCCTTAGGTATTTAGAGTCCAACAGATGTATTTGAGAATGGAATAGTTTTAGTTTCAAAGATCACTATTTACACAATGGCAAGTAATTATGTCTTTGCAACTGTATACACTAAACATTTTAGGTGTCAGGTTAAATACTAGGTGGAACAGAATTTGTCACAAAATTTTACAGTATGTAGGAACAAAAAAAACACTAATGAAAACAATGACAAATATTGGCCTTTTAGGTTTGAACTCACCGTTAATGGCACCATTTTATTAATTTGCCATTTCATATGATGTTTTAACCCTAAATTGCTGGTAAGTTTTGTAGCTGAATTTTCTTAGCATTTCTGGCTAACTATGCTGTGTTCTTTAGTTTACTAACAATTTTTGTTTCTGATTCCCTAATGTTTAGCCATCCTTACATTCCTCAGATAAGCTCTCCTAAGCTGTTATTATCCTGGTTAAGCAGTATGTGGTATCTTACATTTATCTTAAGACCAGGTGATAGGAGTTTTTCTGGCGAAGAAAACTACTAGGTTTGAGTACCGAAAAAATTACTTTCGCAGAATGAATTGGGAATCTTTGAATTATAATGGCAACAACTCAAGATTTGTATGCATGATATTATTTTATTTTTCGAGATAGGATCTTGCTTGCTCTGTTATCCAGGCTGGCAGTGCATTGGCGTGGTCTCGGCCCACTGCAACCTCCGCCTTCCACACTCAAGTGATCCTCCTCCCTCAGCCTCCAGAGTGACTGAGACTAAGCCACCTTGCCCAGCTAATTTTTGTATTTTTAGTACACACGGGGTTTGCCACGTTACCCAGGCTGGTCTGAGCTCAGGGGATCCACCCACATCAGCCGTCCAAAGTGCTAGGACTATAGATGTGAGCCAGCGCACCTGGCCCACAATATTAAGTGAAATCTCACTGTCTTTTCTCTTCCAGTTTTTAGGTTTTTGTCTCTTCATTCAGTTTTGGGAACTTATTAGTTCCCATTATCTAGACTTAAGAATGTTGTATGGGCCGGGCGCGGTGGCTCACGCCTGTAATCCCAGCACTTTGGGAGGCTGAGGCGGGCGGATCACGAGGTCAGGAGATCGAGACCATCCTGGCTAACACGGTGAAACTCCGTCTCTAGTAAAAATACAAAAAAATTAGCCTGGGGTGGTGGCGGGCGCCTGTAATCCCAGCTAGTCGGGAGGCTGAGGCAGGAGAATGGCGTGAACCCGGGAGGCGGAGCTTGCAGTGAGCTGAGATCGCGCCACTGCACTCCAGCCTGGGCGACAGAGTGAGACTCCGTCTCAAAAAAAAAAAAAAAGAGAATGTTGGTATGAAATAGGAATAATTCTCTTTGATTTTTTTTAGCTTATCTTTCCTGCCTAGGTTATTAAATAGCAAATGTTTGTTTTTTCCCCCTGCTTTGCAGGGGCGTATTGATCTGCCACCTTTTTCAAGAACCAGTTTAGGGCCAGGCACAGTAGCTTACACCTATAACCCCCGCATTTTGGGAGGCCGAGGCGGGCGGATCACAAGGTCAGGAGATCGAGACCATCCTGGCTAACAGGGTGAAACCCCGTCTCTACTAAAAATACAAAAAATTAGCTGGGCGTGGTGGCAGGCACCTGTAGTCCCAGCTACTCGGGAGGCTGAGGCAGGAGAATGGCGTGAACCCGGGAGGCGGAGCTTGCAGTGAGCCGAGATCCTACCACTGCACTCCAGCCTGGGCGACAGAGTGAGACTCTGTCTCAAAAAAAAAAAAAAAAAAAAAAGAGATCAGCCTGGGCAACTTAGTGAGACCCCTGTCTCTACTAAAAGTCTAAAAATTTTTTAAAAGCCAAGCACAATAGCTCACGTCTGTAATGCTAACACTTTGGGAGGCCAAGGAGGGTAGATCACTTGAGGTCAAGAGTTCAAAACCAGGCTGGCCAACATGGTGAAATCCCGTCTCCAATAAAAATACAAAAATTAGCAGAGCATGGTGGCACATGCCTGTAATCCCAGCTACTCAGGAGGCAGTCAGCTGAGATTATGCCACTGCACTTCAGCCTGAGCAACAGAGACCCTGTCTCAAAAAAAAAAAAAAAAAGAAAAAGAAAATAAAAAGAAAGAAAAAAAGAGAAATCCAACAGCCTAACAGAAAAATAGTCAAGGGAGATCAACAAGAGACTAGATCTCTGAAGAAATATAAATCATAACTTAATATAAAAAAAATATACAGCCCGACTAACAATATTCATATTTAAGTCAGTCTTTTAAGTGACTTTCAAACACACTTAACAAAAAGCAAGCTAAAAGTTTTATAAAAGAAATGATAGCTTCTCTCACCTGGTACAGCAGGCAACTTTTTAGTCAAAATAAGGTCAGGAATAGTTTCCCCAAAACAGCCAGACACCCTCTGTCAAGACAAACCGTCCTTAGATAAAAAGATGAGCAACAAGCTGCTGTGTTTCTTTTATACGAATTAGGCTCTTGATTGGATAATTGAAATAACACGGATTCTCACAAGCAGAAATTTTCACACATCAGGTTAGATTGTTTTCTTAATTCATCCAATAATGTAATACCTCAGTTCTATAAACGTTGAAGAAATTCACTTCTCACAAGGAGAGACTGGGGGCAAATGCATATAGCAGTTCACTTGAATGTCCCCACATAAAAAAAAATAATAATAACAACAACAAGAAATAAAAGATCTGTTTTACCCTGGTTGGCTTTCAGTTGACCATTTCATTTGGTTCACCTGCTGAGAATTCGGTAACGATGTTACTGTGAGGCAGGACGACAGGACGACTTCTAGCCACTGTATCCTTCTTAGCACTGTTTCCCAGCACTAACTGAGCAGAAGAATCACCTGGCCTCTTGGTCAAAACACAGATTCCTAAGTCCCGCATGTATACAGTAATTCCAGTTAAGCAGGTCTGCAGCAGGACCAGGAGTGTGCATTTTTCAGAAATACCACCTGCCCCCACCAGAAATCTTTAAATATTTTTATCATGCTCTCAATAATAGACATTTCAGAGGGATGAGTTGAAGGAGGGCTGGCATTTGTTCACTACAAAATCATATCATTGAAGGAATCTTGGAAAATATAGACCAGAAGGAAACAAAGGGAGAAAAATAAGCACAGGAGCCGGGCGCGGTGGCTCACGCCTGTAATCCCAGCACTTCGGGAGGCCGAGGCGGGTGGATCACAAGGTCAGGAGATCGAGACCATCCTGGCTAACACGGTGAAACCCCAGCTCTACTAAAAATACAAAAAATTATCCGGTCATGGTGGTGGGCGCCTGTAGTCCCAGCTACTCGGGAGGCTGAGGCAGGCGAATGGCGTGAACCCAGGAGGCGGAGCTTGCAGAGAGCTGAGAGCTGAGATCGCGCCACTGCACTCCAGCCTGGGCGACCAAGCGAGACTCTGTTTCAAAAAAAAAAAAAAAAAGAAAGAAAGAAAAGAAAAATAAGCACAGGAAAAAATACTGTAAAAAAATCAAGATATTAAATATTAACTGTGCTTATGCTTGGAAGTGGAACTATATGTATTATTATTATTTACAGGTTTTATTTACAGACTAAAGGGTGCAGAAGGCATGAAAATATTTTGTGATACTAATCCCATTTTGGAGAGAAAAAATAAGCACTGGCCAGGCACAGTAGCTCATGCCTATAATCCCAGCACTTTGGCAGGCTGAGGTGGGAGGATCACTAGAGGCCAGGAGTTCAAACTGGACAACATAATGAGATACTTTTTTTTTTTTTTTTTTTTTACATGGAATCTCCCTCTATCGCCCAGGCTGGAGTGCAGTGGCACCTTCTCGGCTCACTGCAACCTCCGCCTCCTGGGTTCAAGCGATTCTCGTCTCAGGCTCCCAAAATAGCTGGGGCTACAAGTGTGCACCACCACGCCCAGCTAATTTTTTTTTTTTTTTTTTTGAGACAGAGTTTCGCTCTTGTTGCCCGAGATGGAGTGCAATGGCGTGATCTTGGCTCACCGCAACCTCCGCCTCCCAGGTTCAAGCAATTCTCCTGCCTCAGCCTCCCAAGTAGCTGAGATTAGAGGCATGCATCACCACATCCGGCTTATTTTGTATTTTTAGTAGAGACAGGGTTTCTCCGTGTTGGTCAGGCTGGTCGCGAACTCCTGACGTCAGTTGATTTGCCTGCCTTGGCCTCCCAAAGTGCTGGGATTACAGGCGTGAGCCACCACGCCCGGCTAATCAGGCTGAGTCTCGAACTCCTGACCTCAGGTGATCTCCCCACTTCTGCCTCCCTAAGTACTGGCATTACAGGCGTCAGCCACCACGTCCAGCCACTTTCTTTCATTTCTGTTTCTGAGGTCCATTGCTCCATTCAGTAGAAAAGGGGTGGCTTGGAGAGGATTTGCCAACCTTCCCATGATTTCCATCACCACATCCCCCAAAATGCACAACCTAAGTTTAAAAGCATAGCAACTGGTCAGGTGTGGTGGTTTACGCCTGTAATCCCAGCACTGTGGGAGGCTGAGGCAGGCGGATCGCCTGAGGTCAGGAGTTCTAGACAAGCCTGGCCAACATGGTGAAACCCCGTCTCTACTAAAAATATAAAAATTAGCCGGGCGTGGTAGTGTGCACCTATAATCCCAGCTACTCAGGAGGCTGAGGCATGAGAATTGCTTGAACCCAGGAGGCGGAGGTTGCAGTGAGCTGAGATCTCACCATTGTACTCCAGCATGGTTGACAAGAGCAAGACTCCGTCTCAAAAAAAAAAAAATAGAAAAAGAAAAAAGAAAATGACCCAGCTGAGTTATATAAGCAGGTGATACTAATCTTTTATTTATTTTTCTTTCCTTTTTTTTTTTCAGATGGAGTCTGGCTCTGTCACCCAGGCTGGAGTGCAGTGGCACGATCTCGGCTCACTGCAACCTCCGCCTCCTGTGTTCAAGCAATTCTTCTGCCTCAGCCTCCTGAGTAGCTGGGACAACAGGCGCGTGCCACCACACCTGGCTAATTTTTGTGTTTTTATGGGGTTTCACCATATTGGCCACGATGGTCTCGAACTCCTGACCTCGTGATCCACCTGCCTTGGCCTCCCAAAGTGCTGGGATTACAGGTGTGAGCCACCGCGCCCAGCCGATACTAATCATTTTAAGTGCTGGACTGCAGTGTTATAATCTGGGGTTAAGTAGAGCCACCTAAATAATTTGCCATTTTTTCTCTCCAGGACCACTATACTGAAATGATCCCTATAACCAAAATTTTATTCATGGTCTTCGATCAGTTGCACTAATTTCCTTAGGATCCAAGGATTGATGAAGGTTTCTCGTGGCTCATAAAGTCCAAATTGGGAATCTTGGTATTTGAATATTAATACTATCTGTAGGCAAGAAAAATCGTAACAATTTCAGAAAAAAAAATGTAGGGAGTGCAGAACTTTCAAATATTTAACTAAATGGCAAGAATTCTTTGCTCTTAAACACCCATATATGGAAAATAGAGCAAGGGTTTTTTGGCCAGGTGTTACGAATAGGATGACACTTAGCAACTTCTTGGTACCCTCATTTTCGTATTTTCAAGGAGACTGAAATACAATGTGATCCTTTCTTTTTTTTTTCTTTTCTTTTTTTTTTTTTTTTTTTGAGACGGAGTCTCACTCTGTCGCCCAGCCCAGGCTGGAGTGCAGTGGCGCGATCTCGGCTCACTGCAACCTCTGCCTTCTGGGTTCAAGCGATTCTCCTGCGTCAGCCTCTCAAGTAGCTGGGATTACAGGCACACACCACTATGCCTGGCAAATTTTTGTATTTTTAGTAGAGATGGGGTTTCACCATATTAGTCAGGCTGATCTCGAACTCCTGACCTCAAGTGATCTGCCCACCTTGGCCTCTCAAAGTGCTGGGAGTACAGGGGTGACCCACTGTGACTGATCACCCGGCCAGTATTTTAGTTATTTGTAGAGACAAGGGCCGGCTATGTTGCCTAGGCTGTTCCCAAACTTTTGTGCTCAAGTGATCTTCCTGCCTCGAGTTCCCGAAGTGTGGGGATTACAGGCATAAGCCACCATGCCCAGCAGGAGCTCTTAAGGTCTGCTTGAATGGTCCTTGTTTTGCTGGGTACAGTTAGTTACATTTTATCATTTTTTTTTTTTTTGAGATGGAGTCTTGCTGTGTTGTCCAGGCTGCCGTTCAGTGGTGCGATCTTGGCTCACTGCAACCTCCGCCTCCCAGACACAAGCGATTCTCCTGCCTCAGCCTCCTGAGTAGCTGGGACTACAGGCGTGCACAACCAGGCCTGGCTAATTCTTGTGTTTTCAGTAGACATGGGGTTTCGCCATGTTGGCCAGGCTGGTCTCGAACTCCTCATCTCCCCACCTCTGCCTCCCTAAATATTGGGATTACAGGCGTCAGCCACCACTTCCAGCCACGTTCTTTCATTTCTGTTTCTGAGGCCCATTGCTCCATTCAGTAGAAAAGGGGCGGCTTGTAGGAGATTTGCCAGCCTTCCCATTATTTCCATCACCACGTCCCCCAAAATGCACAATCTAAGTTTAAAAGTGTAGCAACTGGTCAGATGTTGTGGCTCACGCCTGTAATCCCAGCACTATGGGAGGCTGAGGCGGGCGGATCGCCTGAGGTCAGAAGTTCTAGACAAGTCTGACTAACATGGTGAAACCCCGTCTCTACTAAAAATACAAAAATTAGCCGGGCGTGGTGGTGTGCGCCTGTAATCCCAACTACTCAGGAGGCTGAGGAACGAGAATCGCTTCAACCCAGGAGGCGGAGGTTGCAGTGAGCTGAGATTGCACCATTGTACTCCAGCCTGGGTGACAAGAGCAAGACTCCATCTCAAAAAAAAAAAAAAAAGAAAAGAAAAGAAAAAAAAGAAAATAAGAAAATGACCCAGCAGAGTTATATAACAGGAGATATTAATCATTTTAAGTGTTGGACTGCTATGTTATAATCTGGGGTTAAGTAGAACCACCTAAATAATTTGCCATTTTTTCTCTCCAGGACCACTATCCTGAAATAATAATCCCCATAACCAAATTTTATTCATGGTCTTTGATCAGTTGCACTAATTTCCTTAGGATTCAAGGATTGATGAAGGTTTCTCATGGCTCATAAAGTCCAAATTGGGAATCTTGGTTTTTGAATATTAATACTATCTGTAGGCAAGAAATACTGCAACAATTTCAGAAAATAAAATGTAGGGAGTGCAGAACTTTCAAATATTTAACTAAATGGGAAGATTTCCTGGCTCTTAAACACCCGTATACGGAAAGTAGAGCAACTTCTTGGTACCCTCATTTTAGTATTTCTCAAGGAGACTGAAATACAATGTGATTATATATATAATTTTTTGAGACGGAGTCTCGCTCTGTCGCCCAGGGTGGAGTGCAGTGGCGTGATCTCGGCTCACTGCAAGCTCCACCTCCCAGGTTCTCACCATTCTTCTGCCTCAGCCTCCCGAATAGCTGGGACTACAGGCACATGCCGCCACGCCCAGCTAATTTTTTGTATCTTTAGTACAGATCGAGCCAGGATGGTCTCGATCTCCTGACCTCGTGATCCACCTGCCTTGGCTTCTCAAAGTGCTGGGATTACAGGTGTAAGCCACCACGCCTGGACTTTTTTTTTTTTTTTTTGAGACGGATCCTGCCTCAGCCTCTTGAGTAGCTGGGATTACAGATGTCCACTACCGTATCGGCTAATTTTTGTATTTTTAGTAGAGACAAGGTTTTGCCATGTTGGGCAGGCTGGTTTTGAACTCCCAACCTCAGGTGATCTGCCCACTTCAGCCTCCCAAATTGCTGGGATTACAGGCGTGAGCCACCGTGCCCAGCCACAATGTGGTGTTTATTATACAGTTGGATTGACTTAAATACATTCATGGCATTTAAAATGAAATTTTAATTATTACGATTCCTAAAAAACAAATGAACTAAAACTCAATTACTTCCTTCAGAACAAAAACGTTACACTCAAATTTCTCCCATCAGATCTCATTTGGTTCATTAAATCTCCCTGGTGAAGAGGATGGATTCCAGAAACCCAGTGCCAACAATGAAATATCACCCTCATACTTGGCCCACGAGAACATCATATACCATAGTAGAGATTTCGCCCTCCTCTTGGCCCCCGGGGGAGACTACTGTTGGCTCCTAGCACTATCAGCTGGCTAGGAATGTGTATGCAACACTTCTGAAGCCTTGGAAACATAGTACAGAATGTACCCATTTTAGGATGATTCAACTTTATGATTTTTCAACTTTTTGATGGTATAAAAGCGATACATAATCAGTACAAACCATATACATACCACCATTTTTCAGTACAGTACTCATTACATGTGTCAACACTTTATTATAAGATAGGTTTTATGTTAGATGATAACACCAGCATCTTGCTCAATAAATTGAAGCCAGCTTTTTCAACAGAGAACATTATTAGAATGAAACTAGATGCAAGAACAGGAAAGTAAACACCTGTGTCATGTTCAACAAGACTGAACTACGGAGCAAAGAATCACACAGTGTTGCAAGATCTTGAACTGACTAGATGATAGGATTACAAAAACCACACAGCTATTGCTGGAAAATTATGTCATGCAGAGAACAGACTGGCACGATTACATATGTGGGTTTGTCCTACACAAACCAGACCTTTAAGTGAAACAAGTCTATCCAACCATCTTCCCATAAAACCTAGTTTCTATGGAAAACAATCAATTAAGCTAAACCCCCACATTTTAGATGTATATTCATTTATAGAAGCCCAAAAGGACAGTGGGGTTACAAATAATTTTATATTTTAGATGCTTTCATAATTTAAAAAGTTAACATTACAATTTGTGTTACTAAAATGCAAAAACAGGATTGGCATGCTGCCTCATGCCTGTAATCTGAACATTTTGGGAGGCTGAGGCAGGAGGACTTGAGCCCAGGAGTTCGAGCCCAGCCTAGGGAACACAGGGAAAACCCATCTCTACGCAAGACGTAAAAACTGGCCAGCTGTGATGGCATGCCCCTGTAGTCTGAGCTACTTGGGAGGCTGAGGTGGGAAGATCGCCTTGAGCCCAGGAAATTGAGGCTGGAGCTGTGATGACACTAGTGCACTCCAGCCTGGGGAACAGAGTAAGACCATCTCCCCCACTGCCCGCTACTCTCGCTACCAAAAAAACAGCAAAAGCAGGCTAGACTCCTCTAATTTCAGGGAGAGCTAGATGTTTTTTTTTTTCTCTTTTTTTCAGTTTTGCTCTGCCGCCCAGGCTGGAGTGCAGTGGTGTGATCTCAGCTCACTGCAACCTCCACCTCCCGGGTTAAAGTGATTCTCCTGCTTCAGCCTCCCAAGTAGCTGGGATTACAGGTGCCTCCCACCATGCCTGGCTAGTTTTTGTATTTTTAGTAGAGATGGGGTTTCACCATGTAAGCCAGGCTGGTCTCAGAACTCCTGGCCTCAAGTGATCTGCCAGCCTTGGCTGGGATTACAGATGTGAGCCACCACGCCCAGCCTCATTTTTTTTGAGACTGGGCCAGGGAAGGGGGCAGTGGGCCAGGGACTGTCTCTCTCTGTTGCCCAGGCTGGAGTGCAGGATCGTGATCATGGCCCATTGCAGCCTCTACCTCCCGGGTTCAAGCAATCCTCCCACCTCAGCCTCCCAAGAAGCTGGGACCACAGGCATGTTCCACCACACCCAGCTTATTTTTGGTAAAGATGGGGTTTTGCCATATTGCCCAGGATGGTCTCGAACTCCTGGGTTCAAGCAATCCACCCAGCGTTCCAAAGTGCTGGGATTATGTTGCGAAAAGCTGAGTGTTGGGAGAAGCTGAGGCAGGGCTTGCATTCTGACATAATGTAAAAGAGTCTTGGAATATGTCCAGGGTCAAGGGTCTAAAACCCCTTGTGGTCTTTGGAACACCAAGCTCTGTGCTAAAGGGTGGAAGGCTGCCCTGACGCACCATAATCTAAGCCCAGGGCATAAAATCCCTCGTGGCTTGGATAAAATCCAGGGCCTGTGGCTCTGGAATGTCTAGACTTGCTGGCTCCTTGCTCTCCCAGGATCGACTGTAACTTGAGTTAAAAGAACCTGCTCTCCATCATCTCAAGTAGCAGAGCAAATGCTAAACCATCACAGCTGTAAATCATGTGCTTAATGCAAGGTGCCCTTCTGACCTTCACATTCTCACCATCTGTTTCTTTGTTGGATTACCAATAAATAGTGTGGGCTCCCAGAGCTCACGGCCTTCACAGCCTCCACCATCCCGATGGTCTGCTGGTCCTACTTCTCTCTCAAACTGTCTTTTTCTCAATCCTTTGACTCCACTGGACTTTGTCACCCCCACGACCTGGTGTTGGGTCTGGTCACCCTAACAGGGTTACAGATGTAAGCCACTGCATCTAGCACCCACATTATCTTTGAAAGCAGTTGAGTCTTTGGCATGCAAGAACATTCCTGCACTGCAGTGAATCTGTGAACTTACTACTACGGATGCATACCAATTCACAACCAGTGAAAGGCCACGTACCTAAAAAGGTGTTTACTGCCTCAGAATATACTTGACAATTGTGGAAACGTTAGCAATCTACTCTTCCAAGATTCCTTGGAGTTGTCATACATAAGCAAATCCATATGGACTGAGGAATAAGGAGGAAGAGGATAAGGCTTATGGAAGATAAATCATGTTCTTGCCTCCGGTAGGTAGGATTCAATTTAGTCCCTGTATAAATGACTCCATGTTAATTTCCCTTCCCATATGGATGCTAATCCAGTGACTCATAAGCTTAGACCAACAAGCTCAGCATGAAAGCCAAGAAACTTCTGTTTCTCCTAAATTCCGTAGCCGACTCTCATACAGCGAGACCCTCACTGGGCCACTCTGGGAATGACTACAAATGAATATGATGGAGTCCATGTGAATAATGGTTGAGCAGGTGAGGAAAAGGGTCACATCACAGACCTCAAGTCAGACCCACTGATTTGGAAAGCCAACAGTATACTCAGAAGCAAAGCAATGTTATACTTTGTTTTTTCTGAGACAGAATCTCACACTGTCACCCAGGCTACAGCACAGTGGGGTGATCGTGGCTCACTGGAGCCTCAACCTCTTGCGCTCACTTGATCCTTCCACCTCAGCCTCGTGAGGAGCTGGGAGCACAGATGCATGCCACCATGCCACACTAATTTTTTTTTTTCTTTTGTAGAGATGGGGTTTTACCAAGTTGCCCAGGCTAGTCTCAAACTCCTGGCCTCAAGCAATCCTCTCACCTTGGCTACCTAAAGTGCTGAACAACCACAGAGAAGCACTCTATTTTTCCCTCTATTACATTAGCAAATACACAGAAGGACAATTTAGAAACAGATTATACCCAGGAACATATGTCAGGATTACTTATGGAGGTTTTATTATTTTTATTTATTTTTGAGACTGAGTCTTGCTCTGTCATCAGGCTGGAGTGCAGTGGCTCACTGCAACCTCCGCCTCCCAGGTTCAAGCAATTCTCCTGCCTCAGCCTCCCTAGTAGCTGGGATTACAGGTGTCCACCACCATGCCCAATTAATTTTTGTATTTTTGGTACAGACAGGGTTTCACCATGTTGGCCAGGATGGTCTCGATCTCGTTGACCTTGTGATCCGCCTGCCTCGGCCTCCCAAAGTGCTGGGATTACAGGCGTGAGCCACCGCCCCTGGACTACTTATGGAGGTTTTAAAAAATCTTTTAAGTCCAGGCCTGACGTTTAGAGAAGGTTACAAAGGCGGCCAGGATCTGAGTATTTCCAAAAAGCTCTGGAGGCAGCATTGAGGTTTCCTTCCAGTTGAATCACTGACTTTAGGTCGACTGGGGTACTTTGGGTTTTTTGGGCCATTTTTTGGGGGTGTGGGAAGCTTTTCTCACAGATTTACTAGGAGTGGTGAAAAACTTGGCCTCTGGCTTTTTTGGAGTCTGTCTCGCATCTTTTTTCCCCAGCGAAGGACTTTTTTCCTTCACTGCCTCTTCTTTGATTTTTGGCTTCTTCTCTGGGCTTTTCCCTGGGGTCTCAGACTCTGCAGCTTTTGGGGTCTCAGATGCTGGCAAAGCCTTTCTTTTCTTCCCACGAGGTGTGCTGGGATTAGGACTCTTTGCTGGAGACTTCTTTCCTGTGGCATGTTTTTGAATCTAAGAAAAAAAAAAGTAAGTTTAATATAGAAAAAGCCACAAAACCTGACACTCTAACTCCAGGAGTTACTGTTTTTATTTGTATTTATTTATTTTTCAGACTGAGTTTCGCTCTTGCTGCCCATGCTAGAGTGCAATGGCACAATCTCAGTTCACTGCAACCTCTGCCTCCCGAGTAGCTGGTATTATAGGTGTGTGCCACCACGCCCGGCTCATTTTTTGTATTTTTAGTAGAAACAGGGTTTCACCATGTTAGCCAGGCTGGTCTCGAACTCCTGACCTCAGGTGATCCACCTGCCTCGGCCTCCCAAAGTGCTAGGATTACAGGCGTGAGCCACTGTGCCCGGCCAAGTTACTGTTTTTCAGCGCATGGCCAAGTTACTGTTTTTATTAGTTAACCCCCAAAAGGTACACCTCAGTATGATGACAGAAATAAGCTGTATTCCACTATTAAGAATGAGGTATAGGTGAGGTGGCTCATGCCTGTAATCCCAGCACTATGGAAGGCTGAGGCAGGTGGATTACTTGAGGCCAGGAGTTCAAGAGTAGCCTGGCCAACATGGCAAAACCCCATCTCTACTAAAAATACAAAAATTAGCCAGGCATGTTGGCACACACCTGTAATCCCAGCTACTCAGGAGGCTGAGGCACGAGAATTGCTTGGGCACGAAAGGTGGAGGTTGCTGTGAGCCGAGATCATGCCACTGCACTCCATCCTGGGCAACAAAGTGAGACCTTGTCTCAAAAAAAAAAAACAAAAAAAAACTGTGAAGACCCAGAGGTCTTCCTGGTCCAATCAGAGGAAAACCACCTTTCCCTATGACTGAGGGGAGGGAATCCTGGAAGCACCATGAGGAGCACAGCAGAGACACATGGGAGCAAATCCTGAGTCTTCCAAATGTAGCTGCACATCCCTGGCACATGGTGTAGGGCAAGGGTTCCCAGATTCTCTGTGTAAAAGCCAACTGGTGGCTGAGTGCGGTGGTTCATGCCTGTAATCCCAGCACTTTGGGAGGACAAGGCGGGCGGATCACCTGAGGCCAGGAGTTCAAGACCAGCCTGGCCAACATGGCAAAACCCCGTCTCTACCAAAAACACAAAAATTAGCTGGGCATGGTAGTGCGCGCCTGTAATCCCAGCTACTCGGGAGGCTGAGGAAGGAGAATTGCTTGAACCAGGGAGGCGGAGGTTGCAGTGAGCTGAGATCATGCCACTGCACTCTAGCCTGGGTGACAGAGTGAGACTCCATCTTCAAAAAAAAGCAAAGCAAAAAAAAAAAAAAAAGCCAACCGGTTGGGACTAGGTGTGGTGGCTCACACTTGTAATCCCAGCACTTTGGGAGGCCAAGGTGGGAAGACTGTTTTGACCCCCGGAGTGTAAGACCGGTCTGGGCAATATAGCAAGATCCCATCTAAAAAAAAAAAAAAAAAAAAGGTACAATAAATCATGATATGATAACCACCTTCACAGTTCTTTGGGTTCACTCTAGTATTTTTCATCATTTATTGCTCAGCACAGTACCTGCCTGACACAGTAGCCACTGAACCAATCCATTATGAACAGTAAATATTAAAACAATACCTCTACTTTTTCATTAGCTGGAGTCTTCTTTCCTATTGGTACCAGCTGTGGGATTTCGTCTTCGGATTCATTTGTTGCTTTAACTTGGGCTTTTCCTCTGCCACGTTTTTTCTTCCCATGCTCTGGGGTCTGTTCCTTCTTTGATTCAGGTTTCTTCACTGTAGTATCACCACTTTCAGGTGCCACATCATCTTTACTAAGAACTGATGCAGTCTTCCTAGCCTGCTGCCTCTTCTTCTTCCTCTCCTTTTGTTTTTCAAAATTTCTTTCTCTTCGTTTTCTCCTTGCCTCCTACCAAAAAACACCATACAAACATTTTAGCAGGAACAGTTCTGTTGGTTAACAAACGGCATAGATGTACCACGTGCAGTTTTGATTATCCATAAGCCCCTAAATGGACCTCGATCTATACAGAGAACAAACTCCCTAACCAGCACTGGAACCTCAACCGCAGTTTTTGACTCACAGCCAAACATGCATTTTATGCAGTAAATTATATACCGGCATTTCAGAATCTGACTATCTAAAGTATACAGTTAAGAGACTTTTGTGAAACACAGTATGGTTTAGAGTGTAAAGAATAATACTCAGCTGGGCGCGGTGGCTCACGCCTGTAATCACAGCACTCAGGGAGGCTGAGGCAGGAGGATCACTTGAGGTCAGGACTTCGAGATCAGCCTGGTAAACATGGTGAAACCCCATCTCTATTAAAACCACAAAAATTAGCTGGGCATGGTGATACGTGCCTGTAGTTCCAACTACTCAGGAGGGTGAGGCACAGAGAATCATTTGAACCTGGAAGGCGGGGGGTTGTAGTGAGCTGAGATCATGCCACTGCACTTCAGCCTGGGCGACAGAGTGAAACTCTGTCTCAAAAACAAAATTAAAAATTCATTGGACACAATTAACATGGCTAAAGAGAGAAACACTAGGAGATCAGTCTAACAAATAGCAAAAAATTAAATTTTCTCTCCTTCCGAAAGCTTCTTTTGCTAGAGTACGAGTAATACTGAAAACCTACAAACCAAGCTCAGGAGGTATCTGTGAGCATAACCTCCGACATCCAAATACGTGCACATTAGGTGAACTGGTGTGTTGAAGTTATCCCAGTCCCAGTCCCAACGAATGTAGGTGTATGAGTTTGTCCTGTGATGAAACAGCGCCTTTTCTAGGGTTGGCTCTTGCCTGTTACCCTTTTCCCTGAGCTATCAGGATTAAACTCCAGCCACCTACAACCGTGGATGGGAATAACTGGGTAAATAATTATGTCAATTCCTTTTATTACTGTTTCAAATGTATATATAGCTCACATTTATTTCAATGTTTAATATTTTAAATGTTTTGGTCTTTATTTAGAAGTATGGTGATGTTTCTATGACCGGAAATATGTGGTAGGAACTTAACTCAGGCCCCCTCAAAAGCCAGTTAATCCAGGCCAGGCATAGTAGCTCATGCCTGTAATCCCAGCACTTTGGGAGCCCAAGGCAGGCGGATCGCTTGAGCTCAAGAATTCAAGATCAGCCTGGGAAACAGGGCGACCATGTGTGTACAAAAAATAATTTAAAAATTAGCTGGGCATGGTGAAGCATGCCTGCAGTGCCAGCTACTCGGGAGGCTGAAACAGGATTGCTTGAGCTCAGGAGGTCAAGGCTGCCGTGAGCCTTGATCACGTCACTGTGCTCCAGCCTGGGGGACAGAGTGAGACCCTGTCTCTCTAAAAAAACCCAGCAAGCACTGGATCTAACAAAAATAAAAAAAAAATCCAATTTATCAATAAATACAAGATATTTCTATCTTAATGCGCATTACTAACATCAACTACCTCATGTAAAGTGACAAAAGCATACCCATTTTACCTCATGTAAAGTGACAAAAGCACAACCACCACAAAACCAGAAGATAACTGAAAAGTCGGGCAGCGATGATGGTCTACTTCTCTCCTAGTGACTGAATTTACACCCTTCATTATTCATTCTGTAAGTATTTAAAATTCTACTAACTTTTTTCTTCTTATTAAGCAAAGATCTTTTGGTGGCTTCATCCCAATTGCTGACAAACGAGGAAAAGATGGGAAGTGCAGCCGATTTCTCAGTTTTCACAAACAGGAGTTTCACGCTCTCCCACTTCTGAAACAAAGAAAAGAGTAACATCGTCTACATATACTTTGTTTCTTTTAAATGAACAATCAATTGATGCACCTGTAATACTGTACCTCTGGCAATTTTTCTGAAAGTCCTTTGGTGACAGCAACAATGTTTTCAATGATGTGCTCAATTTGCATTCCAACGTGACCAATACGTATAGCACTGAAATTTAATATAGTATTAGACAAGATTTTAAAAAACCATTTTTCAAAATAAACCAGGCAGGTATATGAGAAATATAAATACATAATCCTCAAGTTTTTCTTTTTCTTTTAAAAAGGTAGAAATATTAATCCCGGGCAACATGGCAAAATCCTGTCTCTACCACACTAACAAAAATTAACTGGGCATGGTGGTACATGCCTGTAATCCCAGTTACTCAGGAGGCTGAGGCAGAAAAATCACCTGAGCCCAGGAGCTCAAGGCTACATACAGTGAGCCCAGATCTGGCGACTGCACTCCAGCCTGGGTAACAGGGAAAAACACAGTCTGAAAAAAAAAACAAAACAAAAAAACAAACAAAAAAATCCCATTAAAATCTTTAGGTTCTAAATATATTTTATTTCATTTTTGAGACAGGGTTTTCCTGTCGCCCAGGCTGAAATGCAGTGGCACAATCAACGTACTGGGCTTAAGTAATCCTTCCAACTCAGCCTCCGGAGTAGCTGGGACTACAGGTCACCCAGCTGATTTTTGTATTTTTTGTAGAGATGGGTTCTCACTCCTGAGCTCAAGTGATCCACCAGGCTGGTATGGAACTCCTGGGCTCAAGTGATCCTCCTGCCTCAACCTCCCAAAGTGCTGGGATTATACACATGAGTCACCACACCCAGCCTAAATATGTTTTAAAGGAAGATTATCATCTTTCATGTACTAGAAATTCCTTCTACCTAAAGTAAAATGTCACATCATGAAGGGGTGACTTTTTTTTTTTTTGAGATGGAGTTTGCTCTGTCGCCCAGGCTGAAGTGCAGTGACGTGATCTCGGCCCACTGCAACCTTCGCCTCCTGGGTTCAAGCAATTCTCCTGCCTCAGCCTCCCTAGTAGCTGAGATTACAGGCGCATGCCACCACGCCCAGCTAATTTTTTTTTTTTTTTTTTGAGATGCAGTTTCACTCGTTGCCCAGGCTGGAGTGCAATGGCGTGATCTTGGCTCACTGCAACCCCCACCTCCTGGGTTCAAGCGATTCTCCTGCCTCAGCCTCCCGAGTAGCTGGGATTACAGGAATGCGCCACCACGCCCGGCTAATTTTTTGTATTTTTTTTTTTTTTTTTAGTAGAGACGGGGTTTCTCCATGTTGGTCAGGCTGGTCTCAAACTCCCGACCTCAGGTGATCCGCCTGCCTCGGCCTCTCAAAGTGCTGGGATTACAGGCGTGAACCACTGCGCCCGGCCTAATTTGTGTATTTTTAGTAGAGATGGGGTTTCACTGTGTTGGCCAGACTGGTCTCAAACACCTGCCCTCAACTGATCCACCTGCCACGGTCTCCCAAAGTGCTGGGATTACAAGCGTGAGCCACCATGCCCAGCCGAGGCAGTGATTAAAGAGCTGGTAGCACCTGACTGTGAGGTTAGGCGCATTGGGAGGCAGGGCCAGAGGAGGTTCTACCTTTATCTTAGACAACCCCATGTCGCTGAGTCCGCCTTCAAGCTGTTCTAAAGGGACCTACCTCCAGGAGGGTCACCTGCTCTCTCTATAGTTCTACTGCTCTACCCAGCCGCCATGTTCAAGAATAAATAGTTCTGTGGCTGGGCGTGGTGGCTCACGCCTGTAATCCCAGCACGTTGGGAGGCCAAGGTGGGCAGATCACGAGGTCAGGAGACCGAGACCATCCTGGTTAACATGGTAAAACACCGTCTCTACTAAAAAAATACAAAAAAATTAGCTGGGCATTGTGGTGGGCGCCTATAGTCCCAGCTACTTGGGAGGCTGAGGCAGAAGAATGGTGTGAACCCGGCAGGCGGAGCTTGCAGTGAGCTGAGATCAAGCCACTGCACTCTAGCCTGGGCGACAGAGCAAGAACTCTGTCTCAAAAAAAAAAAAAAAAAAAAAAAAGAGTAAATAGTTCTTGTCCCTGGTGGAATAGTGTCTTTCAGCTACGAGCAAGACCATCCCTTCAGGTGAAACAGAGTGCAGGCAGAAGCCCAGTGGGAAGCCTGGAGGGCTCAGCGCTGGGGCCAGAAGGAAGTGAGCCAGAAGGAAGGCTCACTGTCGGCACAGTGTCTGCGGAATGAGGAATGAGACGGACTGTTGCTCCTCTCTCTCTTCAGCCAAAGACTGGGCACTGCCCACTCCCTGTGCCTGTCACCACCTGCCTGCAAGCACACCTGAGCATCCCAGATGGAAAGATGGTGGGGGGGAAGAAGGGAGAGGAACAGAAGTGGAAGAGGAAAATAAATTCTTTTGCTGGGGAAAGGTAAGAGAGGAAATAAAGAATGATTTCTTTTTTTCTCAATTGTCTGCAACTTTCTTTAAGCTGTTGCTTTTGCCTTGGAAAATCCCCAGTGGCAGGAGACTGCTGCTCCTTTACCTGCCTTCATGGTACCATCTTCTTCTCCCAGATACTCATGGGTCCCATAAACAAGGCCTGAACTTCTAGCCAACCACTTCCATGAGCCACTACTTTGACATTAGCCTTTAACCAAAGGGGTAGGGGTCTAGGCTCCGTGACCAACTCTTCTAGGCTACTTCATTACACCTGATGAAGGGATTCCCAGCAGCAGGCTAAAGACAACACCAGAGACCACCTGTCCTGCCCACCAGTACCCTGCTCTGCTCTACCTGGAGACACTCCCCTGGGGTCAGGCCTCCCTGGTGAGCAGAGGCAAGAAGTCTGTGTTGTTTTCTGCCGACTGTGTCCACTGGGTCTGCACGGCTCCTGGGGAATCTCTGGGTGGAAGGGCAGTGGCCTACAGCTCTGCCTTACTGGCAGCTAGCCATCTCCACACCGCAGTCAGCAAGTGCAGTACTTCATAAAATGTATTTTCAATACATTTAAAACCTGCCCTACCTCCCCAAGCTGATACACTGCCAATAATACAAACTTAAGTCACTTCTCAGCCTAATAAAATAGCCTGAACCGCATCCTTTGCTCAGCCAGAGGTTGGAAGCAATCACTGCCCTAAAACATCTGTTCTAGTAGGTAAGACTAGGTGTGGGGGCTCCGCCTAGCTCAGTATCCAGGGTAAGGTTAAACCAATATGACAACACACACACCAAATAGGCAGATGAACAGGATAAGTGCTGAATTCATTTAATAGGAAGTTAAACCAAGAATGAGGTGGATCTTCACGTTAAGGGGTAATATGGTGCTTTTAAAGGACAATCTGAGGCCAGGTGTGGTGGGTCACGCCTATAATCTCAACACTTTTGGAGGCCAGGACAGGAGGACCGGTTTTGTCTAGGGGTTCAAGTCTAGATGGGGCAAAATAGTGAGACCCCGCCGCTACAAAACATTGAAAAATTAGCCAGGTATGGTGATGTGTGTCTGTAGTCCCAGCTACTCAGGAGGCTGAGGTGGAAGGATTGCTTGAGCCAAGGAGTTGGAGGTTGCAGTGAACTGTGACTGCACCACTGAGTGCAGTGGCACGATAAAGGACAAGCTCAAAGCCTAGAACTAGTCATGTTCTCCAAGCATTCATCTTACTCTCCTTGCTTTTCTTAGTATCTGGAGCTGCCCCGTCCAATGCAGTGACCATCAGCCACTAGCCACATGTGCCTATTTTAAATTAACTAAAAATTCAGCTTCTAACACAGTAGCCACATTTCAAGTGCTCAATAGCTACATACAAATAGTGCCTACTGTATGAGACAGCACAGATGCAGGCCATTTCCATCACAGTAGAAAGTGCTATCAGACAACATTGTTCTAGAGAACTGAACTTTTTTTTTTTTTCATTTAAAGACAGTCTTGCTCTGTCATTCAGACTGGAGAACAGTGACAAGAACATGGCTCACTGCAGTCTTGACCTTCTAGGCTCAAGTGATCCTCCTGCCACAGCCTCCTGTGTAGCTGGGAGCACAGGGATGCACCACCACACCTGACTAATGTTCTTGATTTTTCTGTAATTGGCTGGGGGAGAGGGTCTCATTATGTTGCCCAAGCTGGTCTTGCACTCCTGGGCTCAAGCGATCCTCCTGCCTAGGCCTCCCAAAGTGCTGGGATTACAGGCATAAGCCACTGCACCTGACCCGAGAATTGATCACTTCTGAGGAATAGATTTTAGTTTTAAAAAAGGATCTGGAGCCATTAACAAAATCTTTTTAAAAAGGCCAGGTGCAGTGGCTCACGCCTGTAATCCCAGCACTTTGGGAGGCCAAGGCGGGCGGATCATGAGGTCAGGAGATCGAGATCATCCTGGCTAACTCGGTGAAACCCTGTCTCTACTAAAAATACAAAAAGAAATTAGCCGGGCGTGGTGGCAGGCGCCTGTAGTCCCAGCTACTCGGGAGGCTGAGGCAGGAGAATGGCGTGAACCCAGGAGGCGGAGCTTGCAGTGAGTCGAGATGGTGCCACTGCACTCCAGCCTGGCAGACAGAGTAAGACTCCATCTCAAAAAAAAAAAACAAAAACAAAAAACAAAACAAAACGAATAAGTATATATAAAATCATTGTCAAATACAAGATTAAAAGAGGCACACATGAATGCCTTTTACCTACCTGCAAGAACCACTTTTAGAAATGTTTAAGACTGTTCCACCTATACAGTCATTGATCTCTCTTGATAAATTCTTGGACAGAAGGTTTACAGATACTGGAACTCTACAAAATAAACACACAGGCATTCAGAACACAATGCATACACACCTAGAAGCTTCATGCTGCTAAAGTCCAGTCATTACTAAGAAACTTACTTCTTTCTTTGATAGAAATGTCTCCCAATGAGTGAGGGTAAGAGCCGCCTAATTCTGGCATCAGTAAGGAAGAAATCAAAACTGCTCAGAAGGCGGAGCTTGGCTTCATAGGATTTATATTCCTTCTTTAGAGTTTGGAGGGAGATAATCTAGGAAGTATAGAGAAGAATAAAAACAAGAAGTTAGGAATCTAAACAAGGAGAAGAAATACTTAGGCAACAATTTGGATTTGGATTTAAAAATGTCCTAGAGCCATGCCTCTATACTTTAATGAACACTTGAGGGCCTAAAATGTGCCAGGCACTACGCTACATGCTGGGAACACTGAGACAAATGAGAAAAGACCCCAGCTAAAGCAACTTAGATCTAGGTGGGCAACATATATATATTATTATACATATGTTGCTGTATGTGCTTACGCCTGTAATACTAGCCCTTTGGGAGGCCGAGGTGGGTGGATCACCTGAGCTCAGGAATTCAAGACCAGCCTGGCCAACATGGTGAAACCTCGTCTCTATAAAAATATAAAAATTAGCCGGGCATGATGGCAGGTGCCTGTAATCCCAGCTATTCGGTAGGCTGAGGTGGGAGAATAGCTTGAACCTGGGAGGTGGAGGTTGCAGTGAGCCGAGGTCCTGCCATTGAATTCCAGCCTGGGCGACAGAGCGAGACTCCAAACAAACAAAAAAACTTAGATACCTTAGATCCAGAGGGTAATAAAGACAAGTACACCAACTACAAAACAGCAAATCAGAGAAAAACAAGATGCTGTGGAAGTACAGAGGAATGACACGAGCCACCTCTTTTATAATTTGCAAGATATAAAAGCTACTGATGTACACGCCACCACAAATTAAATTAAAAAGAGAAAAGTAGAAGAAAAATACTAGGAAATATAGCAATGTATTTGTGATACCATTTCGCCTGAATTAAATCCTCTAAATAACTTGAAAATATTAACCAGGCTTCCTACCTGAGAAACGGTTTTAATTCCATGCTTGTTTAAAAGCTTTCTATAAAACTGTTCTGTCTTTTCAGGAGTTGAATTGGGTTCATCCTTCGTAAATAAACAGATATCTTCTGAATCTGATCGAATACTATGAGGCAAGGTCCTACAAAATACGTGAAAAGAAACCGAGGAAAGCATTATTACACACATTATGCATGTTTGTATCACACAGAATACGCGATAAACTTAGTGTTATTTAAATAACTTTTAGTCATGCTAGTTAAGCAAATAATGCACCAAGAACAACACTTAAAAATACATTTCATGGCCGGTAGTAGTGGCTCAAGCCTGTAATCCCACACTTTAGGGAGGCCAAGGCAGATGGATCACCTGAGGTCAGGAGTTCAAGACCAGCCTGGCCAACATGGTGAAACCCTGTTTCTACTAAAATTATAAAAAATTAGCCAGGCACGGTGGTAGGTGCCTGTAATCCCAGCTACTTGAGAGTCTGAGGCAGGATAATCGCTTCAACCCGGAAGGTGGAGGTTGCAGTGAGCCAAGATCGCACCACTGGACTCCAGCCTGGGTAACAAGAGGCAAACTCCGTCTCAAAACACAAAAACAAAAAACAAAACTCACTTTCAATGGCAAGTAAATCACAAAAACACACAGGCCCAAATATCAATTAACACTTGGGATACAACAAGAATTAAAATATACTTAAAGACTTCCAAATGCTTGCATATATAATTATTATACATATGTTGCTGTATGTGCACACGTACTGTAATGCGCTATAAAAACCTAGCTTAATCAGGACAAGCCTGGTTCAGAATTTTACCTTCTTTAAAACTCTTAGCTCCATAAACATAATAACTCTTTCTTCTTTTCCTTTTTTTGAGACAGGGTTTTGCTCAGTACCCAAGGCTGCAGTGCAGTGGTGTGATCATAGCTCACGATAGCCTCCAGCATAGCTGAGACTCCAGGCACGTACCAGTTGGGTGTAGGCCCAGCTAATTTTTGTATTTTTCGTAGAGACAGGGTTTCGCCACATAGCCTGGGCTGGTCTTGAATTTGTGGGCTCAAGCAATCCACCTGCCTCAGCCTCCCAAACTGCTGAGATTACAGTGTGAGCCACCACACTCAGCCAACATAACTTTTTTTTTTTTTTTTGAGATGGGAGTCTCACTGTCGCCCAGGCTGGAGTCTCTGCAACCTCTGCCTCCTGGGTTCAAATGATTCTTGCACTTCAGCCTCCCAAACAGCTGGGATTACAGACGCCCACCATCATGTCTGGCTAATTTTTGTATTTTTAGGAGACATGGGATTTCGCCATGTTGGGTCAGGATGATCTCAAACTCCCAGGCCTCAAATGATCCACCCACCTCACCTCCCAAAGTGCTGAGATTACAGGGATGAGTCACCATGCCCAGCATAACATAACTTTTAAGAATTGAAACAGCCCAGGCATGGAGGCTCATGCCTGTAATCCCAACACTTTGGGAGACTGAGAGGGAGGACTGCTTGAGCCTGAGTTCGAGACCAGCCTGGAGAACACAGTGAAACCTCATCTCCACAAAGATTTCAAAATTAGCTAGGCATGGTGGTGTGCACCTGTAGTCCCAGCTACTTGGAAGGCTGAGGTGGGAGGATCACTTGAGTCAGGTCAGGGAGGTTGAGGTTGCAGTGAACACAGATCTCACTATTGTACTCCAGCTGGGCAACAGCGCAAGATCTCGTCTCTTAAAAAAAAAAAAAAAAGGAGAGATAAAAGAATCGAAACCAAAAACATGGACTAAACCAAGAGGGACCAGCAAACACAATTATGCCACATCTTACAGAAAATAAAATACAAGGGTTTAACTCATTTCTTATGCTTACAACCTATGTTCTGAAGAAGCATTCTGTATAATCACCATGGATTTCTTTTCCATAGACAGAAATTCACTGCAGTTTTTAATAGTCTCTGTACAAAGGAATAAATTGTAGCCCCAAAGAATTTTTGCTTGACATGGAAAGATAACAGTTTCTAATAAAAAAATAAAATAAAATAAAGCTGTTTAACTTATTCCACCTTTATTCTTTCGAACACCACGTTTTCGATTCAACAGACCTGATTACGTTAGCTGTCCACCAAGCTCTAAGAAAACTGGTGAAATTTCTAGAAAATTTTAGCACATCTGAATTTCTACGGTTCTTTTATTTTTTATTATTTTTTATTTTTTTGAGACAGAGTCTTGCTCTGTCGCCTAGGCTGGAGTGCAATGGAGACATCTCCGCTCACTGCCACTCTCCTGCCTCAGCCTCCCGAGTAGCTGAGATTACAGGCACCCGCCATCATGCCTGGCTAATTTTTGTATTTTTGGAGAGACAGGGTTTTACCATGTTGGCCAGGCTGGTTTTGAACTCCCGACCTCAGGTGATCCGTCCACCTCGGCCTCCCAAAGTGCTGGGATTACAGGTGTGAGCCACCACATCAAGCCTCTATGGTTCTTTTGGACATAGTTGTTTTACTTCACGTCAGATTTTTATTATAAGTTTGCAAAGTTTCCATTAGTAACCATGATGCAATTGTTCGAGTTACAAAGAATAAACACACAGATAAAAACAGCAAAGGTAGAAAATCACAACTTACAATCTGACCCTCAGTTCTTTACTTGGAATTTTCCATAATACCACCATTAAAAATAAACTTTCATTCTCATTCAAAAGCAACCCATAATTGTTTTTCCTGGACTTGCAATGCGTCAAGAGAGCGTCCACTGCCTTTCTAACCTGCAAAGTGGAAATTAGACAAATAAGTGAAATGTTTTCACAATAACTTACACAAATAAATGAAATGTTCTCAATCTAATTTAGCATTTGCCCCCTCCCACACCTTCTATTTTTTCCCTTCCAACTTCTATTTCAAGGGGTAACCTCCATAACCGTATCTATTAGGATCCTGCAGTTTATATTCACAGAAATCTAAGAATCCATCAAACATGCCTAAGTACCCACTTCCAGTACTGTGTGCAGAAGGGCACCTCTTCTACTTAAAGAGATTGGGCTAGAGGGAAACGTGCCCCTCCTGCCCTCAATGATGAAAGCAGTAATCCCAGGAAAAACGCAAAGCAAAATGCATTTAGCATTTACTGAGAACTCCTGGCAATTCTCCTGCCTCAGCTTCCCGAGTAGCTGAGATTACAGGCGCCCGCCACCACGCCCACCTAATTTTTGTATTTTTAGTAGAGACGGGGTTTCACCATGTTGGCCAGGCTGGTATCGAACTCCTGACCTCAGGTGATCCACCCGCCTCGGCCTCCAAAAGTGCTGGGATTACAGGCGTGAGCCACCGCGCCCGGCCTACTGAGCACCTTCTTACCATGTACCAGGCCAAAGCGCTTTACACTCATTACCTCTCCCGATCCTGGATAACGGGGAGCCGAAGGGCCCACTTTAAATAACGGGTAACAGACCTGCAAAACTAAGCGATTCGGTCAAGCGCTAATGATAGGGAAGCTAAGCCAGGTCGCCAGGTCTATCTCATCTAGCTCCACAGCACACTTGCAACCCAATTCACTAGCGCCAGGCCGCAGGACCAGGGAAAGCAGGCGCCCACCCACGTGTGTAAAGGGGAGAGACAGCTGAGGCACACGGCCCGCCAGCGACCGTCCCACAGCCCCGGGGAAGTCCGCCGAGCACGCACTCGGGTTCCGGCACCCTGCGCCTCACGAGGTAACCGCCACACTGCTTCCAAGCCACCCTCCCCAGGAACCACTCACCTGTTCTTTATCCAGCTGCTTCCGTGCTGTCGGGGCCGCTGGAGTCGAGGTGGAGGTTCCAGTAGCGGCTGCAGAAGACAGCGAGGCCGAGGCCGAATCCTCCATCTTGTTTCCACCTCGTGAAGAGGCGCGTGTGCAACCCCACTGCTGGCTTCTGGTGCGCACGCGCGAGCAAGCCCGGCCCCGGAAGCGAGGGGGCGGGAACCGAGCCTCTGTGCGTCATTTCCGGGAGAGCGTGGGGTTTCGCTCTCCGGGGCAGTGGCTGCTGTCAGAATCCCTTCTTTGAGGAGGCACCTGCTCTTCCGCTTTTCTCCAGCTTTCCATGAGCTGTGGGGAGTAGCTTGGGTGTCCTCTCACTCTTACTAGATAGAAATCAAGAAAGCGCCTTGAGGCGAGAGAAGAGTCCCGTCAGGAGGCCCAGTGGGGTCCTCCACACTCCACGGTCCCCGCCTCCGGGAAGGCCGCGCGTGGCATGGGCAGAGCGCGGAATCCTGGCTCCACTGCCCACCTGCCCGTTGACTTTAGGCGACGCCAACCCCAGGCTGGTGAGGAGTCCCTGAAATATAAGGCACGGGAGCCACCCGGAGCCACCCGACCTGCCACGTTAAGCAGCATGAGGGACCGAAAGATGAGTCTGGGCCAGTCTCTTAGGAGCTTCTGGTCTCGCAGAGAGGCGGGAGGTAAGATCCTGTACAAATAAGCGTGGCTGGTCGTGCGCGTGGCTGGCGTCTGGAATCCCAGCGCTCTGGGAGGCCGAGGCGGAGGGATTCCAGGAGTTGGAGACCAGTCCGTGCATATACGAGACTCCGTCTCTCCAAAAATTATAAACATTAGCCGGCGTGGTGGTGCGCGCCTGTAGTCCCGGCTACTTGGGAGGCGGAGGATGGAGGATCTTGAGGAATTCGAGGCTCGGTGAGTTCTGATCCGCGCCACTGCACTCCAGCGTAGGCAGTAGAGTGAGACCTTGTCGCTAAACAAACAGGTTAGGAGTGGAGGCTGGATAACTGACAAATGGAATACCTTAGAACAGGGGAGTCCAATCTTTTGGCTTCCGTGGGCCACACTGGAAGAAGAATTGCCTGGGCCCATATATAAAACTAATACTAATGATAGCCGACGAGCTTTAAAAAAAAAATCTAAAAAAAATCTCGTAATGCTTTAAGGAAGTTTACGAATTCGTGTTGGGCTGTATTCAAAGCCTGGCCTCCAGGGCCGCACGCGGCCCTTGGGTAGGACAGGTTTGCTTTGTAATGTCTTCCTCCCACTCCACCCGCCTCCCCAGAGGTACCCTTACCAGTGTCTCCTGGAACCTTCCAGAGATGTTCTAGGCATGTTTAGGAGATACTTCTCCTTTCTCTTGTTGGATGGGTTTAATTAATTTTTTTCCTTTTTTTTTTTTTTTTTTTTGTAATGGAGTCTCGCTCTGTCGCACAGGCTGGAGTGCAGTGGCACGATCTGGGCTCACTGTATCCTTCGCTTCCCGGGTTCAAGCAGTTCTCTGCCTCAGCCTCCCGAGTAACTAGGATTACAGGCACGCGCCACAACGCCCGGCTAATTTTTGTATTTTTAGTAAAGATGGGGTTTCACCATCCTGGCCAGGCTGGTCTTGAACTCCTGGACTTCATGATCCACCTGCCTCGGCCTCCCAAAGTGCTAGGATTATAGGCGTGAACCACCACGGCCAATTTTTTTTTAAAGAGGGAGTCTTGCCCTGACGCCCAGGCTGGAGTGCAGTGATCTTGTCTCACTGCAGTCTCTCCCTTTCGGGTTCAAGCAGTTCTCCTGTCTCAGCCTCCCGAGTAGCTGAAACTACAGGCGGACGCCACCATGCCCGGCTACTTTTTTTTTTTTTTTTGAGACAGAGTTTCGCTCTTGTTGCCCAGGCTGGAGTGCAATGGCGAGATCTCAGCCCACCGCAACCTCCGCCTCCTGAGCTCAAGCTATTCTCCTGCCTCAGCCTCCCCAGTAGCTGAGATTACGGGTATGCACCACCATGCCTGGCTAATTTTTTTTTTTTTTTTTTTTGAGACGGAGTCTTGCTCTGTCGCCCAGGCTGGAGTGCAGTGGCGCGATCTTGGCTCACTGCAAGCTTCGCCTCCTGGGTTCACGCCATTCTCCTGCCTCAGCCTCCCGAGTAGCTGGGACTACAGGCGCCCGCCACCACGCCCGGCTAATTTTTTTTTTTTGTATTTTTAGTAGAGACAAGGTTTCACCGTGTTAGCCAGGATGGTCTCGATCTGACCTCTGCCCTCGTGATGCGCCCGCCTCGGACTCCCAAAGTGCTGGGATTACAGGCCTGAGCCACCGCGCCCGGCGTTAATTTTGTATTTTTAGTAGAGACGGGGTTTGTCCATGTTGGCCAGGCTGGTCTGGAACTCCTGACCTCAGGTGATCCACCTTGGCCTCCCAAAATGCTGGGATTACATGTGTGAGCCACTGTGCCCAGCCTTTTTTTTTTTTTTTTTTTTTTTTTTTTTTAAGAAACGGAGTCTGGCTCTGTCACTCAGGTTGGAGTGTAGTGTCATGACTATAGCTTACTGCAGTTTGGAACTGCTGGGTTCAACAGATCCTCCGGCTTCAGCTTCCCGAGTAGGTAGGACTAAAGGTTCAGGTCACCACGTCCTGCTAACTTTTACAATTTTTTTGTAGAGATGAGGACAGGGAGGGGTCTCACCATGTTGCCCAGGTTGGTCTCGAACTCCTGGCCTCAAGGGATCCTCCCACCTCAGCCTCCCAAAGTGCTGGGGTAATATGCATAAACCACTGGACCTGGTCAAACTTTTACTTTTTAGAAAAAGACATATAGTAGCCTAGTATACCCATTGTTCCGCACCTTGCTTTTTCTTCTTAATATACCTTGGAGATTGTTCCAAGTCAGTACACAAAGCTCTGCCTCATCTTTTTAAACGGCTCTGTGGTGTTCCACCATGCAACAACACTACAGTTTATTTAGGAACTTTTTTAGGCGCCTTCAGGTTGGTTTCAGACTTTTTGCAACTAGTTATATAAAGTTTTGAGAGATGGAGGAATGAGAGTAATAGGCTTTCCTTCAATTGCTTTCAAAAGGTGTTCCTTCCATGAAAGGATGTTCTGCTAATCTCTAGTAATAGCCTTGTGTTTAATCAAGTTGTAGAAGAAATGTTCTGAAATCATTGGCACCTGCTTCCCTTTGTGTATTCTAGAATCTATTAGTAAGAGTGGTTTCCTTTTAGCACAGCTTAATGAATTGTTACACTGGGCTTTGTTGATCCATGTTTTGTAGTATTCTTGAGAATATGGAGGCTATCAGATGTTCTTTCACCTGAACTTAAGTTTGAGAACCATACTTGTAGGCCAAGGACACAGCATGAATGCTGGTGAAAGTGTATGGAAGTGTTTGGAAGCAGTACATAGCTAGAGCAGGAATGTGCAGAGGGGAGGAATGGGAGATGCAGTTTGGAAAGTAGGTAAAGGAATGAATTCATTATCAAGCTGAGGGTTTATACTCACTTTGGAGAAATTGTAAAGATAAAAGGTTTTTGAACTGGCAGTAGAGAAGAAAAGGTAGTGATGATTTATGCGTTAGGTAAGTTAATAATCTGGTTGTGATATTGTGGTTTTAAAGATGTGTCCTATCTATGGATTCTTTGATACCTCTCCCCTCAACTAATGAGGCTTCGTTTCCCTCCCCTTGAGTATACACTGAACTTAGTGGCTTGCTTCTATGAAACAATATGGCAGAAGTGATGCTATATCACTTCTGAGATTAGGTTATAAAACGACTGTAGTTTCATGGCCCGGGGAAGGTGGTTCATGCCTGTAATCCCAGCACTTTGGGAGGCCAAGGCGGGCGGATCACAAGGTTAGGAGATCGAGATCATCCTGGCTAACATGGTGAAACCCTGTCTCTACTAAAAATACAAAAAGAAATTAGCCGGGCTTGGTGGCGGGCACCTGTAGTCCCAGCTACTCGGGAGACCGAGGCAGGAGAATGGCGTGAACGGGGGAGGCAGAGCTTGCAGTGAGCCGAGATCTCACCACAGTACTCCAGCTGGGTGACAGAGCGAGACTCCGTCTCAAAAAAAAAAAAAGACCGTAGTTTCATCTTTGATGTTCTTTCTCTCCCTGTTTCCCTCTCTCATTTACTCCCTCCCTCATTACTTGTAAGGCAGCCCTGGAGAGAGGGAAGCCAGCTGCCATGTTGTGAGGACACTTGGGCAGCCACACAAGTGAGGTTGGAAGTGGATCCTCCCCGGGTCCAACCTTGAGATGATTGCAAACTCAAGAGGCCCTGAGCCAGAACCACTCAGCTAGGTTGCTCCCAGATTCCTGACCCATAAAAACTGTAATATCATAAATGTGTGTTCTTTTAAGGCACTAAATTGGGGTAATTTGTTATCCATCAGTAGATAACTAGTACAGATTAGTATACCTCCTGTCTTCAGACTCATAGACATATTCACCTGTCTTGGAAAAGTCCTATTAGGACCTTATCCTCGGCAAGTCCCGTCGTGAATCATCATCTTCTCAAACCTGCTTCTCTTCTTGTGTGTGTGTGTGTTTTTTTTTTTTTTTTTTTTTTTTTTTTTTTTTTTGAGATGGAGTCTTGCTCTGTCGCTCAGGCTGGAGTGTAGTGCAGTGGCACAGTCTCGGCTCACTGCAACCCCTCCCTCCCAGGTTCAAGCGATTCTCATGCCTCAACCTCCCGAGTAGCTGGGATTACAGGCACGCGCCACGGTGCCTGGCAAATTTTTGTATTTTTAGTAGAGACGGGGTTTCACCATGTTGGCCAGGCTGGGCTCGAGCCCCTGACCTCAAGTGATCCACCCACCTCCGGCTCCCAAAGTGCTGGGATTACAGGCATGAACCACCGCTCCCGGCCCCTCTTGTGTTTTCTGTTTCCATCATTGGTACCACCAAGCCAAATATGAGAGTTATTCTTAACTCTTTCCTTCTCATCCCCCAAACATAGTCAATAACAAAGTCTTGCTTGTTCCTTTTTTTTTTTTTTTTGAGATGGAGTCTCACTCTGTAGCCCAGGCTGGAGTGCACTGGCGCAATCTCATCTCACTGCAGCCTCCACCTCATGGGTTCAAGCAATTCTCCTGCCTCAGCCTCCCAAGTAACTGGGATTACAAGCGTGTGCCACCATGCTCCGCTAATTTTTGTATTTTTAGTAGTGATGGGGTTTCACCGTGTTGGCCAGGCTGGTCTTGAACTCCTGACCTCAAGTGATTCTCCTGCCTCTGCCCTCCAAAGTGCTGGGATTACAGGCATGAGCCACTGCACCGAGCCCTTGTTTATTCTTTTTAAATGTCTCTTGCATGTATCCAATTCTTTTTATTCCTGCCACGTTGTGGTAGAGGACATTATCATGTATTTGTTTTTTGTTTTTTGCTTAGATTACTGCAACAACCTCTTAACTTGTCTTCCCACATCTACTTTTGCATCTTTTATTTTTATTTATTTTAGTTTTGGGACAAGGTCTCACTCTGTCGCGCAGGCTGGAGTGTGGTGGGGTGATCACAGCTCACTGCAGCCTCAACCTCCTGGACTCAAGTGATCCTCCCACCTCAGACTCCCAAGTAGCTGAAATTACAGGTGTGTGCCACCATGTCCGCCTAATTTTTTAACTTTTTTGTAGAGATGGGGTTCTCCCTATGTTACCCAGGCTGATCTCGAACTCCTGGGCTCAAGTGATCCTCCCACCTAGGCCTCCCAGAGTGTTGGGATTACAGGTGTGAGCCATCACTTCCAGCCTAATTTTGCATCTTACAGTCCATTCTCTACCCGTCGGATGGCGTAATCTTTTTAAAATTGAAATCTGATCATATCAAACTGTGCTGCATCACCTTCATTGGATTCTTGTCATTAGGATGAGGCATATTCCTTAATTTGCCTTGTATGTATCACAGTTTGCATCTCTTGTCTGGCATCCTGTGTAGTTTAGTATTTGTCCAAGAAAATAGTGTTGCAGTTTGAAAGATAAATCATATGGACTGGGCATGGTGACTCATGCCTGTAATCCTAGCACTTTGGGAGGCCGAGGTAGGATTTCTTGAGCTTAGGAGTTCAAAGCTGCAGTTAGCTATGCTTGTGCTACTGTACTCCAGCTTGGGTGACAGAGTGAGACCCTGTCTAAAAAAAAATAAGTAAAAATTTTTAAAAGATAAGTAACATGGTCACTCTCAACATGGTAGGCACTCTTCATCTGGTCCCTTTCTTTTTATCTCTCTAACTTCATACCCTGCCACTCAACCCTTCAATCTTTAAGTCCTAGTTTCAACTCTGCAGGTTCTACTTTTCTTCATACCTTCCAATGTACTGTCACTTCTTCCTGGAACACTATCACCTTGTACCTCCATATCCCATCCCCACATATATTAACTCATCCTTCTAATTTCTGCTTCAGATTACTTCTGGAGAATTGTAGCTTAGATAATCCTGTCCTTTTACCCCAAAATATTTATAGTTTTCCTACTATAATTGGCTCTCCCCCATTTGACGATAAGCTTTGAGAGGGTAGAAGAGAGCCAGTTAATGGTAGGAAAACTACAAATGGTATCTTCACTATTTTTCCTTATTTATTTATTATAAGTGACATAAATAGTATTTCTTTAGAATGAATAATGCATTAGAATGGCCTGAGACAGGGCTTAAGGGGATGAACATAGGAAACTATTGTGGTATCAAGATCTGATGGTAGGGTGATAGTGAGGACAGGGTACTTATACTGCTTGACCTGAGCTTGGACATAGAAGGAGAGAAATGTAGATTACTCCCTAATTCTAAGAGCCTGAAAAGCTGGGCAAATGGGTGGTATTAATAGAACTGGGGAAGAAAGGAGGAGCAGCAGATTTAGAGGGAAAACATAAGATTCCTTTTCAGTAGAGTGCTGTACCACATAATGATGTTTCTTTCAACAACAGACCCACATACATGGTCACGTAAGATCATAATGGAGCTGAAAAATTCCTGTCACCTAGTGATGTCATAGCCATCATAATGTCAGCGCATTCCTCACGTTTGTGGTGATGCTGGTATAAACAAACCTGCACTGCCCCCAAGTATGGCAAATATAATTATGTACAGTACATAATTACTTGATAATAATAAACAACTATGTTACTGGTTTATGTATGTACTATACTGTATTTTTTTTTTTAGGGATGGGATCTTACTACATTGCCCAGGCTGTTCTTGAACTCCTGAGCTCAAGTGGTCCTCCTGCCTTAGCCTCCTGAAGTGTTGGGCATGAGATTACAGGGGTGAGCCACCATGCCCTGCTATACTGTACTTTTTTTTTTTTTTTTTTTTTTTTTTGAGACAGAGTCTCACTCTGTCACCCAAGGTGGAGTGCAGTGGCACAATCTCAGCTCACTGCAACTTCCACCTCCTGGGCTCAAGCGATTCTCCTGCCTCAGCCTCCCGAGTAGCTGGGATTACAGGCGTCTGCTGCCATACCCAGCTAATTTTTGTATTTTTAATAGAGATGGAGTTTCGCCATGTTGGCCAGGCTGGTCTTGAACTCCTGGCCTCAGGTGATCTGCCTGCCTCAGACTCCCGAGGTGCTGGGATTACAGGCGTGAGCCACCACACCCGGCCTATACTATACTTTTTATAGTTATTTTAGAGTGTATCCCTTCTACTTATAAAAAAAAAGTTAACTGTAAAACAGCCTCAGAGAGGTCCTTCAGGAGATATTCCAGAAGAAGGCATTGTTACCATAGGAGATGACAACTCCATGTGTCAGTGTCAGTGTCCTTGAACACCTTCTAATGGGACAGATAAGATGTGGAAGTAGAAGACAGTTGATATTGATGATCCTGACTCTGTGTAGTCATAGGCCTAGGTGTGTGTTTGTGTCTTCTTTTTATTTTATTTTATTTTATTTTATTTTAGCTTGCTTTCTCTCTCTCTCTCCGCCAACCCCCCCCCTCCCACCGCCCGCCTTCTTTCTTTCTTTTCTTTCTTTTTTAGTAGAGACAAGTTCTCGCTCTGTTGCCCAGGCTGGTCTCAAACTCCTGGGCTCAAGCGATCCTACCGCCTCGACCTCCCAAAGTGCTGGGATTACAGGTGTGAGCCACTGTGCCCAGCCTGTGTTTACTTTTTTTTTTTTTTTTTTTTTTTTTTTTTTGAGACAGAGTCTTGCTCTGTGGCCCAGGCTGGAGTGTAATGGAGCGATCTTGGCTCACTGCAACCTCCACCTCCCGGGTTCAAGCGATTCTCCTGCTTCAGCCTCCTGCGTAGCTGGGATTACAGGCACATGCTACCACGCCTGGCTAATTTTTGTATTTTTAGTGGAGACAGGGTTTCACTGTGTTAGCTGGGATGGTCTCAATCTCCTGACCTCGTGATCTGCCCACCTCCGCCTCTCAAAATGCTGGGATTACAGGCGTGAACTACTGCGCCCAGCCTTTCATTTTTAATAAAAACGCTTTAAAAGGGGCAGGTGCGGTGGCTCACACCTGTAATCCCAGCACTTTGGGAGGCTGAGGCGGGCAGATCACCTAAGGTCAGGAGTTCCGAGACCAGTCTGGCCAACATGATGAAACCCCATCTCTACTAAAAATACAAAACTTAGCCGGGAGTAGTGGCAGGTGCCTGTAATCCCAGCTACTGGGGAGGCTGAGGCAGGAGAATAGCTTGAACCCGGGAGGCGGAGGTTGCAGCAAGCCGAGATCACCCCATTGCACTCCAGCCTGGGTGACAGAGCGAGATTCCATCTAAAAAAAAAAAGTTTAAAAACGAAAAAAAGGCCGGGCATGGATCACGCCTGTAATCCCAGCACTTTGGGAGGCTGAGGCGGGTGGATCACGAGGTCAGGAGATTGAGACCATCCTGGCTAATATGGTGAAACCCCGTCTCTACTAAAAATAAAAATAAAAAAATTAGCCGGGTGTGGTGGCATGCACCTGTAGCCCAGCTACTTGGGAGGCTGAAGCAGGAGAATCGCTTGAACCCGGGAGGTGGAGGTTGCAGTGAGCAGAGATTGCGCCACTGCACTCCAGCCTGGGCGATAGAGTGAGACTCCGTCTCAATAAAGAAAAAAAAGGAAAAAAAAATTAAAAATTTCAAAAATAGAGAAAAGCTTACAGAGTAAGGATATAAAGAAAAATATTTTTGTGCAGCTGTACAAAGTGTTTGTGTTTTAAGCAAAGTGTTAACTACAAAAGAGTCACAAAGTTAAAAATGTAAGTTTATAAAGTAAAAATGTTACAGTAAGCCAAGGTTAATTTATTATTGAAGAAAGAAAAAATTTTTAAAGCCAGGCTCAGTGGTGTGTGCCTGTTGTCGTAACTACTCAGGAGGCTGAGGCAGGAGGATCGCTTGAGCCTGGGAGTTCAAGTTCAGTCTAGACAATATAGTGAGACCCCTGTCTCAAAAAAAAAAGAAAAATAAATCTAGTGTACGTAAGTGTACAGTGTTTGTAAGTCTATAGTGGTGTACAGTAATGTCCTAGGCCTTCGCATTCACTCACTTATTCACCCAGAGCAACTTCCAGTCCTGCAAGCGCCATTCATGATAAGTGCCCTATACAGGTGTGCCATTTTTAATGTTTTATACTGTATTTTTGCTGTATATTTTAGATACAGTTGCCTACAGTATTTAGTACAGTAACATGCTGTACAGGTTTGTAGCCCAGGAGCAATAGGCTGTATCACATAGCATAGGTGTGTAGCAAGCCATACCATTTAGGTTTGTGTGAGTACACCGATATTCCCACAACTATAAAGTCATCCAAAGACGCATGTCTAAGGATGTATCCTCATTAAGCAACCCATGACTGTATTTTGAGTTTGAAGTTCCAATGGTACATCTAAATGGATCTGGAATGTGGAAGAGAATATTCCTGAACTAAAAAGAAGGAAATTAGAAGTCATTTTCATGGAGGTGATGATTAAAGCTTTGTTAATAGGTGAGATTGCAAAAAAAAAGTCTAGACGAATAATAGAGTTGTAAAGAAACCTTCAATAACAAACAAGGAGGAAACAGAGAAATAGTTGAAGATGTAAAAGAAAACCAATTTAGGAGGCTGATGCAGCCGGATTACTTGAGCTCAGGAGTTCAAGACTGCCCTGGGCAACATAATGAGATCCTGTCTCTACAAAAAATAGAAAAATTAGATGGGTACGGTGGCATATGCCTGTGTCCCAAATACTCGTGATGCTGAAATGGGAGGATTGCTTGAGCCCAGGGGGTTGACGCTACATTGAGCCATGATTGCGCCGCTGCACTCCAGCCTAGGCAACAGAGCAAGACTTTGTCTCAAAAAAAAAAAGAAAGAAAGAATGAAGGCCGGGCGCAGTGGCTCAGGCCTGTAATCCCAGCACTCTGGGAGGCCAAGGTGGGCAGATCACGAGGTCAGGAGATTGAGATCATCCTGGCTAACACGACGAAACCCTGTCTCTACTAAAAATACAAAAAATTAGCCGGGGATGGTGGCACGCGCCTGTAGTCCCAGCTACTCAGGAGGCTGAGGCAGGAGAATGGCTTGAACACGGGAGGCAGAGGTTGCAGTGAGCTGAGATTGCGCCACTGCACTCCCACTCCAGCCTGGGCGACAGATCGAGACTCCATCTCAAAAAAAAAAAAAAAAAGAATGCAAACCAAGAGGGTGCCAAGTTACAGAAGCCATGAGGGAGTGGAGATATCTGAAGATGTGTTAACACTGTTAAATATTGAAGGTGAGAAGAATACATAATAATAAAAGACCATATTGTCAGCACCACAAGACAGGGTGAAAAAATTAAAAAATAAATAAATAGGCCAGGCGTGGTGGCTCACACCTGTAATCCCAGCACTTTGGGAGGCTGAGGAAGGAGGATTGCTTGAGGCCAGGAGTTCTAGACTAGTCTGGATAACATAGTGAATCCTCATTTCTACAAAAACCAATGTAATTAATTTCAACATTCGAGTACCCAGGTCTCACTGATACCATGAATACTATTAAGTTGTTTCTCTTGGAAAGTACTGAGATATCTCTCTTCAAACTTCTTGAAAATCTTTTTTGGAGGTACATAAAGTTAATTTTATTAGGGATTTGGTAAATCAACTAATTGTAAAGAACATTCGAATATGTTGCTGAATGCTAAACATAAAGTTTAAGAAACTTCACCCTTAATAATGGAACTCATATTCTAGTTCAAAATAAATATTACAATCAACTAGTAACCTTAGAAAACTATTAGACATCGTTTTTTATATAGCACTATTAAATCAGTGGTAACACATGGCCAACTAACAAAAGAAACGCCACATAGTCAATTGGTGATGTCTGGATTATCTGAAAGCAATTTAATACTCAGCATATTCTTGGTACTGAAATCTGCTAAGTAATATTAACCTAAACATAATTGAATCAAAGGTAAAACAATATTGCCCAAATGTAGAATGTGACATTTTAAGGAAGGTACAAAGGACATGGTGTTTTGGGTCAGAAAGATCAGTCTGAATCCCAACTCCATGATTTACTAATTGTTTAGCCTTGGGCAAGGTGGCTTAATCTCCCAAGCCTCAATGTCTTCATCTGTTAAATGAAGCTGGTTCCCTCGGATTTAAGAGAATCTATCTTCACAGTGTCTGTCATGTTCATGATAGCACAAGGTTAGTTCTCTTCTTCCCTTTGCTGAAAATAATACAATCATTATTAAATGGATTGGAAAATGAAATTGTTCATCTTAGGGGCCAAAAGAGCTTAACTGCATTCAAGCAGGGAAGAAATAGCCAATCAGTAAAGAAACTGATATTTGATTCTGATTTGGGGGCGAGGGGGTGGAAGGCTGGGGAAGAGAAACAAGAGAAATATGATATTGCCAGAGAAAGAAATGTAAAGAGGTTTTCTGTAGAAAACCTGACTTTATTAACTTAGGTTTGCTGTTTATTTTTAACTCTTTGTCCTCATACAATCTATGTGGGTATCACAAGTACACCATTTTGCTGCTAGGTATCATAGTGTACACCAACCCCACTTAATACATGATTAACAAACAGGCTTTTTTTTTTTTTTTTTGAGACGGAGTCTCACTCTGTCGCCCAGGCTGGAGCGCAGTGGCGCAGTCTCGGCTCACTGCAAGCTCTGCCTGCTGGGTTCACGCCATTCTCCTGCCTCAACCTCCCAAGTAGCTGGGAATACAGGTGCCCGCCACTATGCTCGGCTAATTTTTTTTTTTTCGTATATTTAGTAGAGACGGGGTTTCACCGTGTTAGCCAGGATGGTCTCGATCTCCTCACCTTGTGATCCACCCGCCTCGGCCTCCCAAAGTGCTGGGATTACAGGCGTGAGCCACCGCGCCCGGCCAGGAATGGAATATTAAGGCCACTCTTAGAAGTGATTTCTACATTTAAAAAAAATAGGTTAAATAGCACAAGGTTAGTTCTCTTCTCCTGCCCTTTGCTGAAAGGGATGCCATTAGTCTCTTTTTATCATTGACGCGAACCAGCTGACAACTTGCAGGACTGTGTTCTTTTAACCAGTACCAGTATATAACTGGTAAATGTTATGACAACTCAAAGTGCATCTTTGTTCAAACTAGGAAAGTTTTTTTTTTTTTTTTTTGAGATGGAGCCTCTCTCTGTTGCCCAGGCTGGAGTGCAGTGGCGCGATCTCAGCTCACTGCAACCTCTGCCTCCTGGGGTCAAGCAATTCTCCTACCTCAGCCTCCGAGTAGCTGGGATTACAGGCAAGTGCCACCATGCCTGGCTAATTTTTGTATTTTTAGTAGAGACGGAGTTTCACTTTGCTGACCAGGCTGGTCTAGAACTCCCAACCTCAGGCGATCCACCTGCCTCGGCCTCCCAAAGTGCTGTGATTACAGGGGTGAGCCACCGTGCCTGGCAGGAAAGTTTTAAATAGCTACTATGCTATAAAGTATTATGCTACGTCATCAATCAGGGATCTATAAAAGGACTTAGAGAAGTTATTCATGCACAGAATTGAATAAATCTACCAAAAAAGAAAAAGAAAAGGACTTAGAGGAGTTATTCATGCACAGAATTGAATAAATCTACCAAAAAAGAAAAAGAAAAGGACTTAGCCCTGAAGTTTAAAACAGTTATTTAGTAGAGGTGCAAGTCAGGTTAGTTCTGCAAGTTAGCCCTAGCAACATGAAAGTCACAGGGACAATCCAGTTTTAGAATTGGCACATCATTTAGAAATGGCACCTCAGGCCAGGCGCAGTGGCTCATGCCTGTAATCACAGCACTTTTGAGGCCAAGGCCGGTGGATCACCTGAGGTCAGGAGTTAGAGACCAGCCTGGCCAACATGGCAAAACCCTGTCTCTACTAAAAAAAAATACAAAAATTAGCTGGGCATGGTGGCACATGCCTGTCATCCCAGCTACTCGGGAGGCTGAGGCAAGAGAATTGTTTGAACCTGGGAGGTGGAGGTTGCAGTGAGCCAAGATCCCACCACTGCACTCCAGCCTAGGCGACAGAGCGAGACTGGAAAGGAAAGGAAAGAAATGGTACCTCACAGGCAATACAGGGAAGACCCTCTTTAAGATTGGAAAGGGAGATAAGGGAGCTCATGTTATTTCACTACCTATTAGGATCACTACATTATCTGTTTATCCTTGTTAAGTTTTATAAAAGTAGATGAAGAAGAGGTGAGACTTTTCTCTCTGGTTTTACTTCCTTGCATTAGAGAAATTCAGAAGAAAGGTATTTGCATTTGCAACTAACCTGTCAAAGAATGCTAATTGGAAAGCAAAATCAAATCTCCCTTCAAGGATAGATCATTTGAATTAGAGAATATTCATAAAATGGAGTATTAGCAAAAAAAAAAAAAAAAAATGAGCTGCTGATACACACAACATAATCTCTGAAACGTAATGTGCCAAAGATGACAAAGTTGAGTTCAAGCTATGTGATTCCATTTATGCAGAGTTCAAAAACAGACAAAACTGTTATAATAGATGGCAAAACAGTGAATGCCTTGGCAAGAGGGGATTGGTTGGAAAGTAGCAGGAGAGCTTTCTGGGGTGATGTGTTCTGCATGTTGATGGGGTGTTTACACAGTTGTATACACTTGACAAACTCATTGTAAACTTAAGATCTGTACTTCTTACTGTATGCAAATTTTACCTTAATAAAAAATCCTCTCCTTTGTCATACAACATCTGTCTTCCGGAACTTCTTTACAAATCATACTCCTAAGAATCTAAATCTTGAAGATTTATTTTTTATCCTAAAACCTGATGTATTTGCCAGGGAATTAACAAAGATAGTGATACCGACTGCTTTTAAGTAACTTCTGTAGTTTTAAAAAATTAATTCATAATAGAGGTACAGATTTTCAGGGTACATGTGATAATTGACACATTCATACAATGTGTACCAATCAAATCAGGGTAATTGGGATATCCATCACCTATTTATCTCCATGTGGAAACGTTCAAATTATTTTCTTGTATTTGGAAATGTGGAACTTGTGTAGTTGATAAGCAAATACAAAGTCCTTTGGGAGTACTGTGCCCAGTTAAGTGGGAGGAAATCCTCATTAAAAATTTCAAACTAAATATACAAGGTACAAAACAAGTTAAATATGGTTTTTTTTTCCATTATGCCCTCTGAATTATTTTTACCAGTTGAGTTATTACCAGTAGCTTGACTCCTGACTAAGCTCAAACCAGAGAACAGAACTTTTAGTGAAAATGCTTTAAACATGTAAACTAATATTACTGTTTGATGATCATCATTTCCATTGAAGGCAAATGTTAAGGGATCAAATGTGGGCAATGGGATGTTAAGAAAATGTGCAGCTAACAAACATTAAATGTGACTCATTGCAGATAGAGGAAATTTTTGGCCTTTTTTTTTTTTTTTTTTTTTTTGAGATGGAGTCTCACTGCCATTGCGCAGGCTGGAGTGCAGTGGTGCCATCTTGGCTCACTGCAACCTCCACCTCCCGGGTTCAAACGATTCTCTTGCTTCAGCCTCCCAAGTAGCTGGGATTACAGGCTTGCACTACCATGCCTGGCTTATTTTAGTATTTTTAGTAGAGACGGTGTTTCACCCTGTTGGCCAGGCTGGTCTTGAACTCCTGACCTCAGGTGATCCACCCACCTTGGCCTCCCAAAGTGCCAGGATTACAGGCGTGAGCCACTGTGCCTGGCCTGGCCTAATATTTAACAGAAGGATCATATTCCAAATAATTCAAAAAGTACACCCATCAGCTAAAGGAATTTTACTTGTTATAGGCAGTCTCTTATTCCTAGCAGAAAACATACGAAAATATTTCTTGCAAGTAATGTGGGTGCACAAAGCCTTCAGAAACAATTTGAAGGAAAGATTGACAGTAACAAGAATTTCACTTAAAAAAAAAAAAAAAAAGACAGCATCTCACTATGTTGCCCAGGCTAGAGTGCAGTGGCAATTCACACGTGTAACCATAACCCACTGCAGCCTCCAACTCCTAGGCTCAGGTGATCTTGCCAACTCAGGAGTAGCTGGGACTACAGGTTTGTGCCACTGCATCTAGCAAATTTCATTTTTTTTTTTTAAAGACTGTTAACAGGCTGGAGTGCAGTGGCACGATCTCAGCTCACTGCAACCTCTGCCTCCCGGGTTCAAGTGATTCTCCTGCCTCAGCCTCCCAAGTAGCTGGGATTACAGGCGCACGCCACCACACTCAGCTAATTTTTGTATTTTTAGTAGAGATGGGGTTTCACTATATTGGCCAGGATGGTCTCGATCTCTTTTTTTTTTTTTTTTTTTTTTGAGACGGAGTCTCACTCTGTCGCCCAGGCTGGAGTGCTGTGGCGCAATCTCGGCTCACTGCAGGCTCCGCCTCCCAGGTTCACGCCATTGTCCTGCCTCAGCCTCCCAAGTAGCTGGGACTACAGGCCACGCCCGGCTAATTTTTTGTATTTTTAGTAGAGACGGGGTTTCACCGTGTTAGCCAGGATGGTCTCGATCTCCTGACACCGTGATCCACCCACCTCGGCCTCCCAAAAAGTGCTGGCATTACAGGCACACGCCTCCACGCCCAGCTAATTTTTGTGTTTTTTAGCAGAGACTGGGTTTCACCACGTTGGCCAGGCTGGTCTGGAACTCCTGACCTCAAGTGATCTGCCCGCCTCAGCCTCCCAAAGTGCTGGGATTACAGGCATGAGTCACCGTGCCTGGCCTGAACCCCTACTTTAATAGCAAGCTTGGTCCCAAGTTTTAAGCTATGATTGGTTTAATGCCAAATACCTAGAGGCTGACTGCCAAAACCTCAAAGCGATTCACCTAAAGACAGTTCAAACAGGAACTTAGTACACAGGAATGAACTGCTGTCATTCAAGTAGCCACTGTGTATGTTACCTTTATCATTAACTTCTTCTTGCCCTTGCACATTGAATGAAAAGGGCAAGCACTATTTGGTCTCTTGATCTTTATTAAAAATCCTGAATGTAGAGGTTCATAGTTCTAATAATAATTGACGTTTCCCCCAACTCTACTGTTCACATAAAACCACATAACTGTGATCTAGTTATTTATTATTCAGCATCCCTAACTTCCTATAGGGTTCTTATTTTTGTTTCCTAAGGTTGTCGTATACATTATACAAAAGACTTGCATGCCATATGCAAGCAGATGACGTTTGTGAATCCCTTATGTGACAGAGCTTATTAGATCCATCCAACAAACCTTTTGGTAGATGGTTCCAGTACCTGATACAAAAATAAAAGGATTGTACAAAAAAGGGCATGGTTTTTGCTTGTTACAACACAGGTAATTACAAACGACAAATCCTTCAAAAGGGAAGATGACAACTTTTATTGTTATTACAAAAGCAAATTTAATTTGTCATTTGAATAATTGCAAGAGCAGACTAAGGGCTTAATCCTCACACAGGCACCAAGTCAGGCACAGTAGGTAGCTACAAATCGTAAGAAAAAGCTTTCTTTCCTACCTAGAGCACTCTTCCATGCTTTGGAATTAGGCTAAAAAACTCAACAAACCTGATCAGTTCCCTTTAATCCTGTTTTTTTTTTTTTTTTTTAAATGAGATCTAGGTATTAACCTGCTGTCTAGCGAAAACTAGTCACTAAGTCCTGGCCTGAGAGATACCCACATTTCCTTTAGAACAAACAGAACTAATACCTGTGTACATTTCTGAGAGCCTGATGTGTGAGTCCTTAAAATGTAGACCTTGCAGGAGGCTTAGACCTCAGTTTCACCTAATGCATGTGGAGGAAATGGAGGTGAGAATAGTCACCTGAAGAGTGCAAGCGCTCCAGCTCCAGCACACACACTCTTCCCTGGGCAGCAGGAAAAGGAGGTAACAAGGACTTGGGCTGACATCTGAAGCACTAAGCTAATGTGCCTGGTAGAGGGGAGCCTCAGGAAGCACAAGATGTCATTCCACCTGTGCTGTCCACAAACCTGAGGTTTCCACATCGTTTTAAAGGGCACAGTGGCAAATGTGACAAGGCAGAAAACAATAACCATTTCAAGGATCACTTAAGGAATCCTGGTGTTTTCTGCCTAATCAGAAGTAGTACCAACCTGCTTTTCCCTTATATTGGAGAACATAAAGGTTTTAATTAATCTCCACTCCCACACCTTCAGGCCCTTATAATAATCCTTAGTAAACAACTCAGCTAGCATTATTGTTTCAAGGAAGCATAGGATTAGAGGTATGTGAGAAGTGTATTTATTGAAGGGAAGACTCAGTAAGTTCTAGGATATTAAAGTCAAGAATATCCTAGAGCCAAAAACCACCAAAAGTTGAACCAAATCTACCTGAACTGAACTGATAGTAAACTGGGTCAAATGGAATCCACGGAATTACTACTGGAAAATAAAAACACTTCCTATTCTTTCTATTCCTATTCATTTACTATGAAACCTAATCTAACCAACTGACTGCTAAATGTAAAGCTAGTTAAGTCTTTTGTGCATGTGCAATTACACTTACTTAACAAGATGCTGCCATGGCGAGATCTCTCACGAAAGAAACAAGATCAAGGATGTACTAGATGGCATCTGCTAGAATCACTGAAAAAGTTAGCTGCAAGAAATAAAAGCCTATTATTTGGAGATAGATAATTGTCCCCTGAATCCACTGGTTGTTCTCTTCCTTACCTATGTCTGTGAAAGGATTAATGGCACAGTTTGATAAGGTAAGCCAACAATGAATATAACATTTAACCATCCTAAAATCAGAGCTATAGTGCTATAACCACATTTTTCACAAAGGGTTTTAAAGTTGAAAGTTGCCTGATGTTAAGACCTGTAATAAAACTGCGTATTTTCCCCTTGACTACCTTAAATCCCTACCCAAAGCAATGAAGCTATCATCCATGAAGTAGCAGTCCATGAGGAAGTCCATGCCAGTAAGAAAAGGTGCTAGAGTGCTGTTATGTGTAATAGTCATCAAAGATCACGGAGTAATTCCAGTCATTACTAGTGTTCCTGCAGATCGCCAAGGGAGCTTAGCTGATTTTTTTCCAGGTTCATCTTGGGAGCAGTTTTTGATCATAGGTTCAACTTTTTTCTTGGGTTGCAAAACTGCATCTGGCTGCAAGTCTAACCCAAAATATTCGCAGCGTATCAGCTGAGAGGATGCCGGCAACTGTTGAACTACATCACAGTTCAAAGTCCCATATTGTGAGAGCAGTACTTGTAGTTTATGTAACCAGCAAATATGAGTTACCTCGTTACAGTGAACAACCTGCACTGTTAGAGTTTAGGAACTTTTGACATTCGGTTATCACATATTTCAAAGATTTTCAACTCACAAAAAAAAAATACATGGGCTTAATTACTCAGTAACACTTTACTATTTGTCACTTAATCTCAAGACAATACACACTCAGTCCAACTCTTTTGGTTTGATTTTACATAGATTTTCACTTACTTCTGCAAATTAAAAACAAGAAATGAGTGCTGTATTTCCCCCTCTCCCACAGTAAGAAACAAGGGTTTAAAATGGCAATTACTTAGATGTTTATTTCAATATTTCTTAAATTCACTTTATTAATTTAAAAAACTAAATAATCGCATGAAAGTTATATAAAGAACATCATTAATGTGAAAAGATGCAAGAAAAAAATCATTCTAGTAGAGCAACGTTAGAGAACAAATGCTTAGGTAATACCCTAAATATGCAGCCAACTACCCTATTTTTGCACTGTTGACCATATAAGCACGTTTGCATTTGCAGAAAACAGAATGACAGCATAGGAATTTGTATTGCTCTATAACGGTCCAACATCTCCACATAATGCCAAGTTCACCTTAGACATTTTATTTACTTATCCAAATGAACAGCCTGTGTAAGCAGGATTGAAAATGCATCAACTTTAAAAAGATGAGAACAATTTTCAAAGCCCATAGAACTTATGTTGCTGGTTAATTTTAGCACTGAAATTTCTTTTGAATAATCTAATCTTGCAAATATGCAAGAATCCAGTGGAATTTTTACAGTTACATTTGTATTTGTATGACCTGTTACTTTTTAGAGGTAGGCCCTTCACAGTTGATATCCAAGTTACTTAAGAGTCTTGGCAACATGCACATAATAGTCTAACAGTGTAAATGTTTTAGTAGCAAACATAACTTATTTTTTAAAAATGTGTTCTATTTAGAAAGGGAACTCTTATCTCTGGAAGTGATTTCCGTGGCTCTTGAACTTTTAAATATTCATTAAAATTCAAGCAATTGCTAGTATTTGTTTTTATTAACATGGAATTACAAAAAGAACTATTATGTTTTGATTAAAGCTCCTATATTTTCCAGAAAAATAAAAGCCCAGAGATTTGCAGACATAATAAAATCTATTTAAATTTCATGCAATAGCCATAATTATAGTTTTAAGAATCTGTAGGACAATAACTTTGCTCTGTCCATAAGATGTAGCCTCATTCAAGAAATGAATGGGAATTTCACAGTTAAGAAAACACTAGGCCAAGTGCGGCGCCTCATGCCTGTAATCCCAGCACTTTTGAGAGGCTGAGGCGAGTGGATCACTTGAGGTCAGAAGTTTGAGACCAGCCTGACCAATAGGGGGAAACCTCGTCTCCACTAAAGATACAAAAATTAACTGGGCCTCGTGGAGGGCTCCTGTAATCCCAGCTACTCAAGAGGCTGAGGCAGGAAATTGCTTGAATCCGGGAGGTGGAGGCTGCAGTGAGCTGAGATCGAGCCACTGCACTCCAGCCTAGGTGACAGAGTGAGCCTCTGTCTCAAAACAAAACAAAACACCCATTAGATTAAGTTTTATGTTCTGTGACTGGAAATACAGTCTGTCTAGGCTTTTCTTTTCTGAGGAGCAAAATTATAGGGAAGAGACTTGTCATTAAATATACAAAGTATCTTATTTAGAGAGAAATCACAATCTAAAAGAGGCTATCTTTGATCAATGGCAACACTCAACATCAAGGGGGCTTTGGATAAACCCACAAATTGCCTCCATTCCTCATTTATTCTCATGAAAAATTTCAAAGTCATGATAATTATAGCAGAGAGTCATTCAATCTAAAACCCACACAATGCTGCACTGTGGTTCATCAAAAACATGGTTAGCAAATTTCAGCTTTACACTTAAGAAAACTCAGTCAATTTCAAATAATTGAGATAAAACTTATACCCTGCTTGATTCTGCTTATCGCTGATAATTTTAGTCTGTTCAGATTCTGATGATTCTAAATATTTTCATTTAGTTGCTAGGTTGAGATTTAGCTTTAACCAGCAAGGATCATCCAACCTTTAAAGTTACTGATACAAAGAGTAAACTGAGTAACTTGTAGAAGTGGCACTTGCAACTGATACGGTTTTCATACTAGAGGCATGCAGCTCTATTTATAAATACTACCAGAGGAATTTTTGCCAGGTCTCAAACATGCTTTATTTGTTGTTAATTCCACTAATTTAACAAGTTAATGGAATTTTCTCTAGGGGTACAATTTCATTACGCTTTACTTATAAAAACTACAGTATGCTGTTCTTTTATTTTAAAACAACTTACTGTGTTCAAGAAATCATGTTACAATATAAATTGGCAAAAAAAAAAAAAATAAATAAATAACTAAAAGACCTAGTAAAGCAGTGTCACATTTGCATAAAGGGATTTAACTGCATGTATGCATTAACCATCAAAAGAAGGGGTCAAACTAATCCTTTCCTTTAATACAAACTTGAACGCTGTGAATGTCTCATTTATAGTGGGTAGGGAAAGAGTTTATAAAAGTCCAAGTAATAAAATGTATTCAATTACTTGGGAAAGTTAAAAAGCTAATGCAACAATGTTACATCCAGATAAAAAACATTATTCAAAAGCAATTCAAATACCGAAAAGGATTTCAAATTGAATATTTTATTAACATGGTAGTTGCCTTTGTAACATGTGCACACACACTCGCACACTCAGAATGATCTGCCTGGGGGAAAAATACTAAATATGCCTAAGGGGAAAATGAAAAATAAAAAAATTCCTGTAGGTTTTCATTATTGTAGGCAATTATGTCCACATCACTTACAAAGCTATTGCCAAATCTGTCCAAGGAAGCAGAGTTTGAAGTGAGGGCTAGGGACAGGAATCTTGGGAAAAATTCAACAGTGGCATAGCAGAGCTCTCAATATGAGAAAGCTGACATAATGTGGACTTTTGCTGTGAATTTCCTCTTTGCAAAATATGGGGAGAGGTTTATCAATGGGCAGAAAATAAGAGAAGGCGGTGTGAAGTAGGCTTCTGCAGTCAATTTTCCTCACAGTATTGTGCAGGGTCATCAAGAAAATGCTTAGTCTTTCTCTGGAACCAGTTTCAGAACTTTTCCAATTGCAATGGTCTTACCTAGAAATGAAATTTTAAAAAAATCTTTCAGTAGTTAACAGCAAGTCTATATAAGATATTAAAACTTATTATTTTAAATCACAAAAATATTTTTTACAATGTAAGTTACTAATTAACTAGCTTTACTGCCAAACCCATGATACTTCTATTTAGGTAGTCTTAATAAGAGGGTCTTATTTGGGGGGGCTGGTAAAGAGATGGTTCCCTGTATCAAAAACCTATCTCCCCCCGTACCCCCCAAACAATTCTCCTGCCTCATCCTCCCCAGTAGCTGAGATACAGATGCCTGCCACCACGCCCAGCTAATTTTTGTATTTTTAGTTGAGACGGGATTTCACCATGTTGGCCAGGCTGGTCTTGAACTCCTGACCTCAGGTGATCCACCCGCCTCAGCCTCCCAAAGTGCTGGGATTACAGGCATGAGCCACTGCATAAAGACAGAGTCTTACTCTGTCACCCAGGCTGGAGTGCAGTGGTGCGACTTCAGCTGACTGCAACCTCCTCCTTCTGGGTTCAAGTGATTCTCCTGCCTCAGCCTCCTGAGTAGCTGGGAGTATAGGTGCTTGCCACCATGCCCATTCTAATTTTTATATTTTTAGTAGAGGCAGGGTTTCACCATGTTGGCCAGGCTGGTCTTGAACTCTTGGCCTCAGGTGATCCGCCTGCCTCGGCCTCCCAAAGTGCTGGGATTACAGGGGTGAGCCACCACACTGGGCCAAAAAACCTCTTTGGATTAAAAATAAGAAAAGGGAATATCCGTATTTGTGGAATATCCACCCAGTGGAGTACTATTCAGTGATACAAAGGAATAAATAACATGTTACATGGTTGAACCTCAAAATCACACTAAGTAAAATAAACTAGACAAAGGACCACATAATTTATAATTCTATTTATGGAGTGTCTATAAAAGACAAATTGAAAAATGGTTGCCTGGGGTGGAGGTGGGAATAAGGGGTGATTATGAACAGGTGTAAGGTTTCTTTTTAGGTGTTCTAAATGTTCTAATATTAGTATATGGTGATGGTTGTACAATTCTGTAAACATACTAAAATTCATTGAATTACATACTTAAAACAGGTCAATTTCATATTATGGAAATTGTATCTCAATAAAGCTGCTAAAAAAAAAAATCCCAAAACCTATCCTTAAGTAACTGTGAAAAGGCACAGCAATCACCACTGACTACAGTGCAGTGAACACGTCCTTCTGGTAGTAATCCTGTGGACTGAAAGGATACAAAACCCATTGGGTCTTGTGGAAAACCTAAAAGCCAAGTTAGCTTTTTTTTTTTTTTTTTTTTTTTTTTTTTTAAAGCCAAGTTAGCTTTTAGGAAAAAATAATTCTAGGGTTAAGAATTCCTGCTACATTAATTGCTTTTCTTCTGTCTTCCTGATTTTATCAGGTTCTGAGTGGTAAACTAAAACTATCATTTTGTTATATTAATAAGATAAACCCAATAACCAGTTTTACTATCAACCAGAAGAGTTCTGGGCCTTTAAAGTAAAATAAACACTGTCTTTATACAATTTCATCCAATGTAAAGTTCAGGAACTGTATTCATCACCAGGGCTTAGCACAGTTCCTGACACTTTGTAGATACAAAGTAGTTTTTGCTAAATGGAATTGGAATGAACATGTGAAATGACTATTCTGTATTTCAATGGAACTATAAAGTTTTATGTAAAGTCTTCTATAGTCTTAAAATGGTTATCTAAGTTAGAAATATTAACAGCTGGGCCGGGCACGGTGGCTCACGCCTGTAATCCCAGCACTTTGGGAGGCCAAGGCGGGCGGATCACGAGGTCAGGAGATCAAGACCATCCTGGCTAACGTGGTGAAACCCCGTCTCTACAAAAATACAAAAAATTAGCCAGGCATGGTGGCAGCACCTATAGTCCCAGCTACTCGGGAGGCTGAGGCAGGAGAATGGCGTGAACCTGGGAGGTGGAGCTTGCAGTGAGCCAAGATGGTGCCACTGCACTCCAGCCTGGGTGACAGATCGAGACTCCATCTCAAAAAAAGGAAAGGAAAGGGAAGAGGAAAGGGAAAGGGAAAGGGAAAGGAAAAGGACAGGAATATTAAAAGCTCATAAGGAAACGTTTCATAACAATCATTTTGTTTTTATGCCAAAGAACTTCATGACCCCAAGATGGGAATGTTAGTTGTTCTGCGTCACCCAGAGGTAGGCAGAAATGGATGCACACAAAAGGTCACAAAGATTAGACCTCTGAAAAATTAGGTGTAAAAAAAAAAATCAATCTCTATGTTCCTTTTAATCGCTAGACATATTACAAAGGATTACATCATAGAAATATCTTAGTAAACAAAATAGCCCTCCAAATCCACTACTCACAAAACATCAAAATTAAGATTCTTCACGTAGAGCATTACTAGATTTGGCATTACTACTAAAGCACGTGGTCAATTCTGTTCAATACATTCAACTCATAAAACACTCATACGAATAAGAATGTGAATCGAAGTTTTCTGTGAACCTGTTGCAATGTGTACTGTACTGAGATGATGAAGATGACCAAAGCTAGGTATCCTGGATATACTACTAGACGTCAGTTTAAAAGCTCTTACCCTCATCTCTTAAGGTGAAACGACCCATCTGAGGGAAGTCTTTAAAGGTCTCAAGGCAGATGGTTCCTGCTGTCCTTAAGCGAGCAATGCATACTTGATCTTGTTTGACAAAACGGGGTCGGGTCTTACTTTTTTCTCCTGATTTTTTGTCTACCAAGCAGATTAAGGCCTAACCAAGAAAAGAGTATGAGAAAATCAGAATAATGCCAAATAAAATAATCTTTAAGAACAGGTGTAGAAATAAAAGTGCATCACTGTTGCTGATTAGAAATTATGAAGATAAAACAGTATTAAAACAGAAATAAACCAATTATCTTAAACTCACTGTTATTTCCACCTCCTCAATACAGGTATGAATATGCAGCACCGCATTATAGCCTGGGCAGATGATGGATTTGTGCTCTATAATCACTATCTGTCAAACAAACACACACATTCTTATCTTTAGCCTTAGGGTAAATAAGAATTCAATGTTCTCAAGCGCCATATAAATCCCAAGAATTAGTGTTACCATCTCACTAGGACATCAACTTAAGTGATTTTTGTGTTAGAGGTGATAGGTTTGTCTTACTAATTTTGTTCACAGGATGGGTCAGGCTGCTTGAACTCAAAGCATGAATTTCAGTATCTTATCCTGTATTTATCTTCTTGGCAAGTCCCTGGTCAACTTTCAAAATACGGCAGGCTGGCTGGGCGCAGTGGTTCACGCCTGTAATCTCAGCACTTTGGGAGGCCGAGGCGGCAGGGGGGCCGGGGGGATCACCTGAGGCCAGGAGTTCAGGACCAGCCTGGACAACATGGTGAAACCCTGTCTCTACTAAAAATACAAAACAATCAGCCAGGCGTGGTGGTGGGCGCCTAAATCCCAGCTACTCAGGAGGCTGAGGCAGGACAATCGCTTGAATCCCGGAGGTGGAGGTTGCAGTGAGCCAAGATCGCGCCACTGCACTCCAGCCTGGGTGACAGAGCAAGACCCCATCTCCAAACAAAACAAAAGACAGCAGGCCAACTTTCTTATCTGGGAAGACTTTCCTTATATTCCCCAAGGAACTAAGCTAATTTTTACCGCTCAGAAGCTACCTAGATGTAAACTTATCCAGCTTTATCCATTTCTCAATATCCAAGGTCCAGTAAAGTAAACAACCTTACATCTGGCATCAAAATCTAACTTGATTAGTTGTCATACCTTAGAAAAGAACTTTAAAAAATTCTGTTATTCACACCAGTCACTTACTCTGTCATTCTCCCAGGGAGGTTAGATTGTTAATAACAGGGAAACCTGTGTGATTTCTTGTCTGGAAAGCTATGTGCTGTCAATGAGCACATAAACCATGACTTCCACAGTAACTGTGCTCTGGTCAAAGTGAATATTAGATACTGTAGAATGTATCATCAGGAGATCAAACATAAAAAGGAACTTACAAAGAATACTCCTTATCCAGTAAGCACTTGTACCAGCTTGAAGACCTTGTATGAGGTGCCTATTGTGGTTATGATATATAAGTGGCTTATAATATTTCCATTCCCCTTCTCTACACTAAGATGGGTTAACTGGCATGTCACAAATAATCAGGACAAAAGGCACTGATATTCTAATTTCATTTAGACATTAAAACCCACTATGACAACAACAATAATTTGTTTACCTGGGCATCAAATGTGCGTCCAGAATGACAAAGATTATTAGGATCACAAAGTATAAACCCTGGAAGAATCTCCTCTTCTTCAATTCCTTTCAGTCTGATTTTGAGGTTTTCACCTGGGGCTACGGTATCAGTCTCTACATCATCGGAAAGTATTCCAAGAACTTCCACGTTGTGCTTTAAAAGAAAACAAGACTGGAGGTTTTCTGACACATTCACTGCATTACGCAACATAAAATGATCTGAATGTCTGTCTGCTCAATAAAGAGTTGCAAGATTTGACTGTAAACACTTATGTTTGTATGACATAAAATCTTAGCCTAGATATGATCAGCAAAAATCATATCCTAGAAGTATAACTGCCAATTAAAGTATTAACGTGTCACCTTTTAAATATCACATTCTAATCATTTCCAACTAGAACACTGTATACACTAGCATTTGCCTTTTTTTACCTTTTCAAAATCGAAAACACAATTTAATATTTGGATTTCAGTTTTATGGATATAATTTTTATTATTATGGAATTCTATGAAGGATTTAATAAACCTGTCTTCTATTACCTATCAATCTCCAAATATCGGAATTATGCACTACTTAAAAATTATTGAACTAAGCTTTAAAAGTCTATCAACTATTTAATGAATACATCATTTCCTTTTGGTGTAATGAAATGGTCTGGAATTAGATAGTGATGATGGCTGCATAGCATTGTTATTTTTTTATTTTGAGACAGAGTTTTGCTCTTGTTGCCCAGGCTGGAGTGCAGTGGTGCGATCTTGGCTCACTGCAACCTCTGCCTCCTGGGTTCAAGCCATTCTCCTGCCTCAGCCTCCCAAGTAGCTGGGATTACAGGCACCCACCACCATGCCTGGCTAATTTTTTGTATTTTTAGTAGAGACGAGGTTTCACCATGTTGGCCAGGCTGGTCTCAAACTCCTGACCTCAGGTGATCCACCCACCTTGGCCTCCCAAAGTGCTCAGATTACAGGCGTGAGCCACTGTGCCCGGCCTAAACTCTTTGTTTCTAACAAAATAGTCCACGGAGCTGGGTAGTCCACATGCCTTTAGCCCCGCTACTTGGAAGGCTGAGGCATGAGGACTGCTTGAGCCCAGGTGTTTTAAGGCTGCAGTGAGCTATGATCACACTACCGCACTGTAGCCTGAGTGACACAGCGAGACCCTGTCTTTAAAAAAAAAAAAAAAAAAAGTTTTTAATGTAAAAATAAAATAGTTATGGAGCCTCCAGTTCTGATGCCAGTATTGCTCCTCAGTACTGCCAGTGCTGGCTGTGGCAGCAAGGTGAAGCAAAAGAACAAGTGACCTGAGAGGAGATACACGGGAAATTTACCATCAGTGACATTTACTACATCAATAATGCTATGCAGGCCAGGTGCAGTGGCTCACGCCTCAGCATTTTGGGAGGCCGAGGCGGGTGATCACCTGAGATCAGGAGTTTGAGACCAGCCTGGCCAACATGGTGAAACCCTGTCTCTACTAAAAATACAAAAGAAAAAAAACAATTAGCTTGGCGTGGTGGCAGGCACCTGTAATCCCAGCTACTCAGGAGGCTTGGGCAGGAGAATCGCTTGAACCCAGGAGGCAGAGGATGCAGTGAGCCGAGATCGTGCCACTATACTCCAGCCTGGGCAATAAGAGCGAAACTCCATCTCCAAAAAATAAAAAATAATAATAATAATAATAAAAAAAAGGCCGGGCACAGTGGCTCACACCTGTAATCCCAGCACTTTGGGAGGCCAAGGTGGGTGGATCACAAGGTCAGGAGTTCAAGGCCAGCCTAGCCAAGATGGTGAAACCCTGTCTCGACTAAAAATACAAAAATTAGCCAGGCGTGGTGGCAGGCACCTGTAATCCCAGCTACTCGGGAGGCTGAGGCAGAGAACTGCTTGAACCCTGGAGGTGGAGGTTGCAGTGAGCTGAGATGGCGCCACTGTACTCCAGCCTGGGCCACAGAAGGAGACTCCGTCTCAAAAAAAAAAGAAAGAAACAAGAGTTTAGAAGTCACTCACCTAAAAAACAATCTGTATCGGCTGGGCGCAGTGGCTCACGCCTGTAACCCCAGCACTTTGGGAGGCCAAGGCAGGTGGATCACGAGGTCAGAAGTTCAAGACCAGCCTGGCCAACACGGTGAAATCCTGTCTCCATTAAAAATACAAAAATGAGCTGGGCATGGTGGCACGTTCCTGTAATCCCAGCTACTTGGGAGGCTGAGGCAGGAGCATTGCTTGAACCGGGACCTGGGAGGTGGAGGTCGCAGTGAGCCGAGATCACACCACTGCACTCCAGCCTGGGCTACAGAGCGAGACTCCGTCTCAAAAAAAAAAAAAAAAACAAAACAAAAAACAAAAAACAATCTGTATCTCAGAACAGTTTCATAAAATATCAAAGTAAAAAATAACCAATTTTTAATTTAACCCATTAATTACTTACTGTGGTAAAATACATGTAACAAAATTTACCATCATAACCATTTTAGGTGTACATTTCAATAGTACACCTAAATTAAATACATTTAAAATATTGTACAACCAATATTCAGAACTCTGAAATCTTGTTATCTTGCAAAACTGAAACTCCCCGTTCACCCGAACCCTGGCAACCACCATCCTACTTTCAGGTGACAAATGTGACTATTCCAGGTACCTCATTTAAGTAGAATCATACGGTATTTGTCTTTTTGTGACTGTTTTATTTCACATAGCATAATGTCCTCAAGGTTCATTCATGTTGTGGCCTGTGTCAGAACTTCCTTTTTAAGGCTGTGCAATATTCTATTACGTGTATGTAACACGCTTTCTTTATCCATCATCCTTTATGGACACCAGGGTTGCTTCCACCTTCTGGCTACTGTGAATAATACATGTATGAACATGTTTATACAGATATCTGAGACTCTTTTGGGTATATACTCAGAAAGAGTATTGCTGGATTATGTGGGAAATCTATGTTTAATTTTTTGAGGAACTGCTATATTTTTTCACGGCACTTGGCACAATTTTACATGACCAACAGTGCACAAGGGTTCCAAATTCTCCACATCCTTGCCAACACGTGTTACTCTGCTTTCCAAAAAAAAGTTTTTAATTGAGATGGGATCTCACACATAGTGAGAGACCCAGCCTGGTCTCAAAACTCAAGTGATCCTCCTGCCTCAGCTTTTCCGAAAGTGCAGGGATTATAGGCATAAGCCACCATGTCCAGCCCTGTGGATTTGATTTTTATTTCCCTAATAGTTAGCAGTGCTAGGCATTTCTTCATGTACTTTTTGGCTGTTTGTACATCTTCTCTGGAAAAATGTCTATTGCAGTCCTTTGCCCATTTTTGAATTGGGTTGTTCAGGTTTTCTGTTGACTTGTAGGAGTTCTTCATATATTCTAGATATTAACCCCATATTTAGATACATGATTGGCAAATGTTTTCTCTCATTCCGTAGGTTGCCAACCCCATGAATTTTTTATTGTAAAAGTCTGGCCTCTTTTTTATTTGATATTTGAGACGGAGTCTCGCACTGTCGCCTGTGCTGGTGTGCAGTGGCGTGATCTCAGCTCACTGCAACCTCCGCCTCCCGGGTTCAAGCGATTCTCCTGTCTCAGCCTCCTGGGTAGCTAGGATTACAGGCACCCGCTGACACACTTGGCTAATTTTTTGTATTTTTAGTAGAGACGGGGTTTCACTATGTTGGCCAAGCTGGTCTCGAACTCCTGACCTCGTGATCCACCCACCTTGGCCTCCCAAAGTGCTGGGATTACAGGCATGGCCCACCCACCAGCTGCCTCTATGTCTTTTAAACTATTCTAGCTCTGTTCCACTGAGATTCAGGAGGACTAAACTGAAGTGAGTTTTTGAGGCTTGCTCAACTCTAGGACATTCTATACCTGCCTAGTGATTAGTATCAAGTGATAGCTTCCACAGAGAACAGCTACTTTCTCTATACTAGTTACTAAGGCCCCTCACTTGCAAATATGTCTGGGCACTAACTTCACTTATGTTTAGAGAATCATACTTTTTTCTATTCTGGTAAAATATAAGTAATAACATTCAACTTTTAAACCATTTTAGTTTGCAATTCAGTGCCATCTAGTGTATTCACCATGTTGTACAATCAATACCACTATCTAATTCTAAAACTTCATTGTCCCAAAAAGGAAATCCTACACCCGTTAAGCAGTCACTCCTTACTTTCCCTCCTTCAGCCCCTTGCAACCACCAAGCTGCCTTACACTTCCATAGCTTTTTTTTTTTTTTTTTTAGTAAAGGTCTCGTTCTGTTGCCCAGCCTGGAGTGCAGTGGTGTGATCAGAGCTCATAAATCATAGCAACCTTGACTTCCTGGGCTCAAGCAATCCTCCTGCCTCAACCTCCCAAATAGCTACGACCACAGGCACGTATCACCACAAGTGGCTAATTTTATTTTTCACAGAGACAGGGTCTCCCTATGTTGCCCAGTGTGGTCTCCAACTCCTGGGCTCAAGCAATCGGTCCACCTCAAACTTCGAAAGTGCTAGGTGTTAGCCACCATGCCTGGCTCATCTCCATAATTTTTGGGACAACTCTACAGACAAAACTGAGTAAGTAAGGGCTGGGTGTGGTGGCTCAAGCCTGTAATCCCAGCACTTTGGGAGGCCCAGGCGGGCAAATCACGAGGTTAGGAGTTCGAGACCAGCCTGGCCAACAAGGTGAAACCCTGTCTCTACTAAAACCACAAAAATTAGCCAGATATGGTGATGCATGCCTGTAATCCCAGCTACCCGGGAGGCGGAGGTTGCAGTGAGCCAAGAATGTGCCACTGCACTCCAGCCTGGCGACAGGGTGAGACTCCATCTCAAAACAACAACAGCAGCAACAACTAACTAAGAACTCAACCTGAGAATTATTTTCACTCATATGTTAGCCTCCAAGTTGCAAAGATAATAGGAAAAAGTAGGCTTTAAAATGTAAACATTTTAGAAGATACTATATATTCTCATCTCCAATGCACAAGGCATCAAGAAACCAGATAATACAATTTGTAAGGTGCCAATTATGTCTAAATATTACATTTGATAATGGATTCTTTTTCTAATTTACTCTGCCTGGAGTTAGCATGGTAAATAAATTCTCACTGAAATCTAGCAAAATCTCCATCTGAAGGTACTGATGACTCAAGTCTGTGGTCCTGCATAAGCAACATCTTTGGAGCTGTTAGAGAAGCCCTGCCTCAGGTTATCTGCAAATCTCAGCAACTGAACAGTCAAAAATGACACAAAGGAGGCCAGGCATGATGGCTCACGCCCGTAATCCTAGCACTTTGGGAGGCCAAGATGGGAGGATTGTTTGAGGCCAGGAGTTAGAGACTAGTCTGGTCAACATAGTGAGACCCCATCTCAATTTTTATTTAAAAAAAAAAAAAATTAGCCAGGCAGAGTGGCACAAGCCTATAGTCCCAGCTACTTGGGAGGCTCAGGTGGCAGGATTGCTTGAAAGTTTGAGGCTGCAATAAGCTATGAATGCGCCACTGTACTCCTGCCTCGGTGACAGAAGAAGACCCTATCTCTTAAAGAAAAAGAAAAAAAATCAATAAATAGATAGGAAACAGCATAACCGATTCTTACCTTGTTTGGCATCATCACAAGCTGCTGGCCTTTACAAATAGATCCTGATTCCAGCTTTCCCAGGACCACAGTGCCCATATCCTGATCAAATGTAAAATAAAATCCAGTTTCAGACTTCTTGGTGCTGTATAACAGCTCAATAGCCCAAAGTGAAATTCTACACTGCTTATTCATAAAGGAAAATCATTTGCTTAAGTAGAAGGCTTAGGTTCATCTTAAACTCAGTAACAAATACTCTATAATAATTTGTGTCATAAGCATATGTATGATCATATTAATAATTCAGTATGCCTATAATTTAAAAAGAAAATGGCACAAGCTGGATGTGGTGGCTCAAGCCTATAATCCCAACACTTTGGGAGGTGGAGGTGGGTGGACCACCTGAGGTCAGGAGTTGGAGACCAGCCTGGCCAATATGGCGAAACCCCATCTCTACTAAAAATACAAAAAAAAAAAAAATTGCCAGGCACGGTGGAATGCCTGTAATCCCAGCTACTCCAGAGGCTGAAGCAGAAGAATCGCTTGAACTCAGGAGGCAGAGGTTACAGTGAGCCGAGACTGAACCACTCGACTCCAGCTTGGGTAAAAGAGCAAGACTCTGTCTCAAAAAAAAAAAAAGGCTGGGCTCAGTGGCTCACGCCTGTAATCCCAGCACTTTGGGAGGCCGAAGCGGGTGGATCACAAGATCAGGAAATCGAGCCCATCCTGGCCAACATGGTGAAACCCCGTCTTTACTAAAAATACAAAAATTAGCTGGGTGTGGTGGTACCTGCCTATAATCCCAGCTACTCGGAAGGCTGAGGCATGAGAATCGCTTGAACCCAGGAGGCGGAGGTTGCAGTGAGCCGAGATCATGCCACTGCACTCCAGCCTGGTGAAACAGCGAGACTCCATCTCAAAAAAAAAAAAAAAGGTGCAGAAAACAACACAGAAGTTTATGTTGGAAGATCTGAACTGTTTGTACAAATTCAGGTTCTCCTGATCTCTAGGCCTGTTTCCTCATATATAAAATTGGAAAAAGCAATACTTGTTAAAGAAATTTAGAACGGAGCTAATTAAAGAATAATGTATTTGAGGAGGGGAAAACATTACATACATTGATACCGCAAAACTTAAAAATTCAAGTTGGAAATCCAGTTAAAAACAAGGAAGTTTATTTTTTTTAAGACGAACATCCAGTGCTGGTGAGGCTGTGGTAAAACTAACACTCATGCTGCTAGTGGTGACAGAAGTTAGCACAGTATTTTTGCGATGCTATTTACCAATATGCATCAACTTTAATAAGAAAATCCTTTGAGCCCAGCAGTTACATCTATGAGTTTATCACTAAGATATGATCCCTGGCTCATCGGGAAACAGCTAAAATAAACTAAACTTGTTGAATAAATTATGGTCTATCTATACCACTAATATAAAGCCATTAAGAAAAAGACATCAATGTTATGTTGTTAATAAAGTTTTTGGACCGGGCATGGTGGCTCATGCCTGTAAGCCCAGCACTTTGGGAAGCCAAGGCGGGCGGATCACCTGAGGTTAGGAGTTCGAGACCAGCCTGGCCAACATGGTGAAAACCGGTCTCTACTAAAAATACAAAAAACAATTAGCTGGATGCGGTGGCACACGCCTGTAGTCCCAGCTACTCAGGAGGCTGAGGCTGGAGAATCTCTTGAACCTGGGAGGCAGAGGTTGCAGTGAGCTGACATCACACCACTGCACTCTAGCCTGGGTGACAGAGTGAGACTCCGTCTCAAAAAAAAAAAAAAAAAAGAAGGCCAGGTACGGTGGCTCACGCCTGTAATCCCAGCACCTTGGGGGAGGCCGAGGCAGGTGGATCACAAGGTCAGGAGATCGAGACCATCCTGGCTGACACAGTGAAACCCCGTCTCTACTAAAAATATAAAAAATTAGCTGGGCGTGGTGGCGGGAGCCTGTAGTCCTAGCTACTCAGGAGGCTGAGGCAGGAGAATCACTTGAACCAAGGAGGCAGAGCTTGCAGTGAGCTGAGATCGCGCCACTGCACTCCAGCCTGGGGGACAGAGTGCAAGATTCTGTCAAAAAAAAAACAAGAAAGAAAAGAAAAGAAAAAAAGTTTTCAAAACTAGAAACAAAATGCACAACAATGATTTCCCCTCCCAGGAAACCCAATTTCTTTAACATTTTGGGTACCTTGTACTTATCCACAATTGGCAGCCTGATTGGTCCATCAACTGATCTATTGAAGTTCGGCAAATTATCCAGATATGGAATAAACGGTAATCCACTGAGAACATAACAACAAAGCCATTAAAGGAAGTCAACATAAATATCAAAATGTTAAGTTACATGACTATAAACAGCTTCTAATAATATTTTCATTCTACTCATGTATTCTTCCCATTCAACCACTTTATTATCCATTTCATCTCACTTATTCCACAGAAAACTATTATAAAACTGCTCAGTATAAGGCTTCCTCATAAACTTATTAAAATTTAGAGAAATATTTTATAGCAAATAGCCTACATGTAATAAATTGACTATATTACTTTTTATGGACTTTTCCAGCTATGAAACCAAGATTCTATAAAATAATTTCCCCTTTAAACATACAGTATTGGCTGCGTGCAGTGGCTCATGCCTATAATCCCAGCACTTTGGGAGGCCGAAAGGCAGGTGCATCTCTTGAGCCCAGGAGTTCGACACCAGCCTGGGCAACATGGTGAATCTGTCTCTACTAAAAATACAAAAATCAGCCGGGTGCGGTGGCATGTGCCTACAGTCCCTACGACTTGGGAGGCTGAGGTGGGAGGATCTCTTGAGCTGGGAGGCAGAGGTTGCAGTGAGCCGAGATCATGCCACTGCACTCCAGCCTGGTTAACAGAGTGAAAACCTGTTTCAAAAAAACAAACCAAAAAAAAGAAACACGGAGTTCAAGAATAAACTCGTATTTATGGTCATTTGATTTTCAAAGAGGGAGCCAAATCAATTCAATGAAAAAAGAATAGTCTTTTCAACAAATTGTGTGTAAACAATTAATATACAAAAACAAAACAAACCTACACATAGACCTTACATCTTACACAAAAGTTAACTCAAAATCAAATACATATCTAAATGTAAAAAACTTCAAAAATAAAACCTTTTGTGCTTCAAAGGACACCATCGAGAAGTGAAAAAAGGCAATCCATAAAGTGGGAGAAAATACTTGCTATAATCATATTGTAGCTGATAAGGGACTGGTAGCCAGTATTAAAAAGAACTCTTAGGACTCAGTAACAAAATGACAACCCAGTTTAAAAATGGGCAAAGATCTTAGTATTTTTAAAGCCAAGGTTACATTTAATATTTTCTTAAATTACTTATAAAGATATATGCTCAAAAGCATATGTTAACATGTTACTCAGCATATGTCTTTATAAGTAATTTAAGTAATAACATCCTTTTCCTTTTTAAAAAAAGGAAAAAACAGTTACTTACATGTACCAAGGACAGAAATCCGACTGCTCTTTGAGATTTGCTCCAGTAAGTCCTGAGCAGGGCATAAAGTGAATGTCCTTTTTGGGATTGAAGCCAACTTTTTTCAAAAATGGCACTAGTTTCTCCTTACATTCTTCATATCTGCAATTATAATGTAACCAAAATAACTCAATTATAATGTAAACCAAGAACTCTAGTTTCCTAAGTAAACAGATTAAGGTTTAGAAAAACCCTAGAGAAAAAGTCGTACAATAACAAAACCATCCTTAATCCCACTAACATAAAATACCAGACATCTACGCTCACCTCTCATTGCTCCAATTTACTGTTGGATCATCCATCTTATTAATTAGCACAATTAGGTGTTTTACACCTGCTGTCTTTGCCAACATTGCATGTTCTCTTGTCTGTCCTCCTTTTTCAAATCCAGTTTCAAACTCTCCTTTCCTGGCTGAGATTACCTAATTCCAAGAAAGGAAACAGTTTACTCCTTCGCCTTCAGGCATACCCTTATGGCAGTAAAACATCTTTCCTTTCAGTTATATCACGAGTTTTTTTTTTTTTTTTTGCAAGAAAATAGAAGCAAACGAGTTATGACGTACCTGCTTTTGAATGTCACAAATCAAACAATGTCTAGATGCTTCCAATCCCCCACATTCCCAAAATCTAGTATACCTGCATATTTTAAAATTCCAACATTTACTTTCTAGCTATTGTAACTACAAAGGAAAAAAAATTGTGATCTACTACCAGTACATTGTGAAAAGCGCAAAATGACTGAAGACCGTATGAAACAGATGGTTTCCTATTCATTTTTTACCCATGGTGCCTAACGGTGGGCTTGGCATTTAATGGAGACTAAGTTCTGACATGGTAATAGATAATAGCAACAGGAGAGAAAAGGTGAAACGTATTTTCAGAAGTAAATCAAATTTTGAAGATTTCTTGAAGAGAGATTAGTATGATGAAAACTGTGACCGTGTACATCATTATATTTCACTGCAACCTGAATTTGAGCTTTTAGAAGATAAATTCAAATTTAAAGATATAAGCGGGGCTACTAACAAATATACAGATGGACTGGAAATGTCTTTCTTACCAGCACAGCCAAATCAGCTTGAGAGGCACCACCAATCATATTTGGGACAAAACTCTTGTGGCCAGGGGCATCTAGAATTGTGAAATGCTTCTTTTCGGTTTCAAAATAGGCACGACCCACTTCTACTGTTTTACCCTTGTCTCGTTCTTCCTGATTTGTGTCTAAGGCCCAAGACAAGTACCTGAAATAATTTTTAAAAAAAGAACAATATTCCTAAGAACATCAGAGTTTTTAGGATATTCTTCACCATTAAAGATATAATGGATGACACACAACACCTAAATCACGAACAAGATTGGTGAAATGAAAATTGAGCCGGGTGCGGTGGCTCACATCTGTAATCTGAGCACTTTGGGAGGCCAAGGCGGCGGATCACAAGGTCAGGGGTTCGACACCAGCCTGACCAACATGGTGAAGCCCTGTCTCTACCGAAAATACAAAAATTAGCTGGGTGTGGAGGAGCCCACCTGTAGTACTTAGGAGACTGAGGCAGGAGAATCGCTTGAACCTGGGAGGAGGAGGTTGCAGCGAGCCAAGACCGTGCCATTGCACTCCAGCCTGGGCGACAGAGCAAGGCTCCGTCTCAAAAGAAAACAAAGAAATTGAAAGAATAGGGCTGGGCGCAGTGGCTCACGCCTGTAATCCCAGCACTTTGGGAGGCCGAGGCTGGCAGATCACCTGAGGTCAGGAGTTCGAGACTAGCCTGGCTAATATGATGAAACCTCATCTCTACTAAAAATACAAAAGTTGGGCATAGTGGTGCACACCTGTAGTCACAGCTATTTCGAAAGCTGAGGCAGGACAATCGCTTGAAGCTGGGAGGTAGAGGTTGCAGTGAGCCAAGATCGTGCCATCGCACTCCAGGCTGGGCAACAGAGGGAGACTCTGTCTCTCAAAAAAAAAAAAAAAGGGCTAGGTGCAGTGGCTCATGCTTGTAATCCAAGCACTTTGGGAGGCCAAGGCAGGCGGATCACCTGAGGTCAAGAGATTGAGACCATCCTGGCCAACATGGTGAGACCCCATCTCTACTAAAAATACAAAAATTAGCTGGGCATGGTGGCGGGCGCCTGTAGTCCCAGCTACTCGGGAGGCTGAGGCAGGAGAATCGCTTGAACCCAGGAGGCGGAGGTTGCAGTGAGCTGAGATCGCGCCACTGCACTCCAGCCTGGTGACACAGTGAGACTCCGTCTCAAAAAAATAAATAAATAAAATAAAACTGAAAGAATGTATTATTTTGATTCAAACCCTTAGAGCTTTTATATAAACGCAGTCAATTATACCATCTAGAACTTTATGGCAAGTTGACTACACAGAAAGACTAACTACAAATGCCAATATCACTGTGTGTTAAGTGATAATGAGCTCCCTTATTACTTCATTTTTATACTCACATGGCACAAAATACAACACAAATAATGGCTGTCTTGAGAGTTAAAGGGTAATAATAAAACTTTTTTGGATGGATGCTGTGGCTCACGCCTGTAATTTCAGCATTCTAGGAGGCTGAGGCAGGCAGATCACAAGGTCAGGAGATTGAGACCATCGTAGCTAACACGGTGAAACCCTGTCTCTACTAAAAATACAAAAAATTAGCCAGGCGTGGTGGCGGGTGCCTGTAGTCCCAGCTACTTGGGAGGCTGAAGCAGGAGAATGGTGTGAACCCAGGAGGTGGAGCTTGCAGTGAGTGGAGATGGAGCCACTACACTCCAGCCTGGGCAACAGAGCCTAGGTCGTGCCCGGCACCCCCACCCCTCTTCTTCTTTTTTTTTTTTTTTTTTTTTTTTTTTGGAGATGGGAGTCTTGCTCTGGCCAGGTTGGAGTGCAGTGGCACCATCTCGGCTCACTGCAACCTCTGCTTCCCAGGTTCCAGCTATTCTCCTGCCTCAGCCTCCCAAGTAGCTGGGATTACAGGTGCCCACCACCACGCCCGGCTACTTTTTGTATATATATTTTTTGAGATGGAGTTTAGCTCTTGTTGCCCAGGCTGGAGTGCAGCAGCACCATCTCGGCTCACCGCAACCTCCGCCTCCCAGGTTCAAGTGATTCTCCTGCCTCAGCCCCCCGAGTAGCTGGGATTAGAGCATGCGCCACCATGCCCAGCTAATTTTGTATTTTTAGTAGAGACAGGGTTTCTCCATGTTGGTCAGGCTGGTCTCGAACTCCTGACCTCAGGTGATCCGCCTGCCTCGGCCTCCCAAAGCGCTGGGATTACAGGCGTGAGACACTGTGCCCGGCCATTTTTGTAGTTTTAGTAGAGACAGGGTTTCACCATATTGGCCAGGGTGGTCTCGAACTCCTGACCTCAGGTGTGATCTGCCTGCCTTGCCTCCCAAAGTGCTGAGATTACAGGCTTGAGTCACCGCGCCTGGCCCAATAAAAGTTGTTTTCCTTTTTTCTTTTTTTTTTTTTGACATGGTGTCTCACTCTGTTGCCCAGGCTGGAGTGCAGTGGTGCAATCTCGGCTCACTGCAACCTCCGCCTCCCGGGTTCACGCCATTCTCCTGCCTCAGCCTTCCAAGTAGCTGGGACTACAGGTGCCTGCCACCTTGCCCAGCTAATTTTTTGTATTTTTAGTAGAGACGGGGTTTCACCATGTTAGCCAGGATGGTCTCGATCTCCTGACCTCGTGATCCGCCCGTCTTGGCCTCCCAAAGTGCTGAGATTACAGGCTTAAGCCACTGTGCCAGGACTAAAACTTTTTAATAAAATAAAAAATAACTGTCCTCAGATATTTTTGAAAACTGAAAGCCACTAACGCACCATGTGGGAGCAATGGTTACTTGCTAAAAATTGCTTCAATATCACACTGCCAGGCAAAAATTCATATAAATTCAAACCATCCGTAATAGTGGGCATTAATTTAGCTTACCTCATCATCTTCACAGCATGTCCTCAATTTTTTATAACAACACTGACTAGCATTTCTCCCGCTTATTTTAGAGGAATATAATTTTATTTTAAAAAAATGACTGTCAATATCCCATTGAGGTAAGGCTTGCTAACTTTTTAAAAATAAAAGTAACAAGGTTAGAAAACAAAAAAGTTGACTGTCTCACCATTCAAAGGCAACCACTGTCAATAATTCCATTCCATTTTATTTCCAGCATTTATTTATATAATGGTCATATCTTAAGTACAGGGATGTTTCCTGCTTCCCCCCAACTGCCACCACAACGCAAGTTCTATTCATGGTTACTATAAATTATGTAAATGTAAGTTTTCAGTGGTTGCAAAATCACCCAATTAAATGGATGGTTTATAGTATTTTCAACAAGTCTATCACCAGATATATGGATTGTTTCCAAATTTCTCTGTGTAAGTTATTAAAGCATTAGGAACTCATCTACTGTGTATTATGAGGAGAGGGGAAATTTCCTTTGTTGTGATACGATTTTAGACTTCAACAATTTATATTTTAACAGGCTCCAAAAGCACTAAGTGGGCATCGTCTCCTTAAAAGTAATTTATAAGTGTCATAAAAGTTTACTATACCAAGTTTCTCTGTTTTTCTCTTTAGCTTCTCTTTCATACTTTTCAAGCGTCCTTTTGTCAACCATTCCAGTCAAATACCTGAAAACATTTAAAGAAAAAAAAAAGTAAACAATTACTCACAAATTACTCAGTGGAATTAGGAAAACGTGAAAATTGTCGAAAATTTCAACGTCAGAAAATAGTTATTTTATATGTGTGTGTCTGTCTAAAAAAATATAAAATATATATATAACATATATAACATATTTTTATATAAAATATATTACACATTTTTATATAAAATATATATATTACATATATATATATATTTTTTTTTTTGAGACAGAGTTTCGCTCTTGTCATCCACCTGGAGTGCAATGGCACAATCTCGGCTCACTGCAACCTCTGCCTCCTGGGTTCAAGTGATTCTCCTGCCTCAGCCTCCTGAGTAGCTGGGATTACAGGCACCCACCACCAAACCCGGCTAATTTTTGTACTTGTAGTAAAGATGGGGTTTCATTACGTTGGCCAGGCTGGTCTCGAACTCCTGACCTTGGGTGATCCACCTGCCGCAGCCTCCCAAAGTGCTGGGATTACAGGCGTGAGCCACCACGCCTGGCCATATTTTTTTTTTTTTTTTGAGACAGGGTCTCGCTCTGTCGCCTAGGGTGGAGTGCAGTGGCGTGATCTCAGCTCACTGCAACTTCCTCCTCCTGGGTTCAAGCGATTCTCCTGTCTCAGCCTCTCAAGTAGCTGGGATTACAGGCGTGTGCCACCATGCCTGGCTAAGTTTTTGTATTTTTAGTAGAGACTGGGTTTCACCATGGTCAGGCTGGTCTCGAACTCCTGACCTCAAGTGATCTGCCAGCCTCAGCCTCCCAAAGTGCTGGGAATACTGGCATGAGAACCACCACGCCTGGCCAGAAAATAGTTAAAGTAAAGGAACCACTGGTGGATGCTAAAATTATGGAAAGTGTAAGTGGAAAAAGGATATTTACAGTCTCGAATTAACAGACAAAGTGGCCTGGTGTGATGGCTCATGCCCGTAATCCCAGCACTTTGGGAGGCTGAGGTGGGAGGATCCCTTGAGGCCAGGAGTTTGAGACCAGCCAGTGCAACACAGTGAGACCATCTCCACATAAATATTAAAAAATTGGCCTGGTGTGGTGATGCATGCCTGTATTCCTAGCTACTTGGGAGGCTGAAGTGAGAGGATCACCTGAGCCCAGGAGTGTGAGGTTACAGTAAGCTATGATTCCACCACTGCACTCTAGCCTGTGTTTAAGAGCAAGACCCTGTCTCTAAAAAAAACAAAAAATCAGGCCAGGTGTGATGGCTCATGCCTGTAATCTCAGCACTTTGGGAAGCTGAGTTGGGAGGACTGCCTGAGTCCATGAGGTTGAGGCTGCAGTGAGCCATGATTACACAACTGCCCTCCAGCCTAAACAACAGGGAGACCCTTTCTCAAAAAAACAAAAAAAACAAAAAAAACAAAAAATAAAAAATGGCCGGGCACGGTGGCTCAGGCCTATAATCCCAGCACTTTGCGAGGCCAAAGCAGGCGGATCACAAGGTCAGGAGTTCAAGACCAGCCTGACCAACATGGTGAAACCTCATCTCTACTAAAAATACAAAAAAATTAGCCAGACGTGGTGGTGCATGCCTGTAATCCCAGCTACTTGGGAGGCTGAGGCAGGAGAATCATTTGAACCCAGGAGGCGGAGGTTGCAGTGAGCCAAGATCACACCACTGCACTGCACTCCAGCCTGGGCGATAGAGATTCTGTCTCAAAAAAAAAAAAAAAAAAAAAAAAAAGAAAAGAAAAGGGAAAACAATAACCTTATAGTGGACAATCTTGACAGATGACACCTTAACCAAGTAATCATGACTAATTTCACCAGTAATAAGGAAGTTTTGATGAATGACTATGGTTATAAGATGTCAACATCAGGGCAGGATGAATGAAGGGAACTTCCCGTACTGTTTTTGCAACCATTCCGTAAATCTAAAATTATTTCAGAATATAGTAGGTTTTGTTTTTTGTTTTTGTTTGTTTTTTTTAAGTAAATATAAGGTGGGCATGGTGGTGCAAGCGTGTAGTCCCAGCTACTTGGGAGGCTGAGGTAGGAGGATCAGTTGAGCACAGGAATTTGAAGCTATAGTGCGCTATCATCCTCCCCCCTATAAATAGCCACTACCCTCCGGCCTGGGCAACACAGCGAGACCCTGTCTCTTAAAATAAATATAGTTTTATTTTTATTTTTTATAGAAATGAGGGTCTCACTATATTGTCCTGGCTCTTCTTGAAGCCTGGGCTCAAATGATCCTTCCGCCTTGGCCTCCCAAAATGCTAGGATTACAGATATGAGCCACCATGCCCAGCCAAGTAAATTTAAAAATAAAATAACAAGTAAATGTAAATGTAGGTACTATAGAAAAGAAAAAAAAATTGCAACAATGTTGTCTAGGCAAGTAAGTCTTATTACTTGTCAAAATGAGATAATAATTTCAAAATAGTTCGTTAGTAATGCATACTTCCTTGACTCAATCCAATTCAAAGCTCTCCTTTCCCTATAGCTTTCATCTGTGTTCTCCACGTAGACATCTATAGTGCAGTGCACCTAAGCATTTGCATGTAGAAACCCAGTGTGACGCCACCAAAACTTACAGCCCATCAGCAAAAAATATACACTGTCCTGAAACATAACATCATATGGCTGTGACACTTCAACCACAGAGACCTGGGGAAGGACCCCTGTTTAACAGCCTGTCTTAGAGTCTCTGTTGTGGAAATGTTCAAAAGTAACTGGCAAGATTACCAATGATGATTAGCCAGGTGTGGTTAATCACACCTGTATGCCAGCACTTTGGGAGGCAGTAGAGGTGGGCAGACCACTTGACCCCAAGAGGTCAAGACCAGCCTGGGCAATATGATGAAACACCACCTCTACAAAAAAACACAAAAATTAGCCAGGCTTGGTTGCATGCACCTGTGATCCCACCTGCTTGGGAGGCTGAGGTGGAAGGATTGCTTGAGTCCAGGAGGTCGAGGCTGCAGTGAGCCAAAATCATGCCACTGCACTCCAGCCTTGGTGACAGAATGAGACCCTATCTCAAAAAAAAAAAAAAAAAAAAAAAAAAAAAAAAAAAAAAAATTTAACTAGGCAAGATGATGGCAAGCCCTCTAGGTCCTCTGATGACACAGTTCAAAGAAATGGGTCTAATTTAGAGAAGCAATTAAAAATTTAGGACTTTTTAGTTATCAAGATTTGTCAATACTAAAATGCATTACTAAAGGCCAGCCACGGTCATTTCATACCTAGGAAATTTCTATAATACGATCAAAAAATTATCTTAGCATTTTAGCTAGTCTACCTGTCTTTTATTAAATCCATATACATTTAAGGAGCTGATGAATGAGGAAAAAACAGTTCCCCCATTCACCAGATTCAAGAGCTGGTTGTCATTATTCCCATGTATGTTATATGCAAAGGAGACCAAGTTTCCCATAATCTAGAGTTCTGTGTTCATTTTTTATTTTTAAAAAATGTAAAAAGCTTTCAGAAACACATTTAACACTAGTAATAATCACATTACAAAAACTACTACTTTTAAAAAAATTAAAGTAGAGACAGAGTCTCATTGTCTTGCCCAGGCTGGTTTCAAACTCCAGACCTCAAGTCCAGTGATCCTCCCACCTTAGCCTCTCAAAATGCTGGGATTATAGGTGTGTTCCACCACACCAGGCCAAAAATCACTTCTTAACATCAGTATTGTGTCCCAGTAATTTTATTTTTAATTTTTCTTTGGGGGACCTGTTTTATCTCCTTTGTGTGACTGTATGAAGGTTTACAATGCCTAAAATTCATTACATCAATTTAACTCTGTTATTTAACAAAAGATACAGACTTACATTATTTGTCCTCCAATGGTTGACTTGCCAGCATCTAAAAGTAACATCAACATGCAAACCATAGGTTAAAACCAAAAACCAATGGCTAAATATGCAAACAACAGCACCCTTTAACATACATAATTAAATCTTCCATATGAATTTGGGGCATAAATCCTAGTTCATTACCCTTCTCCTTTTGAAAATGAGCCTCAAGGCTGGGCTCGGTGGCTCACGCCTGTAATTCCAGCACTTTGGGAGGCCAGCGAGGGCGGATGACCTCAGGTCAGGAGTTCGAGACCAGCCTGGCCAACATGGTGAAACCCCGTTTCTACTAAAAATACAAAAATTAGCTAGGCGTGGTGGCGGCCGCCTGTAATCCCAGCTACTTGGGAAGCTGAGGCAGGAGAATCGCGTGAACTCGGGAAGCAGAGGTTGCACTAAGCTGAAATCACGCCATTGCACTCCAGCCTGGGCGACAAGAGTGAAACTCCATCTCAAAAAAAAAAAAAAAAACCACTTAAAAACACTTTACTGATAAAGAATTTTTTAACAGATTACTCCGAAAGCACAGCGGCAACAGACTATAAATTCCCCAAGAGAAGTTTCCAAGAGCAAAAGCAGCTGAAGAACTGTGAACTAGATTCAGGTGCTTTTCCTTTCACTTACAGCAAATGAGGTATGTGCTCCTTTACACCTTTTTTTCCCCACGAGACGGAATCTTGCTCCGTTGCCCAGAGCTGGAGTGCAGTGGTGCGATCTCACCTCACTGCAACCTCCACCTTCTGGGTTCAAGCAATTCTCCTGCCTCAGCCTCCGGAGTAGCTGGGATTACAGGCTCATGCCACCACACCTGGCTAATTTTTGTATTTTTAGTAGAGACGGGGTTTCACCATGTTGGCCAGGCTGGTCTTGAACTCCTGACCTCGTGATGTGCCCGCCTTGGCCTCCCAAAGTGCTGGGATTACAGGCGCCAGCCACAGTGCCCAGCCGCTCCTTTACACTTTCAAAAGAGTTCTTGCTACTAAAAGAAGGGGTACAGTGTTTCATATCTGGGGGGAAGGCAGAGATAGCTGAAATGAAAGACACATAATTCTGTATTTTTTTTCTCACAATTCTGGGGATAGGCCAGATAATTAGAGAATATCTGAGTAAATTAAATAAATTTGTTCTTTTGTTTTTTGCTAAACCAGCAACCTGGCAAGCATCCAGAAGTTACTCCAAATTATTGATTTCCTGCTTCACACAAAATTATCTGGTAAGGTCAATCCCATTAAAATTAACAAGTTAACTGAGGTTCACATAAAAAAGGGCACATTTTCTAAGATACTGATATATAATACTATGCTGAACTACCATCAATGGTCAATAGACTAATTATATGTTACGTACAATATACTGAAGTTTTTCTTCCAGCATCTATGCCGTTACAGAATTATTCATTTGCCTAAACTTCAGGAAAAAAGTACTTGCAATTTTTTGCCAGCTAAAAAAAATCAGCAAGTTAAAAATCAAGACATTTTCAATTAATTTCCTTCAGTTTCACTAAACATCTCCAGGTAGCTAAAAAGGATGTTCTATGTTTTATGTATCCAGTAACTTTAATTGCTATGAGAGCAGCTTACCTACGTGCCCAATGAATACTACATTTACATGCTCTTTCTTAGGAGCACCTGGCGGTGCAACCACAGACTTAGGTTTTGGGATTTCCTCTTCCTCCTCCATCATTTCATGGGCACTTTCCTCTGGCGGCCTTCCATCTCCCAAGGAACCACCCCCTGGCTCTGCTTCACTTATTTCTTCTTTGTGCTCCCATGATTCTTCTGGAGACATTTCTGTCTCTCCATTTTCTACTGAAGAAAGACATTTTAACTTAGTATTCTGAAAAAGACTTACAATCTATACTTTAAAATACACTAGCTTTAAAACAACAAATGGAAGTTTGCATATGTAGTTCCATTTCCTAATGCCTAGTGACACATAAGCAGGAAAACCTCTTTCATAGCAGAAATGGGTGACAGCTTTCAAGGCAGACTCACTGCTGGTATCACATCAGAGGGCACTGACTCACAGGCTGAGATTGCTATTTTAGCAAAGCTTCATTTTCATAATGGCAAACAAAATGCAAACAAGAGTTCTAACATTCCCAACAGCCTAGTTATTCCAGTGTTGAGACACCCTGATAGTAAGAAAAAAAGGAAAGTTTAAAATCGTGACACACGAGAAATATGAAAGGATTTAGGAAATATTTTCTTTTTCCTCTTAAACTAATAAAACTTTGGCATCAACTTTAATCACGCTGAGAACGTGAAACCCTTAAGAATAAAGTTATAAAAAGGAAGAACATTTTTCACCAAGAAAACAGAACGTGTGGCCGAGCATGGTGGCTCACACCTGTAATCCCAGCACTTTCGGAGGCCGAGGTGGGTGGATCACGAGGTCAGGAGTTCGAGACCATCCTGATCAACATGGTGAAACCCCGCCTCTACTAAAAATACAAAAATTTGCCAGTTGTGGTGGTGTGCGCCTGTAATCCCAGCTACTCAAGAAGCTGAGGCAGGAGAAGCGCTTGAACCTGGGAGGCGGAGGTTGCAGTGACCCAAGATTGCACCACTACACTCCAGCCTGGGCGACAGAGCAAGACTCCGTCTCAAAAAAAGAAAACAGAACAGGTACAGGTATTTAAATTGACTTGACCATTCCTCCACTCAATTTTATTTGCAATCATTAAGTTTATCAAGGCAGTGTTAGTGCCTAGTTTGTTCTACTTTCTAAATACTAATAGCAAAGACTCAATGTGTCTTAAATGTAGGCATTACAATAATCGTAACTTACATAATGCACCTTAAATCTTGAGAGTGAAAGAGTTTCATATTACTGTATTAATATGGTCAGAAATTTTCTTACCAATAGGTTCTGAAAGTTCCATGCTAACAGCTGAATTTGAACCTAGACAAGAGATTGAAATATAATATATATTTACCAAACAGTATCTAGCTTTACACACCATATAGACAACCTAATGTTTTCTCAAGTAGACTTTCAAAGAGTACATCATTACCTTCACACAATGACTGTTCCTCTTGAGAGGATTCCACAGGTGCTGTTTAACAGAAAGAAGTTCTATTAAAAATTGATACTTATCCATCCATTTCACTTATCTTTTAATATGCAGTAAAAACAGAAGTTCAATAACACGACACAAGCCTCAATCAATAACCCCAGATCAATGGCAGCTAACTCAGGCCTTCAAGTTAGAAGTCTCTGCTTAACCTACTTTTCAAAATTCTACTAATTACAGCCAATTTTGAAACATTTTCAGTAGTTTCAATGTATTCATAAAAACATGCTTATTCTTTTGATTTGCTTTATAAACCTTTTCTTCACAGATACTGTCAAAGTAATTTGCAGCTCAGCACAGATCAAATTAGAGATGTGCTCAACAAATACACATCTACTTCCCGTGATTCTCTCTAGGTAACCCAGCCCAAGAAAGCTGTGATTAGCCCTTTTTTTTTTTTTTTTTTTTTGAGACTGAGTTTCACTCTTGTTGCCCAGGCTGGAGTTGGAGTGCAATGGCACGATCTTGGCTTACCGCAACCTCCATCTCCCCGGTTCAAGCGATTCTCCTGCCTCAGCCTCCTGAGTACCTGGGATCACAGGTGCATGCCACCATGCCCGGCTAATTTTGTATTTTTAGTAGAGATGGGGTTTCGCCACGTTGGTCAGGCTGGTTTTGAACTACGACCTCAGGTGTTCTGCCCACCTCGGCCTCCCAAAGTGCTGGGATTACAGGCTTGAGCCACCGCATCCAGCCTGTGATTAGCCCTTTTTAATATTCCATACTCATGTTATCAAAATCCCTGAATAAATTAGATACCTATAAGATAAATGACATGTGTATAAAGTCCTGAAACATATATAAGCCATTAAAAATATCTGCAGAAAAGGTGATTCCAATGATGCCAGTTTTTTCCTATACTAGAACTCTAAAACCAAGCAACAATCCAGTTTCCAGTTGCCACACTGCAAATTTACTTATGACATTACTGGAAGAGATGTAGGAGAAATACATACTAATAACCAAATATCTAAGTCTGCTTTTTGGATTTTAGTTTGTCAGATACAGACAAACCTAAATTATACTCCAATATGAACGTGCCCCTGCTTTAAAGAATCTCCACGACAGAAAACGATACTAAAGAATTAAATCATATGAATCATGCACAGCAAGTATGAAAAAATAATGAATTTGTAACCTGTAAAATCATTGCCCGGAAAGGATCAATACCTGTAAGAGTCAAGAGAAAGTGTTTTGGGCCCAACCTTCAATAGCATCAAATGTTGAGTAAAGTAATTTCCTGTCCCTGATAGGTAAAGGACAACCAAATTGTTTTCTTTTTTTTTTTAAGTGACAGGCTCAGACTGTCACTTAGGAAGATCTTTTTCTTGCAGCTTAAACTACATGAACTAGAGTGGGCAAGACCCCACAGGCAGGAAGACCCACATCACCACTGCAAGAAAGCATGCCATGGAGACAACCAAGCAATACAACTAGGAGGGGATGGGGGCTACACCTGACAGGAGTTGGGAGAAAGGGAGAGTAAAAGGTCTAAGATGACCCCAAGCTGTGGGATGAGCAGGACATTAACAAACAGGGGGGAAACGCATTTGAACCTGGTTTGGAAGGAGGCAGAAACTGTACTTCAACACAATACAGATTAACTTTTTTTTGCTTTTCCATTTTCAAGAAAAGTTTAAGGATAAGGTAAGGAAAAATTACTCAGTTTTCAGAGGAAGCCAGGTAGTACTGAGAGTATCAAGTTCACAGGCCACCCTAAGAAGGAGGTGACTGCATGGGGTACTTCTCAGAGCCTGGAACTGAGCTGACTCCTAGGTTTAACTCCTGGCTTATTACAAGCTGTGCCTGCACTTATTCCACTGAAATTGTGGAAATGATATACCATCTACCTGAGAGGATTGTTGAGGAGTTTATGGGAGGAAATGGGAGAATAATTTGTTTAGTGTCAGTTAAAGAACTCCTGGCGTATTCAACAAATGTGTCTCCATCTGCTATGTAACTACTCCAACTCAATCCTATCAATATGTATTGAGTATCAGCCAGGCACGGTGGCTCACACCTGTAATCCCAACACTTTGGGAGGCGGAAGCGGGGGGATCATTTGAGTTCGGGAGTTCAAGACCAACCCGGCCAACATGGCAAAACCCTGTCTCTACTGAAAATACAAAACAATTAGCTGGGTGTGGCATACACCTGTAATCCCAGCTACTCGGGAGGCCAAGGCAGGAGAATCGCTTGAACCCGGGAGGTGGAGGTTGCAGTGAGCCAAGATCACGTCACTGCACTCCAGCTTGGACAAGAATGAAACTCCGTCTCAAAAAAAAAAAAATTAATAAAAATGAATACATATATATATGTATTGAGTATCTATTATGGGCCAGACAAGGATAAAAGTACTCACAAATCCATATTGTGTAGGGAGTGGGGGATGGAGGGGGTAGCAATTTGCTTTAACTAATTTTTATTGAGCCCTAAGTGCCGACTGCTAGCTCATTCCCACCAAAAGCCTTAGGAAACAGATCCTGTAATCACTACCATCTAACATACAGGCACATCAGAATCAACTGCAGGCATTTCCAAGTTATGCAAGTGCCATCTTCCCCTTCCTCAGATAGTCCCTGCTGAAAATCAGTGTACAAGTAAACTAAGCTCTGACGGACACACAGTTATGATGTACTGCGTATCTTAAGGCAGGAAAATGACGGGTGTGGTGGGCTTCCTCACCACTCTCAAGTGTATCACTAACTGTAACAGCTTTTCAAAACAAAACAGTACTTACACCTGACCACTTAGTTCCTGGCACCAACTATTAGATTTACAATACAGATGGCTCCTCAACTTACAATGGATTGTAAGTTGCAAATGGGTTGGGCATGGTGGCTCACACCTGTAGTCCTAAACCTCTGGGAGTCCAAGGTGGGAGGATGGCAAGAGTTTGAGACCAGCCTGGGCAACATGGCAAAACCCCACCTGTACCAAAAAAAGAAAAACAAAAAACAAAAAACAAAAAACTGTCGGGAATGGCGGCATGCGCCTGCAGTCCCAGCTGCTCCGGGGGCTGAGCCTGGGAGGGTCAAGGTTGCAATGAGACCTGACTACACCACTGCACTCCAGCCTGGGCGAGAGAGTGACACCCTGTCTCAAAAAATAAAAATAAAACCGATATATTTCTACCCTATCTTCATACATACACAGTAAACCTTTACTTGTTCATTCTACTCTGGTCTTATTCATGACTCACATAACATCCAGATTTTACTGGCTACTAATGAGCCTGGGCTTAGAATTTTCCGAGGTTGAACTGTTCATGGCTAGGAAATAGATGATTAGGGTGTAATTTCTCACATCCTACATGGTTCACAGCTGCTAGTAAAGGAAGTTAGAACCCTCTCAAGGAATGAAATTACAGTTTCAAATTTTCCAGTGTTATCTCTATGTTTAGAAACACACCTTTATTAACTATTTAAAAATGGAACAATTTTTTCTAAGTGGGAAAGCTTTCAGGGTTTACCACTGAGTGCAACTGCCATGCCCCAAATTACAAGGAAAAACTAAGTTTGAGACCAGCCTGGGCAACATGGTGAAACCCCATCTCCACACACAAAAATATATATATATATATATGAATTAGGCTAGACATGGTGGCTCATGCTTGTAGTCCCAGCTACTCAGGAAACTGAGGCAGGAGAATCGCTTGAGCCCAGGTAGCAGAGGTCGCAGTGAGCCAAGATTGCACCACCGCACTCTAGCCTGGGTGAAAGAGTGAGACCCTGTCTCAAAAAAAAAAGAGGAAAAACTAGGCTGGGCATGGTGGCTCACATCTGTAATCCCAGCACTTCTGGAGGTGGAGGCGGGCGGATCACCTGAGGTCAGGAGTTTGAGACCAGTCTGACTAATATGAGGAAACCCCAACTCTACTAAAAACACAAAAATTTGCCGGGCACGGTGTCTTGTGCCTGTAATCCCAGCTACTTGGGAGGCTGAGGCAGGAAGCTACCCGGGAGGCAGAGGTTGCAGTGAGCTGAGATTGCACCATCGCACTCCAGCCTGGGCAACAAGAGCGAAACTCCATCTTAAAAAAAAAAAAGCCAGGCACGGTGGCTCATGCCTATAATCCCAGCACTTTGGGAGGCCGAGGCGGGTGGATCACAAGGTCAGGAGATCGAGACCATCCTGGCTAACATGGTGAAACCCTGTCTCTACTAAAAATACAAAAAATTAGCCGGGCTTGGTGGCGGGCACCTGTAATCCCAGCTACTCGGGAGGCCAAGGCAGGAGAATGGCATGAACCCGGGAGGTGGAGCTGGCAGTGAGCCGAGATCGCACCACTGCACTCCAGCCTGGGTGACACGACTCTGTCTCAAAAACAGACAGAGCAGGACTCTGTCTCAAAAAAAAAAAAAAAAAAAAAAGAGGCAAAACTAATAGTATAATTTATAATAAAGGAAGATTAATGACTTGACTGTGGTACTTGGTACATTACCACAAATTTTAAAACATGAAGTGAAGACTTTACCAGAGAACAGCAGAACACCAGTACTGCCTGTGATACACATGATAAACTGGAACTGGATCTTTTTTTTTTTTTTAAGAGATGGAGTCTCGCTCTGTCGCCCAGGTTGGAGTGCACTATCGCAGTCTCGGCTCACTGCAACCTCCACCTCCTGGGTTCAAGCGATTCTCCTGCTTTAAGTCCCGAGTAGCTGGGACTATAGGCGTGTGCCACCACACCCAGCTAATTTTTGTAGTTTTAGTAGAGACGGGGGTTTCACGATGTTGCCAGGCTGGTCTCAAACTCCTGACCTCATGTGATCTGCCTGCCTCAGCCTCCCAAAGTCCCGGGATTACAGTCATGAGCCACCACACCTGGCCTTAAATTTTTTATAGAGATGGTGTTTCAATAGGTTCCCCAGACTGGTCTCCAACTCCTGAGCTCAAGCAATCCACCCACCTCAGCCTCCCAAAGTGCTGGGATTACACGTGTGAGCCACCGCGCCCGGCTTCCAAGACATTTTAATCACCCCAAAAGGAAACCCGTATTCATTTAGCAGTTACTGCCCATACTCTCTCCTAGCTTCTGGCAGCCAACAGTATGTCTGTTTTCTGTCTCTGTGGATTTACCTCTTCTGAATACTTCATGTCAATGGAATCATAGAATATGTGGTGTTTGTGTTGCTTCACCATAATCAAATTTTAACTATCAATCCAGTTTCAAGCCAGGCACGGTGGCTCATGACTATAATCCCAGCACTTTGGGAGGCTGAGGCAGACGGACCACATGAGGTCAGGAGTTTGAGACCAGCCTGGCCAACATGGTGAAACCCCGTCTCTACTAAAATACAAGAATTAGCCAGGGTGATGACAGGTGCCTATAATCCCAGATACTCAGGAGGCTGAGCCAGGAGAATCTGGCAATCTTGAACCTGCGAGGCGGAGGTTGCAGTGAGCCGAGATTGCACCACTGCACTCCAGCCTGGGCATAACAGTGAGACTCTGTCTCAAAAAAATTAAATAAAATAAAAATTAGCTGGGTGTGGTAGCACATGTCTGTAGTGCCAGCTACTTGGGAGGCTGAGGTGGGAGGATCACTTGAACCCGGGAGGTGGAGGGAGGCTGCAGTGAACCAAGATCGCACCACTGCACTCCAACCTGGACCACGGTGTGAGACCCTGTCTCCAAAAAAAAGGAAATGTTTTAGAACTACATAGAATTGCTGGTTGTACAACACAGTGTGAATGTACTAAATGCCACTGAATTGTTCACTTTAAAATGGCTTTATTTATTTGTTTGTTAATTGTTTATCAAGACGAACTATTAGCCCACATATTCATGTGTCGTAGTTCAGGAACACGAGTCAGTGACAAACTTCTAGGTAATTCAACCTGAAGAAATTCTTTATATTCCAAGATTACTTTAAACTGAAAGATACCAGCCTTCCTCATCTGCTCAAAATCTCATAATTTCTGCAGAAATCTGCATATGCCTTCTTTCTTGGTTCACCCACACCAAACTCATACAAAGCTGCAACCCCCAGGGACACCATGAATGCTCCAAACATTGAAATCGCAGACGCTTGGCCAGAAGGCCACACATCTGAGGTTTTGGCAACACTTCGGGAGCCATGGTAGTTACTGTCCTTGATACGTATGCCAACCTCAACACCAACATCATTCCTGACTCATTTTATTTTATTTTATTTTATTTATTTATTTTGAGTCTTGCTCTGTTGCCAGGCTGGAGTGCAGTGGTGCAATCTCGGCTTACTGCAACCTCCGACTCCTGGGTTCAAGCGATTCCCCTGCCTCAGCCTCCCGAGTAGCTGGGACTACAGGCGCGCGCCACCACGCCTGGGTAATTTTTTGTATTTTTAGTAGAGATGGGGTTTCACCATGTTGGCCAGGATGGTCTCGATCTCCTGACCTTGTGATCCGCCCGCCTTGGCCTCCTAAAGTGCTGGGATTACAAGCGTGAGCCACTGCGCCCAGCCAGTTTTATGTTATGTGGATTTTGCTTCAATTTTTTAAAAGAGTGTACAATTTTTTTTTAAAGCTATGATCATGGGTCAAAGGACTTGAATATGGAGAATCCTACTTGGCCAGCATATCCTCACAGCATACGTCAGTCAAGGCCACAGACATCATGGCAGGTAAAAAAAAAAAGCTACGTTTTGATTCAAGTTACATGTTTTAAACACAAATGTTTGGCTAAGTCTTAAAAAGTGCTTGATGCATGTATTTCATAAATCAGCAATTTAAATTCATACTGCTTTAGATACAAAACTAATCTTCAAGCCGGGTGTAGTGGCTCATGCCTGTAAAACCAACACTCTGGGAAGCAAGGCAGGAGGATCACTTGAGGCCAGGAGTTTGAGACCAGCCTGGGAAACACAAGGAGACTTCGTCCTTACAAAAAATTTAAAAATCAGCCGGGTATAGTGGCACAGGCCTGTAGTCCCACGCAGGAGAATCACTGGAACCTGGGAGGTGGAGGCTGCAGTGAGCGGTGATCACACCACTGCACTCCAGCCTGGGTGACAGAGTAAGACCCTGTATCAAACAATAACAACAAAACACAGGCATCCTGAGTGAAACTGTAGTTTTGTTAGCCAAATGGGTGTTCATTAAAGAAAAATACAACTTCGGATCTGTCACAGAAGTGTCTCACATTGCATGAAAGTAAGAAATATGTGTGACAAAATTCTGTCCAAGTTTCTGTAGTGATGGAAATGTTTTATATCTGTGCTGTGACATGATAGTCACCAGCCACATGTGGTTATTAAGCGCTGGAAACATGGCTATTATGACTGAGGAATTGAATTTTAAATTTAATTTTAATAAATTTAAATAGCCACATGTGGTTCTCGATTACACTTTGGATAACAGTTCTAGCTCAAGGATTCTCCTTAATTGTAGTACACACTTGCCTACCTAATCCCCCATTTCTATCCCATTCCCTGTCCATCCCCTACCCTGAAGGGCTAATGATCACTCCCCTAGGACATGACACCTCTTTAAATTAGAGGCACACATGGGGACCAGGTGCAGTGGCTCACACCTGTACCTGTAATCCCAGCACTTTGGGAGGCCAAGGCGGGCAGATAACTTGAGGTCAGGAATTTGAGACCAGCCTGGCCAACGTGGTGAAACCCCGTCTCTACTAAAAAATTAAAAATTAGCTGGGTCTGCTGGCACACACCTGTAATCCCAGCTACTCAGGAGGCTGTGGCGGGAGAATGGCTTGAACCGGGGAGGTGGAGGTTGCAGTGAGCTGAGATCACTGAGTCACTGCACTCCAGCCTGGGCGACAAGAGCGAGACTCTGTCTCAAAAATAAGTAAGTAAATAAATAAATAAATTATAGGTACACATGTATCTTAGTTCTTGTTCCCTAGATTGTAGACTTCCAGAATGAACTGTGGGTGGATGACTTTTTTCTCTACTTCAGTAGTCTCAACAAGTTGGCATGATGTATTGTATAGAATAAATACACAATCAATTTTTACTGAATTACTGTGTTTTCCTTTGATTTTCACACTGGTTCCTTCCAGTCACATCACTTCATTTTTTCACTTTTCTTTTTTCTTTTTGAAATGGAGTCTCACTCTGTCGCCCAGGCTGGAGTGCAGTGGCACAATCTGGGCTCACTGCAACCTCCACCTCCTGGGTTCAGGCATGAGCCACCACAACTGGCCTCACTTCCCTTTTCTGACCAGGACCCCTAGCCTCCATCTGTACATTCATTGCATTTCCATTAGGGCTCAAGAGAGTGAAAACAATTTTAAATGTGCCAACTTTCTAAGAAGGGGTTAGGGAAACACTACACTCAGGAGATGTTGGGCCAGCTGTGGTGGTTCCCGCCTATAAACCCAGCACTTTGGGAGGCCAAGCTAAGAGGGTTGCTTGAGGCCAAGAGTTCAAGACCAGCCAGGGCAACACAGTGATGCTCTGTCTCTACAAAAAAAAATGTAAAAATGAGCCAGGCGTGGAGGCATACAACTGTAGTCCCAGCTATTTAGGAGGCTGAGGCAGAAGAATCACTTAAGCCCAGGAGGTTGAGGCCACAGTGAGCTATGATTGTGCCAATGAACTCCAGCCTGGGCAACAATGTGAGACCCTGTCTCAAAAAACAAAATTAAAGAAAGAAAATTTTAAATTAACTATGTGGTTCATACTATATTCCCATTGGATTATGCCAGGGTGGTAACGATAAAAAAGCAAGATTCATTTAACTCAGAAAGAAAATTAGGCTAAGATAATAAATCCAGCAGCCAACAAGTCTTAATAATAGGCACTTATCTGGTAAGATCACATGAGACAATATTTCTTGAATTTTTTTAATGTAAATCCCTCCAACAACAAAGAACGATCCCATCTCTGAACAAAAATTTGCAAGCTGAGGTTTTTCTTTTTTTCTCCTGTAGACAATACTGAAAAACAGTAAAAGCAAACACCAGAAAGAAGTCTACAGAACACATAAAACAATGTGGATGGTTTTGCCTTAATTACCTAACACTCTAAAAATAAAAAGGCTCGGTACAGACAGTGGTGAACAGAGCTGTTTTAAAGTATTTTACATCAACACTTGCTAAAATGTAAAAAGAAGTAATTTCAAAATATTGCTTTAAATCAGAGCACTGCCTACTTATGACAAATGTCATTCTGCTACTACTGAGACAGAACACAGAGAAATGCCATGGTCCAAGCTCACAGGTCCAGTTTCTGGAGAGTCTCAGTCTACTTTAATACAAAATCACAAGGAAAGCACTAGCAGTCACTACTAGAATAAACTTTGAAATGACCTCGATTCCAAGCCTCACTCCTCTCATGGATATGACTGACCTAAGTTATTTAGCTTTACTGAGCCTTTATTTTCTCATCTGTAAAATGGGTCAACAGTACCTAACCTCAAGAGAATGTTGTGAAGACTAAATAACTGATAAGGGGTGGTAAATGCTCAATAAATTTATTACAGCAAGCACTTCAAAGCCCCAAAATAATTTCAAAAACCTTTAAGAATGAAACATTAGGCAAATGCCAGGGCCACTCTCAGAAAACTACACGCTAGTTGTAGTAATTAGCTCCAGGCATGCCCTTCCCGCCCCCTGTTATTAAACAGCATGATGTGGCAGATCAAGCACTAAACTAGCAGGTAGCAAATCTGCATTCTAGACTCAATGGTGTCATTAACTCTGTGAGTGACCTTAGGCATTTACTTAGCATTTCTAAGGCTCCAGTTCCTTTATCTGAAAATGAAGAGGCTGTACAACTGCTAGGGTCGTATCCAGCGCTAACATTCTAAGAACCTCTTTATTCGGACACAAAAGCAATGCCACATTATCAACCTGATCAGACTTTGCATAGAGTAACTAAAATTCCATTATGTTTTTCAAACAACCCTGAAAGACAGTCTTATGAGCTACAACCTAACTACTTCAAAAACAATTTGAGGCCAGGCGCGGTGGCTCACACATGTAATCCCAGCACTTTGGGAGGCTGAAGTGGGCAGATCACTTGAGGTCAGGAGTGCGAGACCAGCCTGGCCAGCATGGCAAAGCCCCGTCTCTACTAAAAATACAAAAATTAGCTGGGGATGGTGGTGCACACGTGTAATCCCAGCTACCTGGGAGGCTGAGGCAGGAGAATCGCTTGAACCAGGAAGGCAGAGGTTGCAGTGAGCCAAGATCGTGCCAGTGCACTCCAGCCTGGGCGACATAGAGAGATTCATCTCAAAAACAAAAAAGAAACAAAAAACCATTTAAATAACATTTAAAATACACAAACCAAAACCATTTCAGATACCCTCAAAAAAGTACAAAAATAACAGAAACAGCCGGGTGCGGTGGCTCACACCTGTAATCCCAGCACTTTGGGAGGCCGAGGTGGGTGGCTCACTTGAGGTCAGTAGCCACCAAGACCATCCTGGCCAACATGGTGAAACCCTGTCTCTACTAAAAATACAAAAATTAGGCCGGGCGCGGTGGCTCACGCCTGTAATCCCAGCACTTTGGGAGGCCGAGGCGGGCGGATCACGAGGTCAGGAGATCGAGACCATCCCGGCTAAAACGGTGAAACCCCGTCTCTACTAAAAATACAAAAAATTAGCCGGGCGTAGTGGCGGGCGCCTGTAGTCCCAGCTACTTGGGAGACTGAGGCGGGAGAATGGCGTGAACCCGGGAGGCGGAGCTTGCAGTGAGCCGAGATCCCGCCACTGCACTCCAGCCTGGGCGACAGAGCGAGACTCCGTCTCAAAAAAAAAAAAAAAAAAAAAAAAAAAAAAAAATACAAAAATTAGCCAGGCATGGCGGTGCGCACCTGTCATCCCAGCTACTCAGGAGACTGAGGCAGGAGAATCGCTTGAACCCGGGAGGTGGAGGTTGCAGTGAGCCGAGATCACGCCATTGCACTGCAGCCGGGGCAACAAAGGGAGACTCCATGTCAAAAATAAAAAAATAACCGAAACATTTTTCTGCTACCAAAATTAACCACCTAAAGGCAATGGACAAGTAGTATGGTAACATACTGGAGTTCTACAGAAATATTCAACCAGGAAATTACCCAGTGACATTCTGCAGAATGCGCTTTTTTTTTTTCAAGTGAAGCGACATACAATTACCTAGTGGGAATGTGGTTTGGAAGTGAGTGTCACCACTGTTAGGTCAGGTGCTCGGGAAAGCCTTATTAAGTGTTCTTCTCTCTTTGAAAGTAGAATTATGATGGGAAACTGGTTCAACTTAGAGTACTGTAACAACTAGGTTTCCTTAGAACAAAGCCATTTACGAAGGAGCCATATAAATCTACAGTCTCGGCTCACTTTGTTAAACTCTACTGAAAACAAGGCAGAAACTTCTAAGCCTTGAAATGAATCAACAATCAACAGCTAAAAACTGTCAGTTTTCTTGATTGTTCTGAGGACCTCAGATCCTTCAACTAGTAGCCAAATTCTTGTCTCCCGAAGATATTTTAAAACCAAGGGTAGAATGATGAAATTCTAAACATGCCCCAATAGACACACTAGCCAGACTCATAGTAACTGAACTCACTGCTGTTTAATACGAAATAGACAAGTACTGTAAAAAGATAACCAGTGCTCTACCTTCAGCACTCTCGACAAACTTAAAAATACAAAACTTGGCCAGGCACAGTGGCTCTCGCCTGTAATCCCAGCATTTTGGGAGGCCGAGACGGGTGGATCACTTGAGGTCAAGAGTTCGAGACCAGCCTGGGCAACATGGTGAAACCTCATCTCTACTAAAAATACAAAAATTAGCTGGGCGTGGTGGCGGGCACCTGTAATCTCAGCTACTTGGGAAGCTGAGGCAGAACAATCGCTTGAACCTGGGGAGGCAGAGGTTACGGTGAGCCGAGTTAGGGCCACTGCACTCCAGCCTGTGACAGAGCGAAACTCCATCTCAAAAAACAAAAACAAACAAAAAAACTTAGCCAGGCGTCATGGTGGGTGCCTATAGTCCTAGCTACTCAGGAAGCTGAGGTGAAAGATCACTTGAGCCCAGGGATTTGAAGTTACGATGAGCTATAATCACACAATTATACTCCAGCTTGGGTGACAAAGTAAGATCCCGTCTCTAAAAAATAATAAGTAAAAAGTTTTTTAAAATACACACAACCTTGGTGATCAGGCTTTGGCTGCAACTCTGGCCCAGGAGGCCAGAAAAAAAAATACACACAAGGCATTCGCAAAGAACAGTGAGCAGATAATAGATAAATCTTTAGTTTTATGAGAGTGACAAGACTGAGAGGTTTTACGTAAGGGATTGCTGTTCTCGGCTTTGAAAGCCTTCTCTACACTCTCTGCAGGGCTCACTTACCACACTGTGACTTCCACTAGAGTACACTGGGCATCTGATCCCTTTCTAGATTCCTTCAGGACCACAATTTATTCATCTTGGTGTTATTTCAAGTGCCTAGCATAGCATCTTTCATTCAGTGGACTGGTAAATGTTTGTTAATGAGTCGCTAGTACATATATCTGAGCAAAACCAGAAATTCGCATTTCTGGAAAAAAATTCCATTCCAATACTGCTAACTCAACCCAGAAGGTTATCAAATCTCTTTTTCATTCCTTTCTCTTCAACCAGAAAGAAAATACTATCTGAACACTTTCAGACATTTCTTCCCCAGCAAACCAAAGCAAGCAAATCAAGGCTTAAACTTTGTCGTCTACATTACTTCCTTAACTTGTTCAAACTGAAATTGCTGTCTTTTCACGCTGTGCAACTTCAGAAAAGGTAAAAAATAAAGAACAGAAGAATGCAATAAGATATGTACTGACAGCACTACGTAATACCTGCTCCAAAGAGGGTTTTTACACCAGTCAAAAATTCTAACAGTTTAAACAACTGCTCAACTTGGCACAGCACAGCCCTAGATGATGCCTTCGCTTCTTCCCTAAATCCTCAGTCTCAAGCCATTCATACGTGTAAAACCATGAAACAAGAGACAAAAAGGTCAGCCATGGCAGGAGAAGTAACGAAAGGCAGTGTTTACTACTGTGATACTCCAGGGATACTGTGGGGCCTCTCCTCTACCCCATCTGCTGTCCCACTGAAGCCTAAAAACACCTTTATATGAGCACTGTTCTTGCAGGCACTTCAGTCTCAAAAACACATTCTCAAATACAGAATCTTACCTATTATCTACCTCAACAGATAGAATTTAACATATTAATAAAGTGTAAGGGCCTTTCTGGATTAAACAACCATTACTTTGATTTGGAATCCTCTCTACTCTGGTGGCCCTGAAGAGGTCACTTCTGAGATGTTCCAGCTTAAAACTGAGAATATTCTAAAAAGCATCTGCCAAGTGGTGATGGTTGCATAACCTTACAAATATATTAAAAGCCACTGAACTGTATGTACACTTTACTTTTCTTTTTGGACAGTGTCTCATTTGGTCACCCAGGCTGAGTGCAATGGTGCCATCATAGCTCACTGCAGCCTCCAGCTCCTGGGCTCAAGAGATCCTCCCACCTCAACCTCCCAAGTAGCTGGGACTACAGGTTTGTGCCACCACACCCAGCTATTTTTTTTTTTTTTTTTTTTTGAGACAGAGTGTCAATGTCGCCCAGGCTAGAGTGCAGTGGTGTGATCTCGGCTCACTGCAACCTCCGCCTCCCAGATTCAAGTGATTCTCCTGCCTCAGCCTCCCCAGTAGCTGGGACTACGGGCGCGCACCACCATGCCTGGCTAATTTTTATATTTTTAATAGAGACAGGTTTCGCCACGTTGGCCAGGCTGGTCTCGAACTCCTGACCTCAGGTGATCCGTCCACCTCGGCCTCCCAAAGTGCTGGGATTACAGGCATGAGCCACTGCACCCAGCTGTATTTTTTTTTTTTTTTTTTTTTTTTTTTTTGTGGAGACAGGGTCTCAGTCTCACTATGTTTTATGGAGGCCTCAGGCAATCCTCTCACCTCAGCCTCCCAGAGTGTTGGGTTTATAAGTGTGAGCCAATGCGCCCAGCTTGTACAGTTGAAAAGGGTGAATTTTACAGTGTGTAAGTTAAATGTCAATCATTTAAAAAAAAAAAAAAAAAAGGCCAGGCGCGGTCACACCTGTAATCCCGGCACTTTGGGAGGCCAAGGCGGGCAGATCACCTGAGGTCAAGAGTTCAAGACCAGCCTAGCCAACATGGTGAAACCCCATCCCTGCAAAAACACACACACACAAAATAGCTGGGCATGATGGCAGGTGCCTGTAATCCCAGCTACTCGGGAGGCTGAGGCAGGAGAATTGCTTGAACCTGGGAGGAGGAGGTTGTAGTCAGCCGAGATCGTGCCATTGCACTCCAGCCTGGGCAACAGAGCAAGACTCCGTCTCAAAAAAAAAAAAAAACAAAAAAAAAACCTCCTCTTCCAATAAATAAGGCATTCAGCAAATACGGAACACTACAAAACAGAATGTTTCTCTTTAAAATTCAAGTTCCACAATACAATCTGCTAAGTTTTGGAGACAGTGCCTCCTCCAAGTAAGTACTGAGGGCTGCTGGTTTTATTCCATGCTTGTTTCTTAATGGCAGTGAGTTCTGAGAAGCATTAAAGGTGGGATGATGCAAAGAACACCACATCATTACTTTAGAAGCTCTGGCTGTTCTAAAAAGTTCAAGTAACCCTAAAATTACTAAACCAGTTTCTTATCTAACAATAAAAAAAACTAGGTGCAAATTGCAACTTAAATACATCCTATCAGATAAAATGCTTGTTCTAATATACATTAAGCCTTGTCTTCTATATTTTTATTCACTTGGGGACCTCACTTTTTAAGGAGAATCTCTTGGCCAATTTACTTGGCTCTAGAGAACTGTGCTTAAATGAATTACACTTAATTACACTTAAATGGGTTCCACTTAATTATTTCTTAAGGAACCTATATTCTTTAGTTTTCAAAGAGATCCAAGGTCAATACTGAATCCCAAGGTCTGACTCTCCAGGCTCCTTCAACAGCTTTCCCGGCATGCAGTTTAAAAACACACCCAGCACAAATTTCGGCTATGGCTTAACTAAAGAACAGAACATGCTAGCCCTATTGTCCACTTCCTCGCTATCAAAAAAACCTTGCAAACTTTTTGGTTCCCCCTTTGTAAGTTCCAATCCAGGTGTTATTTCCTATTTATCCCCCTGCTTTTTATAAGCACTGATTGTTCTCCGATGCTGGCTTTTTATGGACTTAATAGTCTGGAACATGCAATCCAACAGTCTCAATATAACCCTGGACCTCAACTTAGAAAATCAGTTCTTTTCCAAATAGACATCCTACATAGGATAATTTTTTAAAAACATGAACTGGCATTTTGGTACAAGCAATTGGTAAAGTCGGTAACACCAAAATAGTTTTTTGATTAAAAACAAGAAAGTTGACCATGCTGTACGGATTCTCTTACTGACAGCTACTTCCCTACAGGTTTTCGCATCTCCAATTTCTAGCACTGTCAAAGAGAAAAAGATTAGGTGTAACTACAAATTAGCAACTATCAGGAAGAGAGAAAGCCCGCATAAGAGGTAATACCTAGTCACCAACAGTGACCATTCTAGACCAAGGTTGGTTATCCCCGGATGACTCGCTGGACAGGCTGTAAATGGAGTCCTGAGTCTAGTCAGAGTGGTGCTGGTGGCTCCACAGAAAGGAGGAAGAGCCAAGAAAGAAAATGGCTGGATAAACGGAATCTGCAAAGTAAGGTAGGGAATGGGCACTTTTAGGAGCTGAGAAGTGAACTAGGTTAGGCAGTCAAAATGGCTTGATGTAAGTCAAGAATTACAAGCTAAGCTTCCTTATTCAAGAGGAAAACATTGTCTAGAGCCGTACCACCCTGAAAGTGCTCGATCTCCTCAAAAGAAAACATCAACCACCCACACAAATAAATGCCACTGTCAACAAAACCACCAAATCAACCGTGCTGACGTACATACGTCATCAGAGTGTTTCTCCAGACACTATCCCTTTACCACGAAAGAGCAAACGGTGACAAAAGTTTCTGTAGAAACCAAACTCCTGGAGCACTTTTATAATGTCCACTTATCTAAGAACCACCACAATACAGAACTTTAAAGAGAGAAATCAACAATATGTTCTCACTTAAAATGCGCTGGATGTCATGACCCACCCCACTAACGTCCTGGCTAAATGATGAAAGGACGTTCAGCCTTTTCCTTCCTTTTTCATTTTCTCTTTAAGGAAACACTGATAGTTCCTAAAATAAGCACCATTAGGAAGAGAATACTTAAGTTCACTCATTTGACATTCCCACAAAATCAGTACCTGAAAGCAAGCTACCTACCACAAAATAAGCACCATTATGAGAATACATAAGTTCACTCACCGGATATTCCTACAACGTCAGCACCTGCAAGCATGCTACCTACGACTTAAGCAACCCCTAAGTACGGGAAGATGTTTAAAAACCAAAGTTAACTCGAAATTTTATGGATTAGAAAATGTATGTCTACTAGCTACGGTCAGAAAGACACGTGAGAACTATTAAATTATAACAAATGCTCAAGTGTCTGAAGAAATAGACTGAACTACTGATGCACGAACACAGTGAGTTATTCCAAGCAATCTGAATAAGGTCAACGATTTTACAGCAATGAAAATTCTCTAAACGTGTCGCTGACAAAGGATAAAAGTGTAAGCTTCACTTTAAAAAGACACAAATCAATATAGTCTCCTATCACACATTAAGTGAGGAATCCTAACTTTGTGGCACTTTGTAAACTTTAGAAGCGTACACAATGCTAAGGGTAAAACAGATCTTGGTATTGATAGCCAAGTTTCTGCCCGATCACAAGGCTGCAATGCATCTTGGGATTCCTTCAGGACGGTTGGGGGCCACGGACAGTTTAAACCGTAATTACAGTTTCAATAGTAGAAAACGCAGCAGAAGACGCTCTCTCGGCTGGGCCTAAGGTGAAAGGAAAACTCGGCCATTCGTCCTCCCCAACTCCTGGGATCTCTAAACGCCCACCCAAATGACTCCTGGCTCCATCTGTCCTCATTCTGCGCCTCGTGGCAGGGATCCGCCGCGGCCCCCACTCCGTTCCATACGGTTCCCATCTCAAGTGGGTAACTGCGGACTCCAGAGCAGGGCAGGGGCGCGGAGGGGCGGCACTCGGGTCCGGGTCTTTGGGCGCGCTGCCCGCTGTCCGCTCCCCGCCCGGCCACCGCCGCGGGCCGCCCCGCGAAGGCCGGCTCCCGGGCTCGGGGCGCCCCACCCAGGCAGACGGCGCCACTGTCAGCGCCCCACGTGCCGACCGGGCCCCAGGGCCGCGCGCCCCCGGACCGCACCCCTACGCCATGTGGGCTCCGGCGCCCGGCCGGACTTCCTCCCGCGTCCCGGGCCTTTACCCGCACGGCCTCCCGCGCCGCTGCCGGCTCCGTGGTTATTGGCGGCGCCGCCAACTGGGGGTGGCGGCGCTGCCGGGCCCCGCAGGAAGGACGGCACGAACTCGGCGGCGTGGACGTTGGGCACGAAGGGCTTGGCGTTGACGTTGAGTTGCCGGCTGAAGGCCGCGCTGAGGTTCTCCCGCTGGGCCTCGGCCGCCGCCGCCAGGGAGCCGCCGCCGCCGCAAGGGCCCGGCCCGGGGGCTTCCATGTCCGCCTGGTCCCAGCAGTCAGGCGCCGAGTCGCTGCTGCTGCTGCCGCTGCTGCTCCCGCCGCCGCCGCCGCCGCCGCCGCCGCCGCCACTGCCCGGATCCATGATCGGGGGGGCCGTGTGTGTGGTGGACAGAGAGCGGGAAATGGAGGCAGGGGCGCCCGGCCGGAGAGGAGTGGGCAACGCTGACTGAGGGAAGGCGGCGGGGCAGAAGGGCCGGGAGCTAGCGACAAAGATCCCCGGCGTCGCCGCGGCAGCAGCTCCAGTCCCGACTCCACACTCGCGACGACGACAGAGGCGGCGGCGGCGGCAGCTCAACCCTCCTCCTCGTGTGTGTGAGCGGATCTCCTCCCACCCAACCACCTCCGACGGCCTCACAGCCAACCCCACCCCCGGCGCGGATTGACCCCTCGCCGCCACCCGTACCTTCGCCTCGGTAGTTCTCTGTTCTGGCCGCCCCCGTTTCCGGCTATTTAGCGCGGCGGGAGGTGGAACTACAAGTTCCGGCAGCGCCCGCGCTACCCCGCTGCGGTTTTCCCGGGGGCCGACGGGAGTCGAAGTTCAGGGACAGGGCGCAACCGGAAGCGGCTCCGGCTCCCGGCAGGCAACGCGAGGAGGCGGAGGTCTGGTGGCCGCTCGGCGGCCCCACCTGTCACCTGGTGGGGGGGCAGCGGCAGGCCCTGGTTGGTGCAGCTCTGTGCTGGGCCGAAGACCGAGAGTATTTTAGCCCATAGGAGGGGTCCACTCTGGCCTGCTGGACACAGGCTGGGGGAAAACGGACAGCATCTATAACATGGGGAAGAAAAATACACTCAGCTCCCGAAAATTCTTGTACTCTCTTTTCACCACCTTTCCTGCGTTCTCTGCCTCACAGTCTCCGTACCTTATTCTCTCTCCACCTTCTTTCTCCTCACCCCCAGCCAGATTTTGCCCTTCATTTCAAAGCCGGTGCAGATTGCAAAGCTGATTTCATTTTATGTAATCATTTCGTGGAAGAAACAATAAAACCGTGAGATATTCCGGCTTAAAACTGCAGTGTGGCTCATAAAGCGCTGGGGCCCAGGCTCTGCCCAGGCAGAAGGGATTGTTAACTGGAAAATTTCAATGACTCACCGTTTGTTTGACTAGTCATATAAAGCCTTCACCCAAATTTTTCCATCCTTTCCTCCTCCCCGCCAAAGGGTTTGCAAATTAAACAGAGGATTGCCGTATTCCATGGTGTATCCGGCTTACCTAACAGGGTTATTTTGGTGAGTCTAGCTTCCTTATGCACCATTACGTGAAGTGGTTTCCTTTTGAATGGTCTGATTTGCTCAAGAATTCCCATAGTACTTTTCATCGACTGCATCTTACACTTACAGATTAGGTAAACCTGGGAAAAGAACAAAAGCAAACGAGAAATACTTAAGAGTTCGCATTTAGGCCCTTCATGAAGTAGGAAAAAATGTTGCTCTGAGTACCTGTTAAGCTTTCCTGTAATTCACCCATGTGGAGCCCAAGACAGAGAAAAACATATTGTTAGTATTTTTCTGAAAGGAGTCTAGACAGGGTGCAACTAATCTGCCTAGAAATTACAGACTAAAGAAGCACATACATAGAATAGATGTTTCTGAACAACCTTAGGTTGTTAAAAAAAAAAAAAACCTAACAAAATCCAGATCTAGATCTGTATTTTAATTTTCTTTTTTCTTTTTTTTGAGACGGAGTCTTGCTCTGTAGCCCAGGCTGGAGTGCAGTGGCGCGATGTCGGCTCGCTGCAAGCCCGCCTCCCGGGTTCACAACATTCTCCTGCCTCAGTCTCCGGAGTAGCTGGGACTAGAGGCGCCCGCCATCACGCCCGGCTAATTTTTTTTGTATTGTTATTAGAGACGAGGTTTACACCGTGTTAGACAGGATGGTCTGGATCTCCTGACCTCGTGATCCGCTCGTCTCGGCCTCCCAAAGTGCTGGGATTACAGGCGTGAGCCACCGCGCCCGGCCGATCTGTATTTTAATTTTAAACATCTGTATTGTAAAGATAAAAGAGAACTCAGCCTAATGAGATAGGTCAAAAACGAAGCTGTCAAGTATTTTTCAAAAGAGTCCTAGGCTACAGTAATTTGAATTTAATATTAAACTACCAAGCTTTAGGGATTAAAAAAACACATACCGGCCAGGCGCAGTGGCTCACACCTGTAATCTCAGCAATTTGGGAGGCCGAGGCAGATGGATCACGTGAGGTCAGGAGTTCGAGACCAGCCTGGCCAACGTGGTGGAACCCCCGTCTCTACTAAAAATACAAGTTAGGCCGGGCGCGGTGGCTCACGCCTGTAATCCCAGCACTTTGGGAGGCCAAGGTGGGCGGATCACGAGATCAGGAGATTGAGACCATCCTGGCTAACACGGTGAAACCCTGTCTCTACTGAAAATACAAAAAATTAGCCGGGCGTGGTGTGCGGGCGTCTGTATTGCCAGCTACTCAGGAGGCTGAGGCAGGAGAATGGCGTGAAACCAGGAGGCGGAGCCTGCAGTGAGCCGAGATCGCGCCACTGCACTCCAGCTTGAGCGACAAAGCGAGACTCTGTCTCAAAAAACAAACAAAAAAAGCGATCCACCTGCCTCAGCTTCCCAAAGTGCTGGGCTTATCGGTGTGAGCCACCACACCCGGCAGAGTTTGCCTCTGCTTAATAGGAAGTTTTGGTTATAGCCTATTATTATACCTGAAGACCTCACTGAATCATACTTAACAATGTCCATTTTAAAGTTGGTATTAAGTGACTGTCAGATTTACAGAGAACTTAACAACTGTTATGAAAATTAGAACTTCATTTATGCGAGACCTGTATTGCTATTGAATAAAAGATTTTCATCTTATATTCACAAGAAAAAATACAATGTGTTCTAAATGAAATGCCTTCTCTTTCCAGATTTTCACTCCCCACCCACCCACCCCTAAGAAAATGTCAACACAATCAGCTGACTCAAATAATGAACTACACATCCTTCTCTAAGCATTTTGTCTTTGAATACTACTCTCCTCCATGTAGCACTCCTACAGCACTGAATGATCACTTTCTCATAGGTTAGTTCTTCACATCTAATTGAATTAGCAGAGTTTCCTTCTGCCTGGTACTTTTTCTAGGGACAAAGGCAGAAACTGCTCAGACTGCTGCTTAGAAAAGCAGTTGATGTCATTAATTTCCTTGTCTCTGAATAGGATAATTATGGATATTCAGGAAAAAATCCACTCCATTGGTTTTCCAAAGCTTTGACCTGCCAAACAGAGCTCCAGCGGAAAAGGGAAAAGTCTTTCTTGTTAGTTGTGCTAAGTTGTGTGTAAGTTGTGCGACTTGAGGGCAGGGTCTTACCTTAATCTTCTTTACATTTCCACTGCCTAGTGTAATGCCCGGTGTATAAAAGGTGCTTAATCAATTTAGCTGGGATGATACTGTCCTTTGATACTCATTTAAGACTGCTGACACATAGGGCTAATAATTTTATTTATTTATTTATTTTTTAAATAACTTGAGACTCTTGAGACAGAGTCTCGCTCTGTCGCCCAGGCTAGAGTGCAGTGGTATGATCTCAGCTCACTGCAACTTCCACCTCCCAGGTTCAAGCGATTCTCCCACCTCAGCCTCCTGAGTAGCTGGGATTACAGGTGTGCACCACCACGCCCAGCTAATTTTTGTATTTTTAACAGAGACGGGGTTTCACCATGTTGGCCAGGATGGTCTCAATTTCTTGACCTTGTGATCTGCCCTCCTTGGCCTCCCAAACTGTTGGGATTACAGGCGTGAGCCACCACGCCTGGCCTGTATTTTTTTTTAGTAGAGACAGGGTTTCACCTTGTTGGCCAGGCTGGTTTCAAACTCCTGATCTCAAGTGATCTGCCTGCCTTGGGCTCCTAAAGTGCTAGGATTACAGATGTGAGCCACCGCACTTAGCTATTTTAATTTAATTTAATTTTATTTTTTGAGATGGAGTCTTGCTCTGTTGCCCAGGCTGGAGTGCAGTGGAGCAATCTTCACGCACTGCAACCTCTACCTCCCAAGTTCAAGCAATTCTCCTGCCTCAGCCTCCTGAGTAGCTGGGATTATAGGTGCCCGCCACCCCCCCTCCCCAACCCCCTGGTAATTTTTCTATTTTTAGTAGAGACAGGGTTTCACCATATTGCCCAGGCTGATCTGGAACTACTGACCTCAAGTGATCCTCCTGCCTCAGCCTCCCAACGTGCTAGGATTACAGGCATGAGCCACCACACCCCACCCCAGGACTAATAATTTAGAAAACTTAGGAAAAATCAGAGTTTTTCCTACTCTCACACACAAGTCACCGCTCAACACAGAGTACAGTCCTCTCTGGGTAGAGGAAGGGGATTAGTTCCAGGAGCCCTTCAGATACAAAAATCCAACCATACTAAAATCCCACAATCTATACTGTGTGTATGAAAGGTCAGCCCTCCCTACACTTGAGTTCCTGCATCCTGAGAATCCCGTCTTTTTGATCCTCATTTGATTGAAAAAAAAAATCCATGTGTAAGTGGGACCCTCGCAGTTCAGGCTCACATTGTTTAAGGGCCAGTTGTACTCCACCAGTAAGTGAGGGAGTTTCTACCCACCACCAACCAATTCTTCAACAGACACCAACAGGATAAGCAATCATTTCACTCAATTCTGACATTAACCAGAGTTAGGACAGATCCCACAAGTTAAGGGATCAGTCCCACAAGACTGCCCCCACTTCCAATGCCAATAACAGGTTCCACATTGTGACCTGTGCTTCTGACCAACTGGCTATGAATTGGGGGTTCCCATGACCCCCTCCATGGGTTCAGGGAATTTGCCAGAGTGGCTCACAGAACTCAAGGAAACAGGGCAAACACGGTGGCTCATGCCTGTAATCCCAGCACTTTGGGAGGCCGAGGCAGGCGAATCACCTGAGGTCAGGAGTTTGAGACCAGCCTGGCCAACATGGTGAAACCCTGTCTCTACCAAAAAAATACAAAAATTAGCCGGTTGTGGTGGTGGGTGCCTGTATTCCCAGCTACTCAGGAAGCTGAAGGCAGGAGAATCGCTCGAACATGGGAGGCAGAGGTTGTAGTGAGCCAAGTGCTCCACCACACTCTAGCCTGGGCAACAGAGCAAGACTCCGTCTCAAAAAAAAGAACTCAAGGAAACACTTTACTTACAGTTACCCATAAAGGACATTACAAAGGATACAGAGGAACAGCCACGTGGAAGAGATGCACAGGGCTGGGAAGGGGCATACAGTTCCTATTCTGTCTCCAGGTGTGCCATCCTCAAGGGTCCTCCACGTGTTCAGCAACCCAGAAGCTCTCTGAACCCTGTCCTTCTGGGTTTCTATGGAGGCTTCCCTACATAGCCATGACTGATTGTATCATTGCCCGTTGCTGATTAACTCAACCTTCAGCCCCTCTGCCCACCGAGAGGTTGGATGTGGGGCTAAAAGTTCCAAGCTTCTAATCATGACTTGGCCTTTCTGGTGACCAGTCGTCTTCTAGGAGCCCATCAAGAGTTGCATCATTAGGCAGGGTGCGGTGGCTGATGCCCAGCACTTTGGGAGGCCGAGGCAGGCAGATCACCTGAGGTCAGGAGTTCGAGAACAGCCTGGTCAACATGGCAAAACCCTGTCTCTACTAAAAATACAAAAATTAGCTGGGCGTGGTGGCACACGCCTGTAATCCCAGCTACTTGGAAGGCTGAGGCAGGAGAATCGCTTGAACCTGGGAGATGGAGTTTGCAGTAAGTTGACATCACCCCACAGCGCTCCAGCCTGAGTAACAGAGTGAGATTTCGTGTCAAAAAAAAAAAAAAAAAAAAAAAAAAACAGAAACAAAAACCAAAACAAAACATATACAAAAGAAACAAAATACATGTAGGCCAGATGCTATTACCTGCTGAAGCCCTCCCTGTTCAAAATGCGGATGAGGAAAGCTTGGAGATGTGTTAAAGATATAATAGCCAGCTGGGCGCTGTGGCTCATGCCTGTAATCCCAGCGCTTTGGAAGGTTGAGGAGAGGGGATCACCTGAGGTCGGGAGTTCGAGACCAGCCTGGCCAACATGGTGAAACCCCGTCTCTCCTAAAAGTACAAAAATTAGGCCGGGCACAGTGGCTCTCACCTGTAATCCCAGCACTTCGGGAGGCCGAGGCGGGCGGATCACTTGAGGTCAGCAGTCTGAGACCAGCCTGGCCAACATGGTGAAACCCTGTCTCTACTAAAAATACAAAAAAATTAGACAGCCATGGTGATGCACACCTGTAACCCCAGCTACTCAGGAGGTTGAGGCACAAGAATCACTTGAACCTGGGAGGTGGAGGTTGCAGTGAGCCAAGATCATTCCACTGCACTCCAGCCTGGGCGACAGAGTGAGACCCTGTCTCAAAAAAAAAAAAAAAAAAAAAATCAGCGGGGCATAGTGGCACCTACCTGTAATCCCAGCTACTTGGGAGGCTGAGGCAGGAGAATCACTTGAACCCGGGAGGTGGAGGTTGCAGTGAGCCGAGATCGTGCCACTGCACTCCAGCCTGGGCAACAAGAGTGAGACTACATCACACACACACAAAAAAAGAGTTGTATGATTAGAACAAAAGACACTCCTTTCACCTAGGAAATGCCAAGGGATTAGGAGCTCTGTGTCAGGAACCCGGGTCAAATACCAAATATTAGAACAAATGATGCACCTAGCACCTCTATTGCTCAGGAAATGTCAAGAGTTTTAGAACCTCTGTGCCAGAAACTGGGGGCAGAGCCCAAGTATATATCTCTTACTATATCACAATAGCACTATGACCTTTTTTGGCAGGCTTCTTTCACTTAGCATAATGTTTTCAAGGTTCATCCATGTTGAAGCAGGCATCAGTACTTCATCCCATTTTTTTTTTTTTGAAACAGAGTCTCGCTCTGTCGCCCAGGCTGCTGTGCAGTGGTGCGACCTTGGCTCACCACAACCTCTGCTTCCCGGATTCAAGAGATTCTCCTGCCTCAGCCTCCCGAGTAGCTGGGACTACAGGCATGAGCCACCATACCTGGCTAATTTTTGTATTTTTAGTAGAGAGGGGGTTTCCCTATGTTGGCCAGGCTGGTCTCGAACTCCTGACCTTGTGATCTGCCTGCCTTGGCCTCCCAGAGTGTTGGGATTACAGGTGTGAGCCACCCCGCCCGGCCACTTACTCCCTTTTAATGGCTGACTAATATTTTATTGTATGGATTTTACCACAATTTGTTTATCCGTTGATGGACAAATTGCTTTTGTAACTTAAAGAAGTCAAAAATAAAAGGTTAAACAAGTGAGATCACAGTAAAGTGTGTAGTCTAGTTAGTTGTGCTGTCTTAATGTCAATGTCCTGAATTTTGATAGTGTACTATAGTTATGGTAGATTTTACTGTTGGGAGAAGCTAGGTGAAGGGTACTTGGGACCTCTCTACCATTTCTGCAACTTTTCGTGAGTCTGTAATTATTTCAAAGTAAAAAGTTAACGCAGGGTGCAACGGCTTATGCCCGTAGTCCCAACTACTCAGGAGGCGGAGGTGGGAGGATCGCTTGAGTACAGGAGGCTGAGGCTGCAGCAGCCCTGTTCATACCACTGCACTCTAGCTTGGATGACAGAGCAAGACCCTGTCTCAGAAAAAAAAAAAAAAAAAAGATCCCATGTGAAATTATTCAGACTTTCAGACTTCAGCCTGGGTTCCCAAGTCTTTACCAAAATATTTTTTCTGTCTTCCTTGATTCAATTTGTTTGGGGCAGGAGTACAGTTGGGAAAGGGGGAATTTTTTTCAGCTTTGAGAATTTAAGGCTGGGTATGGTGGCTCATGCCTGTAATTGCAACACTCTGGGAAACTGAGGCAGGAGGAGTGCTTGAGGCCAGGAGTTCAAGACCAGCCTGGGCAATATAGCAAAACCCTGTCTCTACAAAAGATAAATTAAAAAATAAAAAATATAATTTTGTCCGGGAGCAGTGGCTCACGCCTGTAATCCCAGCACTTTGGGAGGCTGAGGCAGGCAGATCACGAGGTCAGGAGATCGAGACCATCCTGGCTAACACAGTGAAACCCCGTCTCTACCAAAAAAATACAAAAAATTAGCCGGGTGTGGTGGCACGCACCTGTAGCCCCAGCTACTAGGGAGGCTGAGGCGGGAGAATCGCTTGAACCTGGGAGGTGGAGGTTGCAGTGAGCCAAGATTGCATCACTGCACTCCAGCCTGGGCAATAGAGTGAGACTCCATCTCAAAAAAAAAATATATATATACAATTTTATAAATATACAACAGTATAAATATAGAACAGTAAAAAGAATCACCATCACTCACAAACTTACCTGGAATCTCAAGATTGCCTTTTTTTTTTCTTTTTCTGAAACAGGGTGCTGCTCTGTCATGCAGGCTGCAGTGCAGTGGCATGAACTTGACTCACTGCAACCTCCACCTCCTAAGCTCAAGCAATCCTCCCACTTCAGCCCCCCGAGTAGCTGGGATTACAGGCACGAGCTACCACACCTGGCTAGTTTTTTTGTATTTTTTGTAGAGATGGGATTTTGCCATGTTCGCTGATCTCTAACTCCTAGGTCAAGCCATCCGCCCACCCTAGCTTCCCAAAGTACTGGGATTACAGGCGTGAGCCACTGCGCCTGGCCGATTGCCAATTGCCAATGCCTCAACACCTTCTTTCATGTTTTAAATAAACAATTTTTTTATTTAAATAAATAAATGAGAAATAAAACAATCTTTTTTCTTTTGAGATGGCGTCTCACTCTGTCGCCCAGGCTGGAGTGCAGTGGCACAATCTCAGCTCACTGCAACCTCCACCTCCCGGGTTCAAGTGATTCTCCTGTCTCAGCCTCCTGAGTAGCTGGCATTACAGGTGCACGCCACCAAGCCCGGCTCATTTTTGTACTTTTAGTAGAGATGGGGTTTCACCATGTTGACCAGGCTGGTCTCGAACTCCTGACCTCAGGTGATCTGCCTGCCTCGGCCTCTCAAAGTGTTGGGATTACAGGCATGAACCACTGAGCCTGGTCTGGTGAGCCAATTTTTATATTTGTTATAGAGACAAGAGAGACAAGAGTCTCCTTATGTTGCCCAGGCTGGTCTCGACCCCCTGGCCTCAAGTGATCCTCCCACCTCAGCCTCCCAAGTAGCTAGGACTATAGGCATGTGCCATCATGGCGAGTTAATTTTTTGTGTGTTTTTATTGTCTCGAGAGAGAGTCTTGCTCTGTTGCTCAGGCTGGACTGCAATGGCGTGATCTTGGCTCACCGCAACCTCCACCTCCTGGGTTCAAGCGATTCTCCTGCCTCAGCCTCCCGAGTAGCTGGGATTAGAGGTGTGTGCCACCATGCCTGGCTAATTTTGTATTTTTAGTAGAGACAGGGTTTCGCCATGTTGGTCAGGCTGCTCTCGAACTCCTGACCTCGTGATCCACCTGCCTCGGCCTCTCAAAGTGTTGGGATTACAGGCATGAGCCACTGAGCCTGGCCTGGTGAGCTAATTTTTAAATTTGTTATAGAGACAAGAGTCTCTCTTATGTTGCCCAGGCTGGTCTCGACCCCCTGGCCTCAAGTGATCCTCCCACCTCAGCCTCCCAAAGTGCTGGGATTACAGATGGGTGTCACCGCACCTGGCCTCTGAGGAGGATTTCATTATAAACCTGCCATGAAGGGAGGGAATCCAATTTTACGAGAGGGTGTAGCCTGGTGAGGCCTGGATGACCTCCGGAGGCAGGGGCTTGTGCCTGGGCTGAGGCCTAAGGGACAATGGGCAGACATGAAGTTGCCCCAGGCAGAGGGTACAGTGTGGGCAAAGTCAGGAAGTGGCAGGGCTTGGATCACTCCAGGAAGAGAGAGGAGTCATGTGTCACAGGAGCTCGAGACCCAGAGAGGGAGGCAGGCAGGCAGGCAGGGACCAAGCTTGGGCACAGCCAGGAAGGCAGGACAGGGCATGGTGGGGCCAATGGAATCATTACCCAAGACGGGGATTTTCAGGGAAACAGCTTAGATAAGGCCAGGTGTACAGTAGCTCCCACCTGTAATCCCAGCATTTGGGGAGGCTGAGGTAGGAGGACTGCTTGAGCCTGGGAGTTCGAGACCAGCCTAGGCAACATAGTGAGACCCCATATCCACAAAAAATTTAAAAAAGGAGTTTGTGTTCCTGTAGTAGCAGACTTGGGAGGTTGAGGTGGCAGTATCACTTGAGCCCAGGAGTTCAAGGCTAAAGTGAGCTGATTGAGCCATTGCACTCCAGCCTGAGCAACAGAGAGATATGCTGTCTCAAAGGAAATACAAATTAAAAAACCAGCCGGGCATGCTGGCGTGTGCCTGTAGTCTCAGCTACTTGGGACACTGAAGTGGGAGGATCGCTTGAGCCCAGGAGTTCAAGGCTGCCGTGAGCTATGATTGTGCCTCTGCAGTACAGCCTGGGCGACAGAGAAAGACCCTGTCTCTTAAAAAAAAAAAAAAAAAAACTTAGATAAGAGGATGCTGTGCCTCCCTGGGGGTCTTCAGTCACCCATGGTCCTGGCAAGAGAGGAGGGCCAGGAGAGAGCTTCACCCACCTGCTGTCCTGCCCATGTGACATCCGCAGGTGCTGCCATGGCCACGACTGTTGTTACACTCGAGCTGAGGAGGCCGGCTGCAGCCCCAAGACAGAGCGCTACTCCTGGCAGTGCGTCAATCAGAGCGTCCTGTGCGGTGAGTCCCCAGCAGCACCATGCCACCCACCCCGAGTATCCCCTGGGCACCCTGGCATAGCCAGATGACTTCCGTGCCCCTGTTGCAATAACCACTGCCTCCAAGTCTCCATAGACCACCCCTTGGGTATATCTAATGTAAGTGATATTTATTTTATTTATTTTTTGAGTCAGTCTCGCTCTGTCACCCAGGCTAGAGTGTGCTGATGTGATCTTGGCTCACTACAACCTCTGCCTCCTGGGTTCAAGCGATTCTCATGCCTCAGCCTCCCAAGTGGCTAGGACTACAGGCATGCACCATCACGCCCAGCTAATTTTTGTATTTTTTCAGTAGAGGTGGGGTTTCACCAAGTTGGCCGGGCTGGTCTCAAACTCCCCACCTCAAGTGCTCTGCCCGCCTCGGCCTCCCAAAGTGCTGGGATTACAGGCATGAGCCGTGGTGTCTGGCCCTAATGTGAGTGATCTTTAACACTGAGCACTTGAAAAAGAAAACCCTGAAGAAACCTAATTCTTTGATGTCTGGACGACAAGGAAGAAGATAGAAATGGCATCAGATAATAAACAGTGTAAATGTTTATCAGAAAGGGGCTGGTGGTCGGGACAAGTAGGAGGATCGCTTGAGTCCAGGAGTGCATCTCTACAAAAAAGTTAAAGGATTTTTTAACATTGGCCAGGCGTGGTGGCACACATCTGTGATCCCAGCTACTTGGGAGGCTGAGGCAGGAGGATTGCTTAAAGCCCAGGAGGTTGAGGCTGCAGTGAGCTGTGATCGAGCCACTGCACTCCAGCCTGGGTGACACAGCAAAATCCAGTCTCAAAAAAAAAAAAAAAAATAATATTTTACATAACCAACCACTTCTAAAGATTAAAAAAACCCCCTATGATTAACAACCTCAGGTCCCTCAGGCAATCATACCAGATATCAAAACAAAGCAATAACATAAGGACTGCAGTATTTATTTTATTTTTATATTATTTATTTATTCTTTGTTAGTTTGTTTTTGGAGTGTGGGTTTTGTTTTGTTTTTTGATTTTTTTATTTTGTTCTACTCAGTTTTATTCTTATTGCTCAGGCTTGAGTGCAATGGCCTGTTCTCAGCTTACTCAACCTCCGCCTCTTGGGCTCGGGTGATGATGGTTCCACCTCAGCGGCCCTCCGCCTCTTGGGTTCGGGTGGTGATTCCACCTCAGCGGCCCTCCGCCTCTTGGGTTCGGGTGGTGATTCCATCTCAGCCGCTCTCCACCTCTTGGGTTTGGGTGGTTTTTCTGCCTCAGCCTCCTGAGTAGCTAAGGGAGGTGTCTTGAGATTATCATCCGCTGAGGGTGGAGCTGAGGGTGGAAGGGGAGTGAGCAGACACTCGGGAGGTGTCTTGAGATTATCATCCGCTGAGGGTGGAAGGGGAGTGAGCAGACACTCGGGAGGTGTCTTGAGGCTCAGGGAGTTATCAGTTATAGAATGTTGTTGAGTTGGAGGAGGTGGCTGGTGGCCCATCCTGTTTTTTAAAGTTTCAGCTGTGAGGTAGGGCCAGTAGGGCAATCCTGAAGAATGACGATGCTCCGCTGCCGCCATTCTGACCTGTAGGGCCAAAGGAGGGAATGTTTTCACACATATTCATTTGATGGACAAAATTACCGCCACCAACACAGTCTGCACCTTCTGTTGCTGGTGATAGATTTTTGCACCTTTCCATCCTCCAGGTTTCAAAATAGCAGTATCAGTGTCATAATATCACCCTTCCACTGAGTACTGCCAACAGCTGGAGGGTAAAGAAAAGTCACTGGGACACACTGTTGTCTCCACATGCCACTGTGTCTGTCTGCAAATGTAGGCAGGCTGGGGTCCTGCCCCAGGGAAGACAGAGTCATAACAGAGTAATAAAGAAGCATGTTTGAGACACAGGAGTGTCTATGTCTATCCTCATTCCTCCCTCACAGCCATCACCAGAGCATGTTTCTTGCACCAGGTCAACAGACAGTAAGAGACAGTAAGAGAGGCATGAAAAGCCCATTGTCCACACATGTTGCAGCTTCTTTTTGGAGAATGTTTTCCAGGCCTTTTATGTTCTGTCTCTGATTCTCAGAACTCTGCAAGGTCAGTGTGACCACCCTGCTCCAAATCTAAGAAAACAGAGGTTTCCAGAGGAAGGAGAAATTGTGCCCAGGGTCACACAGCTTGCAAGAGGCAGAGTGGAAGTTGATTCCAGCTCTGCCTGCAGGACCCTCTCATTTCCCCTCTGTTTCCCTTCTTGACAAAGGATCTTCTTCACTCTGGAGGTGCCACCCATGAGAACAAAGAGCTCTGGAGAGATGTGGATTCCTGAAGAGCTGCAGGGGAACTGGGAGAGGGTTTTCTGACAGAACAATCTCACCTCAAGAAGTCAGTTAGGCATGGCTGTAATATTTCTTTTCACTCCCAGGTAATACCAAATTGTAAGTGCACTAGGACATAAAGAATACTTTTGTCCATGGAAAAATGAGGTGGGAATTCTAAACAAAGCAAGTTTTAAAACTGTGTTTCACTTCAAGTGTACAAGTCCCATCACGTGTAATCATAGGACTCGGCAGCTTTTGAAGGTACAGAGGCCACACAAGAACCAGCTTAGCTGAGCATCATTTAAGGCCTTCATTTGGAATTGTCCCTGTGGGTAATAAGTTACATTCACTCTTCACTAGTTTACAGTCAGGGCCCATCTGCTATTACAAATACGGAACCTCTGACACTTAGAATATTAGATCAGGGGCCCCACTGGGTGGGGATGAAGGTGTTTTTGCGCAACACGGTTACCAACAGGGATGGGACTGTGATGCTTGTAGGCAGCCTTTCTCTCTGCCATCTCCCTCTGCAGGGCTTGAGCACAGAGCTGTAGGGAGAAAAATGTATCCATGTCCTGACCTGGCAGACTATGTCCAAAAGCAAGGAAAACAAGCAAACTTACCCAGTTGCAAAGAGCCTTTCTTGCAGAAGGGGGGATCTGAAAAAGCCAACACATGAGAAATTGAATGTTGAGAGAGTCTAAGGGCCGTGGCATCATCTGCATCAGCACTGAACTATCCTGCAACTGCAGGGAGGAAGCTCCTTACTTTGCATTTGTGGTAGTCCTCTGCCCGCCGCCGCAACTCTTGCGCACGTTGAAACATTTTCCTATGGATTACAATCACTTTCATCAGATAAAGCACCACTTTCAGGATGATTTTAAATAATCTGCCATGTTTCTGTTATCCTCACAACTGTACCCTTACACAATCTATCTCTACCTAGAAAACGTATTTCAGATGGCTATAAGAGTACAGTCTGAGCCGGTCACGGTGGCTGACGCCTGTAATCCCAGCACTCTGGGAGGGCGGGGCGGATGGATCACGAGGTCAGGAGATTGAGACCATCCTGGCTAATACGGTGAAACCCCGTCTCTACTAAAAATACAAAAAATTAGCCAGGCGTGGTGGCAGGCACCTGTAATCCCAGCTACTCGGGAGGCTGAGGCAGGGGAATCACTTGAACCTGGGAGGCGGAGGTTGCAGTGAGCCAAGATCACGTCATTGCACTCCAGCCTGGGTGACACAGCAAGACTCCATCTCAGAAAAACAAAAACAAAAAACTGTACAGTCTGATCCAAACTGTTGCTGTATTGATTCCTCCTCTTGCTTACTGCCTGCTGACTTCTGAGATGATAGTTTCCTTCCCCATTCTCAGTACATCCCTAATTCATCCTTCATTGAGCATCTTTTATCATAAAGCTGTATTCTCTTTGTATTAATATCTTTACCGTGTTTCACAGGGCAGAAACAGCTGGGCTTATAAACAGGCATAGTCCTTTTGAAGGATGTGGTTGATCCTACAACAACACACTTTCCTAAGGATGACAACAACTCACCCCACCCCTAGAATGGCTGGTATGAACCGAGTTTCCACACAGTCTAGCTGGCAATGGGGTCAGGAGCCGTTTTGCTACTTCACATCTTTTGGTCACTGGTAAATATTAAGGTACTTTGTTTTCTGTTTTGTGAACTCTCTCTCTCTCTCACGATATGTCTTCTGACCATTTGTTTCTATTTCTGCATTTACTGGGTCTAAACATTGTACAAAGGTTAAAAACAACACTCCAATGGGCGTTTCCCAAGAGGGTGGGGTTCAGTTTCTGAACTCACATGTAGGTGTGTATTTCTTTCATATCCAATTTCCCATTTTCCTCTGCCTCTGACACCTGCCTCTCCTTTTCTGCATGCTCACATTCTTTCACGCTTAGTTTCCTCAGATTAGAAGGGAGAGAAATGCACACACATGATCCACCAGCCCGTGTGGGATTCCCTCTGCCCTTCTGGCATCTGAAGGCTGTGATTCAAAGATCCCCCCTGCAACCTTCCCACAAATGAACCAACTGATTCTCACAACCGAAGGGAGAATTGACACCTCCCATTGAGGGACAAAAAAAAGTCACACTCTGGCCTGCTGGCAAGTCACCTGTCATTTCCAGCTCATCTTCATAGTTCCATAGTTAGTCCTATTCTTTAGTAAATATAAAGACTATTAAAAGCTTCTATGAGGTGCACTATGTGTGTCTCTGGGGTCAGTCTTGTGCTTGACACAGCGAAAGCTCATTTTAGTTCAGTGTGAAAAACCAGACCTCACCAATTCATCACAACTAACTCCATCGGAAGCAGAGGATTGCTCCTCATCTGACTCCTCCTGTGTGAGACCTGATTCTCAGTCAGAGGCTGATGCCGGAACTGAGACCATCAGCCATAGAGAGATCCTTCCAGAATAACCCCGCAGTTCACTACTGCACTTTGCCATGATTCAGGACTGGAACTTTTGTCATCGACTTTAAAGATCCTGGTTGAGAGAAAAGGCAATCTGAATGCTGGGCGCATCTATTGAATTAGAAATGATCGGAATGGCTCCTAAGTCAGGGTGTTATGTCCTGAAAATAGGTGACAACGGCAAACCATCCACCCTGGTGTTGACTGACTTTAACAAGGTTCAGTTCACAGAGATTGAGGGCAGAAAAAGGAAACGGCCTAAAAAGGGTAAGTTTGCTGTGTTGCCCTCACACCACTTGATTCATGGTCCTGATCCTAAGGATCTCACCTGATACTTGGTTTTATAGGAAGGATGTGTAAAATTCCCAGAACGCTAGGAAACAGGGGCGAAAACACTTCAAAGAGAAAGTTAATGAACTTGTTTCTGACCACAAGGCATCCTTCAGCACATGCTGTCTGGAGTGGCCTCAAACAAGGTGTGTGTGGTGAGGTGCTGAGAATGCAATGGGAGCAGGGTCCTGTCCCCACGCTAAAGAAGCTCACAGCTTAATGCAAATGAGAAGCCAGTGAGGACATCACTACTCCTGCTGTGCACTTGGGAACTAGAAACACAAAACCTGACTCTGGAGGGAAGCTAAGGAAGCATTCTACTCTTGAGTTGACATAAGTGCATCTGAAGCTTCTGATCTCCGATGAGAACAATGGGGGACACCAAACAGAATATAAAACCCATGATTGAATACATCAAATTGCTAACATGGCAGTAAACAGACAAGAGGTGAAGATGGAGAAGAAGGAAACCCAGGACGAAAGTCAGCTTCGCATTTGGAACCCATTTCCCTGAGTTTCATTGCTGAATTCCAGAAGGAACTACTGAGATGCAAAGAAGCACAGCAGCTTTTGCACACATGCGTGGGATTAGATGGAAAACAAGTGGATTGAGGGTCTGCCAATGAAAGCGACCCATACTGAAGTCCACTGGCTCTGGTTGAGACCCAGAAGAGTCATGCATCAGAATAGAGGTGGACAGGAAATACCCTGGCCTTTGTAGGGACTGAGCCTGCACCGACGACCTCAATTGCAGCCTGTATGGAGGACCCCTGACCATCCCCCAGAAGTAGACTCCCATCTCTTCTGCAGCAAGATAACATGCTACTAGGCCTCAATTCATTGCTAAATATTTTTTAACAAGTATCTCACATTTAACAAAAAAAGATCAGTCATATGGCAGCAAAATACAATGTAATATGACCAAAACATGAAAGACTGTGAAAATGAATCTGGAGGTGACCCAAGCATTGAATTCAACAATCCAGGCTGGGTGCGGTGGCTCACACTGGGAGGCTGAGGTAGGCAGATCACCTGAGGTCAGGAGTTCAAGACTAGCCTGGCCAACATGGTGAACCCCTGTCTCTACTAAAAATGCAAAAATTGGGCTGGGAACGGTGGCTCATGCCTGTAATCTCAGCACATTGGGAGGCCGAGGTGTGCGGATCATGATGTCAGGAGTTCTAGACCAGCTTGGCCAATATGGTGAAACCCCGCCTCTACTAAAAATACAAAAATTATCCGGGCATGGTGGCATATGCCTGTAGTCCCAGCTACTCAAGAGGCTGTGGGATAAGAATCGCTTGAACCTGGGAGGTGGAGGTTGCAGTGAGCCAAGATCATGCCACTGCACTCTAGCCTGGGTGACAGAGTGAGACTCTGTCTCAAAAAAAAAAAAAAAAAAAAAAAAAAAAAAAAAAAATTGGCCAAATGTGGTGGCACACACCTGTAATCCAAGCTACTCAGGAAGCTGAGGCAGAATTGCTTCAAATTGGGAGGCAGAGGTTGCAGTGAGCCAAGATTGCACCATAGCACTCCAGCCTGGGCGACAGAGCGAGACTCTATCTCAAAATTAAAAAAAAAAAAAAAGGCTGGCTGTGGTGGCTCATGCCTCTAATCCCAGCACTTTGGGAGGCTGAGGCAGGTGGATTACCTGAGGTCAGAAGTTCGAGACCAGCCTGGACAACATGGTGAAACCCCATCTCTAGTAAAAATACAAAAATTAGCTGGGCGTGGTGGTGGGCACCTGTAATCCCAGCTACGTGGGAGGCTGAGGCAGGAGAATTGCTTGAACCCAAAAGGCAGTGAGCTGACATTGTGCCATTGCACTACAGCCTGGGCAACAAGAGCAAAGCTCCATCTCAGGAAAAAAAAAAAAAGAGACAGAGAAAGGAAAACCAATGCCAGTACTAGCAACTCCTCTTCCCCTGAAAAAATGACAAACAAGAATGTAGGAAGGGAAAGGAATTATACAGCTTAAACTAATGAAGCAGAAAGGACAAACTCAATTTTGAACCCACTGAATTTGCCACAAATATTGTAGAAAATATTCTCAAGGACTTTACAGTTGTCTACTTTGATTGGCACATGGTTCATACAACAATATTTGTGTCAAGGCACATCTTACTGTTTTTTGGCGGTCTTCCTCTTTCCATTGATTTTGTCATGATGGTTGATTTTCGTTGTCACCTTCATCTTACGGATTTTAGCTCTACCTTTTGTTTCCACATGTCTCCGTAGAGTAATGACGTCTTTCAGGCCAATTTTATTTCCTGGAAAGGAAGAAACTCTTTTCTTTGTGTGCATACAAATGGACCTCAGCCCTTGGTGAGAGTGAGGAGAGGAGAAGGTGAGAAACCTGAGGGCAAGAAGCTGTTCTTTCCCTTTCCAGGGCAAACTCATTTCCACACTATGGGGACTCCAACAGAGCCATACCTTCCTGTCTACGGCGGTTGGACCTCCTGGCTCTCTGCTGTACATCTGTGGATACATCATGTCCATTTTCAGACTGGAAGATAGTCTTCAGGAAAGACAACTAGGAAATAATAATATAAGAATGACGGCTGGGCACGGTGGTTCATGCGTATAATCCCAGTACTTTGGGAGGCCGAGGCAGGTGGATCACGGGGTCAGGAGTTCAAGACCAGCCTGGCCAAGATGGTGAAACCCCGTCTCTACTAAAAATACAAAAATTAGCCGGGCATGGCAGCGGGCGCCTGTAATCCGAGCTACTCGGGAGGCTGAGGCAGAGAACCGTTTGAAGCTGGGAGGCGGAGGTTGCAGTGAGCCGAGATCACACCACTGCACTCCAGCCTGAGAGACAGAATGAGACTCTGTCACACACACACACACACACACACACACACACATAAGAATGACATGAGGCTGGCACGGTGGCTCACTCCTGTAATCCCAGCACTTTGGGAGGCCGAGGCAGGCGGATCACCTGAGGTCGGGAGTTTGAGACCAGCCTCACCAACATGGAGAAACGCTGTCTCTGCTAAAAATACAAAATTAGCCAGGCATGGTGGTGCATGCCTGTAATCCCAGCTAGTCAGGAGGCTGAGGCAGGAGAATCACTTGAACCCAGCAGGAAAAGGTTGTGGTGAGCTGAGATTGTGCCATTGCACTCCAACCTGGGCAACAAAATTGAAACTCTGTCTCAAAAAAAAAAAAAAAAAAAAAAATAGGCCAGGTGCGGTAGCTCACGCCTGTAATCCCAGCACTTTGGGAGGCTGAGGTGGGTGAATCACAAGGTCAAGAGATGGACACCATCTTGGGCAACATGGTGAAACCCCGTCTCTACTAAAAATACAAAAATTAGCTGAGCATGGTGATGCACGCCTGTAGCCCCAGCTACTTGGGAGGCTGAGGCAGGAGAACTGCTTGAACCCAGGAGGCAGAGGTTGCAGTGAGCCAAGATCCCACCACTGCACTCCAGCCTGGTGACAGAGTGAGACTCTGTCTCAAAAAAAAAAAAAAAAAATGACCTGAATATACTTCACACAACTGAACTGTACACTTCAACACGGTTAGATGGTAATTATCATCTTATAAGTATTTTACCACAGGTTAACATGTTTCACAACTTGAAAAGGAAGTAATTACCTTCAGCTCTCTGAGTTCTAGAATTTGTAACATTTCACCCCCTGCTCCTTCCTGATCTGCACTGGAGCATCTTCCTTCTGTCCCTGCTCTACTCAGAGTTCACTTTCCCTTCCCTCACATCAGCTTCATTGAGGCTGGTTTGAACTTAACGCAAAACATTCTCACTAATGACTGAATTCCCACCAAGATTTCCATATTATCACAGTATGCTTTTAATCTTCTAAGATATTAAATATTTGTTCTCATCATAGCTAAAATGCAATGCAAATCCCATCTCAGATGTGGGTCAGATACCTATGAATCTCCTGAGGTAGTCATTGAAATGACTTTTTTCTTGAGACGGAGTGTCACTCTCAACCATGCTGAAGTGCAGTGGCGCTACCTTGGCTCACGGCAACCTCCACCTCCCAGATTCAAGCGATTCTTGTGCCTCAGCCTCCCAAGTAGCTGGGATTACAGGTGTCTGCTACCATGCCTGGCTAATTTTTGTCTTTTTAGTAGAGATGGGGTTTTACCATGTTGGCCCATCTGGTCTTGAACTCCTGACCTCAGATGATCCATCTGCTTCAGCCTCCCAAAGTGCTGGGATTACAGGCATGAGCCACCACATCTGGCCTGAAATAATATCTTTCAAATTCTTTGTAGAATTTGTTTTTTCCTGATTTCTGCACATAGGATAAAAAAAAATCATGTACTAGGATTTCGAGAGAAGCAATGGGTAATCTAAAAAGATGAAAAGAGCAACCACGTCAATCCCACAGCTACTGCTAGATTTCATAGGAAAGGTAGCTGGCCCAGTTTGGAGCTAGGGGAAATTTCAAACACATGAAGAAATGAGAAGCCAAGAAATGCCATCACGCATGAATGCTTCATGGCACCCATGATATCCCTGCTTAGGAGGTAATGGTATAGATGACTAGATGACAAGGACAAAGATGAGAGGTGCGAAGTTGTCCAAGTCCAACAGCTCAACTGAACTTTCCTAAGTGGAATTGTTAAAAAGTGGTAAATTTAAAAACTTCCCCTGGCTCACGTGGTGGCTCACGCTTGTAATCCCAGCACTTGGGGAGGCTGAGGTGGGTGGATCATTTGAGGTCGGGTTTTGAGACTAGCCTGGCCAACATGGTAAAACCCCGACTCTACTAAAAATACAAAAATTAGCTGGGCATGGTGGTGGGCACCTGTAATCCCAGCTACTTGAGAGGCTGAGGCAGGGGAATCACTTGAAGCCAGGAGGTGGAGGTTGCAGTGAGCCGAGGTCACACCATTATACTCCAGCCTGGGCAACAGAGGGAGACTCGTCTTGAGGGTGAGAAAAGAAAAAAAAAAGAAAAAAGCTTCCTCCAATTTATACCGAAAATTCTCTGTTCAGGACTAAGTGGCATAGAGAATGTTAAATGTGCCTAGATATCTTCATAACTCATATATTTTCTGTTTTCTACATATCTTGAAAGGCAGTGCCAAATGACGTGTAATTATCTAGGTGGTAAAACTGAAACATACTTCCTCTTCCCTTGAATATCAAAAAGCATTGTGGTATTAGTACTTTTATCTTGGATCATTGTTCAGAAGGAGGTTCAGCCCCCAGACAACCACATTTTTACTGTCATGAATGGCAAGACAAAATGTAGAGCTCAACTTACCCAAAGGAAAAAAGGCTCAAAAGACAAATTATGGCACAACTTAGCAGCCAAATTCTTACCAAGTACAGACTTTTGACATACTGATCTCTCTCCAGTTGCAAGTGGGAACATGCACTTTGAATGATGTCATTCAAAATTACCCTGCCCAGACACACTTTTCATTGATTCTCTTGGAGGGCAGTTCTAAGAGATTCTCTGGGGCTTTCTCTGCATCATGAGACGCAGTGCAGTTGTGCCCTTCACCTTCTGGCAGTTTGTCACCTCGTCCCTATGACCTCAGAGGAACTTTGTCTCAGGCCAATTGTTTGTTCCTTGGGCTCTTTCATTTCCCCTAAAAATCATTTGCTGCCCCTCTAAATGGCCTACATCTCCATCTATCTCCCTCTCCCCTCAGAAGAGGGTGCTCTTTAAGCATCAACCATCCAGCCCTTCTAGCAGTCTCATTTTTCAGCTGGTTCCCATGTTTATGCCTGTTCTATGTTTTTCTTTTCCTGTTAAGCTGTCTTTTCAGCTCATTTCTGCAGTGAATCTTCAGAGACGAGACTGGAAGCTTTCCTTCCACCCATACGATAGAACTATAAAGCAGAAGAGTTTAGAAAGAATTTCCTATTTAAGTGACGAAACCTCATACTCCATTTGTGACAAATAGCACAAAGGTTAAAAAAACTTATTTTTGACCAAAAGCTCTGTTGACATTCTATTAAACAAACACTGACCTATTTAATTTTCATAATGTAAATGGCAGATATTTTCATAATTCTTATGCTAATAAATCATTTCCCTGATTTTTTGGGTAAAACCACATATTCATAATGAAGTCCAGAAATGTGAATTGTTTTATATAATTTATTCTTATTTGTGATTACAAGTATACCTCTACAGAAAGTTAGTACACTCACCCAAAGGTAAACTGTCCAGAGGGTAAGGACAACTTTATAACTTCTCGGAAATGCAATAATGATACGTAACCAAGGACTTCCACCAAAGTCAGTCCCACGATGATGATGGTCAGCCAGAGTATTGATAACCTGGAATAATAATAGTTGAAATAATGAAAAGGTCAATGACACTGACAATATTTCACTCAGAAAGAATCATCCTTAGAAACCGTCAACCTCCTCCAAAAGGTAACCACATCCCTCAGATATCACCGTGGGATTCCACTGTTACAAAAAAGAACAGAAGTTAGAAGTCACATGTTTTTCAGATGGCTGGTAGTGTTTTTAGGCATTGCAAATGTGGGGTGTTGTCTTTCTTGGTATAAAGCAGGGATATCCAATCTTTTGACTTCCCTGCCTATATTAAAAGAAGCAAAGTTGTCTTGAGCCACACATAACATACACTAACACTAACAATAGCTGATGATCTAAAAAAAACCTCTTTTTGTTTTTGAGACAGAGTTCCGCTCCACTCAGTCGCCCAGGCTGGAGTGCAGTGGTGCAATCTCGGCTCACTGCAACCTCCAGCTCCTGGGCTCAAGCCATTCTCCTCCCTCAGCCTCCCGAGTAGCTGAGATTACAGGTCTCTGCCACCATGCCCGACTAATTTTTGTATTTTTAGTAGAGATGAGGTTTCACCATGTTGGCCAGTCTGGCCTTGAACTCCTGACAGGTGATCTGCCTGCCTCAGCCTCCCAAAGTGCTGGGATTACAGGTGTGAGCCACCGTGCCCGGCCATTTTTTTGTTTTTGTTTTTGTTTGTTGTTTTTGAGATGGGGTCTCACTCTGTCACCCAGGCTGGAGTGCAGTGGTGTGCTCTCGGCTCACTGCAACCTCTGCCTCTCAGGTTCAAGTGATTCTTCTGCCTCAGCCTCCTGAGTAGCTGGGAGTACAGGTGCCTGACAGTGCACTCAGCAAATTTTTGTATTTTCTGTGGAGATGGGGTTTTGCCATGTTGGCCAGGGTGGTCTCAAACTCCTGACCTCAGGTAATCTGCCCGCCTCAGCCTCCCAAAGTGCTGGGATTACAGGCATGAGCCACTGTACCTGGCCAAAATCTCCTAATGTTTTAAGAAAGTTTACAAATTTGTGTTGAACTGCATTCAAAACTGTCCTGGGCCACATGCAGCCCGTCACTCATGGGTAAGACAAGCTAAGTATAAAGTAATTATCTTTTCTTTTTTGTTTTGAGACAAAGTTTTGCTCTGTCACCCAGGCTAGATTGCAGTGGCATGATCTCAGCTCACTGCAACCTCCGCCTCCCGGGTTCAAGCGATTCTCCTGCCTCAGCTACTGAGTAACTGGGATTACAGGCGCCTGCCACCACGCTCGGCTAATTTTTGTATTTTTAGTAGAAACAGGGTTTCACCATCTTGGCCAGGCTGGTCTCCAACTCCTGACCTCGTGATCCACCTGCCTTGGCCTCCCAAAGTGCTGGGAATACAGGTGTGAGCCACTGCACCTGGCCAGTAGTTATCTTTTCTTTAAAGTTATTTACTTGTTTTTTAAATTGATGTATAACATTGGATGCATTTATTATATATCATATGGTAAAAGAATCCCTCTAAATAATACTTCTCTCTTGGATTATATGAATCTTTGTCATTTAAATCTCAGCATAAGTAAAAAAAAAAATACAATGAAGAGATTACTTCATTCACAAATAAGTATCAAATTTTAGTGCTTAAAAATTAACAAGGTGGGCCGGGCGTGGTGGCTCACGCCTGCAATCCCAGCACTTTGGGAAGCCAAGGTGGGTGGACCACGAGATCAGGAGATTGAGACCATCCTAGCTAACACGGTGAAACCCATCTCTACTAAAAATACAAAAAATTAGCAGGGCATGGTGGCACGCGCCTATAGTTCCAGCTACTTGGGAGGCTGAGGCAGAAGAATCACTTGAACCCGGGAGGCAGAGGTTGCAGTGAGCCGAGATTGCACCACTGCACTTCAGCCTGGGTGACAGAGCGAGACTCTGTCTCAAAAAAAAAAAAAAAAAAAAAAATTACCAAGGTGGAGATCATGAAAATGGCATGAATAGTGTGGGATTTCTCTAAGATTGTTGATATTAATTCCATTAGACTCTTATGTGAGTGAAGACGAAGACTTCCCCTGAGTAAGTTCAGACAGCTTGTGATAACATTTCTACATCGATTCCTCAGGATTTAACTATATATTCTTGAAAACATCTCAATTTTAAATGTTTCTTTCAAGATGGTGAATTAAACAGAGATAGCCCTTCAACAGGTTGAACTCAGCATATGCTGAGTCTGAAATGGAAATGATGGAGTTAGAGAACCATACAACAATGGTAATGATTTCAGAAACATGGTGTTGAGCAGAACAAAGCAGACACAAAAGAGTACCTATGGCATGGCATGCATCTGTATACGCGAAATTCCAGAATAAGCAAGCTAACCTATGATAAGAAAGAGACTGGCTGGGAAGAGTGAGAGTTCACTTTCTGGGGTGACATAATAGTGTAGATCTTGGCTGGGCACGGTGGTTCACGCCTGTAATCCCAACGCTTTGGGAGGCCGAGGCAGGCGGATCACCTGAGGTCGGGAGTTCAAAACCAGCCTGACCAACATGGAGAAACCTTATCTCTACTAAAAATACAAAATTAGCTGGGAGTGGTGGCACATGTCTGTAATCCCAGCCACTCGGGAGGCTGAGGCAGGAGAATCGCTCGAACCTGGGAAGCAGAGGTTGCGGTGAGCTGATATTGCCCCATTGCACTCCAGCCTCAGCAACAAGGGAGAAACTGTCTCAAATAAATAAATAAATAAATAAAATAATGTAGATCTTGAAAGGGGGTTGGTTTATGCTGGTGTATGTACTTTCCAAAGTTAGTAAACTTACACTTAAGGTTATATATTTTGGCCAGGCGCGGTGGCTCACGCCTGTAATCCCAGCACTGGGAGGCTGAGGCAGGCGGATCACGAGGTCAAGAGATGGAGACTATCCTGGCGAACATGGTGAAACCCCGTCTCTACTAAAAATACAAAAATTAGCCAGGCGTGGTGGTCTACTAAAAATACAAAAATTAGCCAGGCGTTGTAATCTGAGCTATTCAGGAGGCTGAGGCAGGACAATTGCTTGAACCCCGGAAGCGGAGGTTGCAGTGAGCCGAGATCTTGCCACTGCACTCCAGCCTGGGCGACAGAGTGAGACTCTGTCTAAAAAAAAAAAAAAAAAAAAAAAAAAGTCATCAAACCAGATGACACAAATCAAATGACATTTCACTTTGTTTTGGTCCATTTTGTTTGTTAGAGACAAGAGTGCAGCGGGGCCATCTCGGCTCACTGCAACGTCCAGCTCCTGGGCCCAAGCGATCCTCCCACCTCAGCCTCTCCAGTAACTGGGATAACAGGTACGCACCACCAGGCCCGACTAATCTTTTTTGGAATTTTTTGTAGAGATGGGGTTTCGCTATGATGCCCTGGCTAGTCTTCAACTCCTGGACTCAAGTGATCTGCCCACCTCGGCCCCCTAAAGTGCTGGGATTACAGGCCTGAGCTGTGTAATTTCATGCCGCGTGACACAGCCCAGTAAAAAGGAAGAAACCCCGCGGGTCCAGCGTCTACTCACACAGGTGGACTGATGGCTGATAAATTCCAGCAGGAGCCAAAAGAGGAGCCAAAAGAGCATCCACAGCACCCGCATGTCCTGGTCCTTTCAGGGCGCCCTGAGGCGGCCAGGACAGAGGTGGAGGTGGCTTAGGGCAGGGGGAGGGAAGGGGACAGGGACCGGGCCGGATCTGAGTTGGGGAGGGGGAGGGGAGGGGGAGGGGAAGGGGAGAGGAAGGGGGGAAGTAAGGGAAGGGAAAGGAGGAGAAGGGGGCTGTTGGGCACCTGGAGGAGGTGGAGGAGGAGGAGGAGAAGAAGAAAGGGGTCTGGGAAAGGATCCGGTTCAAATTAAGTTCTCAAGCGCTGGTGGAAGGTTTAGCTACAGGTCACGGAGAAGATCAGGGAAGCAACAGGACACGCGGGGCAAGGGAGCGTGAGGCTTAGGGGCAATTAGAGGGAGACAAAGGTTCTGCTATCCACCAAACCTTCTTCGGTCTGGGCCCTCCCTTACCAACCCTGGGGCTTTATACTCCCTCTCCACCAATCCCTGATGACCCCGGTGGTGCCTCACAATGGACGTGCCTCACAATGGACATGCCAAGTAGCGCCCGCATCATTCCAATGACCCCTCCCCCATCTCAGTCTCCCACTCTCCTCCCAAGGACAGGTCCTCTCTGGAACCTTCACAAACCTGATTTCTGGTCCTCCCCAACCAGCTCCCTGTCCCTGCTTCTGGGCGCTCCTTCCTTCCTGAGCTCCCAGGGTTCCTCAAGGTCACTTTTGGCGACAAAACATAAAAAACAAATGATGGCAGGATGGCAGGAAGAACCTCATACCCAAGCAGAGTGCCAGGTTTTACAGCCTCCGCTCAGCCATTCATATCCTAAGCAACAAAACATCAGCAGGATGCGGAAGGTCCCGATAGTAAACCATCTCCATCACATCCATGTAGCCATCTGTCCATCAACCTGTATCTCAGGAACAAATGTACGTACATTCATTTTAAGCATGCATGGTACATTTACAAAAATTAACCTGACTTATTTTGTTCCAGCAAATCTCAATATATTTGAGAGCAATCAAATCACACAGCATGTTTCTGATCATATAACTGTGCTAGAAGTCAATGATTAAAAGCTAATTCAAAATTATTATTTGCTTGGAAATTCAAAGTGCCCTTATAAGACATAAACATAAGAAAGAATCCAAAATGAAACAAGATTGCCTTTCAACTCAATGATGAGATCATAACATGGCAATAAAATGTCTCCCTCTGGCCTGGGAATTCCTCTTTGTGGCACAAGGTTGCATGATCTCAAATCACCCCTAACCCACCTAGACATTTTAACATCCGAAACCGAGTGATGATGTCCTTATCTATATCATCTTACTGCCCGTGTGTGTGGACTTTAAATTCTGAACCCAAATGAGGGGGAGAAAACCAAGTTGACCTTCATGAATGGCCTCTCAGGGACGTCCAAGGAATCTGTGCATTTCAAGAAACAAAGTTCATCAGCTTCTCTCCTAAGGTATTTGCCCACAATACCCAGAGGGCTTGGCAGCATCATGTGTGATGGGTGGGGAGCTCCAAGCAGGTGGGCAGGACCCAGGGGCCTGGTGACCAGGACAGACCCCCACTGTCCATCACCTTTCCTGGCCCTGTCCTCAGCTAAACTTCCCACAGGCCTTCTGCCCGATCACACAGAGTGTGCCCAAACTCACTCAGGCCTCTGGCAGCTGAAAACCACTGCTTTAAATCCCTTTACCATTTACTATGACATAAGGTTATTGTAAACAGGAAATATTCTATTGATGCTACAAATGGAAAGCCAATGCCTTTACCATAAATAGAAAAACAACCCTAAGAAACAAGCAAAACAAAAACAAAACAGGGGCTGGGTGTGATGGCTCACGCCTGTAATCCCAGCACTTTGGGAGGCCGAGGTGGGCGGATCACAAGGTCAGGAGTTCCAGACCAGCCTGGCCAATATGGTGAAACCCTGTCTCTAATAAAATACAAAAATTAGCTGGGTGTGGTGGTGGGCGCCTGTAGTCCCACCTACTTGGGAGGCTGAGGCAGGAGAATAGTTTGAACCCGGGAGGCAGAGTTTGCAGTGAGCCGAGATTGCACCACTGCACTCCAGCCTAGGCGACAGAGCGAGACTCTGTCTCAAAAACAGCAACAACTACAAACAAACAAACAAAAAACAGGGTTAACAAAACTATGGAATTCAATTCTATTTGTATGCTGCAGCCATGTTCCAGCCCTAGATTTGGCTGGGCATGGTGGCTCACGCCTGTAATCCCAGCACTTTGGGAGGCTGAGGCAGGCGGATCACGAGGTTAGGAGTTCGAGACCAGACTGACCAACATGGTGAAACCCCGTCTCTACTAAAAATACAAAAATTAGCCAGGCATGGTGGCACACGCCTGTAATCCCAGCTACTCAGAAGGCTGAGGCAGGACAATCCCTTGAACCTGGGAGGCAGAGGGTGCAGTGAGCTGAGATCGCGCCATTGTACTCCAGCCTGGGCAACAAGAGCAAAACTCCGTCTTAAAATAAAAAAAAAAGCCAGGCACGGTGGCTCATGCCTGTAATCCCAGCACTTTGGGAGGCCGAGACGGGTGGATCACAAGGTCAGGAGATCGAGACCATCCTGGCTAACATGGTGAAACCCCGTCTCTACTAAAAATACAAAAAATTAGCTGGCCGTGGTGGCGGGCGCCTGTAATCCCAGCTATTTGGGAGGCCGAGGCAGGAGAATGGCGTGAACCTGGGAGGTGGAGCTGGCAGTGAGCCGAGATCGCGCCACTGCACTCCAGCCTGGGTGACAGAGCAAGACTCTGTCTCAAAAAAAAAAAAAAAAAAGAGGCAAAACTAATAGTATAATTTATAAGAGAGGAAGATTAACAAATTGGCTGTGATACTCGGTACATTACCACAAATTTTAAAACATGAGGTGAAGATTTTACCAGAAAACAGCAGAACACCAGTACTGCCTGTGATACAGATGATAAACTGGATTTTTTTTTTTTTTTTGGAGATGGAGTCTTGCTCTGTCGCCCAGGTTGGAATGCACTATTGCGGTCTCGGCTCACTGAAACCTCCACCTCCCAGGTAAGAGATTCTCCTGCTTTAAGTCCCAAGTAGCTGGGACTATAGGCGCGTGCCACCACACCCAGCTAATTTTTGTAGTTTTAGTAGAGACGGGGGTTTCACGATGTTGCCAGGCTGGTCTCAAACTCCTGACCTCGTGTGATCTGCCCACCTCAGCCTCCCAAAGTCCCGGGATTACAGTCATGAGCCACCACACCTGGCCTTAAATTTTTTATAGGCAGAGTGCGGTAGCTCACGCCTGTAATCCCAGCACTTTGGGAGGCCGAGGCGGGTGGATCACCTGAGGTCAGGAGTTTAAGACCAGCCTGACCAACATGGCAAAACCCTGTCTCTACTAAAAATACAAAAATTAGCTGGGCGTGGTGGTGCGCACCTGTAATCCCAGCTACTTGGAAGGCTGAGGCAGGAGAATCGCTTGAACCTGGGAGATGGAGTTTGCAGTAAGCAGAGATGACACAGACTCCGTGTCAAAAAAAAAAAAAAAAAAAAAAAAAAACTGGAACAGAAAACAAAACAAAACATATACAAAAGAAATAAAATACATTTAGGCCAGATGCTGTTACCTGCTGAAGCCCTCTCTGTTCAAAATGGAGATGAGGAAACCTTGGAGATGTGTTAAAGATATAATAGCCAGCCGGGCACGGTGGCTCATGCCTGTAATCCCAGCACTTTGGAAGGTTGAGGTGGGTGGATCACCTGAGGTCGGGAGTTCAAGGCCAGCCTGACCAACATGGAGAAACCCCATCTCTACTAAAAATAAAAAAAAAAAAAAATTAGCCAGGCATGGTGGAGCATGCCTGTAATCCCAGCTACTCAGGAGGCTGAGGCAGAAGAATCGCTTGAACCCGGGAGGCAGAGGTTGCGGTGGCCGAGATCACGCCATTGCACTCCAGCCTGGGCAATAAAAGCAAAACTCTGTCTGAAAAAATAAACAAACTAACAAATAAATAAATATATAAAAAGATATAATAGCCAATGAGATAGTGTGTGCTTATAGTCCCAGCTACTTGGAAGGCTGAGGCAGGGACATCCCTTGAGGCCAGGAGTTCGAGGCTGCAGTGAGCTCTGATGGCACCACTGCAGTCCAGCCTGGGCAACATAGTGAGACCGTGTTTCAAAAATAAATAAGCAGGGTGCAGTAACTCACACCTGTAATCTCAGCACTTTGGGAGGCTGGGGTGGGTGGATCACTTGAGGCCAGGAATTTGAGACCAGGCTGACCACGAAGGTAAAACCCCCATCTCTACTAAAAATACAAAAAAAATTAGCCAGGTGTGGTGGTACGTCCCTGTAGTCCTAGCTACTCAGGAGGCTGAAGCAGGAGAAACGCTTGAACCCGGGAGGTGGATGCTTCACTGAGCTGAAATCGTGCCAGTGCAATCCAGCCTGGGTGACAGAGTGAGACTCTGTCTTAAAAAAAAAACAAAAACAAAAACAAAATGCTGGAGTCATGCTGAGCATAGGGAATGTGAAGGCCCTGGATTAAGACAGGCTGAGGGAAGGACAGCTGTGCCCTCTCCTCCTTCTATTCAGCCCATGGGTTCTATGTTCTTACAGAGTGGAAGGCAGAAACCCCTGCATTATTTAAAGCATTATTCTTTCTGTCTGTCTCATTTCTGTCTCTTTCTTTCTCTGTCTCTCTCACATTCAAACATGCATAGTTGGATTTACCAAGTTAAATACAGGTATATTATGACTCCAGTGTTTGTAGCTTGTCAAACCATCCCCTCATGATTTGTTTCTTCCTGTGGCTTCTACAAAAAAAAAAAAAAGAAAAGAAAAAAAGAAAGAATGAAAGAAGAAAGAAAGAAAGGAAGGAAGGAAGGAAAGAACCCAGAGAGCTGGGCATGGTGGCTTATACCTGTAATCCCAGCACTTTGGGAGGCCAGAGCGGGCAGATCGCCTGAGGTCAGGAGTTCAAGACCAGCCTGACCAACATGTAGAAACCCTGTCTCTACTAAAAATGCAAAATTAGCCAGGCATGGTGGCACATGCCTATAATCCCAGCTACTTGGGAGGCTGAGGCAGGAGAATTGCTTGAACCCGGGAGGTGGAGGTTGTGGTGAGCCGAGATCGTACCGTTGCACTCCAGCCTGGGCAATAAAAGCTAAACTCTATCTCAAAAAAAAAAAAAAAAAAAAAAAGGTAAAAAATTAGCCAGGCGCAGTGGTGTGTGCCTTTAGTCCTAGCCACTAAGGAGGCTGAGGCTGAGGTGGGGGGATAGTTTTAGCCCAGAAGTTTGAGGCTACTGTGAGCTATGATTGTGCCACTGTACTCCAGCCTGGGCAACGGAGTGAGACCATATCTTTAAGAAAAGCAATGCATAATGAGATACTACTTCATATCCACTAGGATGACTAATACTCAAAAAGAGAATAATAAGTGGTGAGGCTATGGAGAAACAGAAACTCTCCCACATTGCCGGTAGGAAAGTAAAATGGGGCCTGCCACTTTGGAAAGCAGTTGGAAAGTTTAATAAAAATGTAAAGATAAATTGATCCAGCAATCTTATTCGTAGGTATCTCTGACTGAGAGGAATGAAAGCATATGTTTACACAAAGTAACATAAACTCGCCTCCTGAGTAGCTGAGATTACAGGCGCCCGCCACCACACCCGGCTAATTTTTGTATTTTTAGTAGAGATGGGGTTTCATCATGTTGGCCAGGCTGATCTCGAACTCCTGACCTGAGGTGTGATCCACCTGCCTCAATCTCCCAAAGTGCTGGGATTACAGGTGTGACCCACCTTGACCAGCCTAAATTCAACTATTTGAATTATATATATATATATATATGGTATATATATAAACATATATATAATATATAAAATAAAATTCAATTATATATATTTTAATTAAACAATTTTTTTTGTTCTGATGGAGTCTCACTATGATGCTCAGGCAGGTCTCAAACTCCTGGGCTCAGGATATCCTCCTGCCTCAGCCTCCCAAACTGCTGGAAGGTGTGAGCCACCATGCCCAGCCAATGGTTGAATGGTGTGTGTGTGTGTGTACATAGGTACATACACATATTTTATTTATTTATTTATTTATTTATTTATATATATATATATTTATTTATTTATTATTTATTTTTGAGAGATGGAGTCTCGCTCTGTCGCCCAGGCTGGAGTGCAGTGGCGCGATCTCGGCTCACTGCAAGCTCCACCTCCCAGGTTCACGCCATTCTCCTGCCTCAGCCTCCCGAGTAGCTAGGACTACAGGCGCACGATGCCACGCCCCGCTAATTTTTTGTACTTTTAGTAGAGACGGGGTTTCACCGTATTAGCCAGGAGGGTCTCAATCTCCTGACCTCGTGATCTGCCCACCTCGGCCTCCCAAAATGCTGGGATTACAGGCGTGAGCCACCGCTCCTGGCCACATATACATATTTTAAAGAGTGATCTTCATCAGAAATTCTAGATGAAAAAAATAAAAGTAAATATAATTTTTTAAAAAAAGAATAAGGAAATGTTTTCCCAAATGCCTCTGACAAATTACCCCTTGTGATTTATTGGCCCAAGGTGTGGCATGGGGACTGGCTTGCACTGACCGGCTTCGTCCTGGGTTCTGGAAGGGAGCAGCTGGTCATGGAAGCTGGGGCTAGCATCAGTGCCCGTGAAGCATGTGGGCTGTGGGTAGGGACCATTACCTAATCAAAAAATCAGGGGATTGCAAGAAGGTGAAAGCGGATACTAGGTGGACAACTACTAAGGTGTCAATTACACCCAAGACTGGCCACTAGATACAGACCCCTCCCCCTGCATTCTCCAGCCCGTTATCCACATCCTGTCTCCTACTTCTCTGCCCACTATGGCAAAGGGAGGCAGAGTGGGGGTGGGAAGAGTCACTGCCTAAAACATGGCTTTCCTGCAGGGTGACCAGCTGTCCTGGGACTGAGTGGTTTCCTGGGCCATGGGACTGAAGGTGCCAAAACGGGGGAAGTTCCAGGTGAACTGGGAAGGGTTGGTGACCTGGTCACCTCACCAAACAGAAATAAAGAAGCACTCCTAATGAACTGTGGATCCTGTCATCAAGCACCAATGGCTGCCGATACCACAAAGAGACAATTGGTCATTGTGCGTCTGTGAGGAAAGCACGCTCAACACCATTTTTGAAATATTTTTTGGCAAAAAGACTGAACATAAATACAAACAAGTCTGTAGATCCAAGTACCAATTCATAGGAAATACAGACTGTGGAGTGTGTAAAATGGAAACTTACTGGGCGCAGTGGCTCACACCTGTAATCCCAGCACTTTGGGAGCCCGAGGCGGATGGATCACGAGGTCAGGAGATCGAGACCATCCCGGCTAAAACGGTGAAACCCCGTCTCTACTAAAAATACAAAAAAATTAGCCGGGCGTAGTGGCGGGCGCCTGTAGTCCCAGCTACTTGGGAGGCTGAGGCAGGAGAATGGCGTGAACCCGGGAGGCAGAGCTTGCAGTGAGCCGAGATCCCGCCACTGCACTCCAGCCTGGGTGACAGAGCGAGACTCCGTCTCAAAAAAAAAAAAAAAAAAAAAAAAAAAGAAAGAAAAGAAATATTAGCTACTTCAGAGGTTTGCTGTGAGCATTGAAAAAGGCAGTGATTTGTTGGGTGTGGTGGCTCATGTCGGTAATCCTAGCACTTCGGGAGGCTGAAGTGGGTGGATTGCTTGAGGCCAGGACTTGGAGACCAGCCTGGGCAACATAGCAAGACACTGTCTCTACAAAAAATTTGAAAATTAGCTGGGTGTGGTGCCTGCCGCATGCCTGTAATCCCAGCTTCTTGTAAGGGAGGCGGCTGAGATGGGAGGATTGCTTGAGCCCAGGAGGTTGAGGCTGCTGTGAGCCATGATGCTGTGATCGGGCCACTCTACTCCAGCCTGGGCAACAGAGCTAGACCCTGTCTCAAAAAAAGAAAAAGAGAGAGAAAGGCTTTGGTAAGGGCTTAGTAAATGTCAGCCACAGTAGTAATGACAGCAATACTTGCGAAGCCTTTTCTATTTTATTACTGTGCACGTCGGTGATCTCATGCAATCAACTCAGCAACCTTGCAAAATAGGTATCATCATCTCCATTTAAAAAGCAAGAAACTGAGGCTTAGCAAGGTGAAGTTGTGTGACCAGCGCTACATAGCTGGTAGGAGGCAAAGCAGATTCCCACCCAGGCTCATGTGACACCAGGGTCCTCCTGAGATGTTAGCCTCAGTGAAGTTTTTAGCCCAGATCTTCATCTCCTCTTGCCAGGATTTCTGCTATTCAAATGCAGCCACAGGAATCCGAGAAGAACCCGGATAACTAAATCAGCAGCAGCTTATTCAGGCTGAGAAAATATACAGCAGCCCTGAGAATGCAGCTTATCTTGCTTTGGGCTTACTTTTGAGTGACAGGCTCTTTTAGCCAAGCCCTGGCCAGTCTCCTCACTTGAGCCCTGGCTCACCTGAGCCAGCCTCTCAGAGCCTTATGGAGCTGGCTGGACAGCATTGGAAGTAAAGGGCAGCCTTGCTCCCTCTTCTTTAACACCGTTTAGGATTTCTGTGTAGTTACCCAGAGCGACATTGGGTGTCACCTTTGAGTCACTTGAAGCCAGTTTCCCCCAGAGGTTGATGAATGCGGCCTTTCCCCAGAGATTCTGGTTGTCTAAGATCTATCTGCTTTGGAGATACAGTATATTCATTGCCAACACTTGTGCCCCCGACTTAACAGGAATATCTGGTTCTCATTTGTCCTCAAAGAAGAGTGTTCTCTGCAACCACATAAGCCTTGAATTTGTTTTTTAATTATTATTTTTTATGTTTTATTTTTTCCGAGATGGAGTCTCGCTCTGTCACCCAGGCTGCAGTGCAGTGGCATGATCTTGGCTCATTGTAGCCACCTCCCGGGTTCAAGGGATTCTCCTGCCTCAGCCTACTGAGTAGGTGGGATTACAGACACCTGCCACCACCCCTGGCTAATTTTTATATTTTTAGTAGTAGTGATGGGGTTTCGTCCTGTTGGCTGGGCTTGTCTTGAACTCCTGACCTCAGGTGATCTGCCCACCTCAGCCTCCCAAGGTGCTGGGATTACAGGCATGAGCCACCACGCCTAGCCTAATTAATTTTTTTCTAAGAGATAGGGTCTTATTATGTTGCCCAGACTGGTCTCGAACTCATGGGCTCAAGCAATCCTCTTGCTGCAGCCCCCCAAAATGCTGAGGTTATAGGCCTGAACCACCATGCCCGCTAAGCCTTGAATTTGAAGATGGGCTTCATGCCTGATGACTTTGCAAATGACTTCTCTTCTGAGGAAAGGAGGACGCTAACATAAGGACGAGAGAGAGTTTATGCAAAGTCCCTACCAACTCAGAGCCCTTTTCTCCCAATGTTCTTTGCACTCTGCCCACACATCTGTTTCCAAGCCTGGCTGTGAATAACAGTGAACAACTTGGGGGCCAGGACTCTTTTCTACCGCTCCCTCCCTCCTCTCATCCTCCCTTCCTTCCTTCTCCCTTCCAGCCCATAAATATTTACCAAGTAGATATCATGTGTCAGACACTGGGAACATAACAGAGAACAAAACAAAAGTTCTCTTTCTTCGTGGAATTTACATTAAAACTTCTTATTTCTCTGTATGTTCTCAGCATCTAACTGAGAAGGTGCTGAGAACATACAGAGAAGTAAGACATTGGATGGCTTGGCTAACACTCTTCTTTCTAGTTTTTCCTATGCATATACTAACATATATACATGATTTTTTTGCATGTAAAATATGTTTTATTGTTCTTTAAAAGGATTCAGGGTTTAGTTTTAAATCAGGCTGCACACCTTTCAAATCAATTTGACATCTCTCTCACTATGTCAAACTGGCTTCAGTTAGCAATACCTCATTAAATCTAAAAGAAAAAAAATTCTTTTAAGAAAATTCAGTTTCGAGAAAAATTAACATTACTCGGCCGGGCGCAGTGGCTCATGCCTGTAATCCCAGCACTTTGAGAGGCCGAGGCGGGTGGATCACAAGGTCAGGAGATCGAGACCATCCTGGCTAACACGGTGAAACCCCGTCTCTACTAAAAAATATATAAAAAAAAAAATTAGCCGGGCATAGTGGCGGGCACCTGTAGTCCCAGCTACTCGGGAGGCTGAGGCAGGAGAATGGCGTGAACCTGGGAAGCGGAGCTTGCAGTGAGCCGAGATCATGCCACTGCACTCCAGCCTGGGCGACAGACAAGACTGTCTCAAAAAAAAAAAAAAAAAGAAAGAAAAGAAAAATTAACATTACTCAGAATTCAAAACAAAGTGAGGGCTAATATTTCATGGTTCTTTATACATCCTTCTCCTCAATACAGAACCAGGAATGTAGCAGGCACTGGCACTGATACAGATGGACACTGCACATACACATACACACACACACACACACACACACACACACACACACACACACCCAGCCCCCAAACAACAAAATTCAGAGTATGTCAAAGGGAAAAGGTTTTTTATGGTATTGATAGAAACCCCTGGAGTAGGCCAGGTGCGGTGGCTCACGCCTGTAATCCCAGCACTTTGGGAGGCCGAGGCGGGCGGATGATGAGGTCAGGAGATCAAGACCATCCTGGCTAACAGGTTGAAACCCCGTCTCTACTAAAAAATACAAAGAGGCTGGGCGCGGTGGCTCACGCCTGTAATCCCAGCACTTTGGGAGGCCGAGGCGGGCGGACCACAAGGTCAGGAGATCGAGACCATTCTGATTAACACGGTGAAACCCCGACTCTACTAAAAATACGAAAAATTAGCCGGGCGTAGTGGCGGGCGCCTGTAGTCCCAGCTACTTGGGAGGCTGAGGCAGGAGAATGGCGTGAACCCAGGAGGCGGCGCTTGCAGTGAGCCAAGCCATTGCACTCCAGCCTGGGCGACAGAGTGAGACTCTGCCTCAAAAAAAAAAACAAAAACAAAACAAAAAAAAAAACAAAGAAAAAAATTAGCTGGGTGTGGTGGCGGGCGTCTGTAGTCCCAGCTACTCGGGAGGCTAAGGCAGGAGAATGGTGTGAACCGGGGAGGTGGAGCTTGAAGTGAGCAGAGATCGCGCCACTGCACTCCAGCCTGGATGATAGAGCAAGACTCCGTCTCAAAAATAAAAAATAAAAATAAATAAAAAAAGAAACCCCTGGAGTCAACAGTCTATCTTAGCAGGTATGCCGTTTTGATCTTGAATCTATATGAAAGAATCTGTTGTCATGTACATGATATTTACATTTCAAATGGAAATAGGACCCACCTTAACAATATTCGATGACTAACCCCTACACCCGAAACTTAGTAGTGTACTACGGCCATCTTTCTTTCTCTTTTTTTTTTTTTTTTTGAGACAGAGTCTTGCTCTGTCACCCAGGCTGAAGTGCAGTGGCACAATCTCGGCTCACTGCAACCTCTGCCTCCAGGATTCAAGCGATTCTCCTTCCTCAGCCTCCTGAGTAGTTGGGACTACAGGCACGTGCCACCATGCCTGGCTAATTTTTGCATTTTTTAGTAGAGATAGGGTTTTGCAATGTTGGCCAGGCTGGTCTCGAATGCCTGACCTCAGGTAATCCACCCGCCTCGGCCTCCCAAAGTGCTGGGATTACAGGTGTCAGCCACCGTGCCTGGCCCTTATCGCCATCTTTCTTTGTTAGAACATAAAAATCTACTTCAATGTTTACATGTGCCCAGATGCTATTTGGGATCTCTCTGCCCCTTGGATTCTAAAAAGACTGACTTGAACCCCAAGTGTATTCCCTGTGGATTCTCAAGGTCAAGAGCACTAGAGTGCTCATGTTCTCATGGTCGCTTCTGGTCCCTGTTCAGGTCTCTGCTGAATTCATTCCATCAAATTTATTTAACCATTTGACGGACTTGGAGGACTTCAGTGCTGCATTGAAAACCCTAATTCATTCTGTATTTTTTTTCAAGGTGGAGTCTCACTTTGTTGCTCAGCCTGGAGTGCAGTGGCGCAATGTTGGCTCACTGCAACCTCCGCTTCCTGGGTTCAAGTGATTCTCCTGCCTCAGCCTCACAAGTAGCTGGGATTACAGGCACCTGCCACCACGCCCGGCTAATTTTTGGGTTTTTTGTTTGTTTGTTTTTGGTTTTGTTTTTGTTTTCTTGAGACGGAGTCTTGCTCTGTTGCTCAGGGTGGAGTGCAGTGGAGCAATCTTGGCTCACTGCAACCTCCGCCTCCCAGGTTCCCAGGTTCAAGCGATTCTCCTGCCTCAGCCTCTCGAGTAGCTGAGACTACAGGTGCATGCCACCATGCCTGGTTAACTTTTTGTATTTTTAATAGAGACGGAGTTTCCCCATGTTAGCCAGGATGGTCTCAATCTCCTGACCTCGTGATTCACCCACCTTGGCTTCTCAAAGTGCCAGGATTACAGGCATGAGCCACTGTGCCTGGCCTGAGATACAACTATTTTTCTTAGTTTATTTTTTGCTTTCAGATCATCCTTTTATTTACTTTAATTTTTTTTTTTTTTTTTTTTTGAGACGGAGCCTTTCTCTGTGGTCTGGGCTGGAATGCAGTGGCACGATTCTCCTGCCTCAACCTCCTGAGTAGCTGGGATTACAGGCGCACACTAACATGCCTGGCTAATTTTTGTATTTTTAGTAGAGACGGGATTTCACCACGTTGGCCAGGCTAGTCTCCAACTCCTGACCTCAAGTGATTTGCCCGCCTTGGCCTCCCAAAGTCCTGGGATTACAGGCATGAGCCACCACGCCCAGCCTCATATCATCTTTTTTTGGTAAACAGTGCCTAGCATTCTATTGAATAGGCATACTATAATTTTAAAATTATAGTATAAATGTTAAGCAGTCTTTTATTAATAGGCATTTTGGTTATTTCCAATTTTTTTTTGCAGTTAAAAACCCAGCTCTTTCTAGTAATCTGCTTTGTATCTCTTTCATGCAAAATTCCTAAACGTGGAATTGCTTGGTTAAAAAATATTAATTTTAGGCCAGGCATGGTGGCTAATGCCTGTAATCCCAACAGTTTGGGAGAGTGAGGTGGGAGGATCACTTGAGACCAGAAGTTTGAGACCAGCCTGGGCAATGTAGCGAGACCCCATCTCTGAAAAAAAATTAGCCGGTCGTGGTTGCAAGCCTATAATCCCAGCTACTGGGGAGGCTGAGGCAGAAGAATCACTTGAACCCAGGAGTTTAAGGTTACAGTGAGTTATGATTGCACCACTGCACTCCAGCCTGGGTGACAGAGTAAGACTCTGTCTTTAAAAAAAAAAAAAAGAAAGAAAAAAAAGAATGTTAACTTTAAAAAGACGCTTTTATGTATAATTGAGAAATAAAATTTTTTTTAAGAAGAAAAAAGACTCGATACATATTGAGTATTGGATATTATATTTAAAATAACTTTTTGCTAGGCTGGCTGTGGTGGCTCACGCCTCTAATCCCAGCACTTTGGGAGGCCGAGGCGGTAGGATCACGAGGTCAGGAGATCAAGACCATCCTGGCTAACACGGTGAAACCCTATCTCTACTAAAAATACAAAAAAATTAGCCAGGTGTGGTGGCAGGAGCCTGTAGTCCCAGCTACTCGGGAGGCTGAGGCAGGAGAATGGTGTGAACCCGGGAGGCAGAGCTTGCAGTGAGCTGAGATCACACCACTGCACTCCAGCCTGGGCAACAGAGCAAGACTCTGTCTCAAAAAAAAAAAAATACTTTTTGCTATTTAAAAACAACAAACTTTTATTGATTAAAAATAAATCCCTCACATATCCATCACCCATCAAATCAGGCTGACCTGGTATAATCTATACACGTACCTACATCTGCCTCTCCTGTATTATTTTGAAGTAATCCATTTCATCTATAAAGATTTCAGAATTTAGGCTGGGCGCGGTGGCTCACACCTATAATCCCAGCATGGTGGATTGAGGCCAGGAGTCCGAGACCAGCCTGGCCAACGTGGTGAAACCCCATCTCTACTAAAAATACAAAAATTAGCTGGCCGTCGTGGCACATGCCTATAATCCCAGCTACTCTGGAGGGTGAGGCATGAGAATCACTTGAACCTGGGAGGCGGGGTTTGCAGTGAACCAAGATGGTACCACTGTACTCTAGCCTAGGTGACCGAGTGAAACTCTGTGTCAAAAAAAAAAAAAAAAAAAAAAAGGTTTCGGGATTTAGAGAGAGACTATCTTTGGATAAGAAATTTGCCATTCTGGCCAGGCGTGGTGGCTCACGCCTGTAATCCCAGCACTTTGGGAGGCTGAGGCAGGTGGATCATAAGGTCAGAAGATCGAAACCACCCTGGCCAACATGGTGAAACCCTGTCTCTACTAAAAATACAAAAAAACCTAAAAATAGCCAGGCATGGTGGCACGCCCCTTTATTCCCAGCTAGCTACTTGGGTGGCTGAGGCAGGAGAATTGCTTGAACCTGAGAGGCAGAGGTTGCAGTGAGCTGAGATCGTACCACTGGACTCCAACCTGGGTGACAGAGCAAGACACTGTCTCAAAAAAAAAAAAAGAAAAGAAAAAAGAAATTTGCCACTCCTCCTCCCACCTCTTGCAGATAGTGGCAATGGAAAGTTACCCAATGATGCTTCTTGGGAAGCCTTCCACTGGGAGGATGCTTGGAGAGAAACGTTTAATCCCACTCCACGTATCCCCTCTGGAACTTGACTCTCGTTTTGCAAACAGGAAAAAACCGGTCACCCACTTAGATGACTCAGCCAGCCCCAGGCCTCCTCTGGTCCACTGCAGAGTTCCCGAAGACCCAAATGTTTTGCCTCAGCCACACGTTTTCACTTATTTTTGATTCATTCCAAAGGCAGGCAGGAAATTGCCGCCAGTCATTAATCATGCATGAATCTTTCCTCTGCGCCTCTTCCATGAACAAGACCCATGTTGATGGGCACCTCCCTCTTGTGATCTTACCTTGATGGGCTCTGACAGCAGGTCGTAGGTGTCTCTCTCTATTTCACAGCACAGGTCACCAACACTCAGGCAGGGAAACTGAATTGCTCAAGCCCTGTAAGTGGGAGAACCAAGCCTTGAACCTGGCTCTGTGGGCTCTTAGTGGAAAGCCCACAGGGTGGGTTAAAGGCCTGGTTCCCACATTGCACTAAAAAATGAACACTCTCTGGAGTCCCGCTCTCAGTAGCCATCTGGATGAGAAATGATCTCTTGCCGGGAGCAGTGGCTCACGCCTGTAATTTCAGCGCTTTGGGAGGCTGAGGCGGGCAGATCACCTGAGGTCAGGAGTTTGAGACCAGCCTGACCAACATGGTGAAACCCCATCTCTATTAAAAATACAAAAATTAGCTGGGCGTGGTGGCAGGCACCTGTAGTCCTAGCTACTTAGGAGGCTGAGGCAGGAGAATCGCTTGAACTCAGGAGGTGGAGGTTGCAGTGAGCTGAGATCGCACCACTGCACTCCAGCCTGGGGAACACAGTGAGACTCTGTCTCAAAAGAAAAGAAAAGAAAAGAAATGATCTCCTGCAGAATGCCCAGGAGGAACACTGACTGAGAACCAGATGCTCATGCTGGCATTGGAACCAGGCTTCTTGAGGTCCCCTCCTGAAAACCTCTTTTGCTCTTGGCAGGCTCTCACTCTCCATGCTCAGTTGGCTTCACCCCAGGGGTACCAGGCACTAGGGGGTGGAGGACAGGTACCCTGCTGACCAGGCCCCCAGGAGGGCTCCACAGCTGGCCCTGCCTCCTCATTTAGGCAGCACCAATTGTTGCCAAGATGGCTATTATTTTTATTTTTAATTAATTAATTAATTCTTCTTCTTCTTTTGAGATGGAGTCTCACTCTGTCACCGAGGCTGGAGTGCATTGGTGCGATCTCAGCTTACTGTAGTCTCCACTGCTTGGGGTTCAAGCGATTCTCCTGCCTCAGCCTCCAAGTGGCTGGGATTACAGGTATGTGCCACCACACCTGTCTAACTTTTTCTTTTTTTTTTTTTTTTTGAGATGGAGTCTCACTCTGTCGCCCAGGCTGGAGTGCAGTGGTGTGATCTCGGTTCACTGCAACCTCCGCCTCTTGGGTTCAAGCGATTCTCCTGCCTCAGCCTCCCGAGTAGCTGGGACTACAGGCGTGTGACACCACGCCCGGCTAAGTTTTATACTTTTAGTAGAGACAGGGTTTCACCACGTTAGCCAGGATGGTCTCCATCTCCTGACCTCGTGACCCACCTGCCTCGGCCTCCCAAAGTGCTGGGACCTTGTGAACCACCGTGCCCTACCAACTTTTGTATTTTTTGTACAGACGGGGTTTCACCATGTTGGCCAGGCTGGTCTTGAACTCCTAACCTCAAATGGTCTGCCCGCCTCAGCCTCCCAAAGTGCTGGGATTACAGACCTGAGCCACCGTGCCTGGCCCTTAAATCAGTAGACTTTGAATAAAGGACACTGCCCTTCATAATGTGCGTGGGCTTCATCCAATCAGTTGAAGGCCTAAAAAGCAAAGACCAAGATTTCCTGAAAAAGAAGGAATTCAGCCTCAAGACTGAAACACAGACACCCTCTCTGAGTGTCTGGCCTGCCTGGCTTGCCCTGTGGATTTCAAACTCAGTACTGCAACATCCACTCTTACGTGGATTTTCAGTCTGCTGGCCTGCCCTGCGGAGTTTGGACTTGCCAGCTCCTACAATTGCATGAAGCAATTCCTTAAAGTAAATCTCTGTCTCTAGCTCTGTATCTCCTTTTGGTTCTATTTCTCTGGAGAATTCTACTGATACTTAGATATTCCCCAATTACAGAATCCCCCACACATCCTGCCAACATCAGCTAAGCCGTGTTTTTGCAAACTCTCCCCAAATAACCTGACACAAATCCAAATCCTATGATGAGAACTTTCTAACATTGTCTTTATTGAGTCACTCAGGACTGACTACTTAACTTGTGGGGCCCAGTACACAGTGAAAATGCTGGCTGGGTGCGGTGGCTCACTCCTGTAATTCCAACACTTTGGGAGACTGTGGCGGGCAGATCACCTGAGGTCAGGAGTTCAAGACTAGCCTGGCCAACATAGCAAAACCTCACCTCTACTAAAAATACAAAATTAAGCTGGGCGTGGTGGGTGGGTGCCTGTAATCCCAGCTACTCAGGAAGGCTGAGGCAGGAGACGTGCTTGAACCCAGGAGGCGGAGGTTGCAGTGAGCCCAGATCACGCCACTACAGTCCAGCCTGGATGACAGAGCGAGACTCCGTTAAAAAAAAAAAAAAAAATCCTAGGCCAGGCATGGTGGCTCATGCCTATAATCCTAGCACTTTGGGAGGCCAAGTGGGGTGGATGGCTTGAGTCTAGGAGTTTGAGACCAGCCTGGGCAACACAGCAAGACCCCCATCTTTGCAAAAAATAAAGTTAAATAAAAAACCTAGCCAGGCAAGATGGCATGTGCCTGCAGTCCCGGCTACTCAGGGGACTGAAGTGGGATGATCACTTGGGCCGGGGAGGTTGAGGCTGCAGTGAGCTTTGATCTCACCACTGCACTCCTGCCTGGGTAACAGAGTGAGACCCTGTCTCAAAAACAAAGTAAAATAAGAAAGCCTGTAGGTTGAAAATATTAAGGTTAAAGAGGTGGTAACAATCAGGGTTGGTTTGGGGAGCTGAGCTACCATGGGTGAGTGTTACGGGATAAGGGAAGGAATGAGACTTTGCACAATTATTGCAGGATCTCGGGAGGTGAAGATCTGGGAGTGGGACCAGAGGAGTCACCAACCAGTGGATCTAGAAGTCAGGAATGTCTGTTTGCCAAAGTGGGGCTCTGCAGGGGGAGCTCGTAGAGGGGTTTAGTTTGCCCCTGTATGGCTCTTGCCTCTGTGAATGGGCAGCCAAGCATTTGGTGCTGGGGCTCGGGCCGTGGCAGAAGCAGCTTTAATGGCTTTGGGAGTTTCCAGCACCACTTTGCTTCCTTAGAGCTGTGAGTGACAAGTGAAGCTTGAGGCTGGTGTGAGTACTGGATTCCTCACTGTTCCTTCTATGTCACGCAAGGGCAAACACAGCACTCTTTTGGTGATGTGATTACATCAGCACCTGTCTCATAAAACTTAAAAAAAAATCTTTGTTTCAAAATCATGCTCCTAGCCAGGCACAGTGGCTCACACCTGTAATCCCAGCACTTTGGGAGGCTGAAGTGGGAGAATAGCTTGAGGCCAGGAATTCAAGACTTGTCTGGGCAGCAGAGCAAGACCCTGCCCTTACAAAAAATTAAAAAGGAAAAAAAATTGCTATGCATGGTGGCGTACTATCGTAGTCCTAGCTACCTGAGAGGCTGAGGCGGGAGGATTGTTTGAGCCTAGGAATTCCAGGCTGCAGTGAGCTGTGATCACCCAACTACCTCTAACCGGGTGACAGAGGGAGACCCCGTCTCAAAAAAAAAAATCATATTATTAAAAAAAAATATTCAAACACTGCTAAAGATTTTTCAATGAAAAGTGAGTCTTTTTCTTTCTTTAGATTTTGTCTATTGCCAGAGACAGTCCATCAGTCTTCTTTCTAGCTTTGCAAAAAAAGTCTCCGTTTATGTCTGTCTATTCAGACACTACCTATTTTATTTTTTTAAATTTTATTTTATTTGAGACAGTCTTGCTCTGTTGCCCAGGCTGAAGTGCAGTAGCACACAACCATGGTTCACTGTAGCCTCAACCTCCTAGGTTCAGGTGATCCTCCTGCCTCAGCCTCCTGAGCAGCTGGGACCACAAGCACGCACTACCACACCTGGCTAATTTTTAAATTATTTGTAGAGATAGGGTTTCCCTGTGTTGCCCAGGCTGTCTCGAACTACTGGGCTCAAGTGATCCTTCTACCTCAGCCTACCAAAATGCTGGCATTACAGGTGTGAGCCACCGTGCCCAGTCTGTACTTTGTGTTTTTCACTTAGTGATTTATCTTTCATATGAGACCACATCTGTCTCATTCTTTCTGATGGCCATAGTCTTCCATTGTGAGGCTCCCAGTGACGAACAGTTCTGTTGCTCTAGGCTCTTATGAATAGATGTGATGTCACAGTAAACTACATTGTACCTGAGATTTTAAGTACCTGAGCAAGTATATCTGTCAGACACAATAGTGTTTTCTTTCCAAAGAGTTAGCAAAGCTTTCTTCCCCTGGCTTCTGGCTTCCCAGGTATGGTTCCCTTTTTTTTTTTTTTTTTTTGAGACAGAGTCTCCCTCTGTCGCCCACGCTGGAGTGTGCAGTGGCATGATCTCAGCTCACTGCAACCTCTGCCTCCCAGGTTCAAGCAATTGCCCTGCCTCAGGCTCCCACGTAGCTAGGATTACAGGTGTGCGCCACCATGCCCGGCTAATTTTTTGTATTTTTGGTGGAGACGGGGTTTCACCATGTTGGCCAGGCTGGTCTCAAACTCCTGACCTCAGGTTATCCGCCCTCCTCAGCCTCCCAAAGTGCTGGGATTACAGGCATGAGCCATGGCGCCTGGCCTCAGGCATGGCTCCTATTGGCTGCCTCCTCTTCCTCACCACTCCTTAAATATCTACCATCTGGCTTGCATCAGGGACACACTCAAAGGCCATCAATGACCTGCTTCTTTAGTGCATCGCCCCTGATCTTCCTGTAGAATTTGACTCCACTCCCTAACTCAGGCTAAAATCTCTCCTTGCTTGACTGTTATGGGAGATTTTTTTTTCTTTCTTTTCTTTTTTTTTTTTGAGACACGGTCTCACTCCGTAGCCCAGACTGCAGTGCAGTGGCGCAATCTTGGCTCACTGCAACCTCTGCCTCCCAGGTTCAAACGATCCTCCTGCCTCAGCCTCCCAAGTAGCTGGGATTATGCACGCCACCACGCTTGGCTAATTTTTGTATTTTTAGTAGAGACTGGGTTTCACCATGTTGGCCAGATTGGCCTCAAACTCCTGACTTCAGGTGATCCACCTGCTTCAGCCTCCCAAAGTGCTGGGATTACAGGTGTGAGCCACTGCACCCAGCCTGGGAGATAATTTTTGTTCTCTCCCTATTTCTCTAATCATGTTTGTCCTGTCTCCTTTGCCTGTCTTCCAAAGGTCAGCAATCTGGCAGAGGCTGAGGGAGTGGAGCCTCCTGGGCCAGCTGCTTCAGCTTCTCCCTGTCCTGCCTAGGCAGCCTCTCCCACTTACCTCACCACCTGGACCCCAGAGGAATTTGACGTTTTGATCAATATCTAAGTTCAAAATCTTTCCTAGGCTCAAGTCCTGCATTTAAAAAAAAAAGTATTTTTTTAAATTTCTGCATTTTATTTTCATGATTTTAGCATTTATTATGGACTACTTTAAAAATACAAAAAGAGGCCAGGCGCAGTGGCTCACGCCTATAATCCTAGCACTTTGGGAGGCCGAGGCGGGCGAATCACTTGAGGTCAGGAGTTCGAGACCAGCCTGGCCAACATACTGAAACCCCGTCTCTACTAAAAATACAAAAATTAGCCAGGCCTGGAGGCACGCACCTGTAATCCCAGCTACTAGGGAGGCTGAGGCAAGAGAATGGCTTGAACCTGGGAGACGGAGGTTGCAGTGAGCTGAAATTTTGCCACCACACTCCAGCCTGGGTGACAGAGTGAGACCCTGTTTAAAAAAAAAAAAAAAAAAGGTATGAGCAGTTGTATAATATGCTCTATCTGCCTCCTGGGTGGATACAAATAAAATAGGTAGGGTCTGAATAGACAGACATAAACAGAGGCTCTATTTGGAAAGACAGAAGACTGACAGTGGCTGGGCACTGTGGCTTACACATGTAATCTCAGTACTTTGGGAGGCTGAGGCAGGAAGATCACTTGAGCCCAGGAGTTCAAGACCAGCCTGGGCAACATGATGAAATCTCATCTCTACAAAAAATACAAAAATTAGCTGGGCATGGTGGCATGTGCGTAGTCCTAGCTACTCAGGAGGCTGAGGTGGGAGGATCGCTTAAGCCCAGAAGGTGGAGGCTGCAGTGAGCCCTGATGGTGCCACTGCACTCCAGCCTGGGCAATAGAGCAACACCCTGTCTTAAAAAAAAAAAAAAAAAAAAAGGCTGGGTGCGGTGGCTTGCACCTGTAATCCCAGCACTTTGGGAGGCCGAGGCGGGTCGATCACGAGGTGAGGGGATTGAGACCATTCTGCCCAACATGGTGAAACCCTGTCTCTACTAAAAATACAAATATTAGCTGGGCATGGTGGCGCATGCCTGTAATCCCGGATCATGAGGTCAGGAGATCGAGACCATCCTGGCTAAGATGGTGAAACCCCATCTCTACTAAAAATACAAAAACAAAATTAGCCAGACATGGTGGTGGGTGCCTGTAGTCCCAGCTACTCTGGAGGCTGAGGCAGGAGAATGGCATGAACCTGGGAGTCGGAGCTTGCAGTGAGCTGAGATAGCGCCCCTGCACTCCAGCCTGGGTGACAGAGCAAGATTCTGTCTCAAAAAAAAAAAAAAAAAACCAAAAAAAAAGAGGAAGACTGACAGTAATTACTGCCTCTGGCAAGAGAGAGGAAATCCAGGGTAGGAAAAAGACTTACTTTTCATTGAAAAATCTTTGGCACTGTTTGAATACTTATTTTTTAATAATATGAATTTTAAAAACAAGAATTATCAGTGGCTGGGCGCGGTGGCTCACACCTGTAATCTCAGCACTTTGGGAGGCCAAGGCAGGTGGATCACGAGGTCAGGAGACTGAGACCATTCTGCCCAATATGGTGAAATCCTGTCTGTACTAAAAATACAAATATTTGCTGGGCATGATGGCGCATGCCTGTAATCCCAGCTATTCCGGAAGCTGAGGCAGGAGAATCACTTGAACCCGGGAGGCAGAGGTTGCAGATCGCACTACTGTACCCCAGCCTGGCAACAGAGGGAGACTCCATCTCAAAACAAACAAACAAACAAACAAACAAATAAATAAAAAATCATCCAGGCTAGGTGGCTCATGCCTGTAATCCCAGCAGTTTGAGAGGCCAAGGCCGGTGGGTCACCTGAGGTCAGGAGTTCGAAACCAGCCTGACCAACACGGTGAAACCCCGTCTCTACCAAAAATACAAAAACTAGCCAGGCGTGGTGGCATGCACCTGTCATCCCAGCTACTCAGGAGGCTGAGGCCAGAGAATCGCTTGAACCTGGGAGGTGGAGGTTGCAGTGAGCCGAGATCGCGCCATTGCACTCCAGCCTGGGCAATAACAGTGAAACTCCAGCTCAAAAAAAAAAAAAAAAAGAATAAGTTTTTAAAGGTTGGGGTGCTTGGAGGATGAAATAAAGTAGAAGGGATGGCAGGTTTCCTTGGCACACTCCTTGGGCCTTAAGAAAGTGTAAAGAATAAGAAAAATACAACAAAAGGAAAACAACAAATATCAATGTATCCACCACTCAGCTTAATAAAGAAAATATAATAAACACAGGTGAAGCCTTTTTTGTGCTCCCCTTCTTCCCCACCACTTACCTCAGAGATAATCACTATACTGAATTAGGAGTTTGCCATTTCCTCAAATTTTAATTGAGTCCTGCATTTTTGACAAACATCTGGACGTCTCTATATGGGTATTTCACTCAGTATGGTTAAAAGCAAATTCAAGCTGGGCTTAGTGGCTCACACCTGTAATCCCAGCGCTTTGGGAGGCCGAGGTGGGTGGATCACTTGACCCCAAGTGTTTGAGAGCAACCTGGGCAACACGGCAAAAACCCATCTCTACAAAAAATACAAAACTTACCAGGCGTGCTGGCGCATGTCTGTAGTCCCAGCTACTTGGAAGGCTGAGGTGGGCAGATCACCTGAACCCAGGAGGTGGAGGCTGCAGTGAGCTGTGATTGTGTCACTGCACTCAGCCTGGGAGACAGAGTGAGACTCTGTCAAAAAAAAAAAAAAAGGCAAATTCAAGTGATCCATTTATGTAAACAGAAAAATGCACTATATAAATGTATCTATCTAGAATTCAGGGATCGGTGAAACAAAAGACATCGCATCGGCAGGTCTGTTTGCAACTTCTGGGATACACCAGGTGTTAGCGGTGATGACTTCTGGATGCTTGGACTGTGGATTTTTAAAATGGTTTTATCTGCTCATCTGTATTTCTAAATTTTCAACAATGGAACATAGATTATTGTATTATTATTATAATACCCCAAACCTATCTTCCTCTCAGCCCTCTTTCCACGAGCTCTTACCCTAAATGTCTCTTTTTCTGTCAGTGGCATTGTGCGTCTTCCTTAGTGCATCACCTCTGATCTTCCTGTAGAATTTTTTTTTTTTTTGAGATAGAGTCTTGCTTTGTCACCCAGGCTGGAGCGCAGTGGCCTGATCTTGGCTTACTGCAAACTCCGCCTCCTGGGTTCAAGCACGTCTCCCTGCCTCAGCCTCCTGAGTAGCTGGGATCATAGGTGCCTGCCACCATGCCTGACTAATTTTTGTATTTTTAGTAGAGACGGGGTTTCACCATGTTGGCCAGGCTGTTCTGGAACTCCTGACCTCAAGTGATCCACCTGCCTCGGCCTCCCAAAGTGCTGGGATTACAGGAGAGCGCCACGGCGCCCAGCTTACACCAGACTACTTTTTAAAATGTTTTTGTAAAGTCAGGGTTTCGCCATGTTGCCCAGGCTGATTTTGAACTCCTGGGCTCAAGCAATCCTTTTGCCTTTTGACTCCCAAAGTCCTGGGATTACAGGTGTGAACCCCTGCAGCTGGCCTCAATGTTAAGATCTTAAGGGGCACAGCACAGACCTTGTCTTGTCTATCTCCCTGGCACCTCTCACAGAGTACAGCTTATTAACAGATGTTCCAGAAACTGTTACTGAACATTCGGCTTGATGCTGTGGGCTTGTCTGCATCTTGCAACTGTCACCTGGCTGAGAAATTTCTTCTATAAATAAGCAGTTTCTGTTTCAGATGTGATATGCCCTGATATTTACACCCTGTCTCTTACCCCATCCAAGACTCAAACTTAGAAACTTGAATTAGATGTGGTATTCAAATCCTTAGCTGCCGCGAAGACACAGACAGCCCCCGTAAGAACCCACGAAGCAGGCGAAGTTCATTGTTCTCAACATTCTAGCTGCTCTTGCTGCATTTGCTCTGGAATTCTTGTAGAGATATTACTTGTCCTTCCAGGCTGTTCTTTCTGTAGCTCCCTTGTTTTCTTTTTGTGATCATGTTGCAGATGGCTGGGCAGTGCTCCCAAAATGAATATTTTGACAGTTTGTTGCATGCTTGCATACCTTGTCAACTTCGATGTTCTTCTAATACTCCTCCTCTAACATGTCAGCGTTATTGTAATGCAAGTAAGTAATATTGCTTGAACGATTATTCATTGGTGTGAACTATTCTGTCTATATGGACTGCTTATTCAGAGAATCAACATAATGGGCATGATGGTGAGTTTTCTTGAATCAAAAAGAGAAAGGAAGCAAGGCAGTGATTTTAATGTTTATGGAAACAAAGTAATTATTTGGAACTGAACTTGATATGATTCAGCACTATTAGCAACATAGATTTTTTTTAAAAATCAGCTCTTCTAATTAAGTGATATTTAGAATTTAAAAGTCAATGTTCATTAATTAAGGTGATTGAATGGAAATAATCCATACTTGATTATTTTGCTATCAAAACAATCCATAATTCATTATTTTAGCAAAATAATCAAGTATGACAGCCGGGTGCGGTGGATGGCTCACACCTGTAATCCCAGCACTTTGGGAGGCCGAGGTGGGTGAATCACCTGAGGTCGGCAGTTTGAGGCCAGCCTGGCCAACCTGGTGAAACCCTGTCTCTACTAAAAATACAAAAAATTAGCTGGGCATGGTGGCACAGGTCTGTAATCCCAGCTACTCGGGAGGCTGAGGCAGGAGAATTGTTTGAACTTGGGAGGTGGAGGTTGCAGTGAGCCGAGATCGCGCCACTGCACTCTAGCCTGGGCAACAGAGCAAGACTTTGTCTCAAAATAAATAAATAAATAATAACAATAAAGTATGTGAATATTATGTTATCAGCTCATTATCTGTCTGATGTTCTTTTCATAAAGGTGTGACCAATTCAGTGAAAGGAACGAATGCGATTCTCTGGACCTGTTTGGGACTGAGCTTAATAATTTCTTTGGCAGTTTTCGTGCTAATGTTTTTGCTAAGGAAGATAAACTCTGAACCATTAAAGGACGAGTTTAAAAACACAGGTTGGTTTGATGGTGAATCTTTGAAATCTATTTCCAGGGGATGGCTATTGTGAGTTTCAGTTCCTTTTCTTTTTTTAGCGTTGACTATTTCACTTCGTTACAGCCCTTTCGAATGTGTTAGAACATTGTTACATTAAATGAACTTGGTAGAGGTGAGCCATCTTCATTCTGATTTTGACACCTTGGCAGATTTTCTACAATGTCAGTCTTCTCCAGGATTCTTCCACTGTTAATTACTCTATTGAAAGTACTAAGGCTTTCTTGGGAAACATCAGTCTCTTTGACTAAAGTTAGCACATCGATTAAATGCCACATTATCAGAAACTCCTAGCCAGGTCTGCTACTGTCAGGAAAAGCATATTTGTCAAGATCTATGGTCATGTTTTTATACAAATATAGGTGTTCTTTGCTTGAGTGAACATTTTACTACTGAAAAATGTTAGAAATGAATAACCAGTTGCTCCTGAATTATTTGAGGAATCATCTAAAAAATAATTATTTTTAAGCAATAGAGAACCAGTCCCAGAAAAATGAATGTTCTACTTAAGTGCCTCTTAAGATAAAAATACTTCTGCAGCACCTTTGCTCATGATTGGATTCCCAAGCATGTACAGCCACTGCCCTATTTCTGTATGCATTTATTTATTTATTTATTTATTTATTTATTTATTTATTTAGAGATGGAGTCTCGCTCTGTGGCCCAGGCTGGAGTGCAGTGGCGTGATCTCAACTCACTGCAGCCTCTGCCTCTTGGGTTCAAACAATTCTCCCATCTCAGCCTCCTGAGTAACTGGGACTATAGGTATGTGCCATCACCTCCGACTAATTTTTGTACTTTTTGGTAGAGACAGGGTTTCATCATGTTGGCCAGGATGGTCTCAAGCTCCTGACCACAAGTGATCTGCCCGCCTCAGCTTCCCAAAGTGCTGGGATTACAGGCGTGAGCCACAGGGCCCAGCACATACTCATTCTTTTTTACTGAAAAGATCTGTTTCAAGCTGGGTGTGGTGGCATGGAGCTGTAGTCCCGACTGCTCTGTAGGCTAACGTGGGAGGATTGCTTGAGCCCAGGAGTTTGAATGCAGCCTGGGCAACACAGTAAGACCCCACCTCTAAAAAATGAAAAAATCTCTCTCACATTGCTTTGAGTCCCGATGTGTACTGCTAAGACTCTCATGACCACATTCTCTGTGAAGTTTGGGTTAATGTTTCCGTTTCTACATAATTAGGATCAGGTCTCCTGGGCATGGCTAACATTGACCTGGAAAAGAGCAGGACTGGTGATGAAATTATTCTTCCGAGAGGCCTCGAGTACACGGTGGAAGAATGCACCTGTGAAGACTGCATCAAGAGCAAACCGAAGGTCGACTCTGACCATTGCTTTCCACTCCCAGCTATGGAGGAAGGCGCAACCATTCTTGTCACCACGAAAACGAATGACTATTGCAAGAGCCTGCCAGCTGCTTTGAGTGCTACGGAGATAGAGAAATCAATTTCTGCTAGGTAATTAACCATTTCGACTCGAGCAGTGCCACTTTAAAAATCTTTTGTCAGAATAGATGATGTGTCAGATCTCTTTAGGATGACTGTATTTTTCAGTTGCCGATACAGCTTTTTGTCCTCTAACTGTGGAAACTCTTTATGTTAGATATATTTCTCTAGGTTACTGTTGGGAGCTTAATGGTAGAAACTTCCTTGGTTTCATGATTAAACTCTTTTTTTTCCTGACATCTAAGTTTTTATTAACGTGAGTTTTTAAAAACAAGCATGTATACCAGTGTGGGGGGTGAGGGTGGGAGAGAAAGGTGGGAGGGGGAAAGAATTCTAACCTATTGATAATAAAGCTCCAGTTTTGGCCAGGCGCGGTGGCTCATGCCTGTAATCCCAGCACTTTGAAAGGCCGAGGCGGGCAGATTACCTGAGGTCAGGAATTTGAGACCAGCCTGGCCAACATGGTGAAACCCTGTCTTTACTAAAAATACAAAAATTAGCTGGGCATGGTGGTAGGCACCTGTAATCCCAGCTACTCAGGAGGCTGAGGCAGGAGAATCGCTTGAACCTGGGAGGTGGAGGTTGCAATGAGCTGAGATAGCATCCCTGCACTCCAGCCTGGGCAAGAGGGTGAGACTCCGTCTCAAAACAAAACAACACAAACAAACAAAAAGACCTCCAGCTTCATCTTCTGCTGGATTTTATAGTGCCCCAAAGATATGTGGTCCTTAAAAATTGTATACCACTTATTCAGGAGTCTTGTTCCTGAAAGGGTTGTTCTTGTTACAGCCCTAGTCTGGGCTGTAATCAGCTTCTTAAGGTCCACAATGGTGTTATCTGTGTAGCATTTAACACAGACCTTCTCCACACTATCCACTCTCCACTGAGGTTGTTGCAAACAACCTCAATCATCCTAGCTGATGCTCATCACCTTGAACATGCTGACATGACAATCTTCTCACTAGAGACCTCTAAACGCTTGACTTACTGAAAAAAACAGCATTCTGTAGATCTCAGTAACCAATTTCTTTTTCTTTTCTTTTTTTTTTTTTTGAAACGGAGTCCTGCTCTGTTGCCCAGGCTGGAGTGCAGTGGCATGATCACAGCTCACTACAACCTCCACCTCTCAGGTTCAAGCGATTCTCTTGCCTCAGCCTCCCGAGTAGCTGGGATTACAGGCACGTGGCACCATGCCCTGCTGATTTTTGTATTTTTAGTAGAGATGGGGTTTCACTGTGTTGGTCAGGCTGGTCTTGAACTCCTGACCTCAGGTGATTCACCTGCCTTGGCCTCCCAAAGTGTTGGGATTACCGGTGTGAGCTATCGCGCCCGGCCCCAGTCATACGCTTCTATGGTTAGGGCGCTTCTCTCCGATATACATACATACAGATTTCAGGAAGGATCGGATGTTTCTCTTGATTTTTGAATTTTATTTATTTATTTTTTGAGACAGTCTCGCTCTGTCGTTGACACGGGAGTGCAGTGGTGCGATCTCAGCTCACTGCAACCTCTGCCTCCCGGGTTCAAGCAATTCTCTGCCTCAGCCACCCGAGTAGCTGGGATTACAGGTGCCCGCCACTGCGCCTGGCTAATTTTTGTATTTTTAGTAGAGACAGGGTTTCACCATCTTCGCCAGACTGGTCTTGAACTCCTGACCTCGTGATCCACCTGTCTTGGCCTCCCAATGTGCTGGGATTACAGGCGTGAGCCACTGTGCCTGGCCTTTTCTCTTTATTGTTAAAGGAAAGCTAACTTATGTACTTCTGCAAACAGGAGAAGCCTAGAATCAACCAGACGAATTCAGTGTGCAGTGCACAGGTGGTTCTTGGCCTTGTGAGCTTCCAGCTTAATGAAAGCATCAGGCATTACTATAATTACACAAGTAAATGTGTAATCGCAAACTGTGATAACGGTGCACGACATACTGTTTTCAGCCCAAAATGTGAGTGGTGCTATAATAATCATATCTAACCCTTATATAGTCTTACTAACGTGCCAGGGACTGTTCTAAGTGCTTCACCTGTACTAGCTCATTTTATTTTTTTGAGACGGGGTCTTGCTCTGTTGCCCAGGCTGGACTGCACTGGCATCATCTTGGCTCACTGCAACCTCTACCTCAAGAGGTAGGTTCAAGAGTCTCCTACCTCAGCCTCCCAAGTAGCTGGGATTACAGGTGCCCGCCACCACACCCGGCCTATACTAACTCATTTTAAGCACACAAAAACTCCTGGGTATGGCCGGGTGTGGTGGCTCATGCCTGTAATCCCAGCACTTTGGGAGGCCGAGACAGGCAGATCACCTGAGGTCAGGAGTTAGAGACCAGCCTGACCAACATGGTGAAAACCTGTCTTGTCCCACATTTCCAGTCTTTATTTTTATTCATTTATTTATTTATTTTTGAGATGAAGTCTCACTCTGTCGCCCAGGCTGGAATGCAGTTGTGCTATCTGAGCTCACTACAACCTCTGCTTCCTGGGTTCAAACAATTCCCCTGTCTCAGCCTCCTGAGTAGCTGGGACTACAGTCGCATGCCACCATGCTCAGCTAGTTTTGGTATTTTTACTACAGATGGGGTTTCACCATATTGGTCAGGCTGGTCTCGGACTCCTGACCTCAGGTGATCCACCCACTTTGGCCTGCCAAAGTGCTAGAATTATAGGTGTGGGCCACTGCACCTGGCCTTCCAGTGTTTAAAATCAGCATTTTTTTTTTCTTTCTTTTGAGACACAGTTTCACTCTTGTTGCCCAGGTTAGAGTGCAGTGGTACGATCTTGGCTCACTGCAACCTCCAACTTCTGGTTTCAAGCGATTCTCCTGCCTCAGCCTCCCGTGTAACTGGGATTACAGGCACCTGCCACCACGCCTGGCTAATTTTTGTATTTTTAATATAGACGGGGTTTCACCTTGTTGGACACGGTGGTCTTGAACTCCTGACCTCGTGATCTACCTGCCTTGGCCTCCCAAAGTGCTGGCATTACAGGCATGAGCCACCGCGCCTGGCCTAAAATCAGCATTTTCTTACTCGTTTCTTTTTTTTTTTTGAGATAGGGTCTTACTCCAATGCCCAGGCTGAGTGCAGTGGCATAATCTTGGCTCACTGCAGCCTCGACCTCTGGGGCTCAGGTGACCCTCCCACCTCAGGCTCCTGTGTAGCTGGGACTACAGGCATGTACCACCATTCTCGGCTAATTTTTTTTATTCTTTTAGTAGAGATGGAGTTTCGCCATGTTGCCAAGGCTGGTCTTGAACTCCTGGGCTCAAGCGATCCTCCGACCTTGGCCTCCCAAAGTGCTGGGATTACAGGCATAAGCCACCACGCCTGGCCTAAAATCAGCATTTTCATCTGCTACATTGTTGTGTGCTAGGTCAGTCATGTTAAAGAAAAGGGTCAAACTCTAAAACATGTGAAGAGATTTATTCTGAACCAAATATGAGTGACCAATGGCCATGACACAGCCCTCAGGAGATTCTGAGAACACATACCCTAGGTGGTTGGGCTACAACTTTGTTTTATACATTTTAGGGAGACAAAAAGCATCAGTCAATACATATAAAATGTACACTGGTTCGGTCCAGAAAGGCAGGCCAACTAGAAGCAGGTATGGGGGAGTGGGGTGGTGGGGGGGTGGGTGGTTCCAAGTCATAGGTAGATTCAGAGATTTTCTTTCTTTTTTATTTTTTTAGACAGAGTCTTGCTCTGTTACCCAGGCTGGAGTGCAGTGGCGCAACCTTGGCTCACTGCAACCTCTGCTTCCCAGGTTCAAGCAATCCTCCAGCCTCAGCCTCTCAAGTAGCTGGGATTACAACTGTGCGGCACCAAGCTCAGCTAATTTTTGTATTTTTAGTAGAGATGGGGTTTTGCCATGTTGGCCAGGCTGGTCTTGAACTCCTCACCTCAAGTGATCTGCTCTCCTCAGCCTCGCAAAGTGCTGGGATTACAGGTGCGAGCTACCGTGCTCCTGGCCTAGATTCAAAGATTTTCTGATTGGCAATTGGTTGAAAGAGTTAAGTTATGGTCTAAAGATTTAGAATCAGCCAGGCGTAGTGGCTCTTGCCTGTAATCCCAGCACTTTGGGAGGCTGAGGTGGGTGGATCACGAGGTCAGGAGTTTGAGACCAGCATCGCCAACATAGTGAAACCCCATCTCTACCAAAAATACAAAAAATTAGCCGGGTGTGGTGGCAGGCACCTGTAATCCCAGCTACTCGGGAGGCTGAGGCAGGAGGATCACTTGAACCTGGGAGACAGAGGTTGCAGTGAGCTGAGATCACGCTATTGCACTCCACAGCCCAGGCGACAATGCGAGACTCTGTCTCAAAAAAACAAAAACAAACCAACAAAAAAATTTCTGTGTTAAGATAAGGGATTGTGGAGACCGTAGTTCTGTCATGCCAATGAAGCCTCCAGGTGGCAGGCTTCAGAAAATAGATTGTAAATGTTTCCTACTAAGGAGTCTGTTCTGGGCTGGATGCCGCGGCTCACGCCCGTAATTCCAGCACTATGGGAGGCCGAGGTGGGCAGATCGTAAGGTCAGGAGTTTGAAACCAGCCTGAACAACATGGGGAAACCCCGTCTCTACAGAAAATACAATAATTAGCCGGGGCTTGGTAGCATGTGCCTGTAATCCCAGCTACTTTGGAGTGTGAGGCACAAGAATCACCTGAACCTGGGAGGCGGAGGTTGCAGTGAGCTGAGATCACACCACTGCACTCCAGCATGAGTAACACAGTGAGACCGCATCTTCAAAAAAAAAGAAAAAAAAGCTAGGTGTGGTGGCTCACGCCTGTAATCCCAGCACTTTGGGAGGCTGAGGCAGGCAGATCATGAAGTCAAGAGATTGAGTCCATCCTGGCCAACATGGTGAAACCCCGTCTCTACTAGAATTAGCTGGACGTGGTGGTGGGCGCCTGTAATCCCAGCTACTTGGGAGGCTGAGGCAGGAGAATTGCTTGAACTCAGGAGATGGAGGTTGCAGTGAGCCGAGATCACGCCAGTGCATTCCAGGCTGGCAACAGAGCGAGATTCGGACTCAAAAAAAAAAAAAAATAGCTGGGCGTGGAGGCTGATGCCTGTAATCCCAGCACTTTGGGAGGCCGAGGCGGGCGGATCACCTGAGGTCAGGAGTTTGAGATCAGCCTGGTCAACACGGAGAAATCCTAACTCTACTAAAAGTATAAAATTAGCCGGGCGCGGTGGCACATGCCTGTAATCCCAGCTACTCAGGAGGCTGAGGCAGGAGACTCGCTTGAACCTGAGAGGCAGAGGCAGAAGTTGCGGTGAGCCGAGATTGTGCCATTGCACTCCAGCCTGGGCAACAAGAGTGAAACTGTCAAAAAAAAAAAAAAAAAAAAAAGACTCTATTCTATCAGTAATTCTAAAAGGGAGGAGTCTATCGTGAGGCATGTCTGGCTCCCATTTCCCATCATGGCCTGAACTAGTTTTTCAGGTTGCCTTTGGAGTGCCCTTGGCCAAGAGGCGGGCTTCATTCAGATGACTGGGGGACTGAGAATTTTATTTTTGGTTTATAGCCATGATTTCCATAGCTGGGATTTGGTTCTTTCCACTGTGGGGGCCAAGGGGAAAACTTCCTCTTAGTCCTTTGAAAGTTGCTGAAAAATCAGCTCAGAAAAGGCAGATAAACTGGAGAAAAGGTAGACAAGTTTTACTGACTTGTACCCTGGGGGAGAACCACAGAGTGAATACCTATCCCTCAACAGAGTTCAGCAGCTTATAAATTATTTATTTTATTTTTTGAGACAGAGTTTTGTTCTTGTTGCCCAGGTTGGAGTGCAGTGGTGCCATCTCGGCTCACTGCAACTTCTACCTCCCGGGTTCAAGCGATTCTCCTGCCTCAGCCTCCCAAGTTAGCTAGGAGTTCCTAGCTGGTCTGGAACTCCTGACCTCAGGTGATCTGCTTGCCTCCCAAAGTGCTGGGATTACAGGTGTGAGCCACCGCACCCAGCCAAATTATCACAAGGCTACAAAAAGAATGAGGGCTTGGAACCCCAGCAAAACAGGTTATGGGACTGGGGAGAAGAGGAATTCTGTTGAGGAGCAATAAAGGATCACTGGAGATGGAATGGATCCTGGAATGGAGATTATGCTGTAAACAGTTCTCTTTGGAATTTGAATGATTCTGAGAGGGTCTTTATCTTGTGAAAGCATTTGTTCAGGTGTGGTTACCTTCTCAGTTTTACAGGGAGGGGAAAAATTGTTATTTTTGGTGGGTCCCAAGTTTAGGCAGATGAAGGAACTTCATCCTGGCTTTGAGAGATTTGCTGTGTTATGGGCGAGGCCAGAGAGACTATGATGCTTCTTCAGTCCAGCAGGTCAAAATGCCATATTTTCGGGTACTGGTTTCTAAGCCCCAACGCCACTTTTTCATTATTACAGAGAATGCTGCAGACTGGGGTTGGTGGCTCATGCCTGTAATCCCAGCACTTTGGGAGGCCGAGGAGGGTGGATCACCTGAGGTCAGGAGTTCAAGGCTGACCAACATGGTGAAAGCCGATCTCTACTAAACACACAAAATACAAAAGTTAGCAGGCATGGTGGCACACCTGTAATCCTACCTACTCGGGAGGCTGAGGCAGGAGAATCACTAGAACCCGGGAAGCGGAGGTTGTAGTGAGCCGAGATCGCGCCATTGCACTCCTGCCTGGGCGACAGAGTGAGACTCCATCTCAAAATAAAAAAAACAAAAATAACAAAGACGTATTATGGATCAATTGAGTAAGTCTCCTTCAGCATTAGAGGAAAAAAAGAAAGTAGAGGAGAATGTACTACCTACAGAATTGTTTTTTAAAACATCTCCTTAAGTGTATGCTTATGTGTACAAGGTTATGATATAAAATACATTTCTTCACTCGGGGTGTGGGCAAAACAAGTTGGGAAAATACTCCTTCAGTCCCTTTTCCCCGATGTGTAAAATGGGACGAAACCCTGGACTTCATAACAATGTGCAGGGCGCGGTGGCTCACGCCTGTAATCCCAGCATTTTGGGAGGCCGAGGTGGGTGAATCACGAGGTCAGGAGATGGAGACCATCCTGGCTAACACGTTGAAACCCCGTCTCTACTAAAAAAATACAAAAAATTAGCCGGGTATGGTGGCAGGAGCCTGTAGTCCCAGCTACTTGGCAGGCTGAGGCAGGAGAATCACTTGAACCCGGGAGGTGGAGGTTGCAGTGAGCCAAGATCGCGCCACTGCACTCCAGCCTGGGCGACAGAGCGAGATGCCGTCTCAAAAACAAAACAAAACAAAAGAACGTTGTGAATGTGTCACACTTGTGTTCACACTCAATCCATCACCTTTTTTTTTTTTTTTTTTTTTTTTGAGACGGAGTCTCGCTCTGTCGCCCAGGCTGGAGTGCAGTGGCGGGATCTCGGCTCACTGCAAGCTCCGCCTCCCGGGTTCACGCCATTCTCCTGCCTCAGCCTCCCAAGTAGCTGGGACTACAGGCGCCCGCCACTACGCCCGGCTAATTTTTTGTATTTTTAGTAGAGACGGGGTTTCACCGTTTTAGCCGGGATGGTCTCGATCTCCTGACCTCGTGATCCGCCCGCCTCGGCCTCCCAAAGTGCTGGGATTACAGGCGTGAGCCACCGCGCCCGGCCAATCCATCACCTTTTCTATCTCCACTGCCACCACTGTAGACAGGCACCATGTCTTGCCTGGACAACTGCAATAACTCCTTAACCACCTGCTCTTTCTCCACCCTGCCCCCATTATAATTCATTCTCATCCCAGGAAGAGCCATTTTTGTTGTTGTTGTTGTTGAGAGGGAGTCTCACTCTGTCACCCAGGCTGGAGTGCAGTGGTGGGATCTCGGCTCACTGAAACCTCTGCCTCCCGGGTTCAAGCAATTCTCCTGTTTCAGCCTCCCCAGTAGCTGGGACTACAGGCGCACGCCACCATGCCTGGCTAATTTTTGTATTTTTAGTAGAGATGGGGTTTCACTATGTTGGCCAGGCTGGAATCGAACTTCTGACCTCAGGTGATTCACCCACCTTGGCCTCCCAATCATGCCTTGGGATTACAGGCATGAGTCACCGCGTCCGGCCTAGGAGCCATATCTTAAAACCTAATTCAGATCGTATCACTCCTCTGCTTGAGTCCTTTTTTTCTTTGGTAGAGAACGGCGTCTCGCTACGTTGCCCAGGCTGCTCTTGAACTGCTGGCCTCAAGCGATCCGCCTGCCTCCGCCCTCCCAAGTGCTGGGACCTTCCTAGAATTAGGCAGAAAAGCCCAAACTCCTTCCTCTGGCCTGCAAGGCCCTCCCTCCACCTCCTCAATCTCCTTTTCTCACTCACCCTCTCGAACTCCTGACCTCAGGTGATCCGCTCGCCTCGGCCTCCCAAAGTGTTGGGATTACAGGCGTGAGCCACCGCACCAGGCCTATTTTCTCACTCATCCCCTCGCTCCTGTCAACCCCTCCAGGCAGGGGCCTTGCAATTGCCCCTCCTTATGGAACACTTTCCCTGGGGATCTTCCCGGACTGGGTTCCTCTCATCATCCAGGTCTGGGCTCAGAAGTCGCCTCCTTAGAGAGGCCCTCCGGGATTGCCCATCCGCCTGTGCCCACGCTTTGTCCCGTTCCTCTATTTTTATTTCCTTTCCCGCTCGCATCCCTCTCTGGGACGAAGTCGCCCCATCACTCGTGGGAACCTCAGGAAGGCAGGGGAGGCGTCTTGGGCACTTGGGGACAGCGACGCCTCCTCGCGGGGTCTCGGGTTTACCCTGAGTCTCCAGCCCGCGTAGCCTCAGCACCGCTCTCCACACCGGGTCCGGCGACTTGGATCTGCGCCGCGGTTTACGTTCCGGGTCGGCGGGCGGGGCCTCGTCGGCGGCCAGGCTCTACTTCCGGGGCGGGGCGGCCGGGGCGGGGCTCCTGTCTCCCGGCCTGTCTGGAGCTCGGCAGCCGCAGAAGCGGCAGCGGCGGCGGCGCGGCGCAGGCACCGGCCCGGGGAGAGGCACCATGAGCGGTGAGTGGCGGCCCCGCCGCTGTCACCTGCCCCGGCCGCCCCGGCTCCCGCCGCTCCAGCTGCACACTCCGGCCCCTGCGTCCTCGCGCCCCGCTCCCTCGCAGACCCCCTCCCAGTCGCTCCCTTTTCCAGACCCCTGGCCCCCAGGACTCCCGGCTCGTGGCCCCTGCTCACCTGCGGGTCTCTGATCTCCCGTGGCGGGGCACTCCTGGTCTCCTGACTCCTGTCCATCCATAAAAACCAGCTCCTAAACCCCTGTCCCCAGTTGTTCCAGTCCTGCGATCCCCTTGCCTAGTGTCCAGACCCCCAGTTCTGAGACCTCCCAGGTCTCAGTCTCTCCTAACTCCTAGACCCGCTGCGTCCCAGCTCCAGTTCCAGGTCCCCCATCCCCAGTCATCCCCGCTACCCAGGCCCCTGGTCTCCAGTCCCTGCAGTTTCCACACAGGCATAGTCTTTCTGGACAGTTAGTTTGCTGACCCCAGTACCCCCGTGTCCCAGGAGCTTCTGGTCCCCAGAGGAGCTCAATTCTGCAACCCGTTTGTCTTCCCCATCCCTCTCATCCCTCCCACCCCTGTTCCCAGTGCTTTGCTCTTCCCATCACCAGTTCTTCCCAGTTACCCACTCGGCTTCCCTCTCCGGTCCTGGCTTTTACATTTCGATGATCCTTGCATATTCCATCCTTGTCCATGTCTTATCCTGGCTCATCATTATCATTTAAGATCTCTCTTGCCTTGTCCTGCAGCCCTTCCCTTCTTGTCCCGTGCCCAGCCCATCTGGGGACCGTCACTTCGTCCTTCTTCTTCCCAGTCCAAACTTCTTCCTCTCACCATCGAGGGGGTGGTGTTGATGGGGATGCTGGAAGTGAGAGGGAGGTGGGTGTGGGCAGCTCGTCCTCAATGTTTTCTGAAGTTTAGTCCCTTGACTCTACCCTCCTTTCCTCTGAGGAGTCTTATTGGTGTTTTGGTGCTAAGTCATTCCTGGGTGTTGTATGTGGAGATGGGAGTGACTCAGGGAAGCCTCTCAGCTCTCCCCTGACTGTCCAGCCACTCTGGGATCTGGATTTATTTAGGAAGCCCCGCCTATCCTCCTAGTGCCTGTTTTCCCCTCACTGTGGAATTGTTTCTGAGGATCCCTGCATCCAGCCGTCCTGGCCGTTGTCTTCCACTCAGGCATTTCTGGAGGTTGAGCGGGGGGCAAGGCCAAGGGATACTGCTGTCTTCAATTTTAACTTTTAAAGTTATCTCTGTGGACCTTTTTTGTTGGTTGGTTGTTTAAACAAGTGATGTGCCTTTTGTTTTTGTTATTCAAGGGCAAGATTTGTGAAATGGACAGTCCTAATAATGAGGGGGCTGGTGAGGGGGAGTTTCCTGGGAGATAATCCACCTTTGGTTGCAAATCAAATGATTTTAAGCCTAAGTATGGTTTCTGATTCGTGAATGTTAGTAATACCTCAGTAAAGATGTTATGAGCTGGCTTCCCCCAGGAGCTGAGGTAGGTTGGTGTAAGTGCAGGCCCTGAGGCCAGACATCCTGGGTTCAAATCTTGGCCCTGCCACATAAACCTGTGTTATTTAAGAGTAAGTTCTCGACCATTCTGGGAGTCCCAGCAAAATGAGGATACCTAGTAGTACCTATCTCCTAGGCTTGTAATGACTAAATAACATTCATCAGTTAAAGTGACTGGTACTGTGAATATCACGAGGTGCATTGTCAGAATCTCAGAGCTGCCTGCTGTTGTTTCTGCAAGAGCTCATGTGGGGTAGGAGTGGGGTTGTTTTTGCCTAGTTATGAGAGGAGGGCTGGGACTAGGCACTGTCTGAAAATCTTTTCCTTTTACTATGACCAAGGAGTCTTTGCCACAAGCTCACAGTTCTGGACCCTTTTCGTTTTACCTTTAGCACAAGAGACAATGAAATTGATAAGCCAATAGAAATTGATCAGTTTATCTTTCAAGGAGAAATAATATGAAAACTCTGGTGGCACGCGCCTGTAATCCCAGCTACTTGGGAGGCTGAGGCAGGAGAATCGCTTAAACCCCGGTGCCAGAGGTTGCAGTGAGCCAAGATCAAGCCACTGCACTCCAGCCTGGGCGACAGAACAAGACTTCGTCTCAAAACAAACAAACAAACAAAAAAACAAAAGAAAGAAAACTTTAAAATTTAATTAAAAAATCATTACGTCTGCTGGGTGTGATGGCTCACACCTGTAATCTCAGCACTTTGGGAGGCAGATGCAGGCTGTCACTTGAGATCAGGAGTTTGAGACCAGCCTGGCCAACATGGTGAAATCCCATCTCTACTAAAAATACAAAAACTAACAGGGCATAGTGGCAGGCGCCTGTAATCGCAGCTACTCGGGAGGCTGAGGGATGAGAATCTCTTGAACCCAGGAGGTGGACATTGCAGTGAGCGGTGATCATGCCACTGCACTCCAGCCTGGGCAACAGAGTGAGACTCAGTCTCCAAAAAAAAAAAAAAAAAAAAAAAATCGTTACATCTAAAGCCAAAGAGAAAAGGAAACCAACAAATGACTTTTTAGGAAAAAGCATTAAGGATGAAAACCTTCTTTTGGAAACATTGTAATTGAGGCAGAAAAAGTGGTCTGTGAAAATGGAAGGGGAAGTCCAACGATATATTTTGTTTCTTGAGAATGCAGTTGAAAGTGGGTTTCCCCACTTGTGGGGTGGGTAACTGGTACACGATAAAATAAAGTGGCATGGAAATATTTCCTCTTTCTTCTGTTCCCCACTTATAATATTTTGTTTATTTATTTATTTTATTTATGTTTTAGAGATGGAGTCACGCTCTGTCACCCAGGCTGGAGTGCAGTGGCAGGATCTTAGCTTACTGCAACCTTCGCCTCCTGGGTTCAAGCAATTCTTCTGCCTCAGGCTCCCAAGTAGCTGGGACTATAGACATGTACCACCATGCCCGGCTGAGTTTTGTATTTTTAGTAGAGATGGAGTTTCGCTGTGTTGGCCAGGCTGGTCTCGAACTCCTGGCTTCATGTGATCCACTTGTGAACTCCTGGCTTCATGTGATCCACTTGTGAACTCCTGGCTTCATATGATCCACCTGCCTCAGCCCCACAAAGTGCTGGGATTACAGGCATGAGCCACTGTGCTCCGGCCATAACATTTTATTTTATAGTGTATTTTAAAAACTCAGAATCTAAGTAAGGTTTAAACAGTGCACATTGGTTTGTGTTTTAAATCTTTTAGGTCTCTCCCTCACCTCCTGTTTATTTTATTTTTATTTTTTGGTATTTTCAGAGCCGTGTAAACATCACCATAGTTAATTTCACAACATTTTAATTACCTTAGAAAGAAACTTTGTACCCATTAGCAGTCATTCATCTTTCCCCCTCCCCTCAGACCCTGGGAACCACTCATCTACTTTCTGTCTCTGGATGTGCCTGTTGTGGGTATTTCATATAAATGAAATCATACAGTATGTGACCTCTCTTATCTGGCTTTTTTCACTCGGTATAATTTTCCTGAGGTTAAACCACATTACAGCATATATCTGTACTTCATTCCTTTTTGTGGCCACATTATATTCCTTTATGTGGATATCATATTTTGTTTATTCATGCATCAAAAATGGGCATTTGAGTTGTTTCTACTTTTTAGCTGTTCTGAATAATAATGCTGCTATGAACGTTCACGCACATGTTTTTGTGGGGGCAAGTCTCTTCATTTCTCTTGGGCATGTTTGTAAGAGTGGAATTGCAGGGTCATATGGTAACTGTTTAACCATTTGAGGAGCTGTGTCAGACTGTTTTCTAAAGTGGCTGCACCATTTTCAGTTCTCACCAGCAGCATATGAGGGTTCTGTTTCTCCACACCTTCCCCAAGAGTCTTTTTAATCATAGACATTCTAGTGAGTGTGAAGTGGTATTTCTTCGTAGTTTTGATTTGCATTTCCCTAGTGACTAGTGATGTTGAGCATCTTATCTTGTGCTTATTGACCAATTGTGTATCCTCCTTGGAGAAATGCCTCTTCAGATCCTTTGGCCATTTTAACATTCGGTGGTCTTTTTATTGCTGATCTATAAGAATCCTCTGTAATTTTTAGATACTAGTCCCTTATCAGGTTTATTGTTTACAAAAATTTTCTCCCCTTCCATGGTTTGTCTTTTCATTTTCATTTTCTTTTTTTTTTTTTGAGTTGGAGTCTTGCTCTATCACCCAGGCTGGAGTGCTGGAGTGCAGTGAGAAATCTCGTCTCACTGCAACCTCTGCCTCCCAGGTTCAAGTGATTCTCCTGCCTCAGCCTCTGGAGTAGCTGGGACTACAGGTGCACACCCCCACACCCAGCTAACTTTTTTGTTGTTTCAGTAGAGATGGGGTTTTGCCATGTTGACTGGGCTGGTCTCGAACTCCTGGCCTCAAGTGGTCCGCCTACCTCAGCCTCCCAAAGTGCTGGGATTACAGGCATGAGCCACCGCACCTGGCCAATTTTTGTATTATTAGTGTTGATGGGGTTTTACCATGCTGGCCAGCTGGTCTCCAGCTCCTGACCTCAATTGATCTGCCTGCCTCAGCCTCCCAAAGTGCTGGGATTACAAGCCTGAGCCACCATGCCTGGGCTCTTTTCACTTTCTTGGTGGTGTTTTTTGAAGCAGTCTTTTTTTAAACTACAGGCTGCCCTTTAATCTCTCTCCTTTTCCCCCTTGCATTTGTTGTTGAAGGAAACAGAGTTATTTATCCCAAGGATCCTTTGCAGGCCTCTGCTGATTGCATCCTTTTGGTGTGGCATAAAGTGTTTTTCAGTCTCTTGTATGTGCTATAAATTGGTAATTAGAGTCTGCTGTATTTTTGAGTTGAAAATATTTGAGTAGAGTCAGAGGAGAGATGGGTGCAAAGCTGAATACATTAAGTACAAATAACCAGGCAGTGGAATGGCGCTAGGTAATATATATATACAAGATAAATGGGTATCATGAGGCCAGAAACAACTAAGATGACCATTAATTGGGGAGTAGGTAAACCTAGTGTGCTGTGGACACCTGACGGAAAGCCTCAGAAATGTTAAAAGGATTGATACGGATTCATACACATCACCGTGGCTGCATCTCAACGTTAATGTTCTGTAAGAAAAGCAGGGTGGGTCTGGCGTGATTGCTCACGCCTGTAATCTGAGCCCTTTGGGAGGCCCAGTTGGGAGGATTGCTTGAGTCCAGGAGTTTGAGACCAGCCTGGGCAACATAACGAGATCTCATCTCAATTAAAAAAAAAAAAAAGCAGGGTGTAGAATTATACCTAAAATATATACCTTGATGCAAATTAAAACATACTGAAGACAATATTTATGGATTCATATATGTATGTAGACCTAAAAAGATTATCAGGAAGAAAGATGCCTGCCAGACATGTGTGGGTGGTTATTGTAGGGTGGTGGTCACAATTTGTTTATTTTTCTTTAAAGAACCCAGTAGATAGGAATACTTGATTGCCCACCTCTTCAGACTATGTAAGGAATGCTGATTTTCAGATATGTGTTTGTTGTTACTGGGAAAGTAGAACTCGTAGAGCCAGAAAGTCATTATACTCAAGTTTTGTCTTTTGTAAGTCTTCATCCTTAAGTTCCTGGATGCTCCTTTCCATCAGTTTTTTTTTTTTTTTTTTTGTTTTGAGATGGAGTCTTGCTCTGTCACCCAGGCTGGAGTGCAGTGATGCGATCTCGGCTCACTGCCAGCTCTGCCTCCTGGGTTCAGGCCATTCTCCTGCCTCAGCCTCCCGAGTAGCTGGGACTACAGGCGCTTGCAACCACGCCCAGCTAATTTTTTGTATTTTTAGTAGAGATGGGGTTTCACCATGTTAGCCAGGACGGTCTCGATCTCCTGACCTCGTGAACCACCTGCCTCGGCCTCCCAAAGTGCTGGGATCACAGGCGTGAGCCACCGTGCCCGGTCTCCATCAGTAAAGGAGACACTGAGATTCCTGTTTCAAGGGTGAGGAAAGCCAGGCCCATAGTGATCAAACAATTTGTGTAACAGATGAGCTCTAAGATTCATCATATATCAGAGTTTTGGGCTTAATGGGTAATTTACTGCTGTTTCTTGCCTGACGTTAATGTATATTTTGGCAGCTTTTTATTAAAAAAAATTTTTTTTAATTAACGAATATTTTTTTGAGACAGATTCTCACTGTGTTGTCCAGGCTGGAGTGCAGTGCCACTATCTTGGCTCACTGCAACCTCTGCCTCCTGGGCTCCAGTGATTCTCTTGCCTCAGCCTCCTGAGTAGCTGGGATTACGGGCGTGCACCACCACGCCTGGCTAATTTTTTGTATTTTTAGCAGAGATGGGTTTTGCCATGTTGTGCAGGCTGATCTCAAAATTCTGAGCTCAGGTGATCCACCTGCCTTGGCCTCCCAAAGTGCTAGGATTACAGGTGTGAGCCACTGCGCCTGGGTTACAATTTTTTTTTTTTTTTTTTTTTTGTAGAGATTGGGTCTTACTACGTTACCCAGGTTTATCTGGTACTCCTGGCCTTAAGCCATCCTGTCTCAACCTTCCAAAGTGCTGAGATTATAGTTGTGAGCCACTGTGCCCAGCTGCTTTTTCTTAGTTTTCTGGAATGTTGAAGGTCACAGTTTTCTCCTCGGCACTGACTGGGCCCTCTCTGACAGTAGCTTGTACTTAGAATAAATAATCAGCTGAAATGAATGAATGAATGAAAAAAGAATATTTGTGGTTTTCATTCAAAGTAGAAAAGTGATGCTATCAACATTTTTTCCCCCTTGTGAAGGCACTGGATTGATCTATGATGGTGGAATGCAAGAAGTACATGTTCTACCATCAGCAAACAGTTGACCCCCACCTCTGCTAGCAACTGGCGATGGACTAGGTCCTACTGATGTTGGCTATCTTGCCTCCTGGTTGCTTGACTCCAGGTAACTGATAGGAACTCAAATGCTTAGAGCTCTTAAAATTTGGAACTAAAATCCAAGATTTTATAGATTTCTCCAAATTGTGGCAATGTGAGCATATTTCCAGATAAAGCACCTTCCATCTGCCACTGTCTTGTCTATACATAGGCCGTATATTTGCAGTGGGGGTGATATCACCCCCAAGGGGGTGAACACTGGTTCTCAGGAGAGAAAAAAAACTTACTTGGATGTATAAAGCACAGATAGGCATATAGTACATAAACAGATGTACATTGTATCTGTGGTATTACTTTTTCATGGAGGGGATGATTAGCAAAAAAGTGTCTAAAAAGTGTCCTTAGGGGGAAAGAATGAAAAAGATTGAGCTGGACACAGTGGCTCACACCTGTAATTCCAGCACTTTAGGAGGCTAAGGTGGGAGGATCGCTTGAGCCCAGGAGTTTGAGACCAGCCTGGGCAACATAGTGGGACCCGTCTGCCGGTCTTTGTACACACACACACAAATTAGCTGGATGTAGTGGTGCATGCCCATGGTCCTAGCCACTCGAGAGGCTGGGCTGACGTGGGAGGATCACTTGAGCCTGGGAGGTTGAGGCTACAGTGAGCCATGAAAGTACCATTGCACTCCAGCCTGGGTGACAGAGCCAGACCCCTCAGACCCTGTCTCAAAAAAAAAAAAAGAAAAGATTGAGACTGATATAGGCTGCAGTAATTGTATTATTATCATACAACTTTGCATCTTGCTTTCACCATTAACATTTCAGGACAAAACTTTACCACATTGCTCCATGGGCTCACTATTGATCACTTTTATGGAATGTACAGTCCATCATTCATCATTTTGCATGTAGTACAACTTTTAACTATTGATTCTAGTTGTAGAAACTTAGCCTATCTTCCTCTCTCCCTCTCCTCCCTCTCTCCCTCTCTCTCTCCCTTCCTCCCTTTCCTCTCTTTTTCTTTTGAGACAGGGTTTTGCTCTGTTGCCCAGGCTGGAATGCAGTGGTGATACAATTATAGCTCACTGCAGCCTTGATCTCCTGGGCTCAAATGACCCTCCCACCTCAGCCTCCTGAGTAGCTAGGACTAAAGGTGCGCCACCACACCCGTCTAACTTTTTCATTTGGTGTAGAGACAGGGTCTCAGTATATTGCCCGAGCTGGTCTTGAACTCCAGACCTCAAGTGATCCTCCTGCTTCAGCCTCCCAAAGTGCCAGGATTACAGGTGTGAACCACTGTACCTGGCTTTCCTTCTTTCTTTTTTGTTTCTGTTATAAGTAATGATGCAGTGAACATTTTTTTTTCAAGGTAGTTTTCCATCCCTTAGATTATGTCTGTAGGGAGATTTTCCAAAAGTAGCATTAACATCGAAGAGTTTATCACTTTTGATTCCTTTTTTTTTTGGCCTATAATTAAACTCAGTTGAATTGATTTGATTTTTTCCAAAGTGGTTGCACTAGTTTCAATGCTGCTAGTAAGAATAAGGGCTCTGGTGGAAGCAGAGGTTGGCCAGAAATTTGGGGTTCAACATTCAGCAAACATTGGATGATAGTTTGGTGCATCCTCTATCACTTATCAAAAGGTTGTTACCACTGGGGTCTGTTGAAGCAAAAGGATGTTGTTGGGACCGTGCTGAGTGTGTTAGCCAGGGCTCTTTTCAGTGGAATGTGGCAGAAGCTGATGAAACTGATTTCAACAGCATGGGAATATATGGTGTCTTGTAATGGAAAAGTCTAGACATAGGGCTGGCTTCAAGCTTAGCTGGATCCACGTGTTAAAGGACTATCAGGATTATCTTTCTGTCTGGCTGTCAACTCGTCTTTTCTCTCTGTTGGCTTCACCCACAGGCAGCCGCTCCTCCATGGAGCGGGCTGGCCATGTGGTCATCCTGCAACCCATCACTGTGATTTTGGTTGGCCAGGTCTGGACCATAAGTCTAGTCTGGAGCCTGTGGCTGGGAGTCCATCCTACTAAATTGTCTGGATGGAGGATGAACTTCAGGGGAAGGGCTGCTGTAATTTTGGATGGGGTGGTTAGGAATGTGATGTGGCAGCAGAGGCTTCCTGAGGCAGGTGGCTCCTAGGTTTTCTTCCTGAGCAGCTGAAAGGGGTTGGAATTGCCTTATCTTTTTTTTTTTTTTTTTGAGATAGAGTCTTGCTCTGTCACCCAGGCTGGACTGTAGTGGCGTGATCTTGGCTCACTGCAACCTCTGTCTCCCATGTTCAAGTGATTCTCCCGCCTCGAGCGCCACCATGCCTGGCTCATTATTGTATTTTTCGTAGAGATGGGGTTTCACCATGTTGGCTAGACTGGTCTCGAACTCCTGACCTCAGGTGATTCACTGACCTCGGGCTCCCAGCGTGCTGGGATGACAGGTGTGAGACACTGTACCTGACCAGAATTGCCTTTTCCTGAGGTGGGAGAGCCAGTAGGGGAGCAGGTTAGGTGGGGGCTGAGCAGTTTGAATCCTGCAAGGGGAGTGAGGACTCTTTTCCTTGCCCTGACTTTTTGCTGTCCGGGAGCCCTTCAGAGACCTGGCACTAGTGTTTCCTCTGCTCACCCAGGCAGTACCCCGCTTCCTCCGAGGAGGGAAACTTGCCCACTCCATCTCATTTTTCTTCGCTTGCATCTGTGTTTCTTGGAATCTGCTCTTTCCTCCTACAACTTAAAAAAAAAAAAAAAAAGCGAAAACCCAAAATGACATTAAAAACTATTGTGAAAACAGAATATACCTTTAAATATACATTCCTGGCACATTTAATATTTAAATTTGTAGGTATTCCTCTTCTGCCTTTGTTCAAAGCATACACTATATATGCATTTTGCATAATTGCATTGTATCTCCGTTTGAGCGTTTCTGCTTACATGATAGCACTTATCCACGTTCCTTCTCTTCACGATTCTTTGAAAAGGCAGCATAGCATTCCACCAAATTGATGTACCGCAGCTATTTAACCTCTCTCCCATTGCAAAAGACAGTCAATTCCATTTATGGTGTTCTAGGATAGGATTGGTAGGCGTTTCCTGTGAAGGGCCAGATAGTAAATATTTTCTACTTTGTGGGCCATCTGGTCTCAGCCTCAAGTATTCATTTCTGCTGTCGTAGTTTGAAGGCAGCCACAGACCATGGGTAAGTGAAAGGACGTGGCTGTGTTCCAATAAAACTTTATTTAGAAAAAGTCAGCAGCTGGATTTGGCTCGGGGGCTATAGTTGACTGACCCCTACACTAGGACACTGCAATACAAATCTTCGTGCCCATTGATGCTCAGGAAGTCATTGTGTTATTACGGAAAAGCTTCGGATACAGACAAGTTCTGGATTTAACTCCCTATTGAAGAAGTTGGGCAGTTTTTTGTTTTCTGTCTTATTTTTTTGAGACAAGGTCTCACTCTGTCACCCAGGCTGGAGTGCAGTGGTGCAGTCATAGCTCACTGCAGCCTCAACCTCCTGGGCTCAAGTGATCCTTCCTCCTCAGCTCCCCAGGAGGCTGGGACTACAGGTGTGTGCCACCATACCTGGCTAATTTTTTTTTTTAAATTTTCATAGAGACGAGGCCTTACTATGTTGCCTAGGGTGGTCTTGAAGTCCTGAGCCCAAGCAGCCCTCCCACCTTGGTGTCCCAAAGTGCTGGAGTTACAAGCGTGAGCCACTGCACCCGGCCTGGGCAGATTTTTGAACTTCTCTGACTTTTACTCTTTTTTTTTTTTTTTTTTGAGACAGAGTCTCACTCTGTCACCCAGGCTGGAGTGCAGCGGTGTGATCACTGCAACCTCCACCTCCTGGGTTCGAGTAATTCTCCTGCCTTAGACTCCCGAGTAGCTGGGACTACAGGTGCGTGCCACCACGCCCAGCTAATTTTTGTATTATTAGTAAAGACGGGGTTTCACCATGTTGGCCAGGCTGGTCTTAAACTCCTGGCCTTGTGATCTGTCTGTCTTGGCTTCCCAAAGTGCTGGGATTACAGGCGTGAGCCAGCATGCCTGATTCTGACTCTTACTCTTAATTCCCTTTTCAGAAAATGGAAATTAAAGCAAGTAATGAATGTATAGTGCGTTTCTCAGGACCTGGAACATAGAGGACCAGGTGAAATTGTTATTTGTATCTTTTCTCATTTCCCCTGTTCCTTTTTAGCTTAATTTCCAAGGTGTGAAAAGGGATTTTGATTTATTTTTGTAGCTTTTGATATGCATTGCCACATCGCTTTTCAGAACTTACTGCACCCATAGATTGTTACCAGTGGTGTGTACTTGATTTATCATAGCTTTACCAGCATTGGGGAATTTCACTTTAAATGTTTCTTGGAGGCTGGGTACGGTGGCTCATGCCTGTAATCCCAGCACTTTGGGAGGCTGAGGCAGGTGGATCACCTGAGGTCAGGAGTTTGAGACCAGCCTGAACAACATGGTGAAACCACACCTCTACTAAAAATACAAAAATTAGCTGGGTGTGGTGGCGGGTGCCTGTAATCCCAGCTACTCAGGAGGCTGAGGCAGGAGAATCACTTGAACCCGGGAGGCAGAGATTGCAGTGAGCCAAGATCATGCCACTGCACTCCAGCCTGGGCGACAGAGTGCGACTCCATCTCAAAAAAAAAAAAAAAAAGTTTATTGGTTAATTTGTAGTTACATAATGGTGCCATGTGGTAGTTATTAATAGGCATATAATTTGCATTTCTCCAACCAGGAGGGAAGATATTCTTTCTTTTTTGAGATAGGATTTTGCTGTGTCACTCAGGTTGGAGTGCAATGGTGTCATCAGTGCTCACTGCAGCCTTGACCTATAGGCTCAAGTGATCCTCACACCTCAGCCTCCCTCATAGCTTGGACTACAGGTGTGTGCCACCACACACGGCTAATTTTTAAAAAACTTTTTGTAGGGACGGGGTGTCACTGTATTGCCCAGGCTGGTCTCAAACTCCTAGGCTCAAGCAATTCCCTTGTCTCTACCTCCCAAAATGCCAAGACTACGGGTGTGAGCCACCATGCTTGGCCTATTGTCTCTTTAAAGTTTTTGTACATTGCCATGCTAGTGTTTTTTTTTTATTTTGTTTTCTACAGCAAGAACTGGTGAACTGGGTTGGCCTCCTGTTTTGCAAATAAAGTTTTATTGGAACAAAGCCATTTCTATTCAATTACTGTTATCTATGGTTGCTTTCAGGCTGCAATGGCAGAATTGAGTAACTGTGACAGAGAGTGTATGGCCTGCAAAGCCTAAAATATTTACTGTTTTGCTCTTTACAGGAAATACTTGCCAATCCCTGCTCTAGAGTAATTTTTTTTTTTGAGATGGAGTCACACTCTGTCGCCCAGGCTGGAGTGTAGTGGTGTAATCTCAGCTTATTGCAACCTTAACCCCTTTGGGTTCAAGCGATTTTCCTGCCTCAGCCTCTCAGTAGCTGGGATTACGGGTGGGTGCCATCATGCCTGGCTAATTTTTGTATTTTCGGTAGAAACGGGGTTTCACCATGTTGTTCAGGCTGGTCTTGAACTCCTGACCTCAAGTGATCTGCCTGCCTTGGCCTCCCAAAGTGCTGGGATTACAGACGTGAGCCATGATGCCCGGCCTGCTCTAGAGTAAATTGATGGTCCCCATTCTTTGCTCATTTATTTTGTCTTTGATCTTAGACACCATAAGCCCACATGGATGGCCCGAGCCCATCTGTCTGCATGCAGAGCCTGTCTCTTTCCATTGTGTGCTGGCAGACAGTCTGTCCTTTTGTCCTGGGCCAGCTGTGCCACTTCACCCTACAATACTGGGAGACAGCGCCCTGACTTTGGGGGAGAACGATTGTCCATTTTATCTGTGCGTATGCTAAGTCTAGAGCAGATAAAACCACCACCGCACTCTGCCCATGACAGGAATGAGGCAGCCGTTGTGCCCTGGCCAGTTCTGGTCCTTTTTATTTAAAGTAGCAACTTGGGGAGCCACAGAAGTGAGCTGCACCAGAATCTAGATTCAACAACTGTTGAGTTCCTTCTGTGATGGGAGAGAGTTCGTGAGGCTTCTGTCTATGTCCGAGAGCTCACAATGCATAATCCCTCCCACGATGGGGATTACATCAGCGCTATGGCAGGACTGCAGGGCCATGGGAGCACTGTGTAGAGGGACAGCAGTGTGTCCCTTGGGGGACCCTCTGCAGGAAGGCTTCTCTGAGAAGGGAACGTTTGAGTCAGCCATCGGGAGGCTGTTTTTTCTTTGGCAGCACTTTGATGATGTAGCCCTTTTTCTGTGCTAAGATTGAGCCATTCAAGGAGTGAGCCTGGTTTTGTGGAGGTTGAAGTGTACAAGGTTTGGGGTAAAATGTCAGGTCTGTCACCTCTGAGCTGTTCCTTGGGTAAATGATCAATGTCTCCAAGTCTCAGTTCCTTTGTTTGTTTCACCAGGGCGGCCAGCCCCCACCTTCCAGGTAGATGTGAGGGTTAAACGTATGTCTCAGTATGGCGGATTGGTGGCGGGCCTGGCCCCAGGTGTGTTGTGTTTGTTTCATGTCGAGTTGGCTGGAACATTGTTCTCACAAGAGTATAATTAGGTGCCAACTAACTGACATAAAAAAGCTGGGTTTTCAGCCTCTCTTGAAAAACCAGGAGATGGGGCAATTGCTGGTATTGCTGTGAGGTACTGTCTGCTAGAGCTGGCTAGCAGCTGCCATCTTGAGAGGGGCACCTGCTCTGTTCTTGCAATCTGTGCCTTGCCAGCCCAACCCGCTCATTTCCATGCCTCACCTGACCCCTTGGGCACTGCGGGGGTCCCTCCTGGTCTTGTATGTGCCCCGGGCATATATTGGGCAGCCCTTTCTGCCCCCCTCCTCCTTTGCTTCTGCTTTCTTTCAGTTTCTTTATTTGGAATGGTTGTGGATTTTGGGGGGTGGGATGGGAGTTAAACAATAGCAGCAACACTAAAGTCATCATTGGGCTGGTAGCGCCGGGCATCCCAGATGCCCGCCAGTGTAACTGAGAATGAATTCTGCAGTGACAACAGGTTGATGATGTCCTTGTTCCCTGCAAGACTCTGTATGTGGGGCCTTGGTTAGAGGGCAAGGGAAGATGGGAGCATGATTATGATGCGGGCCTGGTCTACAGCCTGCTGGGGAACTCTCACGTTTAACCATCTAACCGCACGGTGGCTGTAAGGTCTACAAACTCCGACACTATTGTTTTAATTTTTAACCTGCCAGCCTTCATTATTTCTGCCAGGGCAGTGGGCTGTTAAATCCAGCCCAAGACCTGTTCGTTACATATTATCTATGGCTGTTGTTCACACTGCAGTGGCAGAGTTGGGTAGTGACAGCAACCCTTTGGCCCACAAAGCCTAAAATATTGACTGCGGGACTCTTTCCAGAGAAAGTTTGCTGACCCCCATTCTAGGGTATGCTAAAGGTGTAGGTTCAGTGAAAATCAGAAACAAATCATGTGAGGCAGCCCGCCACAGATGCACACGCAGGGCTTAGAGAAATGCTGTGTTCATTGCAGTTTTGCAGGGCACATTGGATGAATCACATAACATCATTGTGTGTATCCTGTAATACTAGTAAGTCATTTATTGTGTATTCATCTGCCCTTCCCGATGCTCTAGCCACTGCATAGATAATTCAGTGCAGGGTAAAGGAAATGAGAGCAAAAGGGCCAGAGCTAGGAACAGCAACTGAGGCAGGGGTGGCTGTCACAGAGGGCCTTTGCCGTGAGACTTGCCGTCTCATGAAGGAAGAGCCATGCCAGGCAGGGGGAGACAGGGGTGCAGGAGGGGCCCGTGGAAGCAAGGCATGGTTTCTATTACATTTATTCATTTTATTTTATAAAAATATAAATATATGTAAATTTATTTATTTATTTTTTATTTCATTTTATTTTATTTTGAGATGGAGTCTCACTCTGTCGCCCAGGCTGGAGTGCAGCGGTGTGATCTCGGCTCACTGCAACCTCCGCCTCCCAGGTTCAAGTGATTCTCCTGCCTCAGCCTCCCAATTAGCTGAGATTACAGGTGCATGCCACCACCTGAGGCTAATCTTTTTTTTTTTTTTTTTTTTCCAGTAGAGATGGGGTTTCACACGTTGGCCAGGCTGGTCTCAAACTCCTGACCTCAAGTGATCCACCCACTTTGGCCTCCCAAAGTGCTGGGATTACAGGCATGAGCCACCTCACCCAGCTGGGAGTAGCTTTTCTATTGTGTGATTCAATATGGGGACTGGGTTCTCCATGCAGTTGCCTTGTCTAGCCCTTGGGAGAATCCTACTGTAGTTGTTCCTTAGAATAGGAACATTTTCTCAGCCAACATCTACCTGTTGCAGTCCTTCTCATAAAAATATTGGGCCAAGAGTGGTAGCTCACACCTGTAACCTCAGCACATTGAGGGACTGAGGCAGGAGGATCATTTGAGGCCAGGAGTTTGAGACCAGCCCAGGCAACATAGCGAGACCCTGTCTTTACAAAACGTACAAAATTAGCCCAGTGTGGTGGTGCATGCCTGTAGTCCCAGCTACTTGGGAGGCTGAGGTGGGAGGACTGCTTGAGCCCTGGAGTTGGAGGCTGCAGTGAGCTATGATCATGCCACTGTACTTCAGCCTGGTTGACAGAGCCAGACTCCATCTCTTAAATTTTTTTTTTTAATTGAGGTGAAATTCACAAAACAAAGAATTAACTGTTGTTCTAAAGCAAGCAGTTCAGGGGCATTTAGTACAGTTGCATTGTTGAGCAATCAGCCCTCTATCTAGTTTCAAAACATTTTCATCACCCAAAGGAAACTCCATATCCATTAAGCAGTAGCTCCCCATCCCCCTACCACCCCAGCCCCTGGCAACCACCTGTCTGCCTTCTGTCTCTATGAATTTACCTGTTCTGTCCTTCCCAGTTTTGCAAGCACGGCTCAGGTTCCCAATTGTTCAGTGAGCTTGCCCTGGTCCCCACCAGGATGACAGTGTGGTGTGTGGAAGGAACACTTGCCTGAGAGTTAGGGAGAGCAGGGCTCAGCCTCCAATGCAGCACCTGCTTGACTGTGTGCCCTTGGGCAGAATTCCTCGCACACAGTGGGCACTCAAAGAGCATTGCCTTCTTTTTCTTTTCTCGCTTGTACCTGCTTAATGTGTTACAAGGATCTCACCAGGGAAATGTCTAGCATGACGTCACCTCCACCGCTGCATGGAGAGACAGCGAAATACCACTATTTAAATATCTGCAGGGCTGGGCGTGGGGGCTCACGCCTGCAATCCCAGCACTTCAGGAGGCTGAGGTGGGTGGATCACCTGAGGTCAGGAGTTCGAGACCAGCCTGACCAACATGGCGAAACCCCATCTCTACTAAAAATACAAAAAAAATTAGCCAAGCGTGGTGGTGGGCACCCGTAATCCCAGCTACTCAGGAGGCTGAGGTAGGAGAATTGCTTGAACATGGGAGGTGGAGGCCTTAGTGAGAAGAGATGGCGCCACCGTACTCCAGCTTGGGCAACAAAGTGAGACTCTGTCTCATAAATAAATAAATAAATAAATAAATAAATAAATATCTGTGTGGCCTTGATTAAGGGGCTTGACCTCTGTGGAATGGGAACCAGTTTACCTGGAGCTCCAGGGTTGCGAGGGTTAAAGAAGGAATATAGCCGGAGTGCCTGGTTGCCTCCTGCTTGTTTTCTCCTCCCCACGTGCCAGGGGTCCTCTTTCACCCTTTCATCTCCCAGGGCAGCAAACACAGAGGCTTGGATTGAATTGCTTTGCCTGGGCTTTGGAGAGAAGGTAGCTAGTTGAAAGGACTTCTGGGAGCCAGAGGTCTTGATACCTTGGGGTAAGGGTTGCCAACAATGATGATAATGATAGCTAATTTTATTAAATGCTTGGTATATACCAGGCACTGTTCTAGGTGCACAATACAATTTCCCTCATTTTATCGTCCGAAGAGGTAGGTTCTATGATGAGCCTGAAGGAGGGAGGTTAAGTAACTTGCTCATGATCACATGGCTGGTGGAGTAGGATTCTAACCCACACTATCCTGTTCTTAATTTCTGCTCTTTCTCTCCAGGAGGTCACTGTAGCTTGAATGGTGACCCCAGGCAGAAGGCTAGAGATTTGTGGTAAAAATTAATGTAGGATCCAAAGGACTCTAAACATTAAACATTAGATCCTGAGAGTTCTAAACATTGAAGACAAAGGCCGGGCGCGGTGGCTCATGCCTGTAATCCCAACACTTTGGAAGGCCAAGGCAGGCAGATCACCTGAGGTCAGGAGTTTGAGAGCAGCCTGGCCAACATGGTGAAATCCCGTCTCTACTAAAAATACAAAAATTAGCTGGGCATGGTAGCAGGAGCCTGTAATCTCAGCTACTTGGGAGGCTGAGGCAGGATAATCGCTTGAACCCAGGAGGCAGAGGTTGCAGTGAGCTGAGATCGCGCCATTGCACTCCAGCCTGGGTGACAAGAGCAAGACTCCGTCTACAAACAAACAACAACAACAAAACATTAAAGAGAGACCCAACTAGGTGACTGACTTTCCCGTGCACATGAGGATTCTGAGTAGAGTTAGGGAGTGTCAGCTGACTGCATTTCTCAGACAGGTTTGTGGACCCCTGGAGGTATTCCCTTGGGTGCCTTTCCATTTTCTGTTTTCATTTTGATGGTGATCTAAATGAGAAATAAAAAGAAGCCTGTTCTTGTTCACCTGGTTGACTGCTGGCTGGGGGCTGCCCCTGGAGATGAGGAAGCAGGAACATGGGGTTTGATCGCTCCTGTGTGGCAAAGTGTTTGCTGAATTTGCACTGGGCCACTGCTGCAGGTTGTGATGGAGGTCGAGGGTGAGCAGGGCTTAGCAGCTGGCAGCTCCAGGATCCCATGGACTTGGAAATGTATCCCTCCTCGGCCACTTCCCATGAGTCTAGCCCTGGGTAAAGGTCTTTTCCTCTCTGAGTCACAGTGTTCTCTACTGAATGGAACCACTTTTCCTTCTTTGTCAAGGATTAAATAGGTCATTTAATGACTTAGCCTGTGGTTGGGATTCGGTAGGTGGGCACATTGTTCCTACTTCTCTCTGAGTGGCGGCAACATTTGAAGCTGGCAGATTCTTCTGGGCCCTGGCGGAGGTGCTGTACTCTCCACTGGATTCAAAGGGAGAAGGTAAGAAGGAGACTGGTAGCATTGATTGCTCTGCCTGCCTGTCTCTGCAGAGTCTCCATAGACTGTAGAGCTGGAAGGGCATGATCTCATGCAGAAACCAGTGGCCAGACAAGGGAAGTGACTGTCCCTGTCACATGGCTAGCAAGCAGGCCAGGCAGGATGAGAGCTCAGGCCTTGTGACTTCCCGTTCAGTGCTCTCCACTGTTCCTCTCAGTTGATAAGTGGTCCTGAGACCACCTGTGCTCCTTGCAGCCTAGTAAACCCCCTTCTCTCTTATTTATTTATTTTTGAGACACTCTCACTCTGTTGCCCAGGCTGGAGTGCATTGGTGCAATCTTGGCTCACTGTAACCTCCGTCTCCCAGGTTCAAGCGATTCTCCTGCCTCAGCCTTCTGAGTAGCTGGGACTACAGGCGCCCGTCACCACACCTGGCTAATTTTTGTATTTTTAGTAGAGACGGGGTTTTGCCATGTTGGCCAGGCTGGTCTTGAACTCCTGACCTCATGTGATCCGTCCGCTTTGGCCCCCCAAAGTTGCTGGGATTATAGGTGTGAGCCACTGTGCCTGGCTGACCCCTTTCTCTTAAGCTCATTCAGGGCTAAGTTGGCCACAGCTGCCCCTTCTGAGGTCAAGATTATCTCACTTGACAGCTTCTTGCCTGCAGAGAGATCACAGCCAGGAAGTGTGAGCCTCTGGGTTGAGACCTGCACAATCTCGGGTAGTTTTTGTATAAAGAACAGGTTTTTCTTTTCTTCCCCCCCCACCCCATCATGAAAAGAGGCTTTGCAGAGTAAGGCAGAGGAGGCTGCTGACATCTCATCCAGAATAATCAGTAGAGCAAAATACTCTTAAAAAAAAAAAAAAAAAAGACATCGAGGATCATTGTGCATACCAGGAAGGGTAGGTGCTAAACCTTTATTATTCAGGTGTGAAAGGAGCCGGCAGTGTCAGCTCCACTGGAAGCTTACGAGAAACACAGAGTTGGCAGGGCACGGTGGCTCACACCTGTAATCCCAGCACTTTGGGAGGCCGAGGTGGGTGGATCACGAGGTCAGGAGTTTAAGACCAGCCTGGCCAACATGGTGAAACCCTGTCTCTACTGAAAATACAAAAATTAGCCGGGCGTGGTGGTGCGTGCCTGTAATCCCAGCTTTTTGGGAGGCTGAGGCAGGAGAATTGCTTGAACCTGGGAGGTGGAGGTTGCAGGGAGCCGAGACTGGGCCACTGCACTCCAGCCTGGGTGACACAGCAACACTCCGTCTCAGAAAAAAAAAAAAAAGAGTTAGGCCCCATCCTCAACCTCCTGAACCAGAACCTCCCTTTTGGGCTGGGTGTGGTGGCTCACACCTATTATCCCAGCTGTTTGGGAGGCAGAGGCAGGAGGATCGCTTGAGTCTGGGGTGAGACCCCGTCTGTATAAAAAATAAAAATAAATAAATTATCTGTGAGTGGTGCCCTGTGCCTGTAGTCCCAGCTACTCGGAGGGCTGAGGCAGGAGAGTCGATTGAACCCAGGAGGTTGAGACTGTAGAAAGCTATGATTGTGCCACTTACTCTAGCCCATGTGATAGAGATCCTGTCTCAGAAAAAAACGCCAAAAAATAAATTGCTGCTTTTTAACAAGATCTCCAGGAGATCTGTGTGGACATTAAAGTTTGAGAAGCACTGCATTAAAAAATTATCACTAGGGAGATGAAAGAGATTTTTATTTTCTTTGTACATTTTTTCCTGATTTGTTATTATTCTATTTTTTTCCTGCATGAATTGCTTTTATGATGAGAAAAAAATAGCAAAGGCATTTCCAGTGCGGGGAACCCTGTCAAGTTTCCAGTTGGCATTGCTCAAGGGCAGGTAGAGCTGTCGGGCTCACTCATACTTGGAAAAAGGAAGAAAGCAAGCCTAACTTTTTTTCTATTCTGGTGTTAGGGAGGGAAGATCAGAATCCAAACCCTGGATTCTGAAACAAAGAGCGTTTGATTGATAGACACAGGTGTCAAGAGGTGTTGGAGGACCTTGGCCAGATGGGTCTATAGCCATCCTGAGCGATGCCTTGAGATGCCTCATGGCTGGTGGGAATGGTGCCTAGGCTATTCTTGATCGAAACCTCTTCCAGAAAAAAATACTAACGGTACTTTTTGAAGAGTCAGTTGTTTTATTGTGTGTCTCAAAGAATCTGCTGACTGGTTTCATTACCAGGCCTGGGGGTAAGGCAGGATCCTTGGTATTGTGGTCCTAACACAGGCTTTAGAGGTCTTGAGTCAGGATCACTGTTCCACCAATTAGTATTCAAATTTCAACAGTCTAACCCCTTTATCATGGCCCACACGATCCTATGTGACTGACATCTGCCCGCCTGTTTGATCTTTCCTTCCACTTTTTTGCTTTTTGCTCAAGCCACAGCAAACTTCCTTCTGGTCCTGGAAGACCAGAGCCAAGCTTGTCCTACCTCCGAGCCTCTCCCCTTGCTGTTTGCTCTGTCTGGAACACTGGCCTGCCCTGTCTTTCCATAGCTGTTCCTTCTCTTCATAGAGGGCTCAGCTCAAATGTCACCTGTGCAGAGAGGCCCTCAGTGGCTGCCTTGGCTAAAGCAGCCTTCTTGCTTCCTCCCTATCCCATCACTGTGTTTGTTTTGTCTTCCTAGTGTGACTCTCTAACACTTTTTCATTGATTAGTTTACATTTATACTTTTTTTTTTTTTTTGAGATAGGGCCTCACTCTGTCACTCAGGCCAGAGTGCAGTGGCACGATCTCAGCTCACTGCAGCCATTGCCTCCTGGGTTCAAGTGATCCTTCCACTTCTGCCTCATGAACAGCTGGGACCACAGGTGTGTGCCACCACGCCCGGCTAATTTTTTGTGTTTTTGGTAGATACAGGGCTTCATCATGTTGCCCAGGCTGGTCTCAAACTCCTGATGTCAAGCAATCTTCCTGCCTCAGCCTTCCAAAGTGCTGGGATTACAGGTGTGAGCCACTGTACCCGGCCTTCTAGTAGGATTTTAGCTCCATGAGAAGATGGATCTTTTACACCATTTAACTCCGGTGTCCTCAGCTCTTAAAACATTGCCTCACATACACTAGAAGTTAAATAAGTCCTGGGTGGATCAACACACACAATCACTTGACTTCCCCGAGCTTCAGCTTTCCCATCTGTGTTTGGGAACCTGGCTTATAGGGTGAATGTGAAGATGAAGGGAGATGATGCATGCATAGTGCTTAGCTTGGTTCCTGGCATGTAGGATGCGCCCAGCACACGGTGGTGGTTGTTATCAACCAGCTGGCCCTGGCTTGACCTGGAGGAATCACTGACCACCTCTGAGATAATGCCCTGCTGCTACTCTCTGGTGCAGCCCACGTAGAGTTGCCCAAGACAGAAGCAGCCTGATGGCAATTCAACGCCTGCAGTGTGGAGCGTCTGCCCTTAGAAACTGAATTTCAGTATCCTTTGAAGTGAATGTGCTCTGTGTCTGGTGCATCATACTCCGGGCTTTGTATCTTGCTTGGAGTCATTGGGCCTCTTGTGGAGATCAGGTGTGGCTCTACCAACTGTCTGCCTGGTGCTTTCAAGTGCTCTTGCCCCAGACCTTCCTAAATGGAAGTTCAGCATATGTCATGTGTGTCAGTTGGGAATGCTTTTGGATGCAAGTAACAGCCCAATGTGCAGTGGTGTGGACAAATAGGGTTATTTATTTTGTGAGAGTTAGCTTGTTTCTAGTCTTGGCTTACCAACTCAGTGATATCAGGGCTGGTGTCTTTGTGATTCTCTAGGTCTTTCTCTCAGGCTCATGACTTCGTGGTGGCAAAATGCTACTCTGGCTCCACCCAACATGTTTATGATTAAGGCATGAAGGATGGTGGAGGGAGTGATGCTCTGCATAGCTCTTCTTTCTATCAGAAATGAATGACTTTCCCAGAACTTTGGGAGCCACTTCTGCTTTCTTCTCATTGGCCAGACTGCTTAAGTTCAACCTCAGCTGCTGAGAAGAGGAGTAATCAGGTTTCACAGCTTGGATTGCTGAAGGTGGCATGGGAAAAGGATGTTGGAGATGATAGTGAGAACAGCCAGTGAGCAGTTCCTGCTGTACTGGGAAACTTATATTTTATTTTAGGCTGCTGGTTGACAACTGGGGGCAGTTTTGATTCCCAGGGGACATTTGGCATTACATGGAGACATTTTTGTTATAACTCAGGGGTTTGTGTGTGCTAATGCCACGTAGTGTGTAGAGGCCATGGATGCAGCTAAACATCTTACAATGTCAGTAGTGCCAAGGGTTGAGAAACCTTTAGACCATTCTAGACATGTTCAGATTTGGGGAAAATTAGTTTAGCTGTTTTCCTTTGATGCAGTAACAGGCAATAGCCAAACTTCATTGTAATGATACAGATTATTGATACCTAGTTGTGCTACTGATTTTGTTAAAGATCAGTAGGAAAGGACTGATCTAGTTGGGGACAGCCGTGTCCGAGCGTCAGAGAGAACTAATTAAGCCTCATTGCATTTTAGGATCACAGAACAATGACAAAAGACAATTTCTGCTGGAGCGACTGCTGGATGCAGTGAAACAGGTAAGCAGAAAGCACACATTTGCCTTTTTGGTCGAGTAATAGTGTCAGATAATTAATGTAGGTCATTTCTTCCCTATAACATACACAGACTAACTCCCACTTTATACCTGGGAACAGTGAAGTGATCTACTCATTTTTCCCAGGAAATGATAGAGCAGTGAACACGGTCAAGGTTGGGTTGGAGGAAGTCCTGTGTCTTGAATTCCCAAAGCCCTCTAGAGGACCCCATCCGTCAGTGATGTCCCTTCAAGAAAGGCACTGGGCCAGGTGCAGTGGCTCACGCCTGTAATCCTAGCACTTTGGGAGGTCAAGGTGACCGGATCACTTGAGGTCAGGAGTTCCAGACTAACCTGGCCAACATGGTGAAACCCTGTCTCTATAAAAATACAAAAATTAGCAGGGTGTGGTGGCAGGCACCTGTAATCCCAGCTACTTGGGAGGCTGAGGCAGGAGAATTGCTTGAACCTGGTAGGTGGTAGTTGCAGTGAGCTGAGATTGCGCCACTGCACTCCAGCCTGGGCAACAGAGTGAGACTTTGTGTCATTAAAAAAAAAAAAAGTCATTGATGTGGGTTTCAAAGTCTCATTGTCTCATTTCCAAGCAGTTGTGTTTGAGGGCAACTCTGAGGGGTGCAGAGGTGGTGGTTTGGAGTTAGGACCCTCGAGCACAAGAAGGCTAGGACAAGGAGGATGGAGGCCACGCCTGAGGTCCTCTGCTGCTGCCCCCAGCTGTGTGGACGCTCCAGGTAGCTTTGCTGTGATTGATGTGATGCTGTTTGTGATGCTTGACTCCGGCTGGGCTTGGAAGTAAGCTTGGATGTGAGACTGGAATCTGCTTGCCGCATGTACCAGATGCATGCTGCTGTTAGCTGTCACTGATCACACCTCCACTGTGTGCCAGGCTCTCTGCTAAGCACTTTATATTTAATCCTTCTAACAACACTGTGAGATTATAGTTCCTACAATTGGTTTCATTTTACGGATGAAGAGACTGAAGCTCAGAGGGATCCAACAACTTGCTCAGGGCGTCATAGTAAGAGGCAGAGCTAGGATCCAAATCTAGGAATTCTAGGAGCTTGCTTTTTGGAAGGGGCAGTTGACGGTTATAATTATGTGTGTAATTACACTATAGGGAGGTAAGTATTTTAATAGGGGTGTGTGTTAAAATTTTTTTTTTTATTTTCTAGAGACAAGGTCTTGCTGTTGCCTAGGCTAGAGCGCAGTGGTACCATCATAGCTCATTGTAACCTCAAACTCCTGGGCTCAAGCAATCCTCCCACCTTAGCCTCCTAAGTGGCTGGGACTACAGGTGCATGCCACCACATGTGCCGGGGTGTACGTTGAGTATTGAAGTGAGCCCAGAGAATGCAGTATCTACGCAAGCCTTGAGGCATTGTATGGTAGGAAGGTCACAGGCTTTTGGCTCAGACGTAGCTGGAATTAAAGGCCAGCTTTATTACTTCTTTAGCTCTGTGTGTACAGGGACAACTCGTGCACCCTCCCTGAGCAGCTCTCTGCTCTTCTGTAACTGGGTCACTTATCTGTGTATGGCTGCTGAGGGAATTGGATTGTTAAAGTAGGTAAAGGGCCTGGACAGAGCCTGGTCCTCTGTTAACATGGTAACATCTGGAGCCCATGTTATTAGCTGGTTCTTTCTCTGCTGCAGAAATGGAAAATATAATAAGGCGAAGAGGCAAGTTGAACTACTTTAAAGGTAGCAGTTAGAGAGAAATAAAGTGGAGCTTATGCCCAGAGCTGCTGCTGTTTTTTTTTAGATGGAGTCTAGCTCTGTCGCCCGGGCTGGAGTACAGTGGTGCAGTCTCAGCTCACTGCAACCTCTGTCTCCTGGGCTCAAGTGATTCTGCTGCCTCAGCCTCATGAGTAGCTGGGACTACAGGTCCGTGCCATCACACCCGGCTAATTTTTGTATTTTTTAGTAGAGGTGGGGTTTCACCATGTTGGCCAGGCTGGTCTCGAACTCCTGACCTCGGGTGATCCGCCCAACTCGGCCGTCCTAACTGCTGGGATTACAGACGTGAGCCACCGCGCCTAGCCTGCTGTTATTATTATCATTATTATTATTATTGTTATTTTGACGGTTAAAGTGTTGCATATGACTTTTTTTGCATGACTTTCAAAAATAAACTTTATTGATGTATAATTTACATATAATAAAATATAGCCATTTAAGTGTACAGTTTCATGTGTTTTGACAAATATGTCATTTAAAATTATATGTATATACACACACACATATACACATACACACACACAGATACACACACACACATTGTAGTAGTTTTGATAATAAGTTTAGGAACCCTGCAAGCGTGCTACCCATAGCAGAGATACTATACCTTTAAAAGAAAAGACAAGTAGGCCAGGCACGGTGGCTCACACCTGTAATCCCAGTGCTTTGAGAGGTTGGGGCAGGAGGATATCTTGAGGCCAGGGGTGTGAGACCAGCCTGGGCAACATAGTGAGACCCCTGTCTCTACAAAAAATAAAAAATATCAGTTGGACCTGGTGGCACGTTCCTGTAATCCCAGCTACTTGGGAGACTGAGGTGGGAGAATTGCTTGAGCCTAGGTATTCGAGATTACCATGAGCTATGATGGCATCACTCCCCTTCAGCCTCGGTGACAGAGAGAGACCCTATTTTTTTTTTTTTTAAAGAAAATTAGAATAGTGGATAATGGTGATGATTGCTTAACATTGTGAATTGAAATTTACACCTAAAGATGGTTAAAATGGCAATGTTTATGTTATCTATATTTTAATTTTACTAATTCAAAAAGTAGCCTGCAGGGCCGGGCGCATTGGCTCACGCCTGTAATCCCAGCACTTTGGGAGGCCAAGGCGGTCGGATCACCTGAGGTCGGGAGTTCAAGACCAGCCTGACCAACATAGAGAAACCCCATCTCTACTAAGAATACAAAAATTAGCCGGGCATAGTGGCACATGCCTGTAATCCCAGCTACTTGGGTATCTGAGGCAGGAGAATGGCTTGAACCCGGGAGGCAGAGGTTGTGGTGAGCTGAGATCGATATTACACTCCAGCCTGGGCAACAAGAGTGAAACTCCATCTCAAAAAAAAAAAAAAAAAGGAGTAGCCTGCTTCTATTTTTCCCACCCTCAGTAAATTGTCATTCCGCACAACCAGATGACTCATATGAGGCTTGATTTGTGCTGTTGTAACGTCATAGCCAGTCATGACAACTCTGGGGCTCGTCCAAAGGGATCCATTCAGCACAGGCTTATAGAAGTTGTAATTATCGCCCGTGAAGAGCTGTGTGTGGTAGACAGTCAGCTGCCGACAGGCAGGAGCAGCTTCCTGGATAATGCACAGATGGCTGTGTGCTTTTGTTTTTCTGTTAGCAATGTTTTCCCACAAGGCTTGCTTCTGTACAAGTGGGAGATAAGGGTTTCCTTTAAGTGGCAGCTTCAAGGCTGGGGTGCGCACCTTCTTAAGTCTTGTGCTGATACCCAGGGGACAGGGACGTCCTCACTTGGCATGCAGAGCTTCTGGTCCCGTGTCCCCTCCCTGACCCTTAAGCCCTGTGTAGGCTGTTTTATGACGTTTTGAGTGTCCCATCCCAACAGCTGATCTCAGCAGCTTCTTTTTCTGTGCAGTGCCAGATCCGCTTTGGAGGGAGAAAGGAGATTGCCTCGGATTCCGACAGCAGGTAAATATGTCACTTCTAAAACCGTTGACCATCGAGGTTGGAAAGGCGGCAGAAGGTGGCCGGCTTCTAAAACCGTTGACCATCGAGGTTGGAAAGGCGGCAGAAGGCGGCTGGCTTCTGGGCTCTGCCTCTGCAGCCAAGAGGTGCAGCGCTGAAATTTGACTCAACCGTGGACTCTGTGCGGTGACTGCTCATCTCCAACACTCCACATTTTCCATAATTCTCTTTCTAGGAATCTATTCTGAGGGAATTATTCGAGATACCTTTCCATATAAAGTTATTTTCAGGGTAATTAATAATTATGAGAACTTGGATGCCTAAATACCCAAGATTTGGGAAATGGTTAATAAAATATAGTGCATTAATGGGGTGGAATGTTATATAGCCATTAAAAATGATGTTTATGTAGAATTTGTTTTCAACAGAAAAATGCATAGGTAGTGATTTAAAAATTACATATATAGTAAAAAGGCATATGTTATAACAAGAGCAGGATCCGAAATTCTATGCGTATGGAGTGGTCCTAGCTATGTTAGATAGCACCTCTGGCCAGAACACACCGAAACGTGGCCTGAGGTAGCAGTAGGGGTAAGAATACTGGGAATATTGCTTTCTAGTATTTTTCACATTTTTTATTGTGATCATTTGTTCCTTTTATGACAAAAATAATTCCTAAAAATGGGCCGGGTGCGGTGGCTCATGCCAATAATCCCAGCACTTTGCAAGGCTGAGGCAGGTGGATCACTTGAGGTCAGGAGTTCGAGACCAGGCTGGCCAACATGGTGAAACCCCGTCTCTACTGAAAACACAAAAATTAGCTGGGTGTGGTGGTGCACACCTGTAGTCCCAGGGTCTTGGGAGGCTGAGGCAGGAGAATCGCTTGAACCCAGGCTAATTTTGGGGAAAATTAAGGGTTTAGGAGGTGGAGGTTGCAGTGAGCTGAGATCGCGCCACTGTACTCCAGCCTGGGTGACAGAGTGAGACAGGATGAGACTGTGTCTCAAAAAATAAAATTCGGCTGGGCGCAGTGGCTCACGCCTGTAATCCCAGCACTTTGGGAGGTTGAGGCGGGTGGATCACGAGGTCAGGAGTTCGAGTCCAGCCTGGCCAAGATGGTGAAACCCCGTCTCTACTAAAAATACAAAAAATTAGCCAGGCACGGTGGCGGGTGCCTGTAATCCCAGCTACTTGGGAGACTGAGGCAGGAGAATTGCCTAAATCCAGGAGGCAGAGGTTGCAGTGAGCCGAGATTGCGCCACTGTACTCTAGCCTGGGCGACAGAGCAAGATTCCATCTCAAAAAAAAAAAAAAATTCCTAAAAATGGCCATTGACATTCACGACCCAGGAAAGGCTGACATCATTGCATAAGCTGATAACATTGGCTGGAAGGAGACACATAGGGCTTGGTAAAGGTAGGAGACACATAGGCATCCAGTCCTTGCTGCAAATGCGTTGTGAGCTCAGTCAGAGCTGATCCTTGCTCTGTAGCCCCTGGGGTGGCAGGAGGGACATTCCTGTGTGGGAAGGAAAGGGAAGGGAACTTGCTTGCTCAATGTTCATCTCATCCTGGAAACTGTTCATGTCCCCCACCCTCTCACCCTAGCCCACCCTCCTGTGTCCATCGTTCCTCTTTCTGTCCTTTCCTACCCTTGTTCTTTTGTAGAATTTTAACAGCCATGAGAAAGCATGTAGACCTTCCTGGAATAGAGCCACGTGGATGATTTGAAACTGGCACAGATTTAAAATGATGCACCCTATTATCCATTCCTTCTTTGCTTAGGTTTTCTCCATTGCACGTATTACCATCCAACAAACTATATATACATTCGGCTTTTTAATTTTGCCTATTACCTGTCACTATAATGTCGGCTCTGTGCAGGCAGGGATGATTTGCTGTCTTGTTTACAGATGTTTCTCTAGTGCCTAGAAGCATCTAGAAGGTGCTCAGTAAAAATTTGTTATCCGGATGAGCGTGTGTATCACATTGTACTGTAGTCAAGCATTTAAATATGTGTGCCACCACGAAGCCTGTAAGATTTGAAGGCAGAAAGGGTGTTTCTCCATTTATTTTTAAAATTTTACTTCTCAGTGTTGTACACAAGCACTTTGTGCCTGTCGTACATTAGATTCTCAGTATATGTTTGTGGCATTAGATCATTCGACTGATTGATCAATTTAGTCCTTCTTGAGGGCCTACTATGGGGCCTGGCCTTGGTCCACACAGGGATCCAAGGTCTGCTTGCATCAGAATCACCTGGGAGGCTTATTGATTAATGATCCTGTGTCTAAGTCCTGTCCTAGTTGTACTGGAGCAGGATGTGTATATGTGCATGAGTGTGTGTGTGTATGCCTGAAGCCGAGGAGCTTGCTGAGAATTTGCATTTCAACAGGACTCCCAGGTGATTCTGCTGGACACCAAAGCTTCCAGTGCAATCACTGTTCCAGGGTCTGGGATGCAAAGGTAATTAGGAAAGACTCCTCCTTCCTGGCCGGGTTGGTTTGTCTGTGTGTATGGGTGTGTGTGCCGTGTGTGTGTCTAAGTATCCATGACTTCTTGACCACTTTTCTTCATTACCATGCTGTCCACTTCCTGAGAGAGGCAATCCTGCTCTGAATGTTGGGTTAATGTATTCTTACACGGGTGGAGTATCCCTCATCCAAAAACCCGAAATTCAAAATGCTCCAAAATTCAAAACTTTTTGAGTACCAGCATGATGCTCAAAGGAAATGCTCATGGAAGCCAGTTGGATTTTGGAGTTTTGGATTAGGCGTGCCTAACTGTTAAGTATATAATGCAAATATTCCACAGTCAGGAAAAATCTGAAATCCGAAACATTTCTGATCCTAAGCATTTTGGATAAGGAATACTGAACCTATATAATAGAATTTACTACCATAACCTTTGTTATAGAAAATGTTCTATTTTATAGTAGAATTTAAAAAGTTAATTCTTTCTGTGATAACTGTTGTTTATGGCTAAAAGGAGTACGTGGCTTACTATTACTAATAATAGGCCAGGCGCTGTGGCTCATGTCTGTAATCTCATTGCTTTGGGAGGCTGAGGTAGGAGGATTGCTTGAGGCCAGGAGTTCAAGGCTGCGGTGAGCTATGATCGTGCCATTGCATTCTAGCTTGGGCAATAGACAGAGACCCTGTCTCTAAAATAATAATAATAATAATAATAATAATAGCCAGGCATGGTGGCTCACGCCTGTAATCCCAGCACTTTGGGAGGCTGAGGCGGAAGGATCACCTGAAGTCGGGAGTTTGAGACCAGCCTGACCAACGTGGAGAAACCCCGTCTCTACTTAAAATACAAAATTAGCCAGGCATGGTGGCACATGCCTGTAATCCTAGCTAAGCAGGGAGGCTGAGGCAGGAGAAGTGCTTGAACCCAGGAGGCGGAGGTTTTGGTGAGCCGAGATTGCGCCATTGCGTTCCAGCCTGGGCAACAAGAGCGATACTGTCTCAGAAAAAAAAAAAAAAAAAAGCAATAATAATAGTTATAGTTTGTGACTACTTTTGCTACATTTTATTTATGTTGATTCCTAGTCCTCAGAAGGAGCAGAAGTATTACCCTTTCTTTTTTTTTTTGAGACAGGGTCTTGCTCTGTTGCTCAGCCTGGAGTACAGTGGTGTGATCATGGTTCACATCAGCCTCAACCTCCCAGGCTCAAGATCTTCCCATCTCAGCCTCCTGAGTAGCTAAGACTACAGATGCAAGCCACCATACCTGGCTAATTTTTGTATTTTTTGTAGAGATGGGGTCTCACTATGTTGCCCAGGCTGGTCTCAAACTTGTGGACTCAAGTGATCCTCCCACCTTGGCCACCCAAAGTGTTGGTATTACAGGTATGAGCCACACTGTGCCTGGGTTATCCCTTTTTTACTGATGAGAAAACAGATTCAGAGAGGCAAAATGCCATAGCCTACGTTAGACGTTTTGGAACGGCTAGAGTTCCATGACTTGTTCTTTCTCCCTTGTGTGCTATTTAGTGACTAAATGGTTTTTGAGGCTGAGTTTAAAAAAAAAAATTATTCTCCTCTACCTCAGTGGGATTCCTTCTTAATATCAGAGACCTGGTCTTACCTTTGAAATGTATTTGGGTAAAGGTGGCACCACCTTCATGTTGGAAAGGCCACATCATTGTCCCTATTCTGTGAGAAAGTTGAATCTCGGCTGGATGCAGTGGCTCACGCCTATAATCCCAGCCTTTTGGGAGGCTGAGGCAGGCGAATCACTTGAGGTCAGGAGTTCAAGACCAGCCTGGCCAACATGGCAAAACCCCGTCTCTACTAAAAATACAAAAATTAGCCAGGCGTGGTGGTGCCCACCTGTAATCCCAGCTACTCGGGAGGCTGAGACAGGAGAATCGCTTGAACCCAGGAGGCAGAGGTTGCAGTAAGCCGAGATCACACCGTTGCAATGCAGCCTGAGTGAGAGAGTAAGACTCTCTCAAAAAAATAATTAAAAAGAAGAAGAAAGTTGAATCTCAAGAGGGAAAGTCAGCGAACATTTAAAAATAACTTAGGACTGACAAGATAGATGAGTTGCCTCCCTTCCTCACCGCTGATAGCTGGCCCGGCCCTGGAGTTGAGCTCAAATCCACTCACTTCCCTCCAACTCCTCTCCTGGCCCGCGGTCCCCATCACCAGCATCTCACAGCATGGCCGCTGCAGCCTTAGGCTCTTCCCATTCGTTCTTGTCCTGCTTCCACCACATTGAATGCAGAATGCAGATTCCCTCACCTCATGCTCCCTTGAAACCTCCCAGCTGCCTTGTCTTTGCTCTTGGGAGAAAGACCCACGTCCTTAACACAGCCTGGAGGCCTCACATGCCCTGCTCTCTGATCCAGCCATCTGCCCTTTTTCTCCTTTTGTTTTTAAAGCTTTTCACTACTTTTTCTTTCTTTTTTTGAGATGGAGTCTCGCTCTGTCACCCAGGCCGGAGTGCAGTGGCGCTATCTCGGCTCCCTGCAAGCTCTGCCTCCCAGGTTCACGCTGTTCTCCTGCCTCAGCCTCCCATGTAGCTGGGACTACAGACGCCCGCCACCATGCCCAGCTAATTTGTTTGTATTTTTAGTAGAGATGGGGTTTCACCGTGTTAGCCAGGATAGTTTTGATCTCCTGACCTTGTGATCCGCCCGCCTCGGCCTCCCAAAGTGCTGGGATTACAGGCGTGAGCCACTGCGCCTGGCCTGCTTTTCGCTACTTTTTCAAGGAAATTTTTTTTTCTTTTTTTGAGATGGAGTTTCGCTCTTGTTGCCCAGGCTGGACTGCAATGGCGCGATCTTGGCTCACCGCAACCTCTGCCTCCTGGGTTCAAGCGATTCTCTTGCCTCGGCCTTCCAGGTAGCTGGGATTACAGGTGTGTACCACCATGCCTGGCTAATTTTGTATTTTTAGTAGAGACAGTATTTCTCCATGTTGGTCAGGCTGGACCTGAACTCCCGACCTCAGGTGATCCTCCCGCCTCGGCCTCCCAAAGTGCTGGGATTACAGGCATGAGCCACCGCACCCGGCCTGGATCATTTTTGACTTACAAAAATGACAGCTTGTTCAAAATAGTTAAAAACAATATGTTTTTCGTATGCCTCTCTTTTTTAAAAGAGTGTGCAGATATCAGGCTCAGAGCCGTCCTCTGGCCATGGCAGAGAGTCAAAATTTATTACATTAATTGTATTTAGTTTTTTTTTTTTTTTTCTTTTTTAACTTGAGATGGAGCCTTGCTCTGTCGCACAGGCTGGAGTACAGTGGCGCAATCTCAGTTCACTGCAACCTCCACCTCCCGGGTTCAAGCGATTCTCTTGACTCAGCCTCCCTAGTAGCTGGGACTATAGGTGCGCGCCTCCAGGCCTGGGTAATTTTTGTATTTTTAGTAGAGACGGGGTTTCACTATGTTGGTCAGGCTGGTCTTAAACACCTGACCTCAAGTGATCCACCTGCCTCAGCCTCCCAAACTGGTGGGATTACAGGCATGAGCCACTGCGCCCGGCCTATGTTTAGTTTTAAGGCTACTGTTTTTATGTCATATGATGCTAGTTTACCATTTACAACTGTGATGGAGCTTTCCATTTTTTAAATTTTAAAATAATTTTTAAACAGGTGTATGTAACTGAACAAAGTGAGTCAAATTCAAGACAAATAAGTAAATAATAGTACATATCCTTACACCGAAAAAAAGCTGCCAAGGTGTTGGTGGATGAGTAATGTTTCGAGTAGAGACAGTGCTAGCAGGACAGAGCAGACCATTGCTGGATTTGGGAGCCTAAATGGTGCACCGTATTTTGCCAAAATACAAAATCCAAGGTGGATGTGTGTGAGCATGTTTTTGTATGTGTGTGTGGGTATGTGTGTGAGAGATATATATATGTATACATGTATATATATATTTTTATATGTGTGTGTGTATATATGTGTGTGTGTGTGTGTGTGTATATATATATATGTATATTTGATCTTGTGAGAGACGGACACCGTGAGATGCTGCCATCTTCACATGGAACATAAAACAGTATTGACATTAGGGGAAATGCAGGCGAGACTTGTTTTTTCCTTCAGATGGAGTCCTGAGAAGCCTCCCCAGGAGGAAGTGGTGGCAGCCGCTGGGCTCTGAAATGCGCGCTTCTCTTTGTTGGTGGTGTTTTCTAGCTCTGTTTTTCTCTAGGAACAAAGACTCGTTCTTATGGTTCATTGAAATTATTCCATGTTCTTTCAGTCAGACTGGCCTGTGAAGAAGCTTTAAGATATCTTTGGAATATTTTGCCCTCTAGAAATAATGGCCCAGGAGCTTTGTAGGCCCTAGAAGTTACCTCAAAGACTAGAAACGTGATTGTTCCGCCAAGGCGTCTTTGTCCCATACGGAATCAGAGGACGTGATCTGGAAGTTTTCCCTTCAAATTATGAACAGGAATGCTAACGGGGGCAGTGGAATCAGCATGGGCTTTGGAGCTTGGCATTTGAATCCTGGGTTTGCCAGTTCTGGGTTGTGTTGCGATTTTGGGCAAGTTTCTTTCTTGCACCTCAATATCCTCAACTCTGAAATGGGTAGTATAATGGTATTCACTTCAGAGGGTTGTTATGAGTCAGTTCATGTGCAACCCTTAAAACATTGCCTGGCAGGTAGTAAGTTTCCAGTAATTGTTAGCTGTTGTGATTTTCATTATAAGGATATGTAAGGTGTTTTGACACTTGGTAGACATTTACCACACACTCACACACTGGATCTCTTTGCCATATGGGTGGCAGTGAGTTGGCTTCAGGTATTCATCTGCATTTAGAAGTTGTTAATTATGGCCAGGTGCAGTGGCCCGCACTTGTAATCTCAAGCCCTTTGAGAGGCCAAGGTGGGAGGATCACTTGATCCCAGGAGTTCGAGACCAGCCTGGCCAACATGGCGAAACCCCATGTCTACAAAAAAACCAAAAATTAGCTAGCCAGGTGCGGTGGTGCAGGCCTGTGGTCTCAGCTACTCAAGAGGCTGAAGCGGGAGGATCACTTGAGCCTAGGAGGTCGAGGCTGCAGTGAGTCATCAACCCGCCATTGCACTCTAGCCTGGGCGATGTGAGACCTCGTCTCAAAACAAACAAACAAACAAACAAGAAATTGCTCTTTTTAATGAACTTTCAGGTGACTGTCAGAAGAAATCATAGGAGAGCATTTCTTCTCCTTTCAAAGCATGCAGAAAAGAATGATTTGTTTTGGTGATTTTTTTTTTTTTAACCTTTTGAGGAATTAGAATCAGTTTTGGACTTTTCAGGAAGCTAAAAACCAAAACCAGCTGCCCTTTGTTGTTCCTGATGTTATTCTTAATGCAGTTGAAAACTGTCACGTGTATCCCCCAGAGGACTTACGAAACGGAATGGCTTTTTCAGGCTTTTTTTTCTCTTTTAAATATCTCTGAATGTTTGTCATGTGATTTTTATGTTCCCTGCATCACAAGTTTCTTACCAGCCTCTAACTAGTTTGAGGTGTTGACTGGATGTTACGATTCTTGTCATCCTGACCAAAAATCCTGGGGTTCATTAATTGGACTCTCCCCCTCCCTTACCCCAAGTACTTTATTTCCACTTTGAGGCTCTGTAGTAGACAGTCCATATTGCATACTCTTTTATTTTACTGCTTGATTAAATGAATTGCTTGGGGTTTTTTTTTTTTTTTTTTTGAAAAAAGATTATTTCTAGCAATGGGGAACCTCCAGGACGTTTAACAAATCTAAGCCCATTTTTATATCTGATTTTTTTTTTTTTGAGACAGGATCGCACTCTGTCGCCCAGGCTGGAGTGCAGTGGCGTGATCTTGGCTCACTGCAACCTCTGCCTCCCAGGTTCTAGCGATTCTTGTGCCTCAGCCTCCGAGTAGCTGGGATTTTAGGGGTGTGTCACCACACCCAGCTAATTTTTGTGTTTTTAGTAGAGACGGGGTTTAACCATGTTGGCCAGGCTGTTCTCAAACTCCTAACCTCAGGTGATCCACCCTTCTTGGCCTCCCAAAGTGCTGGGATTATAGGCGTGAGTCACTATGCCTGGCCCTGAACCTATTTTTATATCTAAATTTAAATTAATATTTGTCTTACTTATATTGATAGTTGTTGAGAAATACTGCCTAGGCCATAATAAACATTATGTTAGCACCGTCATCTTCGTCATGAACCTGACAGTGGAGAGAGGTGGTGAGCATGGGGTGTGAGCTTTGGTGTCAGATATACTTACCTTCATGCCTCCTTCAGCCACAAATCACCAGTTACCAGCTGTGTAATTTTGGACTGACTTAGCTCCTTTAAACCTCGCATGCACCATCTGGAAAATCAGATAATAATAATGATACTCACTTGCTAGGGTTATAGTCAGGATTAGCTGTAATAATATTTGCTTGGTACACCCAGTTAAAACGTAATAAACTCAAAACTTTTTTTTGTATGACTAGACATACCTGTGTTTTTTGACAATTACTAGTAACTGAAGGTTGGAGGGATTGCCTCATTAATTCCTTCATTCAACAGGTATTTATTTATAGAGTACTATGTTGGCATTGGCGATGCAAATTGGATGAGATGGTTGCTGTCTTCAAGAAATTCAAAACTGAATCTGGGAGTTGGACATGTAAATTGTGGGCAATTATGGTGACCTGTAATAAATATTAGTTGTCATAGGGCGACAGCAGGGTTGTTAGCGGTCAAATAGGTGGGATAGGAATTTTAGGCAGAGGGAATAGCAGATGTGAAAGTGCAGGGATGTGGGGCAAAGTGGTGGGGTGCATGAATGAGTGTTGTTTGGTTTGGGAGATCAGTTGGAAAGTCAGCAGGTTCTTCTCTGCTATCACAGGGAAGTATTGGAATGCCATCAGTTAGGGCAGTATTTCTTTTGTTTATTTTTTATTTTTGAGACAGAGTTTTGCTTTTGTTGTCCAGGCTGGAGTACAGTGGTGCAGTCTTGGCTCACTGCAACCTCCGCCTCCCACGTTCAAGTGATTCTCCTGCCTCAGCCTCCCGAGTAGCTGGGACTACAGGCGCCTGCCCCCATGCCTGGCTAATGTTTGTATTTCTCGTGGAGATGAGGTTTCACCATGTTGGCCAGGCTGGTCTTAAACTCCTGACCTCGTGATCTGCCCGCCTCGGCCTCCCAAAGTGCTGGGATTACAGGCGTGAGCCACCGTGCCTGGCAGGGCATTATTTCTTAAACTTAGGCCATTGTGTACCATTTTCACCATTTTTGCCATTTCTATGTTCCATCTGAGCCAGAGGTTGGCTTGAGGTGGAATTCCAAGGCACTGTCTACTCTGGTCTGGTGCTGGTTATATTTTTTCCTGACACACATAAATGTTTATCTGGGTTTCCCTAAAATCGTGTCATGTACTGTGTACCTACAGCGTAGTATGGTACCAATTGGGAAAAAAGAAAGAAAATGACAAAGTCACATTTGCATTTCAGGTAGATAGCTTCTGCCCAGGATGCATGGGTTGGGGTGGGTGGAGGAGTGGAGGTGGGTGGGGTGAGATGGAATCTGGGAGAACCGGGGTTGGAGGGCAGAGTGAAGCAGGGACTGGGGAAGAGACAGAAGGATTGAGGTTTGGGACTGAGCCTTGATGAGATTCAGTGATTACCCAGATGTGGAGGTTGAGAAATAATGTCATGGCTCTACCATGGAAGCTTTGCATAAAACAGCAAAGCCAAATAGCCAGCAAACATATATTAGGAAAATAAAGACACCGAAATTCACTAGTAGTCAAGGAAATGCAAATTAAAGCAACAGTGAGCTGCCTACTTTTCACCCATCAGACTGACAAAACCTCAAAACAACAGTCAAGATTATTGTTAGTGGCCAGGCACGGTGGTTCACGCCTGTAATCCCAGCACTTTGGGAGGCTGAGTGGGGGACAGATTGCTTGAGGCCAGGAGTTCGAGACCAGCCTGGCCAACATAGTGAAACCCTGTCTCTACTGGGGGAAAAAAAAAAAAATATATATATATATATATATATATATATATATATATATATATCGAGAGAGGAGAAAAGGGTGGTCTCATGCACTGCTGGCCAGAAAGCAGGAATGAAAAGAAATATATATTGGTTTTTAAATTATTTATTTTTATTTATTTATTATTTATGTATTTAATTTTGTGATGGAGTCCCGCTGTGTTGCCCAGCCTGGAGTGCAGTGGCATAATCTTGGCTCACTGCAACCTCTGCCTCCCAGGTTCAAGTGATTCTCCTGTCTCAGCCTCCCGAGTAGCTGGGATTACAGGTACATGCCGCCATACCCGGCTAATTTTTTTTGTTTTGTATTTTAGTAGAGATGGGTTTCACCGTGTTGCCCAGGCTGGTCTTGAACTCCTGAGCTCAGGCAATCTACCCGCTTCGGCCCCCCAAAGTGCTAGGATTACAGGCATAAGCCACCGTGCCTGGCCTTTATTTTTATTTATTAAGAAAATGTTTTTAAAGACGGGTCTTGTTATATTGCCCAGGCTGGCTTTGAACTCCTGGCCTCAAGTGATCCTCCCTCCTCAAACTCCCAAATAGCTGAGACTCCAGGTGCATGCCACTGTGCCTGGCTGAGTTTTTATTTTTTTAAAGCAAGCTTTTGGTTTGAATTTTTTGTTCTCTCAGGCTGTGGACTTTGACCAGACTTGGAGATCCCATTGACTATTGGCTTCATGTGATTTCTCGTGTCTCATTTATTCACGCCTGCATCCAGGGGCTCTTGTTTTTCTCCATTCTCTTTTTCCGTTTTGATTTACTGGCTCCTGCAGCAGATTCCTTCTCAGTGCCAGCACCTGTTCCTGATTTTGTCATTCCTCATCCGCCAAGAGTATCCAGGCAGCATTTGCATCTAGACCAAGAGTTGGAGATCTGTCTATACCAGGGAGGACAATTATTGTTTATATTAGTAACATTTGGAAATTATCAGAGCCGGGCGCGGTGGCTCATGCTTGTAATCCAAGCACTTTGGAAGGCCGAGGAGCACAGATCACCTGAGGTCAGGAGTTGGAGACCCGCCTGACCAACATAGAGAAACCCTGTCTCTACTAAAAATACAAAATTAGTTGGGCGTGGTGGTGCATGCCTGTAATCCTAGCTTCTCAGGAGGCTGAGGCAGAAGAATTGCTTGAACCTGGGAGCCAGAGGTTGTGGTGAGCCGAGATCATGCCATTGTACTCCAGCCTGGGCAACAAGAATGAAGCTCCGTCTCAAAAAAAAAAAAAAAAAAGAAAAGAAAAAGAAAATCATCAGAAATTATGATTTACCATTTAAAGATAGGTTATTTTTCCATTTTCTGGTTCCTCTGTACAAAGATTAATTTGATTATTTGTATGTACCTTTCTGCTATTCTCAAACCTTCACACTTATGGTACCTTGAAAACTGCTGCCTTGTGAGTTATCACTGTTGCAAAGCATGAATTTTTTTCTTTTTACTTTTTGGTCAACTATTTTTTTTGGGGGAGAGGGGGAGGGTCCCGTTTTTTCTGTCCTGTATGTTTTCCTTCCCTTTGGGTTGCTTATGTTAATGACCAAGAATTATTTGTTCTATATTTTTCCATGCGTACACAATTATTTACAGATAAAATAGCCATGTATATATACACATATATGTAGCCTTATTGCCATTGTTTTACAAAAATAGAATCATACATAATGCTGTGCATTTTTATTTTTTATCTTGGTACTCCTGCACTGAAACATTTCCAAGTTATAGTTCTTTTTTTTTAATTTTTTATATTTTTTGGAGATGGTGTCTCACTCTGTCGCCAGATTGGAGTGCTGTAGTGCGATCTCAGCTCACTGAAACTCTCTGGTTCAAGTGATTCTCCTGCCTCAGCGTCCGGAGTAGCTGGGATTACAGGCACGCACCACCATGCCTGGCTAATTTTTGTATTTTAGTAGAGATGTAGTTTCCCTATGTTGGCCAGGATGGTCTTGATCTCCTGACCTCGTGATCTGCCCGCCTCAGCCTCCCAAAGTGCTGGGATTATAGGCGTGAGCCACCGTGCCTGGTCTTTTTTTTTTTTTTCCGAGACGGAGTCTTGCTCTGTCGCCCAGGCTGGAGTGCAGTGATGCGATCTTGGCTCAGTGCAAGCTCCGCCTCCCGGGTTCACACCATTCTCCTGTCTCAGCCTCCTGAGTAGCTGGGACTACACGCGCCCGCCACCGTGCCCGGCTAACTTTTTGTATTTTTAGTAGAGATAGGGTTTCACCGTGTTAGCCAGGATGGTCTCGATCTCCTGACCTCGTGATCTGCCCACCTTGGCCTCCCAAAGTGCTAGGATTACAGGCGCCTGAGCCACTGTGCCCAGCCTCCAAGTTATAGTTCTAATGATTCTTTTTATTTATTTATTTTTTTTGGGACAGAATGTCGCTCTGTCACCCAGGCTGAAGTGCAGTGGTGCAATCTTGGCTCACTGCAACCTCCACTTCCCAGGTTCAAGCAATTCTCCTGTCTCAGCCTCCTGAGTAGCTGGGATTACAGGCGCCCGCCACCACGCCCGGCTAATTTTTGTGTTTTTATTAGAGACGGGATTTCACCATGTTGGCCAGGCTGGTCTCAAATTCCTGACCTCAAGTGATCTGCCCACCTTGGCCTCCCAAAGTGCTGGGATTGCAGGTGGGAGCCACTGCCCCCGCCCGGCTAATAATTCTTTTTAAAAGGCTACATTGCATTGCATGTTGCAGATGTACAAACAGTTGCCTGTGGAATACTGACTTTGTTTCTGATTTTTACTATGATGGACAATGAAGCAATAGACATTCTTAAGCATCATTTTTTTTTTAATATACTGAGGATTTTATATTTCTGGTATAGGTTTCCAGGAGTTGGGTTGCTGAGTCAGAGAGCAGCCTCTGGCTTTCGAAACATTTCTACCAGTAGTTCATAAGTCTACCTTTTTCTTTCTTGCCAACAATAATTTCACTGGCACAAGAGTGTCATTGCTAGGTTGTATGGTATTTGCATAGTTAGTTTTATCTAGAGCGGCTGTACCATTTTGCGTTCCCACCAGTAGTGTGGCAGTGATCCAGTTTCTCTGTGTCCTTGCTAGCATTTGATTTTGTCATGACTTTGTATTTTAGCCATTCTGATAGGTGTGTAGTTGTGTCTTATTGTGGTTTGAATTTGCATTTCCCTAATGACTAATGATGTTGGACATCTTTTCCTGTGCTTGTTGGCCATCTGCATATCCCTTTTGGTGAGCTGTCTGTTCATTTCTTGTTCATTTTCTTGCTGTTAGGGCTTTTATTTTTATAGGGTGATTTCCTAGAAGTGGGATTGCTGGGTCAAAGGGTTATGCACCTTAAAAAAAATTATACTGGCCGAACACAGTGGCTCATACCTATAATTCTAGCACTTTGGGAGGCCAGGGCAGGAGGATTGCTTAAGCCCAGGAGTTACAGACCAGCCTGGGCAACATAGTGAGACCCCTGTCTTTACAAAAAAAAAAATTAAAAAAATTAACTGACCGTGGTAGCGCCTGTGGTCTCAGCTACTTGGGAGGCTGAGGTGGAAGATCACTGGGACCCGGGAGGTCGAGACTGCGGTGAGCCATGATTTTGCCACTGCACTCCAGTGTGGGTGACAGAATGAGACCCTATCTCAACAACAGCAACAAAAATTATACTGCCTGATGTCTTTGCAGAAAGGTATAGCAATTCATATTTCTATTCCTATTGGCAATACCTATTTCCCCATGCTCTTGCTAGCACTATGATTGCTTTTGAAGTCCTTAGTCCTAACCTGGGCCTCAGTGTTACTATACTTTCTTGGGCTATTAGTGAGATTGAGTATCTTTTCTTATATTTATTGGCCAACTGTATTTCACCCTTTTGTGGTTGATTTCTTCACCTTCTGTGCTTTTTATTTTTTGAGTTGCTTGTCTTATCCATTTGTAGAAACAGAGTTTTTGTGAATATTAATTTTTTCAGCTATATGTTCTGTTAATATTTTCTCATCTGTCACTTTAGTTATTGTTTCACTGTATTTATGGTATCTTTTTGCCATGTAGACATTTACAAATTTTATGTAATTAATTCTGTGAACCTTAAAATGTTTTGGTTTTCGAGTACTGCATCTTATCCTCAGATTCTTCAGTATTTTTCTCAGTTATTTTTACTGTAAACGTTTTCATTTTTTACACTTAACATTTTTCTTTGATCTTGACCCATCTGGAATTTCATTCTGTCTGTGGTTTGCATTAGGAATTTATCCTTATGAGACAGGAATTTATCCTTATTTTTTTTTCAGCTGCATGATCCTTTGTGTTAACGACATTGGTTAAGCAGCCCATTCTGCCCATCTGACTGAAGTGCTACCATTATTATAGATAAAATGCTTCCATATGTATTAGGATTTTTTTTGGGTGGGGGGGCTTTCTTTTGTTTTGTTCTTTTTTTTGAGACGAAGTCTCTCTCGTCACCCAGGCAGGAGTGCAATGGCGCGATCTTGGCTCACTGCAACCCCAGCATCCCGGGTTCAAGTGATTCTCCTGCCTCAGCCTCCCAGGTAGCTGGGATTACAGGTACCTGCCACCACGCCTGGCCTGTACCCCAGAACAAGGGGTGCCAAGTCCTTCCTGCATTTGTTATTGGAATTGTATTAAGTTTGTACATTAATTTGGGAAAAATTGATGTTTTGAGTTTAATAAGTCTTCCCATTCAGGAAAATGGTGTTTCTTTTTATCTGTTTGATCTTTATGCCGTTTAACAAAATTTTATGTTTTTCTTCATATAGGGCTTGCCTATTTATTTTTAAAAATGATTTATTTTGGCTGGGCGTGGTGGTTCACACCTGTAGTCCTAGCACTTTGGGAGGCCAAGGCAGGTGGATCACGAGGTCAGGAGTTTGAGACCACCCTGGCCAAGATGGTAAAACCCCATGTCTACTAAAAATTAAAAAAAAAAAAATCAGCCGGGCGTGGTGGTGGGCACCTGTAATCCCAGCCACTCGGGAGGCTGAAGCAGGAGAATCACTTGAACCTGGGAGGCGCAGGTTGCAGTGAGCCGAGATCGTGTCACTGCACTTCAGCCTGGGTGACAGAGTGAGACTCTGTCTCAAGAAAAAAAAAAAAGAAAGATATATTTTATTTTTGTTACTGTTATGCATCAAGTTCCTCTCCTCTAGTTTTGTCTACCTAAAGTCAACTTTTAATGTTATGGTGTCTTTGTTTTTCTTTGTGCAAATTTGTGGGGTATATTATCTTTTACACTTTTTTTTGTCTTTTTTTTTTTTTTCCTTTTTGTGGAGAATGCGGTCTCGCGATATTGCCCATGCAGGTCTCGAACTCCTGGGCTCAAGCTGTTCTCCTGCCGATGCCTCCGTAAGAGCTGGGATTACAGGTGTGAGCCACTGAGCCCGGCCTGGGGTATATTATCTTTTATTGCAGTGTTTTTACATTTGTGGGTTAGAAAGATTTAAATCTTTTTGTAGATCTGTTTTTTTTTATTTAATATTACAATCTAACCTTTTAAAAAATGCTATATCCAAGTTTTCTATAAGCATTTTAAATAATTGCATGATTTTTCCTCACCATAACCTTTAAACCATATTTCTTCATTCCTTATCTGTAGTTCAAGGCAATAATATTTCTGGTTCTTGAAGCCCGAATACTTTTTTAAATGCTTGTTTTAGCAAATGAGTTAGGTTCAGAAAAGTATGAAAGCAAGAAAACCATGACCAGTAATGCTTTTTGTTTTTTTGCGATGGAGTCTCGCTCTGTCACCCAGGCTGGAGTGCAGTGGCACTATCTCGGCTCACGGCAAGCTCCGCCTCCCAGGTTCACGCCATTCTCCTGCTTCAGCCTCCCGAGTAGCTGGGACTACAGGCCCGCCACCATGCCCGGCTACTTTTTTGTATTTTTAGTGGAGACAGGGTTTCACTGTGTTAGCCAGAATGGTCTTGATCTCTTGACCTCGTGATCTGCCCGCCTCGGCCTCCCAAAGTGCTGGGATTACAAGAGTGAGCCACCGCGCCTGGCAACTATGACCAGTAAATCTTTCACCAAGTGGCTCTTAATTTTTTTACATAATTCCCTTTGGAATTGTTATATATGTAAATATATATATATAGATAGATAGATAGATAGATAGATAGATAGATATAGATATATAATTTTTTTTTTTTTTTGAGACGGAGTTTTGCTCTTGTTGCCCAAGCTGGAGTGCAGTGGCGTGATCTTGGCTCACTGCAAACCTCTGCCTCCCGGGTTCAAGCGATTCTCTTGGCTCAGCCTCCCAAGTAGCTGGGATTACAGGCACGTACCACCACACCCGACTTTTTTTTGTATTTTTAGTAGAAACGGGATTTCACCATTTTAGCCAGGCTGGTCTCAAACTCCTGACCTCAGGTGATCTGCCTGCCTTGGCCTCCCAAAGCACTGGGATTACAGGCATGAGCCACTGCACCTGGCCTGTATTGTATTTTTCAAGCATAACTGAGACCATACTTAACATACAGTTACCTATCCTGCTTATTTTTCATCTTATGTTATAAAGATATTGACTTATCAGTATAAGCTCTTGGTAAATATTTTAAAGACCTAAATAGCTATTGTTTATCTAACCAGTTCCCCAAGTGTTAAATATTTAGGCAGTTTCTAAACTTTTTTTTTTTTTAAGACAAGGTCTTGTTCTGTCACCCATGCTAAAGTGCAGTGGTGCGATCCCGGCTCACTGTAGCCTCCGCTTCCTGGGCTCAAGCAACCCTTCTGTCTCAGCTTCCTGAGTAGCTGGGACTACAGGCATGCGCAACCACACCCAGGGCTAATTTTTTTATTTTTTGTAGAGATAGGGTTTCAGGCCACTGTGCCTGTAATCTTAACGCTTTAAAAAAATTATTTATTTATTTATTTTTTAGAATAGAGATGAGGTTTTGCTTTGTTGCCCAGGCTGGTTTCAAACTCCTGGCCTCAAGTGATCTGCCCACCTCGGCCTCCCAAATTGCTGGGATTGCAGGTGTGAGCAACTGCGCCCCACCTGTTCTTAGATTTTTATCTGATTTGTAGATTATAGTCTAGGATTGATTTCTGCTCCTGAAATTCATGGATTAAGCATGTGAACCTTTTTGAAAATTAATTAAACATAAATATAGCTCATGGCTCATTTTTTTTTTTTTTTGAGATGGAGTCTCGCTCTGTCCCCCAGGCTGGAGTGCAGTGGTGCCATCTCGGCTCACTGCAACCTCCCCCTCCTGGGTTCAAGCGATTCTCCTGTCTCAGCCACCTGAGTAGCTGGGATTACAGGCACTCGCCACCATGCTCAGCTAATTTTTGTATTTTTAGTAGAGATGGGGTTTTGCCATGTTGGCCAGGCTGGTCTGGAACTCCTGACCTCAGGTGATCCTCCCATCTCGGCCTCCCAAAGTGCTGGGATTACAGGCGTGAGCCACTGAGCCCAGCCTCATGGCCCATTTCAAATGATTGTCATGTAATGGCCTTGTTCTTACTGTCTTAAATCTGAGATATGGCTCATACTGTTGATTGACTGATTTTCACTGGTACAGCAGACTCCATTCCAGCTAACATTGGAATTTTACAAATGACGATAATCCAGTCCATTTTCATGATTGTAGTTGGTTTTCTCAAAAAGGCTCCAGTAAAGCTGTAACATAGTAAAAGAATTGCCGGTTGTGGTGGTTCATGCCTGGAATCCCAGCACTTTGGGAGGCTGAGGCAGGCGGATCACAATTCAGGAGTTCGAGACCAGCCTGGCCAACACAGTGAAACCCCATCTCTACAAAAAATATAAAAATATTAGCTGGGCATGGTGGTGCACACCTGTAATCCCAGCTCCTTGGGAGGCTGAGGCAGGACAATTGCTTGAACCCAGGAGACAGAGGTTGCAGTGAGCGGAGATCGCGCCACTGCACTCCATTTTGGGCAACAGAGCGAGACTCTGACTCAAAAAAAAAAAATCAAGTAAATAGGTCTTTCTGTCACAAGGTTAATTTGATGCAGTTTATAAAAATGCAGCATTCATGGCTGATCCTGTTGTTTTAATGATTGCCATGCAAAAGTATAGGATTCTTAGGAATCTTTTAATAGATTCGTGTGCAGATTAAGCAGTCTTGAAATATAGGACAGGCTGGGCTTGGTGTCTCACTTCTGTAATCCTAGCACTTTGGGGGGCCAAGGTAGGCGGATCACTTGAGGTCAGCAGTTTGAGATCAGCCTGGCCAACATGGTGAAACCCTGGCTCTACTAAAAATACACACAAAAAATGGCCGGACGTGGTGGCCCGTGGCTGTAATCCCAGCTACTCCAGAGGCTTGAGGCAGGATAATCTCGAACGTGGGTGGCAGAGGTTACAGTGAGCCGAGATCACGTCACTGCACTCCAGCCTGGGGAACAGAGCGAGGCTCCATCTCAAAAAAAAAAAAAAGATAGGACAAAGCTCATGAAAACAAATGCTTGCTGAATCTTCACAGAAAACTAGTTGAGCTGGTGCAGTGTCCAGGTCTGCTGGTCTTGGTGGACAGTTTCAAATGCAGCAGGAGGAAGTTACTTCATTTTCCATTCACAACTCTTTTGCTGCTTTATCAGACTTTTACTGAGCACCTGGGGGGAAGTTTTTTTTTTTTTTTTTTTAAACAGCTTTATTGAGGTCTAGTTTATATACCGTTAAAATTGTAAGTATACAATTCAGTGATTTTTTTTTTTCAATTCAGTGATTTTTGTGCTTTTTTTTTTTCTTTGAGGCAGAGTTTCGCTCTTGTTGCTCAGGCTGGAGTACAGTGGCACAATCTCAGCTCACTGCGACCTCCGCCTCCCGGGTTCAAGCGATTCTCCAGCCTCAGCCTCTGGAGTAGCTGGGATTACAGGAGCCTGCCACCACACCCAGCTAATTTTTGTATTTTTAGTAGAAATGGAGTTTTGCCATGTTGGCCAGGTTGGTCTTGAACTCCTGACCTCAGGTGATCTGCCCACCTCAGCCTCCCAAAGTGTTGGGATTACAGGCATGAGCCACAACGCCCAGCCAATTTTTGTGCTTTTTAATAAATTTATAGTGTTGTGTAACCATCGATCACAATTCAGTTTTAGAGCATTTCCATTATCCCCCCAAATTCCCTTGTGCTAGTTAACACTTAATCCCTAATTTCAACTCCAGCCTTAGAGAACCACTGATTAAATGACTTTCTGTTTCTATATCCAAATGTTCCTTGACTTATGATGGGGTTATGTCCTGATAATCCTATTGTAGAGTCAAAAAGTCATAAATTGAACCATGGTTATGTTAAGGACTGTCTGTATTTACCCTTCTTAGCCGTTTCATGGAATCATACAGTGTGTGGTGTTTTGGATGTGGCTTCCTTCCTCTAGCATAGTATTTTCAATGTTCTTCCATGTTGTAGCATGGATCAGTACCTTATTCCTTTTTTTTTTTTTTTTTTTGAGACCAAGTCTCTCTCTGTTGCCCAAGCTGGAGTGCAGTGATGTGATCTCAGCTCACTGCAACCTATGCCCCCTGGGTCCAAGGAATTCTCCTGCTCCAGCCTTCCCAGTAGCTGGAATTACAGGTGCCTGCTGTAACGCCCAGTGAATTTTTCTGTTTTTAGTAGAGTTGAGATTTCACCCTGTTGGCCAGGCTGGTCTCGAACTCCTGACCTCAAGTGATCTACCTGCCTTGGCCTCCCAAAGTGCTGGTATTATAGGTGTGAGCTACTGCACCCCACCTGACTGGTGCTTTTTAAAAAATTAAAATATTCACTGTTGTTAAGTGACCCACTTATTTAAAATAATATTCCTAGTTCATTAACTTGGAATGGAAGTTTGGTGTGATAAAATGGCAAGGAGGCAGCTGACCTCTCCAGTGAAGCCAGAGTGTCTGCAGTAGAGAGTATTCTGGGAACCCCCCAGCCCTCTCAACAAAGTGAGACTCTGTCTCAAAAAAAAAAAAAAAAAAAAAGTAGCTGCGCATGGTAGTGCATGCCTGTAGTCTCAGTTACTTGGTAGGCTGAGGTGGGAGGATCGTTTGAGCCTGGGAGATTGAGGCTGCAGTGAGCTATGATCACACCACCGCACTCCAGCCTGGGTAACAGAGCAAGACCCTGTCTCAAAAAAAAAAAAGAAAAGAAAAGAAAAGAAAAGAAAGAACTCTACTAAAGCTAGTGCTCCTTTCATTTCGTGGGAATTATCATCTACTGCTTCCCATATAAGATGGTTCATTAACTTAATTAACTTCCCATATAAGATGGGAAGCAGTGGAAAGCCTTAGTGTGACCTCGTGTATGACATAGTGCTTCCAAGATGTGTCCACCAGAAGCTAAAGAGTAGATTCCTGTGCTTGGACAGGTGTGCTCTACTTGATTCACTAGTTTTAACTCACCTGGATTCAAATGACCGTTTATACGAAATCTCCTGAGATGCATCTCCCACCAAAATGTACATCAGGTTCATGATCTTGAGTTCCCTGACTGGAGAGACCATGTCGGTCACATTCTCTGTAGCAACCAGGCATGGTGCTAAGTGCACGGGAGCTCACAGTTAGCAAGAGCAGGCAGCCCTGGAAATCAGACCATTAACAGAGAGTGGCGAGCGCTGCAGTACAAAGAAGCTCAGAATGAGGAAACATTCAGGAAGGCTTCCTGGAGGAGGGAATACGTGAGCTAAGTCTTTTTTTTTTTTTTTCTTTTGAGACTGAGTTTCGCTCTTGTTGCCCAGGCAGGAATATAATGGCACGATCTCGGCTCACGGCAACCTCCGCCTCCCGGATTCATGTGATGCTCCTGCCTCAGCCTCCAGAGTAGCTGGGATTATAAGCATGTGCCGCCACACCCAGCTCATTTTATATATATATTTTTTTAGTAGAAATGGGGTTTCACCATGTTGGCCAGGCTGGTCTTGAACTCCTGACCCCAGGTGATCCACCCGCCTTGGCCTGCCAAAGTGCTGAGATTATAAGTGTGAGCCACCGCACCCAGTCGAGATCTGCCTTGAATGACCAGTAGATACGTGCTCAGATCCAAACTGGAGGTGGAAAGGGCATATGGGGAGGGTGTTAAGTAGAACGGCCTTTGGCGAGGAAGGCATCATAGTGATCTAATTAAAAGACTAGCATCCACCTGGGTATTCGTGCAGTGTTAGGTTAGTTGTGACCTGTGTGCCTCTGTGACACAGTACTGATGATGTAACCCAAACCTTGGGGACTGGATTTGTGCAGTTCGCCTGCATTCCATTCCTCTTAGGGCCCTGGTTTTATCTAGAGCTGGCTGGGCAGTTATTGACTTGTGCATTGGAACCAAGCAAACTAATAGCAATTGTTGAGTTGATTGCTGTATTTGCAGAAGATTCTTTTAAAGATAGAGGCTTTGGTTAATTACAGAGAACTCTCAACATACCCCAGAGTTTTTTTGTTTTTGTTTTTGTTTTTTTCTCTCTGAGACAGACCCCTGATCTAGGTCATTGTTGCTATGTGCCATGGTTTTGGTTTCTGTGGTATTTAGAGAGTTTTGGTGGACGTCCCAGCTTTCAGGAAGCCTTAAAATATGTGCTTATGAGGCTGGGTGCAATGGTTCATTCCTGTAATCCCAGCACTTTGGGAGGCCAAGGCGGGCAGATCACCTGAGTTCAGGAGTTGGAGACCAGCCTGGCCGACATGGTGAAACCCCATCTCTACTAAAAATACAAACATTAGCCAGGCATGGTGGCAGGCGCCTGTATTCCCAGCTACATGGGAGGCTGAGGCAGGAGAATCGCTTGGACCTGGGAGGTGGACGTTGCAGTGAGCCGAGATTGTGCCATTGCACTCCAGCCTGGGCAACAAGAGCAAAACTCCATCTCAAAAAAAAAAAAAAAAAAAAAAGTGCCTGTGTGTACAGAGACTAACGTATGCACATCTATAATAATTAAGAGTGATATCTGCCCAGCAAAGAGGTTTGTTTCAATGTGGGGGAGTATTCTGGGATCTCTGGTTCAAGGTTAATCATTGATTTACCTACCCACTGGAAAAAGATTTGTGGAACACACATTATATACCAGGTGCTGAGCTAGGTGCCAGGAATCCAGCAAAGATAAGATAGAAGGTGAAAACCAAGCAGTATGGTTGAGGGGAAGTATTAGATTTGTGATGCCTAATAGGCTCCCTTCTGTGCAGGGCCAGCTTTGGTCATTTGCCAGTGGTGGCCTACAATGCTGGGATCGATTAGTGATGTCTGTCATGGGCACCGAATACAGTGGAAAGGCATGAATGCTGTGGATTTGCTGATGCTGTGTTAGGGGTGTGTAGTGTAGACAGAATGACGAGTAAAGATTGAGTAAGGTAGCCAGAGGACTTTTATCTTAGAATAAAGGATGTTTTTCGTGATGATATGGGGGATGGAGGAAACTACATTGGATCAGCTTGCGAGGATGGAGTTCAGGTACAGATGTCACTGCTTTTTATGCAGTTTTCAGGAGGTCACGTAAATGTCAGCCTCAGCTTCTTCAAGTGTAAAATGGAGATAATAGTACGTGCCTCATCTATATTAAAGTGTTGATGAGAAGAGTAAAATAATGGGTATGAAAATATTTTACTACCCACAGAGTGATAAACACCTGGAGTATTGTTACCATGGGTGTCGGGATGGGTGGAGCAGCAAATGCCCGAGGCCAGGCAAGGCTGAGCCGGATGGTGGTGGCCTCAAGGCCTTTGCACTGGGCCTGTCTTTCCAGCCTGCTGCCCTTGTCATATCCAGCTCGTAATTCCAAGGCCACCTTCATTCAGCCCACAGAATCTAAGCCTGTCCTTGCCCCATCGCCACCTGCCATCTCATCCTGTCTTATTTTCTTCTAAGTTCTGATTAACTGAAATGGTCTGGTTAACTTATTTGTGTACCTCCCTTTGCTAGAAACATGCACATGAGTGAGGCAGAAACCGTGCCTGTCTCACTCTCACTGTCATCTCCTCAGAGCCTAGAACAGTGCCTGGCATGTGGGAGACATTCAGAATTTCTTAACTTTTGTTGTATGAATGAATGGAAAGGGCTCAGAAGTCCACAGACCCAGTTGGGCAGAGGCTCAGGAGCCCTGAGAAGATTGCTAAGATCAAGTGCAGTTGCTGTGACCTCATCTCTTTGTTCCTGAATCTCCTATTTCTTTGGTTATTGAGAAACAAATTCAATTAAATGCACAGTAATTGTAACTTAATTGAAAATTCCATCAACTCACAATCTGAGTTCACAATGTATTCTCTTACAACAGAATAAAGAACAAGAATCAGAATTCATATTATTATTATTTTTAGAGCATGTAATCTCATATAATCTCTTTAGAGCATGTAATCTCTTATATAAAGAATGAGAATCAGAATTCATATATTCTTTTTAGAGCATGTAACAGGCCATGAAATTACACAATGTTTCCAATTTGGCAGCCTGGTGAATTCAGTCTCCAAAAACATAATCTTGTTCCTTAAACTACATGTAATATGAATTAGAGTTAAAACTTGTGAATTGGATGCAATTAACATCCAACCGCTCCCCACACTGAACTGATTGGTTTTTAACTTTTCCCCCCTCTGCACCCCCGCCAGCTGGCACCCGTCCCTGTTCCCATGTTCCTTGTGAATTGTTACTGTGCCAGTCTGATGCATATGGGTAGACTGTGCTGGGCATCCTGAGCTCTGTGAAATGAACATCAACACGGGAGGTGTGTGGAGTGGCGCAGGTCAGTTACCAAGCCTGCACATCCAGGTGTCTCCTGTCTGCCTTCACGCTGAGGTTTACACCTGGCGGCTTACTCACTTCCTGGAGATGCTGGGGCCGCCCTAGTTGCTACTCCCTTTTCTGGGGGGACTGATGAGTCATTGGTTTTCTCACAGGGTCACCTGTCTGTGTGCCCAGTTTGAAGCCGTCCTGCAGCATGGCTTGAAGAGGAGTCGAGGATTGGCACTCACAGCGGCAGCGATCAAGCAGGCAGCGGGCTTTGCCAGCAAAACCGAAACAGGTACTGCTCTGCCTGGCTGTAGCTTGGAGGAGCTTGTCTTCCTTCTGCTCTTTTTCTTTTTATTTATTTTTTAATAGTGGGCAGGGCAGTGATCGCGTGGGACTTGGTGGGGTGGTGTATGGGCACAGAAATCCATGTCTTAATAGTAGTCAAAACGTAATGGTGTTGTCTGGCATCTTAATTTAAATGAAGTCATCTTTTGTGCAGAATTCTCAGAGCCACATGGTACAGTCTCCTCTGGGTTCGGGGACCTGTAGCACACTGGTTTATTTCACCACTGTGGCGTGCCAGTTGCTGGGAAATTAATAATCTGTTTTAATTTGATGCCTGAGGATAGCATGGCATTTCATAATTAATGTCTTCCATACCAGCAACAGAAACCCCAGAGGTTCTGTTATCATCCAATTTAATGTTGGAAAAACATTTCCATGTGAGTGACAAGCATAATGCTAAATAATAACTATTAATGCTTAGTACTTAGTGCAAGACTTGCACTTTGATGTAAATTAACTCATTCAGTTCGATAGCCCTGTGAGTAGTAGGGACTGTTATTACTGCCACTGTACAGATGAGGAAACTGTTCATAGTGATCTGCTTTGGAGCTGAACCTTGAAGTGGATCATGTCATGTAACAAATGTCCTGTGGTCTCCTCCTCCCCTGAGCTTTCAGTTCCAGCCCTGACCACGGCTGCTGCTGGGAATCCCGGAATCTTTCTTATCACTATGTCAGTGTCGTTGCTGAGTAAAATGTGCTGTCTTTGGCTGGTTCCCCTTTCACAGCCAAAAGTTGGACCTTGTTGCATTTGGTGGCGGTGTGTGGAAATTCTCTGCTAACATAATCCTTAGTCTTTCCCTCTCCTTCATGTTGCTGTATCATCCTTTCTTTTTTCTCAACCCTTCAATAGATCTTTTTATTTATTTACTTATTTATTTTTTAGAGTTGGGGTCTTGCTCTGTTGCCCAGGCTGAAGTGCAGTGGTGTGATCATGGCTCACCAAAGCCTGGAACTACTAGGCTCAAGTGATCCCCTTGCCTGAGCCTCTGAAATAGCTAGGATTGCAGGCTTGCACCACCATGCCCGGCTGGTTTTTAAACTTTTATAGAGACAGAGATCTTGTTCTGTTGGCCAGGCTGGTCTCAAACTCCTAGGCTCAAGTGATCTTCCCACCTCAGCCTGCCAACTAGCTGGGATTACAAATGTGAGACACTGTGCCTGGCTCCAACAGTTCTTTTTTTTAAAAAAATTATTATTAAAATTATTTTATTGGTACATAATATTTGTACATATGTATGGGGTACCTGTGATTTTTTATTTTTTATTGAGATGGAGTCTTGCTCTTGTCGCCCAGGCTGGAGTGCAATGGCACCGTCTTGGCTCAATGCAACCTCCGCTTCCTGGGTTCAGGCGATTCTCCTGCCTGAGCCTCCCGAGTAGCTGGGATTACAGGTGCCCACCACCATGCCTGGCTAGTTTTTGTATTTTTAGTAGAGACAGGTTTCACCATGTTGGCCAGGCTGGTCTCGAACTCCTGACCTTGTGATCTGCTCACTTCGGCCTTCCAGAGTGCTGGGATTATACGTGTAAGCCACTGCGCCTGGCCTTGGTACTTGTGATATTTTGATACATGCCTAGAATGTGTAATCACTTTCAACAGATGTTTGCTTTTTTTTTTTTTCTTTCTTTGGGCAGTCTCCCGGGGCTAGGGTAAGTTCAGAGAGGCTCCTAGATCTTTGTTTCTTGTTTATTTCACCAGTTACTCATTTGTAGAAATGAGTTGTTCAATAAACACACAGTTGTTCAATAAAATTATGTTCACTAAACAAATACATCTTGGTTGGAAGGAAGGGCATTATTCATTGCGTGCAGTACTGTATTTCATGGTTCCTGAGGTACCATATACCAGGATCACTCCAGCTTGCTACAGGGAAAGTGATTAATTTTTGAGGAACAAAGCAAAAATTAATGAAAAGTGACCCAGAGCTCTACACAGACTTGGCTTGCTGTCTTTGTAGCCACTGGAAACCCAAGTAGCCAGTACAGAATACAGTATGGAGAAATGAATTATTTTCCATTCCACTTGGGAAAGGAGAAAGAACCACTGCCGTTATTGGCGTTTGATGCATTTGATGGCATGACCTTGGAATTTGATTTTTTTTTTTTTTTTTAGATGGAGCCTCACTCTGTTGCCCAGTCTGGAGTGCAGTGGCATGATCTCAGCTCACTGCAACCTCTGCCTCCCAGGTGCAAGTGATTCTCCAGCCTCAGCCACCTGAGTAGCTGGGACTATAGGTGTGTGCCACCATGTCTGGCTAATTTTTGTATTTTTAGTAGAGATGGAGTTTCACCATGTTGGCCAGGCTGGTCTCGAACTCCTGACTTCAGGTAATCTGCCCGCCTCGACCTCCCAAAGTGCTGGGATTACAGGCATGAGCCACCACGCCTGGCTGGAATTTGATGTTCTTTTAATCACTGATATATCATCGTCAGGTTATAGGTTGGCAGTCAATTACAAGGTGATCGGGGCCATTCAGAATATACCAGAGACACAGTTACTGTTGCTGAGCTGCCTGTAAAATTGAAGTCTAATCTTCCCTGTCTGTTCGGCAGCCTTGGGCAATGAGGATCTGACTTTGAAACACTGCCTTCCCTTGCTTTCTGCGATGCCATAGCCTCTTGGCACACTTTCTTCTTCTTTTCTGATCCTTGTTGGCATATCACTTCCATACCCTCAAATATTATTCATCCTTGGATTCATTGTTGGCTCTTGTTTCTATGCATACTGTTTGGATTCCTTGGTGAAGTTGCTCTGTATGTGCCTGTTATTCTTAGTCATACCCGCAGCCCAGAGCACTTCCTTGAACTCTGTCTCATGAATGTCTCTATTTGGCGTACAGCACGGGCTTGTCAGTCTCCAAAACTGAATTCTGATCTTCATCCATATGTGTTCCTGTGTTTCTTGCTTAGTAAATGGCTCTGCCTTTTACCCAGGTCCCCTGGACAGCTCTTGGGCTTCCTCCCAGCCTTCTCCTTCTCCCTCTTCTCTGCCCCAAAACCAGTCCCACAAAGAGCATTGTTTTCTGTCTCTCACATGGGTCCCTGAGCCACTCGCGGTTCCTCCATCCTCAGTGAATTCTCTTCTTTCTCCCCGACTTGTGTTTTCCTGCCTTCAGTCTTGATCAGCTCTGACCCACTTTGCACATCATGGAGTGGTCTTCTTTAATGACCATCCCACTCCCCCACTTATTCCCCGTAACCCCACTAACTTAAAGCTCTTCTGTGGGTCTCTTGTAGAATCGGGACAAAGTATCCAGTGCGTGATCTGGCTTCTTGGGCTCTCTTCCCTACTGGCTGTATCTGTCTCTGTTCTACCTCTTATGCCGTGCTGTATGCCAGGGCTGACAGGCAGCGGCAGGTCTGACATCACAACTCTTTCATCCAGTTTGCAAATAAATGATGGCCTGAGTCCCACAAGCTCCCCTCCTGCCACGCCCCTGCCTTGGGACTCTTGAGACCTCTCCATAATTCAGCAGCTGAAGCACTAATGCCAGATCCTGTGTGGGGCAGGGCCTTCAGTGCCGCTGCCTGTGCTTTGCTTGGTGCCTCTCAGTAATTTAGATGATTCAGTTCTGTATTTTTTTTTTTTCTGAGACAATGTCTTGCTCTGTCGCCCAGGCTAGAGTGCAGTGGTGCGATCTCGGCTCACTGCAGCCTCTGCCTTCTGGGTTCAGGTGATTCTCGTGTCTTGGCCTCCTGAGTAGCTGGCACTACAGGTGTGTACCACCACGCTGCCTAATTTTTGTATTTTTGGTAGAGATGGGGTTTCCTCATGTTGGCTAGGCTGGTCTCGAACTCCTGGCCTCATGTGATCCACCTGCCTCAGCCTCCCAAAGTGCTGGGATTACAGGCGTTAGCCACTGTTCCTGGCCCAATCCTGTATTTTGAACAGCTCTCCTAGTTTCTGTTGTCTTGAAACTCTTCAAGTCTGGCAGTTCTTTCCCTTCTGCTACCTTCCTTCCTTCCCCAGCTCTCACCCAAGCTCCTACTGGCGAAACTTCTATTCTCTCTTAAAAAAAAAATATGGCCGGGCGTGGTGGCTCATGCCTGTAATCCCAGCACTTTGGGAGGCTGAGGCGGGCGGATCATGAGGTCAGGAAATCGAGACCATCCTAGCTAACACGGTGAAACCCATTTCTACTAAAAATACAAAAAATTAGCCAGGCGTGGTGGCAGGTGCCTATAGTCCCAGCTACTTGGGAGGCTGAGGCAGGAGAATGGTGTGAACCCGGGAGGCGGAGCTTGCAGTGAGCCGAGATCGCGCCACTGCACTCCAGCCTGGGCAACAGAGTGAGACTCCATCTCAAAACAAAACAAAGCAAAACGAACAAAAAAAAAATTGGTAAAATATACATAATGAAATTTACCATTTCAGCCATTTGAAGTGTACAATTCAGTGTAAGTGTACTTAATGTACATTCACATGTCATACAGTAATCATTACCACCATTCATCTCAGAACCTTTCCATTTTTACAAACCAAAACTGTGTACTTGTTAAACACTAACACTCACTCCCTCCACACCCCTGTCCCTGGCAGCCAGCATTCTACTTTCTGCCTCAGTGCATTCTACTACTTTAGGTTCCTTGTACCAATGGAATCATGCAATATTTGTTCTTTTTTGTCTGGCTTTATTTAGCATAACATCTTCAAGGATCGTCCGTGTTGTAGTATGTGTCAGAATTTCCTTCTTCTTCTTCTTCTTTTTTTTTTTTTTTTTGATGGAGCCTTGCTCTGTTGCCCAGTTTGCTGGAGTACAGTAAGTAGCGCTATCTCAGCTCACCACAACCTCCGCCTCCTGGGTTCAAGCGATTCTCCTGCCTCAGCCTCCCAAGTAGCTGAGATTATAGGCACATGCCACCATGCCCGGCTAATTTTTGTATTTTTAGTAGATACGTGGTTTCACTATGTTGGCCAGGCTGGTCTCGAACCCCTGACCTTGTGATCCACCCACCTCGGCCTCCCAAAGTGCTGTGATTACAGGCATGAGCAACCGCGCCTGGCCCAGAATTTTCTTCTTTTTAAAGGCTGAACAATATTTTTGAGGGTATGTAGAGCCCATATTTTGTTTATTCCCATGACAGTTGGGTGTCTTCCACTTATGGGCTATTGTGAATGGTACTGCTGTGAATATGAAGATACAAATACTTGTTTTTTCCACTTTTAGTTCTTTTGGGGCATACACCCAGAAGGACAATGTTGGATCATATGATAATTCTATGTTTAATTATTTTTTAGAAACCATCAGAGGGTTTTCCATAGAGGCTATACCCTGTTGCATTCCCACTAGCAATGCACACGAGATCCATTTTCTCCACCATCCTTCCACATCCTTGCCAACTCCATAGCCTTGCCAGTGTTGGGTTTTTATTTATTTTGTGAGATAGAATCTCACTTTGTCACCCAGGCTGGAGTGTGATCTTGGCTCACTGTAGCCTCCACCCCCCAGGTTCAAGTGATTCTCCTGCCTCAGTTTCCCAAGTAGCTGGGATTACAGGCGTGCGCCACCATGCCTGGCTAATTTTTGTATTTTTAGTAGAGGCAGGGTTTCACCACGTTGGCCAGGCTGGTCTCGAGCTCCTGGCCTCAAGTGATCTGCCCGCCTTGGCCTCCCAAAGTGCTGGAAGTACAGGTGCGAGCCACTGTGCCCGGCCAATGCTGGCTTTTTAAATTAGAGAAAAGGTATATAGCTTTAATTGTATACATGGGGAGAACCAGAGAGTGATTACCACCCCCTTTTTTCATATATATATATGTATGTATAGTAATTTTATTATTTTTTTGTAGGGACAGTATCTTACTATCTTGCCCAGGCTGGTCTCAAATTCCTTGCCCTAAGTGATCCTCCCACCTTGGCCTCCCAAAGTGCTGGGATTACAGGCCTGAGCCACCGTGCCTGGCCTCCTTTTTTCTGTTTTCATAATTGCCATCCTAATGGGTGGAAATGGTGTCTCATGTGGTTTTGTTCTCTTCTCTTCTGAAGTTTCAGAATTGTTTTCAAAAAGCCATTCATGAGCTCCCTACATGGTTCACCTGGACTGTGCCCCTCCTATAGTCCTGAGTTCTTCTTCCATCAAACCTATGTATGGAACTACCCGTTTTCTTTTTTCTTTTTTTTTTTTTTTGAGATGGAGTCTGATCTGTTGCCCATGCTGGAGTGCAGTGGTGCAATCTTGGCCCACTGCAGCCTATGCCTCCTGGGTTCAAGTGTTTCTCCTGCTTCAGCCTCCTGAGTAGCTGCGATTACAGGTGCACATCACCATGCCTGGTTAAGTTTTATATTTTTAGTAGAGACGGGGTTTCATCATATTGGGCAGGCTGGTCTCGAACTACTGACTTCAGGTGATCCGCCTGCCTTGGCCTCCCAAAGTGTTAGGATTACAGGCTCATCCTTGTAGCTCTAGTGTCTTGCAAGATACCTGGCCACCTACACAGTAGATGCCACCAAAGGACTGCATTCAAAATAACCACTTGAAGACCCTGACTTCAGAACATGCTGCTCATTTTCCCAGGAAGCCAAACCCCTACTCTCAGTGGTCTGTACGCATCTTCAGTCAGTGGGAAGCGGTGGTAATATACCCATAACTGTAAAATGAGAGAGACCGACTTCCTTGATCTTCAGTGGGGATTTTTGAAAATGGTTGATTGCACTCAAAGCAGAATTTGTATTTTGCTTCATTGGGTCACCTTGGGCAACAATTTCATTTCTGTAGAAAATTAATTTTGGAGGAAGCTGCATGTGCCAGGGGAGCCCTGGGTCCATCCTTTTGATGGTGAGGGGAAGTCCAGTTCCTCACTCGCCCATCCCTGCTTTCGGTTCCCTGTTGGTGATTTTCTTTTGTATTCATGCACGTGCCAATCAGCTGCTTTTGGTAAGGGAAGCCTTGGAAGGATGTCTGCTAAAGGTGCAGAGAAAATGCAGAGCTCCATTCAAGGTGAAAAAAGTGGTTGACAACTGGCAGAAAGAAGCTGGCTTTAGGGAGGAAGTCAGAAGCCAGGGTGCTGTACCCGTTGGGCTGTGTGTTATCCTGGGTCACTGGATCATGGGCATGTCCACAGGGTCCCTCAGGGGTGGGTTCTTGACACCCAGGGTGGCATGGACTTGGGCCAGTGGCTATTTACTAAGGGGTATGAATGTGTCTCAGCATGTTAAGATCTAGTGGAGCTGGACTGATACCTATTGGCCGAATGTGACCTCTGCCTGTTTCAAAGGTGTTTAATCCTGATGTCTCATAAATTAAGACTCAGGCTTGTAATCCCAGCACTTTGGGAGGCCGAGGTGGGTGGATCACTTGAGGTCTGGAGTTCGAGACCAGCCTGGCCAACATGGTGAAACCCTGTCTCCATTAAAAATACAAAAATTAGCTGGGCATGGTGGTAGGCACCTGTAATTCCAGCTACTTGGGAGGCTGAGGCAGGAGAATTCCTTGAATCCAGGAGGCGGAGGATTCAGTGAGCCGAGACCGTGCCCTGGCACTCCAGCCTGGGCGACAGAGCAAGACTCCACCTCAAAAAAAAAAAGGTAAAAAAGACTCAGTTTGGCCTCTGAGTTGTCAGTTTTTAGATCACAGTTATCCAGCCTGAGTTCCGTGGGTCCTTTGCTTTGCTCCTTTCAGAATGTAAATGACTCTTCAGCTCATGATGGCGTATGCCCCTAAAAGGAAGTGAGATACAAGCTTTAGAAGTCCGTCTTAGAAATTTCCCTTTTTTTTTTTTTTTTTTTTAAATAAGAGACAGGGTCTTGCTCTGTTGCCAGGCTAGAGTGCAGTGGTGCAATCATGGCTCTCTGCAGCCTTGAACTTCCTGGCTCAAGCGATCCTCCTACTTCGGCCTCTCAAGTAGCTGGGACTGCACATGCACGCCACCATGCCTGGTTAATTTATTTCCTACTCTTTAATAAAGGAGGTGGTATGCTGTAAACTCTTGTAGGATGTGGGTGTATTATGCTGAGCCCTGGTTCTGGAAGGCACTCTTGCGGCTAGATGGAAGTTGGTAGAGTGACAGAGCTCAGCCCCTTGTTGGCACTCTGCTCTGCCAATCCATTTGTGCCTTGTGGTCAGGCTGGTTCAGTTTGGGATGTGACAGATTTGGGAGCACTTGTATTCACTGAGTTCTCAGGCTGGCACATGAGTGAACTTGGTTTACCTTTGTTCCTGGCATGGCTGATACCATGTGTGGCTGATTCTGTTAGAGTGTGCCCTCACATTCATCCCTCTGTCTTCTTTGGCTTTGATAGAACCCAGATTTTGCTTGAGGCTGTGGTATGTAGTCCTTTATCTCGGTGAGGGATTAAGCCAGTTTTGAGTTTTGTTCTTTGCTTTCTCTGCTCCCTTGTGATTTTCTGGGATTACTTGTTCTTTCCTGGTAAAAGGGGTGATAAAGCTGGCTTCATCCCGTTCCCTTTCTTCCTGCTCAATTGTAAATGAGATGTCCAGAGTTAGGACAGTCCTCTGGGACAGCGAGTTCAAAAGGTTGGAGATTTTGGCCTGACATAGCCTTTGTATCTATCACTGGCCTATTTCCAGACTAGCCCAGCTCCGTGGGGTTGGATTTTCTTTGTGTGTGGGTTTTTTTCTTTTTGTTTTGTTTTTAGAGACAGGGCCTTGCTCTGTTAACTAGGCTGGAGTGCAGTGGTGCAATCATAGCTCACTACAGCCTCAAACTCCTGGGGTCCAGCCATCTTCCTGCTTCCGCCTCCCAAGTAGCTGGGACGACAGGTGTGTGCCGCCACACTCGGCTCCTTGTAGTTGGGTTTTCTGTTTCCTTTTTTTAGAGATGGGTTCTTACTATGTTGCCCAGGCTGGTCTTGGGTTTTCTGTGTTTTTCTTTCTTTCTTTTTTTTTTTTTTTTTTGAGACAGAGTCTTGCTCTGTTGCCCAGGCTGGAGTGCAGTGGCACCATCTCGGCTCACTGCCAGCTCCGCCTCCCGGATTCACGCCATTCTTCTGCCTCTGCCTCCCAAGTAGCTGGGACTACAGGTGCCCGCCACCACGCCCAGCTAATTTTTTGTATTTTTAGTAGAGATGGGGTTTCACCGTGTTAGCCAGGATGGTCTCGATCTCCTGACCTCGTGATCCACCTGCCTCGGCCTCCCAAAGTGCTGGGATTACAGGCGTGAGCCACCGCGCCCAGCGGGTTTTCTGTTTTTGTTTTTGTTGTTGTTGTTGTTGAGCAATGCTTTGTTTGTTTTGGGGCAGTGTTGTCACATTGATGAGACACCCCTCACCCCGCATGGCTGTGGAGCACAGGTGTTGCTCAGCACCTGGTGTGTTCTTGGTCTTCTATAGATGATTGTCAGATGACTGAAGAACATGCCCTGTCTCACTGCGTTATTTCCTGTGGTTGCAAATGATAGAAAATTCTTTAGATTGATTTAAGAAAAAAAAGATGAAGGACATTTATTTATTGACTCAAGTAATTAAGAAATCATCTTGGAGTTGAGCTGGATTAAGGGGGTCTGCCTTCTCCCAAATCTGTCTCCATCTGTCGTCCCTCACCACCGCTTCTCTGTGGTTGGGTGTCTTTCCGGGTGGGGTCTCGCTACATTATGGGGTGGAAAATGGCCCCAAGTAGCTCCAGGTTTCCAGGATGATGAGAGATCCTACTTCTAGAACGGGGTCGGCACACTCCCTCCTTACGGGTCATATTATAGGGTTTGTGAGCCATGCGATCTCTATCGCAGTGACTCAGCTCTGCCACTGGAGCAGAAACTCAGCCACAGACCATATGGGAGCAAATGGGTGTGGCTGCGTTCCAGGAACACCATGCTTATAAAAACAGTTTGGAGGCCAAATTTGACTCCCAGGCCATTGTTTGCTGACCTCAGCTCCTGGAGGAGACAAGGCCTCTTTTCTGGTGGCTCTGGTAGAACTTGTGCGAAGAGACCCTGTGGTCCAGGGCTGAGACTGGGGTGAGGTTAGTGAGACACTCACTTTGGCCACAAAATTGAAGGCGGTACCAAAAAACTTATCAATCAAGATAAATACTATTTTTATGTAATATTAAAAAAAACGAAAGTTGCATATGCCATGGTTCCGGCCAGTTAATTGCCTGCCCTGGGTTAGCTGTCCACCCCTGCAGTAGGGGGAGGTTAGGATAGTGCTGAAGGATCCCAGTGGAATGTGTTTCCCGTAGGAAAGCGGGGTGCTCTTACTAGAAGAAAGGGAAAGGGACCAGGCTCAGTGGTTTACGCCTGTAATCCCAGTGCTTTGGGAGGCCGATGCTGGATGATCATTTGATTCTAGGAGTTCAAGACCAGCTTGAGTAACATAGTAAGACCCTCGTCTCTACAGAAAAAAAAAAAAAATTAGCCGTGTATGGTGGTGTACACCTGTAGTCCCAGCTACTCATGAGCCTGAGATGGGAAGATCGCTTGAGCCCAGGAGTTCAAGACTGCAGTAAACTATGATTGTGCCACTGTGCTCTAGCCTGGGCGACAGAGTGAGACCTTGTCCCCACCCCGCCCCTCAAAAACAAAACAAAACAAAACAAAACAAAAAAAACCCCAAACAAGGAAAAGGAATGCTGTTTGGTGCACGTGTAGTAGTGATATTAATAGCTGGTTTTCATTGAGCACCAATTATATGCCAGGTATGTTAATAACTATGGCTAACATTTATTCACTGCATTTATTGGATACACTTTACATGTATTCCTATTTCTCATTTTTCCCTCATAGCAATCCATACACGTAGGTACTGTTCTCCCCACTGTACAGATGAAGAAAGTAGAGGACAAAATAAGTTTCCCAAGGTCACACAGTGCCTGAACTAGAATTTGGGACAAGGTTTTTGTCTTCCTTGTGGTCCCCAAGTCTTGGGCATCGGTGATAGTTAAGGCTTGATAGAAACTTTCCCAAAAGCCTGGTGCTGTTAGTGTCCTCTGTTAACAGGTGCCCCGGGGCAGCTCTTCTCAACACCCCTTCCTGGCACTTGTTCTTGTTGGCATTCGGCTTTCAGGTGTTTGGAGAACCAGAAGCCCTTGCCCGCTTTTTGACTTAACCCCATGTTTCAAAGCAGATCAGTGTATATCCCTAAATTAAATTACGGACACCGCAGGCGCTAATTGGCAGGTGAGCTGCGCTTTAAATAGACCACATTAATTCTGGCAGTGGAAGCGGAACCCTGCTGGGATAATTCTTATCATCATCAGCATCACCCTGACTAGCTTTAAAAGGATTCTGTAGCAGTAAGCAATTTGCAGAATTGAAAGGTGAAAACACACTTTAAAGCGTTCATGTAGATTCAAGGTCGGAGGGAGGTGACTGCATTTTTCAAGACAGGCTGCAGGTGAGAGTCACTTGACTGGAAATGTGATGGACGTACCGACAATGGTCTGGGGTATTTCGAAATACGTTGTTGGCCAGCTGGCCCAGGGTGTTGTTGTCGCCAGATTCCCCGTCCTGGTTTCTTGAGTGAGGCGGAGAATGGAAGGAAGGCTGTTTTGTACAGTTGTGTGGAGTAGACTGATCGGATGAGCTTGGGAAGTGGATTACTTTGACATTTAGGGATTGAGACACAAGATAGTCTCGAGGGACCTGCCCTCTTGCTGGTTTTTGTTATTCCTGGGAAGTTTATTCTAAATGATCCCAGTGATTGGCTTGATCCACAAATACTTATGCACACTCATACAGATGTATACATTTAGATGCTGCTAACACAAAAAGGAACCCACGCGAATGCCCTCTGCTATGAAGGGAATTAATTATTAAGCAAATGCTGATTGGTCATCATGGACTGGGCACTGTGCTCGGTGCTTTCCTTCCCTTTCTAGTTACCCCAGTAACCCTGGGCGATTCTGCACTTTTGTGTTGATTTTATGGGAGAGGATTTTCAGGCTTAGCATGGTTGAGTGACTTGCTCAAGGTCATTTGGTTGAATGGACTTTTTCTCTGTTGTCCTGCCTGCTAGACTGGAAGCCCCTTAGGGACGAGTTCTTGTTGTCTCTAGCTGGTGACACATAGCCTAGTTCGGTTCACAGCTCCCAGGAAGAATGCAGTGGATCCTAGTGAAGTTGAATTGAAACATTAGAGTGAATTTAACTAGCCTGCCATGCAGTTTCTGGAGATGGGTGTACTTGCCTCCTTCTGGAAGGCAGGTTCAAAGCCTTTGTCACATTTCAGAGGGGACTGTGAGCCTGTTTAGGTCCTAGATTGGAAGCCAGGTCTGACTGTAAAGACTCAGCTTCCCCTACTTGGAATATTAAACAGTTGTGAACGTGATCATTTTGAAGAAGGCCAAGTCCCCTCATTTTGCAGGGCAGTGTGATTTAGTGGTTTGCAGTGAGCTCTGGGGTCCCTTTCTGCCATACTGTTTACTAACTGTGTTGCTGGGCGAGTCGCTTCACTTGTCCTGGCTTCAGACCTTGTCTTTCACATGGCGATGGCCTTGGTTGTGATGATGTCAGATGTAAAGTGTTTACTGCAATAGCTGGTGCATAGTTAATGCTCAGTAAATAGTAGTTGCTGTTGCTGCTGTTATTATTACTGCCAGCATGAAAAAATGTTAAAGAGGCAATGTTAAGTGAAGAAAATTGATCACAAAATTATGTATACACTAGCATTACAACTATGAAAATATCTGGGGTTGGGCATGGTGGCTCCCGACTGTAATCCTAGCATTTTGGGAATCTCAGGCAAGAGGATCGCTTGAAGCCAGGAGTTTGGTACCAGCCTGCCAGCCTGCACAACATAGCAGAACCTCATCTCTACAAATAAATAAAAATTAAAAAGTTAGCTGGGCATGGGGGTGCGTGCCTGTGTCTCAGCTACTCGGGAGGCTGAGACAGGAGGATCACTTGAGCCCAGGACGTTGAGGCTGCAGTGAGCTGTCCAGCCTGGGTGACAGAGGGAGAGGCCCTGTCTCAAAAATAAATAAATAATAATTAATTTAAAATGTATATAACAAATTTTAAAAATCTGTGTACATGTGGATAAAAAGTAGTGGGATGTGAGGAGATACAAGTAGTTGTAGGAATGACTGTCTTATGGATAAAAACAAACTTTCTTAGGTTTCCCATAACGCCTTAAATCTGTTCCTATCCTCAGACTGAGTAATTCGACATGTGGAAATCTTTCGTAAGGAACTAGGAATGAGGACAATTATTTATGTATAGGGGTGTTCTTTACTGTACAGAGGGAAAGTTGGCCATGTGCCATGCCCTTAGTAGTAGGGAAATAGTTATGTTTTACTGGAAAGCCATCAAAAATCATCTTTGAAAGACTTTTAATTGTAATAGGAAAATGTTCATGCTCTAGACAAGAAAATAAATGAATCAGGATACAAAATTACACATATAAATATGTATGCATATACACTCATACAATATGATGTGGTTTTATTTATTTATTTTTTGAGACAGAGTGGAGTGTTGTGGCGTGATCTCGGCTCTCTGCAACCTCCGTCTCCTGGGTTCAAGCGATTCTCCTGCCTCAGCCTCCCAAGTAGCTGGGACTACAGGCGTGCGCCACCACACCCAGCTTTTTTGTATTTTTAGTAGAGACAGGGTTTCACCATTTTGGCCAGGATGGTCATCTCTTGACCTCGTGATCTGCCTGCCTTGGCCTCCCAAAGTGCTTGGATTACAGGGGTGAGCTACCGCGCCATCCTGTTTTTTTTGTTTTGTTTTTTTTGAGATAGAGTTTTGCTCTGTCGCCCAGGCTGGAGTACAGTGGTGCGATCTTGGCTCATTGCACCTTCTGCCTACCGGGTTCAAATGATTCTCCTGCCTCAGCCTCCCGTGTAGCTGGGATTACAGGTGCCTGCCACCATGCCTGGCTCATTATTGTATTTTTAGTAGAGATGGGGTTTCAGCATGTTGGCCAGGCTGATCTCGAACCCCTGACCTCAGATGATCCGCTCGCATCGGCCTCCCGGAGTGCTGAGATTACAGATATGGGCCACCGTGCCTGGCCTGATGTGTTCTTTTCTTCTGGCTGCTGTAACAAATTAATACACAGTTGTTGGCTTTTAAACACTATAATTTATTCTCCCACAGTTCTGGAGGTCAGAAGTCCCCAATCAGTTTCACTGGGCTAAAGTCAAGGTGACAGCAGGGCTGCTTCCTTCCAGAGGCTTCAGGGCTGAATCCGTTTCTGGCCCTTCCAGAGTCTGCTCGCTGCCCACCTTCCTTGGCTATGGCTGCCCCATTCTAGTCTTTGCTTCTCTGGCCACATCATGTCCTCCTCTTCTGTGTCAAGTTTCTCTCTGCCTGCCTCTTATGAAGATCTTGTGATTACGTCAGCCTCGCAGGGATTATGCAAGATAACCTCCCAATTTCCAGATCCTAACACAGTTGCATAGACTCTTTTACTATATAAGGTAATATTCAGAGAATTCTGGAGCTTAGGACGTCGATATGTTTGAGGATTATAATTCAGCCTACAGCAAATGTTGATTTTTTTATAAAAAAGAAAAGTGCAGTAAAAAAGACTGAAAACTCTTGAAAATGTCAATATTGGTCTTTTCTGGATGAGAGGTTTTAGAGTCATTTTTATTTTTGATATACTCTTCTGTATCTCCCACCTTTTTTTCTTATTTCATTATTGTTTTTGAGGCTGAGTCTTGTTCTGCCACCAGGCCGGAGTGCAGTGGTGCAATCTCAGCTCACTGCAACCTCCGCCTCCTGGGTTTAAGTGATTCTCCTGCCTCAGCCTGCCCGGTAGGTGGGATTACAGGTGTGCGCCACCATACCCAGCTAATTTTTGCATTTTTAGTAGAGATGGGGTTTTACTGTGTTGGCCAGGCTGGTCTTGAACTCCTAGCCTCAAGTGATCCACCACATCAGCCTCCCAAGTGCTGGGATTACAGGCATGAGCCACCGTTCCCAGCTTCAATTTTTATTTTAGATTCAGCGGGTACATGTGCAGGTTTGTTACCTGGGTACATTGCGTGATGCCGAGGTTTAGGGCACGATTGAACCCATCTCCCAGGCAGTGAACATAGTACCTGGTAGGTAGTTTTTCCGTCTGTGCTCTCCTCCCTCTCTACTCTCTCTAGCAGCCCCCAGTGTCTGTTGTTTGCCATCTTTATGTCTGTGTGTACCCAGGGTTGAGCTTCCATTTATAAGTGAGACTATCCAATATTTCGTTTTCTATTTCTGTGTAATTCGCTTAGGATAATGGCCTCCAGTCATCCATGTTGCTGCATAGGACACAATTTTGTTCTTTTTCATGGCTGCATAGTATTCCATTGTGTAAATGTACCACATTTTGTTTATCCAGTCCACTATTGATGGGTATCTGGGTTGATTCCATGTCTTTGGTGTTATCTCCTACCTTTTCCATGCTAAGGGGATACTCTGTTACAATCTCCAACTTCGCCTAGAGGCTTTGTGTGTTCCTCTCCCAGTGCTGAGTGCCCCAGGCCGAGTGCCAGGCGCCTGTGCCCTCTCTCCGTAGAGCCCGTGTTCTGGTACTACGTGAAGGAGGTCCTCAACAAGCACGAGCTGCAGCGCTTCTACTCCCTGCGCCACATCGCCTCAGACGTGGGCCGGGGTCGCGCCTGGCTGCGCTGTGCCCTCAACGAACACTCCCTGGAGCGCTACCTGCACATGCTCCTGGCCGACCGCTGCAGGCTGAGGTACGTGGCCGGGATGCGAACTGGGATGGGATGGAGCAAGAGGTGAAGATCTTGGAGTCTGGAATCAGACCACCTGGATTTTCATCCTAGTTCCCCGATCTGGGGGAAGTGGGCCTCCCTCTGACAGCTCCGGAGTGTTCTGCTGAGCTGTGGAGAAACTTGGGGGAGAATCATTGAGAGACTGCCTGTAAAGGGCTCGGCATGGCACTTGCATACAGCCAGCTTGGATGTGGAGAGAGCTGTTGTCTTAGGACATAGCTTCCTCTTCACTTTCTGGATTTTTTTTTTTTTTTTAAAGACAGGGTCTTGCTTTGTTGCCCAAGTTGGAGTGCAGTGGCATGAACATGGGTCTTTGCAGCCTGGACCTCCCTGGCTCAAGCAATCCTCCCACCTTAGCCTCCTGAGCAGCTAGGACCCTAAGCGTACGCCACCATGCCTGGCTAATTTAAAAAATTTTTTTGTAGCGATGGGGTCTCAGTGTGTTGCCCAGGCTGGTCTCGAACTCCTAGGTTCAAGTAATCTTCCCACCTCAGCCTCCCAAAGTGCTGGGATTACAGGTATGAGCTACCATGCCAGGTGCAGAATTTTAATTTGGGATTCTTGAATTCATTCAATCCCAAACTGAAAAAAACATGGAAATTTTACATTGGGGAAGGAAGTCATTTTTTTTGTTGTTGTTTGTTTGTTTGTTTTTGAGACGGAGCCTCACTCTTTTGCCCAGGCTGGAGTGCACTGATGCTATCTGGGCTCACTGCAACCTCCGTCTCCTAGTTCGAGCGATTCTCCTGCCTCAGCCTCCTGAGTAGCTGGGATTACAGGCCTGTGCCACCATACTCAGCTAATTTTTTGTATTTTTAGTGGGTACGGGGTTTAATCATGTTGGCCAGGCTGGTCTTGAACTCCAGACCTCAGGTGATCTGCCCGCCTAGGCCTCCCAAAGTCCTGGGGTTACAGGCGTGAGCCACTGTGGCTGGCCATGGCCATTAGTTTTGCTCTGAGAATGGTGGACTAGACATGTTGTTTTGTGTCCTTGAGTGATACGGAGCGACACTGACGAATCCTGTTCTGGTTCCTTAAGTAACTTCCCCATCAGCAACGCCCAGATCGTCAACAGTGAAATTTCACTGAATTCCGTAAGTGGGCAGTTTGTGAGTAGTGTGGCATGTTCCCTTGATTTTATGTCTTGCCCTGTGTTCCCTAGTTCAGGTCTCCTCTTCTGCTTTATCTACTGCTGTGGTCACCTCTCTACTGGTAATGTCTCAGATCTTCTGGGATTGTGCACTGGGGCTCTTAAAAATACTCTTAAAGTTCTCTGTTGCCTGTGGCTCCTTGTTCAATTGTATGGCAAGACTCTATGGGTCCAAAATGGGAGTGCTTGGGAACCAGGAGGACTGACACTGATGACACCTGTGTACTGCTCACGGTCAGAGTTCGGAGGCTGAGAATGTCTGGATCTCTAGGGCATTAACCAGCTTTAGTTAAGGAAAACACACTCCTGTTTCTTTCTTTCCTTTTTTTTGAGAAGAAGTCTCGCTTTTTTGCCTAGGCTGGAGTGTAGTGGCGCGACCTTGGCTCACTGTAACCTCTGCCTCCCGGCTTCAAGCGATTCTCCTGCCTCAGCCTCCCGAGTAGCTGGGTCTGCCAGCGCCTGCCACCATGCCTGGTTAATTTTTTGTATTTTTAGTAGAGACGGGGCTTCACTGTGTTAGCCAGGGTGGTCTTCTTGATCTCCTGACCTCGTGATCCTCCCGCCTCGGCCTCCCGACGTGCTGGGATTACAGGCGTGAGTTACTGTGTCTGGCCTACTCCTTTTTTTCGAAGTGAATTTCTGTGAAGCTCCTTCCAGCATATTATTTACGGGTAGTTCAGAGTTACATACTCAGTCTCAAAGTTGAAGTGACCAACAAGAAGAAATGAGTCCAGCAGGTAAGAATCACAGTTGACCTTACCTGGATCACCAGCCACTTCCCCAGCTGGATGTTGGGAAAACACATTCATTTAGATGCACGAAAACAGGCTCAGATTTTTAAAGGATTATGATTTTAGGAATCAGGTGCAGTCAGAATGTCAGCTTGAGCATGTGGTTTGTACGTCTACTAACATTTTCTGGGGAAGTATATTGGAAATGCGCCTCTTCTTTCTTTCTGTTAGTTGTATTCAGTCACTTCAGTGGCTAATTTTTCCAGTCTCTCACTCAACTACAGGTCATGTATCCCTGACTTTGCTTTAGCGAAATTGACTTTTTCCTTGATTAATTTAGAATTCAATGACCTGGCGGGGAAGTTATGGCATTGGGGATTTTTGGTTGCCATTACTTAACAGGAAGACAGAGAGAGCTTGCAAGTTGGACTCGGGAGACCTGCTTTTAAGCCCTGGCTGGACCATTTATTGGCCAGATGACCTTGGACAGGCCCTGTAGGCTTCCTTGACACCCCTACCCCAACTGCCATCTATATTTGTGGGGCATTTTTAGCCTCCTAGCCTTTTCCAAGGATAATGTGGGCTTTCAGGTCTGTAACCTAGGCAGGCATTATATTATTATTATTATTATTATTATTATTATTATTATTTTGAGGTGGAGTCTTGCTCTTTCGCCCAAGCTGGAGTACAGTGGCGCGATCTCTGCTCACCAAGCCTCCAGGTTCAAGCGATTCTCCTGCCTCAGCCTCCCGAGTAGCTGGGATTACAAGCGCCTGCCACCATGCCTGGCTAATTTTTTATATTTTTAGTAGAGATGGGGTTTCACTGTGTTGGCCAGGCTGGTCTTGAACTCCTGACCTCAAGTGATCCTCCCCCCTGGCCTCCTAAAGTGCTGGGATTACAGGTGTGAGCCACCGTGCCTGGCCAAGGCAGGCATTATATTAAATGCCCTGGTTGATGAAGCCGTAGAGGCTCTGTAATTTCTGTCTGAAATGGTCTCTTCTTGTATTAGGCAAATCAGGCGAGCCCTGTTGGCAGGCTTGGATTTCCTGTCTGTCTCTTGGGGACGTTGCTTGAGTGGAAGTCACCCACCTGACAGCTCCCTTCTACTTTGCTGCTTTATAAATACATTGACATATCATGTCTATTTTAGTACTCTAAAGCTGAGGGTCGGCAGGGGGACCAGTGAGGAAGTTGTAGGATGTAAGTGTTCAGTCTTCTGTTTGTAACCAGAAGCTGTAAACCAGCAGAGACCTCAGACAAATCATATCCCTCTTGGGGTGACCAGGTGCAGATCTTCCAGGGAGCCGTCTAATGGAATTTCCTGGTTAATGGACACAGAGAACCACTGCTAAGAACGATTTCCTTTTCTCTTTCAATCTGCAGCACTTTTTATGAAGACTGGTCTTTTGTGATGGATGAAGAAAGGTCCAGTATGCTTCCTACCATGGCAGCAGGTAAGCCTGGCCCAGACCAGGGTGCAGGGCCTTGTGACACTTGGCAGAGGGGCTGCCTTGGGGCAGTTCCACAGCGCCATGGAGTGTTGTGATTCTTCTGTCCCTCAACAACTCAATGAGTCACTTGCTGCTGTCCTTCTTTTACTAGGACTGAATGTTGGTTTTTTAATTTGTATTCCTTTAAAGAGAGAGCCTCACTCTGTTGCCCAGGCTGGAGTGCAGTGATGCAACCTCGGCTCACTGCAACCTCCGCCTCCTGGGTTCAAGTCATTTTCCTGTCTCAACCTTCCGAGAAGCTGGGATTACGGGCGCCTGCCACCATGACCAGCTAATTTTTGTATTTTAATAGAGATAGAGTTTCACTATGTTGGTCAGGCCGGTCTCGAAATCCTGGGCTCAAGTGATCCACCCGCCTTGGCCTCCCAAAGCATTGGGATTGCAGGTGTGAGCCACCGTGCCCGACCACAGTGTTGGGTCCATTTATCTAGAATGGGAGACCCTGGCAGAGAAAGTGAAGATTTGAAGGTTTTTAGTTGGGCTTTGGAGATGTAATATACATTGCGGGGAATTGGAGGTGGGAGACCTACCTTTGAATCCTGGCTTTACCCCTTGCTACCTGGTGACCTGGGCAGATGCCGTAAGCTTTGCTGCCTTTTCTTTCCTCTCTGTGAGGTGGGAATCATGCTGTCTCAGCAGTCATCTTCATGGGGCTGTGAGAGAATCATGTGAGATCAGGAGTCGCACACATGACGAGTCAACATGGAGAGACCCTGGGTTGATGTTAGTCGGTGGACTGTTACGTTGTTCGCCCTTTGACTCAAAGTGTGAAAGGTGGAATCAGCCGGACTGAAGTGGGCAACTTGCTTCCTCTTTCCAAGTTTTTTGTTGCCTCCTTTTTGTTTTTCCTTGAAAATTTATACTAAATCTCAAATATCTGGGGTTGTTAGTCCTGTCCATTGATGAGAAAAAGAATTTGACCATAATTTCCTTTGTAGATCATAAGATGCCAAGTGTAAGTTTCTGTCCACAGTAATGATGATGATGTTAACCAGTGCACATTTGATGGTTTATGGAGCTGAGTGTTTTGTGAGTGATTGCCTTTAATACTTACAATCCTGTGAGGAAGATAATATTGTCCCCATCTTACAGATAAGGTGACTGGAGTACAGGGAGATGCTAAGTTGCTGGACCAAGGTCTTTTTTTTTTTTTTTTTTTTTTTGAGACGGAGTTTCACTCTCGTTGCCCAGGCTGGAGTGCAATGGCAGGATCTTGGCTCACCACAACCTCTGCCTCCTGGGTTCAAGCGATTCTCCTGCTGCAGCCTCCCGAGTAGCTGGGATTATAGGCATGCACCAACACGCCTGGCTAATTTTGTATTTTTAGTAGATATGGGGTTTCTCCATGTTGGTCAGGCTGGTCTCGAACTCCTGACCTCAGGTGATCCACCTGTCTCAGCCTTCCAAAGTGCCGGGATTACAGGTGTGAGCCACCGTGCCCAGCCTGGATCAAGGTCTTGTAGCTAGTAGGTGGCAGTGCCGGGATTCACTCCCAGGCAGCCTGATCCCGGAACTTGTGCCTTTACCTCCTCCCAGTTGACCTCTTATTCATATTCATTTTCCTGGCTGTTAGGGAGAGAACGTGGCATGACTCAACTCCCATGATAACGGATGTCTGCTGACCCCAGTTTCATGGGAGGTTTTTTTTTTTTTTGAGGCAGAGTCTTGCTTTGTCACCCAGGCTGGAGTGCAGTGGCGCGATTTTCGCTCCCTGCAACGTCCGCATGGGAGGTATTTTTATACCTATTTAAGATCAACGTGCCTCCTCTTCTGTACTCTGTTGTCTGCAGCTGTCTTCTCTTGTTGCTGGTATGACTGCCCATCAGCAAGCACTCCAGACTTTTCCCTTTTTTTGGGCAGGTCTGAACTCCATACTCTTTGCGATTAACATCGACAACAAGGATTTGAACGGGCAGAGTAAGTTTGCTCCCACCGTTTCAGACCTCTTAAAGGAGTCAACGCAGAACGTGACCTCCTTGCTGAAGGAGTCCACGCAAGGAGTGAGCAGCCTGTTCAGGGAGATCACAGCCTCCTCTGCCGTCTCCATCCTCATCAAACCTGAACAGGAGACCGACCCCTTGCCTGTCGTGTCCAGGAATGTCAGTGCTGGTGAGTGGGAACGGGTGCTCGAGGCGGAGCAGAGGGAATCAGAATGTGGCGGATGGGGTGGACATATCTTGTCATCTGAAAGTCATTCCAAGGGGAATGGAGTCCAGTGCACTTGCGTTTTCCATTTGTGTTTCTGTTTCTCATCCTCATTCACTCTGAAAGGGCTCTGACGGCCTTACCTAGATGCGAGAATTGCCGGGTGGAAAAATGAACAGCTCAACCATAGCAAACGGAAAGTGAGAGTGTGAGAGACACCGGGAGCCAGATGACGTTGATCCTCATTCATTAATTCCTTTATTTGTTCCTTCATCGTATTCTGTGTGTTAGGCGGTGAGCCGAATAGGAAAGACAGATTACCAGCAGGTAGCCTGCAGTCTCCTTTGGGATGGGTGTGGGTGGGTAGTTCATGACAAAATATATAATTTATGATCCTTAGGATAAAAGGGATGAAAGCCAAGCATAGACTGCTATGGGGAACATCTGCCATTGGTCTTGCCTCTGACTGGGGATGGCATTTAAGGCCTCAGGAAAGAGAGGAGTTGTCAGGTTTGACTCTAGGCTCTGGGGAAGCAAAAGAGTTGATTCAGGCCGGTCGTGGTGGCTCATGCCTATAATCCTAGCACTTTGGGAGGCCGAGGCAGGAGGATCGCTTGAGTTCAAGGGTTCTAGACCAGCCTGGGCAATGCAGTGAGACCCTGTCTCAATTTTTTAACTTTTTTTTTTTTTTTTTGAGACAGAGTCTCACTCTATTGCCCGGGTTGGAGTGCAGTGGCATGATCTCAGCTCACTGCAACCTCCACTTCCCGGGTTCAAGCAATTCTCCTGCCTCAACCTTCTGAGTAGGTGGGACTATAGGCATGTGCCAACATGCGTGGTTTCTTTTTGTATTTTTAGCAGAGACAGGGTTTCCCCATGTTGGCCAGGCTGGTCTTGAACTCCTGACCTCAGGTGATCTGCCCGCCCTGGCCTCTCAAAGTGCTAGGATTACAGGCGTGAGCCACTGTGCCCAGCCTGTTTTTAAAAAATTTTAATTAAAAAATTAAATATAAAAAAAGAAAGTTGATTCAGTTAAGATTAATTTGGTGAGAAGTTTTCAATACCCTTTGATTCCTTTGGGACATTAAGATGTTACTACAGCAAAATTGGAAATTTTGTTGTAGTATGTATGTGTATATATGTAGAGACAGGGTCTTGCCATGTTGCCCAGGCTGGTCTTGAACTCCTGGCCTCAAGTGATCCTCCTGCCTTGGCCTCCCAAAGTGCTGGGATTACAAGTGTGAGCCACTGCACCTGGTTGAAATTGGAAATTTTGGGCTTAAGTACTTAGTATTCTCAAATCTCTGAAACAAGGCAGTAACTGTGGCCATCCCTTTGGAATTATTCATGGTGAAAGTGTAGAGTCCCATGGTGTCTTTGGTACACAGTGGCCTTGTCTGTCTTGCCCTGTGCTTCTCCAGCAGAGACCCTGCACGAACCTTGTAGAAGATAGGGCTGTTGACAGCTTTGTGTAACAGACACTGAAATTTCTACACCCACAGGAGTAGAAGTTCCACCCATTTTTGGAACTCTGCTTTTGAGGTGATCTCAGAGTTGTGCTATACCAGTGAGGCCTCACCGCATCACACATTGGTTTAGACAGATTGGATTTTTGGAATTGGCTCAAAGTGTCTTACATCCAAGTGTGATGATTAAAATAGGGGCACAAAGTGTCTTCTGTGAGTGCTGGTCACTAAGGCAAGCTTGATTTCTTTTTCAGTTAACATTTGCTATATAACAAGTGATTTAAAAATGTAGCGGCTTAAAACCACTGCAGTTCGTTACTTTTTTGTGTGGGTTGGCATGGTGGCTCTTCTGCTGGGCTCTTTCGGCTCACTCATGGGAGCTGGTGGTTAGATTGGAAGATCCAAGATGGCCCCATCCACGTGTCTGGAATCAGTGCTGGGGCAGCTCGGGTTCTACTCATAGCCTCTCATCCTCCAGTCGGCTGAACTGGCTTCTTTATATATGGGGTCAGGGCCACTGTCCAGGAAAGCAAAGGCAAAGCTGAGACCTTTTAACACCTAGCTACTAGAACTCACACAGTGTTATTTCTGCCACTTTTTTTTTTTGGAGAAAGAGTCTCGCTCTGTCACCCAGACTGGAGTGCAATGGCGCAATCTTGGCTCACTGCAACCTCTGCCTCCCGTGTTCAAGAAATTCTCCTGCCTCAGCCTCCCAAGTAGCTGGGATTACAGGCACCTGCCACCACGCCCAACTAATTTTTTTTTTTTTTGTATTTTTAATACAGACGGGGTTTCACCATGTTTGCCAGGCTGGTCTTGAACTCCTGACCTCAGGTGATCCACCCGCCTTGACCTCCCAAAGTGCTGGGATTATAGGCGTGAGCCACCGCGCCCGGCCCTTTCTGCCACATTCTTTTGGTAGAAGCAGGGCATGGTGGCTCATGCCTATAATCCCAGCAATTTAGGAGGCTGAGGTGGGAGTATTGCTTGAGGCCAGGAGTTTTGAGACTAGCCTGGGCAGCACAGCAAGACCTCATCTCTACAAATAATAATAAAATTAGCTGGGTGTTGTGGCATGCACCTGTAGTCCCAGCTACTCAGGAGGCTGAGGGCAGAGGATTGTTTGATCCCAGGAATTTGAGGTTACAGTGAGCTATGATTGCACCATTGTACTCCAGCCTGGGCAATAGAGCGAGATGCCCCAACTCTTAAAAAAAAAAAAAAAAGCAGAGCACTACGCCAGCCAGATTCAAGAGGGTGCAGAAATAGACATCACCTCTGGCTGGGAGGAGCCACAAAGATCCATTGCAAAGGGGCATTGCACAGGAATGGCAGGAGTTTGAGGCTGCTCAACCCTTGACTACACCCCCCAGCTGGTTCTCCTGGTCTCATCTACCAGCTATGAGAATATTTTCCAAAGTGAAGCATTGAAGATCATTTTGGTAATGGTAGCATCCTTCGCATCAAAGTGACTGCTTAGAAGGAACAGTTTCAAGATGTGCTCTGTGGTGTGTTTATTTAAATCAGAGGCAGAGGCCTGCGTCCATTCTGCTCAATCTTCTGTACACAGATTTTCACTGAGGATTTTAAAAAGTCTGAATTCATGTTACAGTGTATTTCTCACTCGAATAGTATTTTCCATAACCTGGAGGTGAGTTGGTTCCATCATCCTTTTGTCTTGCCTCCTTTTTCTTATACTGTATCTTTTTTTTTTTTTTTGCCAGATGCCAAATGCAAAAAGGAGCGGAAGAAGAAAAAGAAAGTGACCAACATAATCTCATTTGATGATGAGGAAGATGAGCAGAACTCTGGGGACGTGTTTAAAAAGACACCTGGGGCAGGGGAGAGCTCAGAGGACAACTCCGACCGCTCCTCTGTCAATATCATGTCCGCCTTTGAAAGCCCCTTCGGGCCTAACTCCAATGGAAGTCAGAGCAGCAACTCATGGAAAATTGATTCCCTGTCTTTGAACGGGGAGTTTGGGTACCAGAAGCTTGATGTGAAAAGCATCGATGATGAAGATGTGGATGAAAACGAAGATGACGTGTATGGAAACTCATCAGGAAGGAAGCACAGGGGCCACTCGGAGTCGCCCGAGAAGTAAGTTTGTGTGTAAGGTGGAGTCTCACCGTCCCCCAGGCTGGAGTGCCGTGGCGTGATCTCAGCTCACTGCAACCTCCACCTCCCGGGTTCAAGCTATTCTCCTGCCTCAGCCTCCCGAGTAGCTGGGATTACAGGCACCTGTCACCACACCCAGCTAATTTTTGTATTTTTAGTAGAGATGGGGTTTCACCATATTGGCCAGGCTGGTCTCAAACTCCTGACCTCAAGTGATCTGCCTGCCTTGGCCTCCCAAATTGCTAGGTTTACAGGCATGAGCCACCACGCCCAGCCTTCCCTTGCACTTTTAATGAGGGGGTTAAGTTCACTGTTTTCTCTTTCTATGGTATTGGGTAAAATAGGTCTGCAAGCTTTATATTTGCCCAGGGTATCATTCATTCTTCAGGTGTTGATTTAGGAGTGTTATTTGGAAGGAGTATTATTTGCTCTTCCCCTGAGAACTGAAAGAGGGGAAAGGAGTACATTTGAGGGCACTTAATACAAAGTTAATGTCAGAATGTGTGCCTTGAAATTCTTGCTTTATACATACATCTGTCATTTTCATTTCACAGGGTTCACAGGGTTTCACAGTCTGATGAGACTGTGCCTGTTATTGTTTTTTATTTTTACTCTGGATTTTCCTTGCATCTGACTTGCCACTAGCACAGGAAGCTCAGGACGAAGGCAGCGTTAGGAGAATAGTTGTGGTATGGTGACTTCTGTGTTTATCTGCAGGGGTGTGAATAGCCGTAACTTGCCTGCACCTGCTGCCTTAACAGTGGAGTTGGCCAGGCGCAGTGGCTCACACCTGTAATCCCAGCACTTTGGGACACCAAGGTGGGTGGATCACCTGAGGTCAGGAGTTCTAGACCAGCCTGACCAACATGGTGAAACCCCTTCTCTACGTATAAAAAAATACAAAATTAGCCAGGCATGGTGGTGCATGCCTGTAACTCCAGATACTTGGGATGCTGAGGCAGGAGAATCGCTTGAATATGAGAGGCGGAGCCAAGATGATGCCATTGCACTCCAGCCTGGGCAACAAGAGAGAAGGTCCTTCTCAAAAAAAAAAAAAAAAAAAAAGTCCCCCAAATACCCCAAATAAGCTAGTTACCTCTTAGGCTTTGTGGTGCGCAGTGCCCTCCTAATCATGACTACTGCAAAATCCAGTCCATTAAAGTGTAAAATGAGGCCAGGTGCAGTGGTTCATGCCTGTAATCCCGGCACTTTGGGAGGCTGAGTTGGGAGGATTCCTTAAGGCCAGGAGTTTGATACCAGCCTGGGCAACACAGCAAGACTCTGTCTCTACAAAAAAATAAAAAGTATAAAATGAATATACAGAAATGTATCTTTCTATCTGACCTAAATCTTATGGTATTGTTTAGGCTGCAGTATACCCTTAGCCCTAAGATTTTTGTTTTCATGTTGTTACAATATTAGGGTTTTTTTTTTTTTTCTGATGAGACTGTGCCTATTATTGTTTTTTATTTTTACTCTAGTCCTCATCTGCATGGATGCTTGTACTAGTAGTGTTACCTTATTGATCATCTGAGATATGCCAGGTGCTGCAGATGATTTATACCCTATATTGTAAGACGTCTAGCAGCCCTATGAGGTTCATGGGTATCACCTCCATTTTACAGACAGAAGAACAGGATTCCATAGGGAGGCAAGATTTGTGAAAGCCATTGGCTAAATTGAGATTTGGATTCAGGTATGCTGTAATCCAAAGCTTATATTGTCAGTTTTTGTTTTTTTTTTTTGAGACAGAGTCTTGCTCTGTCGCCCAGGCTGGGGTGCAGTGGCGTGATCTCGGCTCACTGCAAACTCCGCCTCCCGGGTTCATGCCATTCTCCTGCCTCAGCCTCCCGAGTAGCTGGGACTGCAAGCGTCCGCCACCACGCCCGGCTAATTTTTGTATTTTTAGTAGAGACAGGGTTTCACCCTGTTAGCCGGGATGGTCTCAAACTCCTGATCTCGTGATCTGCCCGCCTTGGCCTCCCAAAGTGCTGGGATTACAGGCATGAGCCACTGTGCCCAGCTATTCTGTCAAATGTTTTTCATGTTTCTACTTAATTATGAATATTGATTTGTTGATGTAATGGTTAATTTTGTGTGTCAACTTAACTGGGCTGTGGGATGCCCAGATTGAATATTCTGCTTCTGGGTGGATCAGTGGGGATGTTTCTGGGTGAGGGAAGTGTTTGAATTGGTGGACTCAGTAAAGGCGATAGCCCTCCCCAGTGTGGGTGGACCTCATCCAATCCATTGAAGGCCTGAACAGAACAACAAGTGAAGGCAGGGAGGGATTCTTTCCTTTCCGCCTGCTAGCTTCAGCTGGAACATGGCTTTTCGGCCCTGGGCCAGGGACTCCCACTATCTGCTCTCCTGGTTCTCAGGCTTCAGACTTGGACTTCACCACACCCCCAGCTTTCCTGGGTCTTCAGCTTGTGGACTGCGGATCATGGGACTTCTTGGTCCCTGCAGTTGTGTGGAGCAGTTCCTCAATATAAACCTGTATTTGTATCTCTCTGTCTCTCTCTCTTCAGGCACACACCCCTTGGTTCCATTTCTCCGCAGAACCGTGGCTAACGCAGTTGCCTTTCAGTCAGATCAACATATTATGACTTGTGAAATGTTTCCCCTTTTGTTGGGTATTTATGCTGATGGTTTTTGTTTTTGCTTTTTGTTATCAGCGGATCTCAAATGAATATTTTCACACGCAAGATTTTTTTCCTACGAGTGAACTGTTTGTTAGGGCAGCTTTTCAGCAGCCTTGTTCTTGCTCATAGGGTATGAATGTTTTTGTACCTGGCATCCAAGTCTTGTGACCTGCTGTGTTATTCAGGGCTTTCTAGAGAAACAGAACCAGTGTGGTGGGGCTGAGGCGGACGTTCTGTGTGTGGATGTGTGTAGTTCCTTCTCTGTCCTGCTCTATTTTTTCTCAATTTCTACCTCTATCTGTACCTCTAACTCCATTTCTATCTCTGTTTCTGTGTCTCTGTTTCCTTTCTTTTTTTTTTTTTTCTGAGATGGAGTCTTGCTTTGTCACCTAGGCTGGAGTACGGTGGCACGATCTCAGCTCACTGCAACCTTTGTCTCCTGGGTTTAAGTGATTCTTGTGTCTCAGCCTCTCGAGTAGCTGGGATTACAGGTACCTACCACACCCCGCTAACTTTTGTGATTTTAGTAGAGATGGGGTTTTACCCTGTTGGCCAGGCTGGTCTCAAACTCCTGACCTCAAATGATCCACCCACCTCAGCCTCCCAGAGTGCTGGGATTACAGGCATGAGCCACCACGCCTGGTCTTATCTTGATTTATTTTAAGGAATTGGCTCATGTGATTGTGGGGCTGGGAAGTCCAAAATCCACAGGTTAGGTGTGTGGACTGGAGACCCAGGGAAGAGTTGCAGTTCAGGTCCAGAGGCAATCTGCTGGCAGAATTTCTTCTTCCTTTGGAAGGTCTGTCTTTTTCCTATCGAGGCCTTGCACTGCTTGCATGAAGCCCACCCACATTATGCAGCGTAATCTGGTTCACCCAGAATCTACTGATTTAAATGTTAATCTCATCTAATAGAAACAGCTAGAATAATGTTTGACCAAATACCTGGGTATTGTGGCCCAGCAAAATTGACACATACAATTAACCCTCACAAGTGCCTTTATTCTTTTTTTTCTGGAACAGAGTCTTACTCCATGGCCCCGGCTGTAGTGCAGTGGTGCGATCTCAGTTCACTGCAACCTCTGCTCCCAGGTTTAAGCGATTCTCCTGCCTCAGCCTCCAGAGTAGGTGGGACTACAGGAGTGTGCCACTATACCCGGCTAATTTTTGTATTTTTAATAGAGATGGGGTTTCACCATGTTGGCCAGGCCTGTATTGAACTCCTGAGCTCAAGTGATCCACCTGCTTCAGCCTCCCAAAGTGCTGGGATTGCAGGCATGAGCCTCTGCACCTGGCCATGTGCCTTTACTTTGTAATCTGGGCCTTTGAGGAGATGCTGCTTGCTGATGCCACTGAGTGTAGCCCCATGGGTGAGGCTGGTGTGTGAGCCAAGGCAGCCCCCAGCATTGTGTGTAAATGCCCAACACAGTGCAGGGTGACCTTCACTTGGCCTGGGCCCTCTGAAGCCAGAGGGCCTCCTGCAGACTCTGGACAGCTCTCCCCGGCATTAAGAGGGATCTTGACTGACCCTTCCACAGAGCAGCCTGGGGAAGACACAGCGGAGTGATGGGATGGCCTGCTGAGTAATGCTTTGATTTTGATTCTAAGCTAGTGTTCACAGGGAAGGTTGAGGGGGCTGGTGCACAGCAGATGTGTGAGGGGAATGCAGCCAGACCAGGAGAAGCTCACTGTGGATTGCCACAGTGTCTGGCAGAGTCTGCTGCCCTGTTGTCTTTAAGACCCTCTGTTGGTCAAAGTTAGGCTTACTCATTGGTTTACTGGTCATTAACCCATTCTTTGATGTCTGAAGAAGTCTTGTTTCTTCTGCCTCTGTATTTATCATAAGTATTAGCTTTGCGTTTTGTATTTTTCTTTACAAGGGATAGTATTTTTATTACGGTCAGGTTTTGTTCTTTTGTTCTTTTTTTGTTTTGTTTTGTTTCTTTGTTTGTTTTTTTGAGACAGGTCTTGCTCTGTCATCCAGGCTGGAGTGCAGTGGCCTGATCACACCCTCAACTCAGGGAACTCCTAGTGTCAAGTGATCTCCCTGCCTCAGCCTCCTGAGTAGCTAGGACTATAGGTACATGCCACCACGCCCAGCTAATTTTTTATAGAAATGGGGTCTCAAGGCATTGCTCAGGTTGGTCTTGATTTCCTGGCCTGAAGTGATCCTCCTATGTTGGCCTCCCTGAGTGCTGGGATTACAGGCATGGGTCACTGAGCCAGGCCCAGATGGGGCTTTTTAAATCACTTTATATGTGCTCTATGATACCGGTAGGGAAGTAGGGGGAAACATAATTCAGAAAGGACTACAAACATATGCTGTGTCTCGCTATTCTGCATCTCACTAGCAGTTAAGCAAATGCAAAGTGAAACAAGACTCCATATTTTGCCCATCATATTTGCGGAGACCTTGGGTTGGCGCCCTGGTGGAAGGGAAAGATCTTGCTGTCAGTGAGTCCTCAGTTCCTGGCACATCCCATAGCATCCACTTGGTGTCTGTGGGATGAATGAGGCTGCAGGGATGGTGCACAGGGGCTGACCTCATAGACAGCTGGAAGCAGTTGAGCTGGGAGCAGTTGATAGCCATGGGGGAAAGCAGTTTGACAAACTGGCATGAACTTAAGGATGTTTATCCCACTTGGTTTAGCAGTCCCAGTGCGAGAAGCAGCCCAGAGAACATACCCTCGATTCAGGGAAAAGTTGCTACATCTAGATACCAAAGTTCTTATTCAGAGAAGCAGAACACTGGAGTTGACCTAAATGTGCAGCCACAGGGGGACGGTTAACAGCAGAAGATTTTATAGTTTAAGCCTTGACATTTTAACATTTAGGATCTCAAACATCTCAAATGATGTTTAAGAGTGTCTAGTGTTATGAAGCTGAGCTAATGAGTACATATATACATACATATACATATATATATATATTTTATATATATATTTTTTTTTGAGCTGGGTTCTCGCTCTGTCACTCAGGCTGGAGTACAGTGGCACAATCTTGGCTCACTGCAATCCCTGCCTCCTGTGTTCAAGCGATTCTCCTGCCTCAGCCTCCCAAGTAGCTGGGATTATAGGTGACCACCACCACTCCCGGTTAATTTTTTGTATTTTTAGTAGAGATGGGGTTTCACCATGTTGGCCAGGCTGGTCTCAAAACTCCTGACCTCAGGTGATCTGCCCACCTTGGCCTCCCAAAGTGCTGGGATTACAGGTGTGAGCCATCATGCCTGGCCTAATGAGTTAATATTGAATGGAAAAAACAAGATAAAAAACTCAACATTTTGCTTCATTACAACTGTGTAAAGAATAGTCCGCACAGCAGGAAAGAAAAAAAGACATGTGGGAAACTGAGTCTGACACAGTAATGTTTTGGATAATGTGGCTGTTGGGTGGTTTATTTTTTCTCTCTCTTCTTTTGGGCATTTTCTAAGTTTTCAAATAACGTGTGTTAATTGTCTTGCTGAGGAGCAACAGTTGTAATAATGAGTGGTTTTAAGCCAATCAAGGCACCAGATACTGAGGCAGTGTCAGCTTCAGGAATCTTTAATGTCACTCATTTTGAGGCAGTAGCCCTTGGGGCCCACTGGTGTTTTTTTTTTTGGTTTTTGGTTTTTTTTTTTTTTTTGAGATGGAGTCTCGCTCTGTCACCCAGGCTGGAGTGCAGTGGCGGGATCTCAGCTCACTGCAACCTCCGCCTCTCGAGTTCAAGTGATTCTCCTGCCTCACCCTTCCAAGTAGCTGGGATTACAAGCACCCACCACCACGCCCTGCTAAGTTTTGTATTTTTAGTAGAGACGGGGTTTCACCATGTTGGCCAGGCTGGTCTTGAACTCCTGACCTCAGGTGATCTACCCGCCACGGCCTCCCAAAGTGTTGGGATTACAGGTGTGAGCCACAGCACCCGGCCTGGGTTTTTTTTTTTTTTTTTTTTTTTTTTTCTCTGTGGCCCAGGCTGGAGGAAGTGGTATGATCTCAGCTCACTGCAGCCCTCGACCTCCCAGGCTCAAGGGATCCTCCCACCTCAGCCCCTCCAGTAGCTGGGTCTACAGGTGTGCAATACCATACCTGGCTAATTTTTAAATTTTTTGTAGAGACAGGGCTCGAACTCTTGGGCTCAAGTGATCCTTCTGCCTCGGCCTCCCAAAGTACCGGAATTATAAATGTGAGCCACTGGCCTGGCCAGCAATCTTTAATGTAACTCATTTTGAGGCGGTGGTCCTTGGGGCTCACTTCTCGGGTTTGGAACCTCATCCTCTTGGGGCCTGGCTTCACCTTGTACTTGCATATGTTGCGGGGAAGGGTCAAGAATTATCTTAGAAACCAGCAGAACATCGCACCTGCCCTGAGGCAGTGGAGTGGCCTAGAAAGGACTGTCTGCTTTTGCTGCCTTCTCCTGAAAGGGCGCCCCTGACCACCTCTGGGTGCCGGCTCCGTGGTCACCAGTGGCCAGGTCAGAGCCTCAGGAGGGCGCCTCTTGACAGATTCCAGAGGCACAGCCAAGGTCATCTGGTTCTCCCCCAGGTTGGGCTCCTGCCAGGACAGTCGCGGGAGCGGCTCTTCTTTTGCCCCCACCCTGCTGTCTGAAAGCCTCATTGTGGTATGGGCATGGTTGAATGATCTGTCTTGCAAAATTCTGCTAGGATTATTTCCTCCTGTGCTTCTCACTCTGTGCCACATGTCTGGCCAAAAGCTAGAGAGGGCTGAAAGGAGACTTCTACCTGACAAGCCTCTAAAATAGGAGCTGGCAATCCCTGCCTGCGGACCAAACCCGCCCCCAAGCAGTGAACAGTTGTTACATTTTTAAAGAGTTATTAAGAGACACCAAGAAAGAAGACTGTGTCATGAAGCCTGAAATATGTACTCTCTGGTCTATTACAGAAAATATTTGTTGATTTTAGAGTAGCTCTAACATAAAGACAAACTATATAAGTAATGTCACTTGTGGGCAGGAGACGACTCGGTGCACTTGAGTTTGGAAGACCTGGGCTCCAGTCCCACAGCCTTGGTTCTGTTGCTTAGTGCTGATGGCCTTGGACAAGCCACACACTTTTTCTTCTTTTGCCTCCCTTCCCTTTGTCTGCCCCCGCACTTCCCTTCTTAAGTAGGTATGATTATGATCTGCTTTGGTCTTCTTTATCTACTGAGATACAGAATGATGTTTAAACCTTACAGTACAGCTGGCTCTCTGCATCCATGGACTCTGCATCCGTGAGTTCCGCATCTATGGTTTCAACCAACTGTGGATCAAAAATATTACCAAAAAAAAACCAATAAAAATAATACAATAAAAATACAGTATAACAACTATTTACATAGCATTTGGATTGTATTAGGTATCATAAGCAATCTAGAGATGATGTAAAGTACATATGTGGGAGGATGTGCTTATGCAAATACTACACCGTTTTACATCAGGGACTTCAGGCTAGGCGAGGTGTCTTATGCCTGTAATCCTAGCACTTGGGGAGGCTGAAGCAGGAGGATCGCTTGAGGCTAGGATTTTGAGACCAGCCTGGACAACATAGGGAGACCCTGTTTTCACAAAAAAACAAAACAAAACAAAAAATTAGCCGGGTATGGTGGCTCACACCTGTAGTCCAAACTCCTCGGGATGCTGAGGCAGGAGGCTCTGCCAAATCCCAAGAGCTCAAGGTTGCAGTGAACTATGATTGTGCCACTGTACTCCAGTGTGGACAACAGAGCAAGACTCCAACTCTAAAACAAAACAAGGGACTTTGAGCATCCTCAGATTTGCAGGGGTTTTTTGAAACGGTTGATACAGATGTAATGCAGATACTGGGGGACGGCTATACTGCAAAAATACCTCCAGGTATTTATTAACATTTCTTGATTGCTCAGAGGCAAGTGCTGCAGGGGCAATTACTCCCAAACAAACCCAACCACACTGCCTGGCGTTTCGAAGATGGCACGCATTAGAGATTTGTACTTTGTGGGTAAGGTGACAGTATAACAGATCATATGAGCATGGTTAATAATTGAGCCGACTCCCTTTCTTGGAAGGGACCCAGACGTGACTGGTCTGATTCTGTCCTTTTACCCACGAGGGGCTCAGATGCAGCGAGGCGGAGCAACGCTAGCCCTAGGTCAGGTGGCTGCTGTCATTTCGGAACGTGGAGCAGATGGCCTGTGATGCATGTGCTGTCCCCTTCCCCAAGCCTTTGTCCCTCCTCTTCACTCGGTGGCTTGGGCTTCCTCCAGCTCCCCTCCTCAAGCCCTGCTTCTTCCAGGCAGCCTTCCATGACCTTCCTGGAATGAGCTTTCTCCACAATCTGAGATGCCATTTACAGCTTCTTGCAGGATTATTTGGTTCATGTTCATGCCCCCCAACAGACTGCAGGCTCCCTCAGGGCAGGATCAACAGTATTCACTGGCTCTTTTGCCACCAGTAGGGAGCACAGTGCCTGGCATATAATAGGTGCTCAGTAAACACTGGTTGAGAGAACAAATGCAAGAGGTCTGGATCTGGACTCCACGCTCTACCTCCCAGCCCACACCTCCTTCTGTTCTCAGCCCTGCCTTGGCCTGGTTAGTTCTCAGGAGGGTGCTGTGGATGCTTGTTGGTGAGTCATGCGGCCTGTGGGCTCTTTGGCCTGTCCTGCAGCTGTATTCTTTCACCTTAGGCCACTGGAAGGGAACACCTGCCTCTCCCAGATGCACAGCTGGGCTCCGCTGAAGGTGCTGCACAATGACTCCGACATCCTCTTCCCTGTCAGTGGCGTGGGCTCCTACAGCCCAGCAGGTGGGTGTCTCCCGATTACTCCTTTCCTCCAATAAGAGCTTTGGCTTCGAGAACCAGCAGGAATGTCTGAGTTCCCTGGACAGGTAGGAATGGGAGCCGGGAGGCACGGGAGTCGGGGTGTGGTTCAGGGCCAGGGGGAGCTCACTGAGATGCAGAAGTGAGAGAGGGCTTGGCTTCTCTCCCTGAACCTGGGTATCCTGAGGTGCTCTCCGTGGAGTGAGTGTTGGGCTGAACCAGCTGGCAAGTCACCAGGGCCTGCAGGCCTGTTTTTCTCCCTTACCAGTGGCCCGTTGAACTTGGTCGTTTAAAAGCTGACCACAAATAGTGACCACGATTTTGCCTCTTTGGAGATGCAAGAAGGTAACTGAACCCCTGTCTGTAAAGGCCCTGCCACCCTGTGCAGAAAAGTGCTTGGGGATCAGGAAGTAGCTTGGTTAAAAGCTGTTTCTGGGCTGGGTGCGATATCTCATGCCTGTAATCCCAGCACTTTGTGAAGCCGAGGCGGGTGGATCACCTGAGGTCAGGAGTTTGAGACCAGCCTGGCCAACATGGTGAAGCCCTGTCTCTACTAAAAATACAAAAATTAGCTGGGTATGGTGGTGTGTGCCTGTAGTCCCAGCTACTCACGAGGCTGAGGCAGGAGAATTGCTTGAACCCGGGAGGTGGAGGTTGCAGTGAGCCGATATCGTGGCACTGTACACCACCCTGTGTGACAGTGAGACTCTGTCTCAAAATAAATAAATAAATAAATAAATAAATAAATAAATAAATAAATATGTCTCTGGTATGGGTAAGCATTTTTGCACCATTCCACACGGTTGAGCACGTGCCCGTGTGGTTTGTTATTGTTTTCTTTAGTGCAGGTCATGGGGAGGACGTGGTTGATCCCAGCTGGCCTGTGGGGTGCAGTGTAATGCAGCTGGCACAGCATCTGGCTCAGAGAAGTGCCCAGTTGCTGTCCCTGCCCTCAGAACACCGCTGGGTCAGAGAAGACTTGGCCCAACCTTCTTAGGCGCCTCCTCGTTTTCTTAGGAAGTGAATGTGCCTTCTCTGGGCCCAGATTTAGGAAATTATGACTGGAGCCCACTAATCACTCAGGAAGCTGTTGAAATTCTGAACTGGGGTGTAGATTCTTCCTGTCACTTGGCAGGGAGCATAAACCTACTCAAACTAGCTGAAGCACAGAGGCAGGGCGGGGACAGTCACTGGCAGCAGGACGGGGCCAGTCAGATGCAGTACTAGCTCTAGAAAGTTGAGTAAGCCTGAGTGCATTACTGCTCTGAGCGTCAGCATTCCTGGCTGTTAAATGAGGCTGAGTGCTTCCTGTCTGTCAGTTGCTGTGTCCTCATCTGGAAAATGGGGATGACAGTGACAATGAGAGCCAGCATTTGCAAAGCCAAAGGAGCCCTGCACTGCAGTGTGGCTGACCCTGATGAACTCATCTGCTCTTGAGCACAGTCCTGTGAGAGTGGGGGGTGTGATTATATCAGCTACCTTTGAGATCCACAGTGAAGGCGCCTTGAGTTAATCTGGGGAAGGTGCCAGGCACATGCCAAGGCCCCTGGTGAGAGCTTCAGGGACATCTTGTCCATGGCCCAGGAGCTGGGGCGTTGGCATGGAGGGGGCTTTCCTGACTTGGTGGGGTGCTGTCATCTTTCTTATGTGGCCTCCCTCCACTTCCTGATGGGGGTCTGCCCACCTCTTCTTTTCCTAGTCCATCTTTTTTTTTTTTTTTTTTTTTTTTTTGAGGTGGAGTCTCACTCTGTCACCCAGGCTGGAGTGCAATGGCATGATCTTGGCTCACTGCAACCTCCGCCTTCTGGGTTCAAGTGATTCTCCTGCCTCAGCTTCCAGATTAGCTGGGATTACAGGCATGCACCACCATGCCCGGCTAAATTCTTTTTGTATTTTTAGTAGAGATGGCGTTTCGCCATGTTGGCCAGACTGATCTCAAACTCCTGACCTCACGTGATCCACCTCCTTGGCCTCCCACAGTTGCTGGGATTATAGGCATGAGCCACCGTGCCCGGCCTTTTCTAGTCCGTCTTTGCTCCCTGTTCATTCTCATGCCCTCCTTGGCCCACACCATGCCTCAGTCACATGACCTTCCATACCAACTGGAATTTCTCATGGGTCTCAGTTGAGGTCCCCTAAAAGTGACAATCTCGTAGGCCTAGCTCATGTTTGCAGGCCAGGCCACCGAAGTCCTGCATTTCTAGACCATCCATGGTCCAAATAGCCAAAGGTTACGGGGTTGGTGACCTTGCTGATGCCTGTTCAGCGGCAGTGTAGATGCAGGCAGGTCATCTGAGGAGGGGCAGGGGCTGGGAGAGAGCAGGTGGTCCCAGGATGTGTCTAGGACCCCTGGGGAGTTTTGAATGTGTGTTCACAGGCTCTGTCTCATGAATCAATTTCCTGCTCACCTTGTCCCGTTCCCCATGGAGGGGTCTTGTAGTTGGGTTCTTGAATTATTGTGGAACCGTGAGGTGCTTGCAGTAGGTGGTCTGATTGTTTTGGCAGCTCCTTTGCCGCTTAGCTGGGCCCCCTGAACCATCAGACATCCGGGTCAGCTCCTTTGCCGCTTAGCTGGGCCTCCTGAACCATCAGACATCCGGGTCTCCTTTTTCGTGCATGTTGGGCTTTGGTCTTAGAGAACCCAGAGCTCTTCCTGCTCTTCTGGGCTTTCTGTAGCAAGTGTGTCCAGGGAACGTAGCTCCCCATCAGCCTCTAGAGTCCTTGCAGATTTCCTGTGGTCCCACACCCGGCTGTCAGCTCGCAGAGTCAGCTCCATCTTCTCACTGCTGATGGGACCCGAGCTCCAGCTGATGTCGAATGCACTCTCTGGAGATGACGTGTGCCGGCGTCAGCCAGCATTTCCCTTCTCTGCAGTAACGATGCTGTCAGGGGGCTTGTGAGCTGGGACAGCCCAGGGGCTGCGCACAGGGGCAGGACATGGCATAGGGAGAAACATTATTCCAGGACTGTGTCAGGATGTTGGACTCAGAGCCAGGGGAATGGGTAGCCTGATTGGGACGCCAGGTTGCATCAAGTCCCTTCTGTCCTGATGCCCCATTTCCATGGGAGGTGTGGGGCCGACTGGTGCCAAGACTCTGCCTGCCTGCCCAGGTGGCCACCGCCACCATTTCTCCTGAGACTCCATTCCTTTTGCTCTGTTTCTGCCTTTTGTCCCTTCTGAGGGACATCTTCCTTCCTTAGAGATATTCTGACATTCCCTCTCATTCTGGAGCCACTTCGTCTTTTAATGGAGACTTCCCACATGGAGGGCTCCTCACCTTAGGAGACTTTTGTCATCTTTGAACACGCTGGTGCCTTTGCAGTCACTGACAGTGGGGATAGTTAGAGAAGGCAAAGGCACTGGCTGGGAGAGGATGCTTTCTGCAGCTGAGTGTTGGGAGGGAGAAAGGAGCAAAGAAGGGGGAACCCTGAAAGGAGTTCTCTTGAATCTTGGAAGAGATAACTCTGTGGTTTAGGGAGGAGTTTTGGAGTTGCTTTTCTTGGGTGACAGAGCCATTCACAGAAGGGGACAGCACCCCAGGTTGCAAGAGGAGACCCCAGACAAGCAAATGAGGACTGGGGACCATGCGTGGTTCCTCTGGGAGTATGTGGTGTCTATACCTGAGCAAAGCAAATTCACCAGCATTGCTTTCCAGTTGCAAGGAAGGGAGAGCTACCCAGGTTTATTTTGAGTGGGAATAGTAAACGGGTGAAAAATCACCTGTCAGTACAAGGTGATATGACTGCTCATCCCTTCATTGAGGGTCCTGTGTTTAGTATTGGGTTTTAGGAAATGCACAATTTCCAAGGGCTTTCTTAGGTTCCTTTGAAACCTTGGGTCCTCAAACCCTTTGTTTCCCCATCAAGTCTAAAGTTCTATTTCTCCTTGTCCTCACGTTGGATCTTGGAAGTTGTTTGTTGAGGTTGAGGACAGACTGTGGTGGCTCTGCCATAATCTGATGTGATTGGTTTTAGCACTTAGCTCTTAGTGGGCAGTTTTACTGTTTTGGTTGTCAGTGTTGCGGTGGCTGGGCGGACACTGCCCTGGTTGTGCTTCCCAGTCAGCTTATACGGGTTGTGTGCTGTTTGGGGTTCCTGGTTTTCTTTATTCAGTCTTCCCACTGGATCACTGGATGCAGGCCTGTATGCTAAAGTGGGTACAGGCTCAGCTCTGCCATTGGACGGACCAGGGTTCAAACCTTTGCACTTGTTAGTTCTGTGATCTTGAACAAGTTGCTTAAATTTTCGGGATCCATTTCCTCATCCGTAAAATTAGATAATGGTATCTGTCTTGGGGGCCTTAAGGATGAGACGGTCTATGCTGTGTGCACCCCAGAGCGTCAGGCCCACAACAAGTACAAGCCATTCGCGGTTGTGCATCGTGAAGGGGCCCGTGGGCAATCACCTGGGACCGTGTGGACATTGTATCCTCACTGAGCGCTCTCATTGAAGGCTGGGTGGGTCCATGCCTTTGCCCCAGCTGTGGATTTCCACTCTGCATGTTGAGTCCCTGTCTTTGCTTCAGGGAATGTAGTCTGACTCTGCATGAGTTAGATTAGCAAGGATGACAGGGAACTGGGGCGTCTGCTGTAGAAGGCCTCTTAGATGGTATGGAGCCTTTGGACCACGGGGCAGTGGACACGACTTGTGAGCCAAGAGGAGGAGGTCATTTTGGGGGCACTGAGCAGTCTTGGATCCCCCTGGCTCTGTGATGGGATGGAGGGTGGGTGCCGTGCTCTTGTGAGCTTACAGCCTAGTGCGACATAAGATGGGGTTGTGAGGGTCAGGATCTGTTGGTAGGCACAGCGGGGTATCCCAGTAGAGTTTTCTAGAAGGCAGTTAGAGATGTGGGACTGAGATTCAAGACAGGTCTGGGCTAGAGGTGAGGGCTTGAGCACTGTCGTCTTCACGGAGGTGAGAACTGTAGCCAAGACCTTGCCAGATGTGCCGAGGGTGACAGAGGGCCTTGGGGCCATGATTCAGGGCCACCTTCACTCAGGAATCAGAGAAAAGATGGTGGGGAGGAGGGCCGGAGATTAGTGTTGGGAAGGTTGAGAGAGGGGAGCGCCAAGTAGGAGGGGATGGTGGGGTGGGGGCTGAGGGAGGGGTTCCTTGGGCCATTCCAGTTGACCAGGTGGGAGGATGAATGCCCGAGGTAGCCAGGATCTGTTATGGGGTGAGTTGATGCCACCCTCACTGAGCATTCTCATTGAGTTTTACATGCGTTAAGATGTAACATTCGGGAGTCTGAGGCAGGAGGATTGCTTGAGGCCAGGAGTTTGAGACTGGTCTGGGCAACATAGTGAGACCGTGTCTCTAAAATAAATAAATAAATAAATAAATAAATAAATAAATAAATAAATAAATAAATAAGCAGGCCAGTCATGAGGGTGCATGCCTGCAGTCCTAGCTACTCAGGAGGCTGAGGTGGGAGGCTCTCTTGAGTCCAGGAGTTTGAGGCTGCAGTGAGCTATAATCGTGCCACTGCTCTCCAGCCTGGGTGACAGGAAAACCCTGCCTCTAAAAAAAGCGGGAGGGGAAGTGGACTTGAACTTCTTGAGAATTTGGAGTCAGTAAATAACTTGATGGAGACAGCAAGGTAGAAGAAAAGGTTAAAACAATTTTTTTTTTCCTGGTAAGTTTCCCTGAAGTTCAGCCCCTACAGAGCTGGGGGTTCTTGGGGCACCTTGAGTAAGCCAAGCAAAGATGGAGGGAATGGCATGGAGGATGGATGAGGAAGGCACCGAGGCGTGCTCTCTCCAGCACCATGTTCCTTGTCCCCGATGCACGGCTGGTTCCATAGTGGTCATTCACTAATAAGTTTCTTTTTCTTTTTCTCTTTTTGAGACGGAGTCTCACTCTGTCTCCCAGGCTGGAGTGCAGTGACGTAATCTCAGCTCACTGCAACCTCCACCTTCTGGGTTCAAGCAATTCTTCCACCTCAGTTTTCCAAGTAGCTGGGATTACAGGCGTGCACTACCTCGCACAGCTAATTTTTGTATTTTTAGTAGAGACGGGGTTTTGCCATGTTAGCCAGGCTGGTCTCGAACTCCTGACCTCAAGTAATCCACCTGCCTTGGCTTCCCAAAGTGGTGGGATTACAGGCGTGAGCCACCGCGCCTGGCCCAAGAAGTTTCTTGAGTGAGCAAGGTTTCTCCTGGGTGATACTGGCCTTAATGTCACCATGCAGCCCAAGGCTTATGGATTTGCATGTTTTCCTGGAAGGAGACTTGAGCATTTATGAAAATTGTTCAGGTCCCTAGCCCGTTAGTTCCAGAGACTACTTATGGCCCCAGCTCTTGTGAATGCCTTTCCTAAATGCACTTAATGCAGGGAAAATTGGCCTTTTTAGAAAGCCGCAGACATTGTCAGGAATTAGACCATGCTGCCCTCTACTGTCTGATTCAAGGCACTACAAGCAGGAGCAGTTTTGTCTTAACAGCAAGCTGATTCATTATACCCGGTTTCTGGCCCTGGTTCTGAATATGGACTTCATGCATAATTCCAGGTGGCTCAAGGTCGAAAATGTCACAGGCCAGGCACAGTTGCTCACATCTGTAATCCCAGCACTTTGGGAGGCCAGGGCGGAAGGATTGCTTGAGCCCAGGAGTTTGAGACCAGCCTGGGCAACATAGTGGGACCCCCATCTCTACAAAAAAAAATAAAAAATAAATTAGCTCGGCATGGTGGCACACACCTGTAGTCCCTCCCAGGTACTTGAGAGGCTGAGGTGGGAGGACCACTGGAGCCTGGGAGGTTGAAGCTGCAGTGAGCCGTGATCACACACCACCACTGCACTCCATCTCAGCCTGGGTGACACAGTGAGACCCTGTCTCAAAAAAAAAAAAAAAAAAAAAGTCACAGGTTAAGGGGAAGTATAGGGCTTTTAAAAAAAAATTTTTAATGGAGCTTCGCTCTTGTTGCCCAGGCTGGAGTGCAATGGCACGATCTCGGCTCACTGCAACCTCTACCTCCAGGGTTCAAGCGATTCTCCTGCCTCAGCCTCCCGAGTAGTTGGGATTACAGTCGTGCACCAACACGCCCAGCTAATTTTTGTATTTTTAGTAGAGATGGGGTTTCACCATGTTGGCCAGGCCGGTCTCGAACTCCTGACCTCAGGTGATCCACCTCCCAAAGTGCTGGGATTACAGGAGTGAGCCGCCATGCCCGGCCAAGTATAGGGCTTTCTGCTTCTACAGTGACTGATGCCAAGTCTGAGATTATCTCTGAACAACAGGAAACAGCTGATTAAAATCCAGCTTGCAGGAGAGATGGAGAAAAATTTCTTAGTCAAGTGATGTAGCAGATGAGCCAATGTCTGCATTGTGTCTTTGTCTTATGGAGAACATGTAGTGAGAAAAGTGACCTCTTTCTGTGATTGCTCTCTCTGCACAGATGCCCCCCTCGGAAGCCTGGAGAACGGGACAGGACCAGAGGACCACGTTCTCCCAGATCCTGGACTTCGGTACAGGTTAATATTGAGAAACCCAGTTGCCTGTGGCATTAAAACATCCTATTCACAGCTGTGCATTTTATTCTTTTTTAAAGATAGGAGTGCACCTGCTAGGATTAAAGGGCAAGGGTTTACTTCACATTTATGTTCAGATTTAGTCTTTTTTTTTGAGATGGAGCCCGGTTCTGTTGCCCAGGCTAGAGTGCAGTGGCGCAGTCTCGGCTCACTGCAAACTCCGCCTCCCGAGATCAAGCGATTCTCTTGCCTGAGCCTCCCAAGTAGTTGGAATTACAGGCACACACCACCATGCCTAGCTGATTTTTTTGTATTTTTAGTGGAGATAGGGTTTCACCACGTTGGCCAGGCTGGTCTCCAACTCCTGACCTCAGGTGATCTGCCCACCTCGGCCTCCCAAAGTGCTGGGATTACTGATGTGAGCAGATTTAGTCTTTACATCACAGAAGATGCAGTTGCCAAGGGTCTTAGATCATTACTGCCTCAGAGAGACTGTATAAGAGATGGTAGATGACGAATGTCAACACCTTTTGGGGCATATCTGGGTGCCTCCTCTATTGTTATTTTCTTTTTTTCTTTTTGAGACAGTCTCGCTGTGTTGCCCAGGCTGGAGTGCGGTGGCGCAATCTCGGCTCACCGCAAGCTCTGCCTGCTGTGTTCACGCCATTCTCCTGCCTCAGCCTCCTGAGTAGCTGGGACTACAGGCGCCCGCCACTGCGCCCGGCTAACTTTTTGTATTTTCAGTAGAGATGGGGTTTCACCGTGGTCTCGATCTCCTGACCTCGTGATCCGCCCGCCTCGGCCTCCCAAAGTGCTGGGATTACAGGCCACCGTGCCCGGCCTGTTATTTTCTTAATTTAAATATTTGTTGATATTTGATAACAAGATTTGACCATCCTAGTGTTGTATATTTAAGCCATTTAGATATTACATAGTATTTGTGAAGGGCTTAGTATGCTGTCTGGCATGTATTAAGCACTATATAGGTTTTCTTTTTGTTTTTTCAAATAAAGTATCTCAAGGGGAAATTGAGTTCTCCCAAGTTGTTGGATGCTTTTTTTTTATTATTTAAGTTTTAGGGTACATGTGCACAATGTTCAGGTTAGTTACATATGTATACATGTGCCATGCTGGTGTGCTGCACCCATTAACTCGTCATTTAGCATTAGCTATATCTCCTAATGCTATCCCTCCCCCCTCCCCCCACCCCACAACAGTCCCCAGAGTGTGATGTTCCCCTTCCTGTGTCCATGTGTTCTCATTGTTCAATTCCTATCTATGAGTGAGAACATGTGGTGTTTGGTTTTTTGTCCTTGCGATAGTTTACCGAGAATGATGATTTCCAGTTTCATCCATGTCCCTACAAAGGACATGAACTCATCATTTTTTATGGCTGCATAGTATTCCATGGTGTATATGTGCCACATTTTCTTAATCCAGTCTATCTTTGTTGGACATTCGGGTTGGTTCCAAGTCTTTGCTATTGTGAATAGTGCCACAATAAACATATGTGTGCATGTGTCTTTATAGCAGCATGATTTATAGTCCTTTGGGTATATACCCAGTAATGGGATGGCTGGGTCAAATGGTATTTCTAGTTCTAGATCCCTGAGGAATCGCCACACTGACTTCCACAATGGTTGAATTAGTTTACAGTCCCACCAACAGTGTAAAAGTGTTCCTATTTCTCCACATCCAGCACCTTTTGTTTCCTGACTTTTTAATGATTGCCATTCTAACTGGTGTGAGATGGTATCTCATTGTGGTTTTGATTTGCATTTCTCTGATGGCCAGCGATGATGAGCATTTTTTCATGTGTCTTTTGGCTGCATAAATGTCTTCTTTTGAGAAGTGTCTGTTCATATCCTTTGCCCACTTTTTGATGGGGTTGTTTTTTTCTTGTAAATTTGTTTGAGTTCATTGTAGATTCTGGATATTAGCCCTTTGTCAGATGAGTAGGTTGCGAAAATTTTCTCCCATTCTGTAGGTTGCCTGTTCACTCTGATGGTAGTTTCTTTTGCTGTGCAGAAGCTCTTTAGTTTAATTAGATCCCATTTGTCAATTTTGGCTTTTGTTGCCATTGCTTTTGGTGTTTTAGACATGAAGTCCTTGCCCATGCCTATGTTCTGAATGGTAATGCCTAGGTTTTCTTATAGGGTTTTTATGGTTTTAGGTCTAACATGTAAGTCTTTAATCCATCTTGAATTAATTTTTGTATAAGGTGTAAGGAAGGGATCCAGTTTCAGCTTTCTACATATGGCTAGCCAGTTTTCCCAGCACCATTTATTAAATAGGGAATCCTTTCCCCAATGCTTGTTTTTCTCAGGTTTGTCAAAGATCAGATAGTTGTAGGTATGCGGCATTATTTCTGAGGGCTCTGTTCTGTTCCATTGATCTATATTTCTGTTTTGGTACCAGTACCATGCTGTTTTGGTTACTGTAGCCTTGTAGTATAGTTTGAAGTCCGGTAGCGTGATGCCTCCAGCTTTGTTCTTTTTGGCTTAGGATTGACTTGGCAATGCGGCCTCTTTTTTGGTTCCATATGAACTTTAAAGTAGTTTTTTTCCAATTTGTGAAGAAAGTCATTGGTAGCTTGATGGGGATGGCATTGAATCTATAAATTACCTTGGGCAGTATGGCCATTTTCACGATATTGATTCTTCCTACCCATGAGCATGGAATGTTCTTCCATTCGTTTGTATACTCTTTTATTTCATTGAGCAGTGGTTTGTAGTTCTCCTTGAAGAGGTCCTTCACGTCCCTTGTAAGTTGGATTCGTAAGTATTTTATTCTCTTTGAAGCAATTGTGAATGGGAGTTCACTCATGATTTGGCTGTTTGTCTGTGATTGTTGTGTAAGAATGCTTGTGATTTTTGTACATTGATTTTGTATCCTGAGACTTTGCTGAAGTTGCTTATCAGCTTAATGAGATTTTGGGCTGAGACAATGGGGTTTTCTAGATATACAGTCACATCGTCTGCAAACAGGGACAATTTGACTTCCTCTTTTCCTAACTGAATACCCTTTATTTCCTTCTCCTGCCTAATTGCCCTGGCCAAAACTTTCAACACTATGTTGAATAGGAGTTGTGAGAGAAGGCATCCCTGTCTTGTGCCAGTTTTCAAAGGGAATGCTTTCAGTTTTTGCCCATTCAGTATGATATTGGCTGTGGGTTTGTCATAGATAGCTCTTATTATTTTGAGATACGTCCCATCAATACCTAATTTATTGAGAGTTTTTAGCATGAAGCGTTGTTGAATTTTGTCAAAGGCCTTTTCTGCATCTACTGAGATAATCATGTGGTTTTTGTCTTTGGTTCTGTTTATATGCTGGATTACATTTATTGATTTGTGTATGTTGAACCAGCCTTTCATCCCAGGGATGAAGCCCACTCGATCATGGTAGATAAGCTTTTTGATGTGCTGCTGGATTCGGTTTGCCAGTATTTTATTGAGGATTTTTGCATCAATGTTCATCAAGGATATTGGTCTAAAATTCTCTTTTTTGGTTGTGTCTCTGCCCGGCTTTGGTATCAAGATGATGCTGGCCTCATAAAATGAGTTAGGGAGGATTCCCTCTTTTTCTATTGATTGGAATAGTTTCAGAAGGAATGGTACCAGTTCCTCCTTGTACCTGTCGTAGAATTCGGCTGTGAATCCATCTGGTCCTGGACTCTTTTTGGTTGGTAAGCTATTGATTATTGCCACAATTTCAGATCCTGTTATTGGTCTATTCAGAGATTCAACTTCTTCCTGGTTTAGTCTTGGGAGAGTGTATGTTTCGAGGAATTTATCCATTTCTTCTAGATTTTCTAGTTTATTTGCGTAGAGGTGTTTGTAGTATACTCTGATGGTAGTTTGTATTTCTGTGGGATCGGTGGTGATATCCCCTTTATCATTTTTTATTGCGTCTATTTGATTCTTCTCTCTTTTTTTCTTTATTAGTCTTGCTAACGGTCTATCAATTTTGTTGATCCTTTCAAAAAACCAGCTCCTGGATTCATTAATTTTTTGAAGGGTTTTTTGTGTCTCTATTTCCTTCAGTTCTGCTCTGATTTTAGTTATTTCTTGCCTTCTGCTAGCTTTTGAATGTGTTTGCTCTTGCTTTTTTTCTAGTTCTTTTAATTGTGATGTTAGGGTGTGAATTTTGGATCTTTCCTGCTTTCTCTTGTGGGCATTTAGTGCTATAAATTTCCCTCTACACACTGCTTCAAATGTGTCCCAGAGATTCTGGTATGTTGTGTCTTTGTTCTCGTTGGTTTCAAAGAACATCTTTATTTCTGCCTTCATTTCGTTATGTACCCAGTAGTCATTCAGGAGCGGGTTGTTCAGTTTCCATGTAGTGGAGCGGTTTTGAGTGAGTTTCTTAATCCTGAGTTCTAGTTTGATTGCACTGTGGTCTGAGAGACTGTTATAATTTCTGTTCTTTTACATTTGCTGAGGAGAGCTTTACTTCCAACTATGTGGTCAATTTTGGAATAGATGTGGTGTGGTGCTGAAAAAAATATATATTCTGTTGATTTGGGGTGGAAAGTTCTGTAGATGTCTATTAGATCTGCTTGGTGCAGAGCTGAGTTCAATTCCTGGGTATCCTTGTTGACTTTCTGTCTCGTTGATCTGTCTAATGTTGACAGTGGGGTGTTAAAGTCTCTCATTATTATTGTGTGGGAGTCTAAGTCTCTTTGTAGGTCACTCAGGACTTGCTTTATGAATCTGGGTGCTCCTGTATTGGGTGCATATATATTTAGGATAGTTAGCTCTTCTTGTTGAATTGATCCCTTTACCATTATGTAATGGCCTTCTTTGTCTCTTTTGATCTTTGTTGGTTTAAAGTCTCTTTTATCAGAGACTAGGATTGCAACCCCTGCCTTTTTTTTGTTTTCCATTTGCTTGGTGGCTCTTCCTCCATCCTTTTATTTTGAGCCTATGTGTGTCTCTGCACGTGAGATGGGTTTCCTGAATACAGCACACTGATGGGTCTTGACTCTTTATCCAATTTGCCAGTCTGTGTCTTTTAATTGGAGCATTTAGTCCATTTACATTTAAAGTTAATATTGTTATGTGTGAATTTGATCCTGTCATTATGATGTTAGCTGGTTATTTTGCTTGTTAGTTGATGCAGTTTCTTTCTAGTCTCGATGGTCTTTACATTTTGGCATGATTTTGCAGTGGCTGGTACCGGTTGTGCCTTTCCATGTTTAGTGCCTCCTTCAGGAGCTCTTTTAGGGCAGGCCTGGTGGTGACAAAATCTCTCAGCATTTGCTTGTCTGTAAAGTATTTTATTTCTCCTTCACTTATGAAGCTTAGTTTGGCTGGATATGAAATTCTGGGTTGAAAATTCTTTAAGAATGTTGAATATTGGCCCCCACTCTCTTCTGGCTTGTAAAGTTTCTGTCGAGAGATCCACTGTTAGTCTGATGGGCTTCCTTTTGTGGGTAACCCGACCTTTCTCTCTGGCTGCCCTTAACATTTTTTCCTTCATTTCAACTTTGGTGAATCTGACAATTATGTGTCTTGGAGTTGCTCTTCTCCAGGAGTATCTTTGTGGCGTTCTCTGTATTTCCTGAATCTGAATGTTGGCCTGCCTTGCTAGATTGGGGACGTTCTCCTGGATAATATCCTGTAGAGTGTTTTCCAACTTGGTTCCATTCTCCCCGTCACTTTCAGGTACACCAATCAGATGCAGATTTGGTCTTTTCATATAGTCCCATATTTCTTGGAGGCTTTGTTCGTTTCTTTTTATTCTTTTTTCTCTCAAATTCCCTTCTCACTTCATTTCATTCATTTCATCTTCCATCACTGATACCCTTTCTTCCAGTTGATCGCATCGGCTCCTGAGGCTTCTGCATTCTTCACCTAGTTGTCGAGCCTTGGCTTTCAGCTCCATCAGCTCCTTTAAGCACTTCTCTATATTGGTTATTCTAGTTATACATTCGTCTAAATTTTTTCAAAGTTTTCAACTTCTTTGCCTTTGGTTTGAATTTCCTCCTGTAGCTCAGAGTAGTTTGATCATCTGAAGCCTTCTTCTCTCAACTCGTCAAAGTCATTCTCCGTCCAGCTTTGTTCCGTTGCTGGTGAGGAACCGTGTTCCTTTGGAGGAGGAGAGGTGCTCTGCTTTTTAGAGTTTGCAGTTTTTCTGCTCTGTTTTTTCCCCATCTTTGTGGTTTCATCTACTTTTGGTCTTTGATGATGGTGATGTACAGATGGGTTTTTGGTGTGGATGTCTTTTCTGTTTGTTAGTTTTCCTTCTAACAGACAGGACCCTCAGCTGCAGTCTGTTGGAGTTTGCTAGAGGTCCACTCCAGACCCTGTTTGCATGGGTATCAGCAGCGGTGTCTGCAGAACCAGGGATTTTCGTGATCCGCGAATGCTGCTGTCTGATCGTTCCTCTGGAAGTTTTGTCTCAGAGGAGTACCCAGCCGTGTGAGGTGTCAGTCTGCCCCTACTGGGGGATGCCTCCGAGTTAGGCTGCTCAGGGGTCAGGGGTCAGGGACCCACTTGAGGAGGCAGTCTGCCCGTTCTCAGATTTCCAGCTGCGTGCTGGGAGAACTACTGCTCTCCTCAAAGCTGTCAGACAGGGACATTTAAGTCTGCAGAGGTTACTGCTGTCTTTTTGTTTGTCTGTGCCCTGCCCCCAGAGGTGGAGCCTACAGAGGCAGGCAGGCCTCCTTGAGCTGTGGTGAGCTCCACCCAGTTCGAGCTTCCTGGCTGCTTTGTTTACCTAAGGGAGCCTGGGCAATGGTGGGTGCCCCTCCACCAGCCTCGCTGCCGCCTTGCAGTTTGATCTCAGACTGCTGTGCTAGCAATCAGCGAGACTCCATGGGTGTAGGACCCTCCGAGCCAGGTGCGGGATATAATCTCCTCACGCGCTGTTTCCTAAGCCCTTCGGAAAAGCGCAGTATTTGGGTGGGAGTGGCCCGATATTCCAGGTGCCGTCTGTCACCCCTTTCCTTGAACAGGAAAGGGAACTCCCTGACCCCTTGCGCTTCCCGAGTGAGGCAATGCCTCACCCTGCTTTGGCTGGTGCATGGTGCGCTGCACCCACTGTCTGGCACTCCGTAGTGAGATGAACCCAGTGCCTCAGATGCAAATGCAGAAATCACCCATCTTCTGCGTCACTCACGCTGGGAGCTGTAGACTGGAGCTGTTCCTATTCGGCCATCTTGGCTCCTCCCTTTTTTTTTTTTTTTTTGAGACAGTCTTACTCTGTCGCCCAGGCTGGAGTGCAGTGGCACCATCTTGGCTCACTGCAACATCCGCCTCCTGGGTTCAAGTGATTCTCCTGCCTCAGCCTCCCAAGTACCTGGGATTACACATGTCCACCACCATGCCCGGCTAATTTTTGTATTTTTCAGTAGAGACGGAGTTTCGCCATGTTGGCTAGGCTGGTCTCGACCTCCTGACCTCATGTGATCCGCCTGCCTTGGCCTCCCAAAGTGCTGGGATTCCAGGCGTGAGCCACCACGCCCAGCCTGGTCATAACATTTTTATGTAGCCTGGGTGACAAAGCGAGACCCTGGATGCTTGGTGGCAGAACTGAAATGGACACCAAAGTCTTATGCCACTGCCATCCTTGCTGCTATTACCGTTTTCTTCTTCTGTCTCTCCTCTTGGCTGTAATTTGGGGTCCCAGGGTGCTATTACATCCTTATTTTCAAACCTAGCTCTAGAGTGGAACTTCCTGACTACCGTAAACCATATTAGATGCCATGGTCTTACCTGGAACAGTCAAGGGTTCTGCTCTCTCAAAATGACATTGCTTGTAGGAAGCTTGTCGCAGTTAGTTCAGTGTCAGAAGGAATTGGTGTTGCCAGACCCTTCCAGGGGGTGGAGTCTTTTTTTGCTATTTATTTTAGAAAATGTGACTAGGCATGGTGGCCCATGCCTGTAATCTCAGCACTTTGGGAGGCCAAGGTGGGAGGATTACTTGAGGCCGGGAGTTCAACACCACCAGTCTGGGCAAGTGAGACCCTGTCTTTACAAATAAAACAACAACAAAAATTATCCAGATGTGGTGGTGCATGCCTGTAGTGTCAGCTACTTGGGAGACTGATGTGGGAAGATCACTTGAACCCAGGAGTTCAAGCCTTCAGCGAGCTGAGATTGCACCACTGCACTCCAGCCTAGTTAACGGAGTGAGAACCTGTCTTAAAAAAAAAAAAATTGGAAAATGCAACAGTAAATGAAAAAAGAAAATCAGTCTTAACCCTCAACTTCATTATGTTGTTGATGTTTTGGTACTTTTCCTCCTAGTCATGGTGTGTGTGTGTGTGTGTGTGTGTGTGTGTGTGTGTGTGTGTATCTCTGTTAACCATGTGATGACCGTGCTGTTCTCACCAAAGACACTAAACTTTATTTTTCATGTTGTAAATTATTTGTAAACATACAGTTGATTCTTATTATTCCCAGTAGTTGTATTCTATAAAGTTGCTATGAAGACTGAACCAGTGCTCCTAGGGGAAGTACATGGTTAAGTTGCTTTGAGGCTCTGGTCACACATTTTGTTTTTGAGATGAACTGTTGCTCTTTTGCCCGGGGCTGGAGTGCAGTGGCGTGATCTTGGCTCACTGCAACCTCTGTTTCCTGGGTTGAAGTGATTCTCCTGCCTCAGCCTCCCAAGTAGCTGGGATTACAGGCATGTGCTACCACACCCAGATAATTTTTGTATTTTTAGTAGAGAAGGGGTTTTGCCATGTTCGCCAGGCTGGTCTCGAACTCCTGACCTCATGTGATCCACCCGCCTCGGCCTCCCAAAGTATTGCGATTACAGGCATGAGCCACCACACCTGGCCTGGTCACAGCATTTTTATCAACTGATCAACACATAACCTGGTTTTATGTCTGTTCCTGTTTAAAGACACCTTGTTTAATGTATGCAGTTGATTCATTAACATTGAATTCACAGCCAGCAGCACTGTAAGCCATGCCTGAATGAAGCATCTCTAACTCACAAATTATCTCCATACGGCACATCACAGCCTTCCTGTGCTTAGGAACTGTCGGCAGTACCACTTCAGCACTGTGCTTGGGGACATTTTAAACAATAAAATCAAGTGGAAAAAAAGGCCGGGTGTGGTGGGTCATGCCTGTAATCCCAGCACTTTGGGAGGCTGAGGCAGGTGGATCACTTGAGGTCAGGACTTTGAGACCAGTCTGGCCAACTTGGCGAAACCCCATTTCTAGTAAAAATACAAGAATTAGTCGGGTGTGGTGGTGCGGGCCTGTAATCCCAGCTACTTGGGAGGCTGAGGCACAAGAATCGCTTGAACCCAGGAGGTGGAGGTTACAGTGAGCCGAGATCACGCAAAAGAAAGAAAAGTGGAAAAAAAAATGCTAAAAACATGGCAGTAAATAGACAGCAAAGAGGATGCTTGTTTACGGTGTGAGATCTGAGGTCCCAGCTGTTCGACTTCAGCTGAGATTATGCACATTAGGGAGTGAAATTATTGGCCTCTGCACGTGTTCATGAATGATTGTGAAAGCACCTCAAGTATTGACTTTGGGGTTACAAATAAATTTTAGTGCGTAGATGAATTTCCAAATACGGAATCTGCAGATAACGAGGCCTGACTAATTTCCAATGACTGCCTCTATCCCTTCTAGTAGAGGTACCGGAGTAAACCGACCTCTGCTAGTTTTTGGAATGGTGAGGGTGTGTACTTTCAGTGGCCGAGTGTAACTTCCTCCTGCCTGCTTTTTCCTAGTGTGGAAGCCAGCTCTCCAGGCCACGGAAGTCCTCTGAGCAGCCTGTTACCTTCTGCCTCAGTGCCAGAGTCCATGACAATTAGTAAGTACTTTCGCAGCCCCCTCCACCAGCTCTGGGATGACTTCTGGCCCACGTCTCATGGCGGTGCCTTTGTGCTTCTAACCCTGTGACTGTGGGTTCACGTCAGGTGTGTACGTCCCTGGTTGTAGACTGGAGGTGTGGTACGTGCTTGTGGATATCCAGAACCGTGGTTAATGCGTGGCGCTTGGGCGTGTGCGCGCTAAAGGGCGTGCCTCAGGATGGAGCAGCCTTGCCGTAGACTTCTGTGGTTCCAGGTTTTGGGGTTTGCCTCCCATAATGCAGTTAGCTACAGAGGACCTATTCTAGTTGGATTTCCTTTGTAACTCTGAAGGACTCATTTTTGTAAGTGAAGAAGAATATGTCTCTCCAAGATGATTAAACTTTGCTAATGATCAGGCTTCAACTGTTTCCAACTTTACTACCTAGAAAAAGTATTAGAGATATAGCAAGGAAGACTAGGTTTGAATGGCTTTGTATAACAAAGAATAAACCAACTGTTATGTAAACTGACGGGTGCTCCTGGTATCTCACTGGTGGCTTGAGCCAGCATTTGTCCCATGGCCTCCCCTGGAGGCAGAGGGGGCACTTGTTCCCAATTAAAAAAAAAAATTAGCTTTTGTTGCTAAGGAAGGAAGAAGGCGTTTGGGAGGCACCTAGCATTTTCTGATTCAAGGGTGAAGCAGGAAGTGAGCAGACACTATGTAAACCAACAGTTGGTTTATTTTTTGTACACAAAGCCATTCAGACCTACTCTTCTTGAAGTTCCGGTGGTTAAGGAGATGTGATGGAAATTTCTCTCTATCCAGAGGTAGATGGGCTGGGGCTGGTATGTGGCTCCACGGCCATCAGAGACCGGGACTCCTCCTGTCTTGCCTTGTAGACCAAAATAGCCATTTTAGCTCCAGCCATTTCATTCTCATTCCAGGCGGCAGGAAGGAGGAGAGAGCAGAGAGACTTCGTCTATTTCTACATATAGGATTCAGGGGCCTGAGCTTGGATAGGGAAAAAAATTACAATGTTTTTCATTTAGCTCTGGGTGAAATATAGTATTTTCTTCAATCATGATCATTCTATTTTGATGTAATTGGTTTCCTTTGTGATATGGTATGTTTTATATATTTTAATACATTTTCCTGAATAGGAGCCCATGGTTATTCCTAGATTACAAAATGGGCTCTTGGTACAAAAACGTTGAAGCTCCCCCGACCTTCACTAGAAGGTGCTTACAGTATACCACTCGTGTCTTGGGCCAGCATTCATGTCATGGTCCCCCTTGGCTGCAGAGGGGGCAATTGTTCTTGATAAAAAGGAAATTAGTTTTTGTTGCTAAGGAAGGAAGAAAGAGTTTGGGAGGCACCCAGCATTCTTTGATTCAAGGGTGAAGCAGGAAGTGAGCAGACACCGTAAGGCTGCTGCGTGGGAACGGCTGGCCGCACTTTTTGTATGTGAGCATGTGTGGTTTACTGTGGCGCTGCTCAGCCCTGAACTCCGCTGAGCAGGTGTTAATAGATCACTCAGTCCATGGGACACAGGGTGGGTGAGTATGTAGCTGGCTGCTTTTCACCTGTCAATCTTTTGTTTACCACAGTACTGTTACTTACCCTATAGTTTACTTTATTATTCATTTTTATTTATTTATTTTTTTGTAGAGTTGAGGTCTCACCATGCTGTCCAGGCTGGTCTTGAACTCCTAGGATCAAGCGATCCACCCGCCTCAGCCTTCCAAAGCGCTGGGATGACAGGCATGAGCCACCGTGCCCGGCCTACTACAGTTTACTTTTTTTTTTTTTTTTGAGACAGAGTCTTGCTCTTGTCTCCCAGGCTGGAGTGCAATGGCACGATCTCAGCTTACTGCAACCTCCACCTCCTGGGTTCAAGCGATTCTCCTGCGTCAGCCTCCCAAGTAGCTGGGATTACAGGCCCACGCCCGGCTAATTTTTGTATTTTTAGTAGAGATGGGGTTTCGCCATGTTGGCCGGGCTGGTCTTGAACTCCTGACCTCATGATCTGCCGGTCTCAGCCTCCCAAAGTGCTGGGATTACAGGTGTGAGCCACCGTGCCCAGACTGTAGTTTACTTTTAATGATGCACTTAAACAAATTGAATTCCTTTATTTTTTGAAAAAGGAAGCTTTATCTCACTACTGTAAATGGAGAGTCACTATGAGTTAACGAAACCAGCAGGTCGCTGTAAAATGAAGACAGTGGAAGGAAACTATTACTAAGTGTGCCTGGCGTGGTTGCCTGCCCTGGGTTCCGATTGATACCCACTCTTGTTGTTCAAAAGAGAGATGAGTGCTGCTTCTTTTTGGCCCCGGCCTGTGGCAAGTATCTCAGTCTTCATACTGCTGGGAAGCTCTGTAACCACCAGCAAGACCAGAAGTGGGGTGATCAGCAGTGCAGGAAAGCCCATTTGGGTGCAGTCCCCGCACCTAGCCCTTTTGGAAGTGCTTCTCCAAAAGGGAATTGTGCCGGAAAAGTAGGGATTGAAACCAAACAGCCACATCCTGCCATCAGGATGCTCTTTATGGCCCCACTGACCAAGAAATCACAGCTTCTGTACTCAGTGATGACTGCTTGACTTCAGTTGAGGACAACAATGAAGTTCTGTAGCCAGGCGTGGTGGCAGATGTCTGTAATCCCAGCTACTCGGGAGGCTGAGGCAAGAGAATTGCTTAAACCCCGGGAGGTGGAGGTTGCAGTGAGCCGAGATGGCGACACTGCACTCCAGCCTGGGTGCCAGAGCGAGACTCTTTGTCTCAAAAAAAAAAAAAAAAAAAAAGAAAAGAAAAGAAAAGAAAAAAAAAGCTAAAATAAAAATTTCGGGGAAAAAAATTTAGGGATAAAACCTTGGTGAAGTTCTGATTGCTGGATTTGGTCACAAAGATCATGCTGTTGGTGACATCCCTGGGGTCCGAGTTAAGGTTCTCAGAGTAGTCAGTGTAGCTCTCCCTTGGTCCTATGCAAAGGCAAGAAGGAAAGACCAAGATAATACATTTTGATGGTGAAAACACAGTAGAAATATATTTTTATAAGCCAAAGGCAAAGAGATGTGTCAGCGAGTCACATTAGGTGTTGAGGCTATCCTGTTACTGAACTGATGGTAATGGAGAGGACTGAGGATGAGAAAAGAAGCCACTCCTGTGACTTGCTGGGATCTAACGCCACATCGCTTCCCAGCACCTATGATTCTGTCTCTGTGTGGGTGGCACCGTGGTGTAGATGGACAAGACTTGACTCTGGCTGTGAGGCACAGCTACTGTAAAGAACACTGCGTTTTGATTTATGGGCATTTTTTTTTTTTAAAGGACAGCAGCCCCGAGATCATGCCTGCGAGCCTTTGTAGGCACCGTAAGTAGGGCTGCAGGCATCCCTGTGTGCCCTGGCAGGTGTCTGACATTCTGTTTCCCAAGAGTTCCTGCGGCCGGGGCTGAGGTCCCAGCATCTCAGATAAACACGGTTTGCTTTGTCAGCTGCGTCTCAGGTCCACATAGAGCATGGTGTCTGGGCCTTCCTCAGCCGCTTTCTGTCTTTGAGGAAGTCACTGGCCTTGCCTGTGCATTTTCAGTGATGACATACATGCCCTTAAACATGCTCGAGTTAGGCCAGTGACAGAGGCGTAGATTGTTTTTCTTGTTTTGACTCAGACAATTTTTTAGAAACTATATCATTTTATTATTTGGCATTTTGAGCAAGTTTGGGACATATCCAGAGCTTATACCTTGAATCTCTGAAGAAAAAAATGTCACCATGTCTGCATTTGAGCCTTGATACTTGGTAGAAACGTGGTCTGTGGTTAGGATTGTGTGTGGGTGGCTGGGACAAGGGGCTTCTGTCTTCTGCGGTGCCTGTACCTTTAGGAGTCTTCAAGGACAGTGCTGTTGTCTACCCTGGATGTCATCCAGCACAGATGAGGGGTCAGGAATCCTAGAAATTTTGAGCGAAGGGTGGTTTTCACTTGTGTTTTCCCACCCTGCCATCACCTCCTGTGTCACATGCAAGAGGAGTAAGAAGAGTGGGTCTGTCTGGGTGTCCGGGGTATTTGCTTGGGCTACCATAACAAGGGGCCACAGATAGGGTGGCTTCAACAACAAAAACTTATTTTCTCGGCCGGGCACGGTGGCTCATGCCTGTAATCCTAGCACTTTGGGAGGCCGAGGTGGGGGGAATCACTTGAGGTCAGGAGTTCAAAACCAGCCTGGCCAACATGGTGAAACCCTGTCTCTACTAAAAATACAAAAAATTAGCATGGTGTGGTGGCTGGCACCTGTAATCTCGGCTACTCGGGATGCAGAGGCAGGAGAATCGCTTGAACCTGGGAGGCAAAGGCTGCAGTGAGCTGAGATTGCACCACTGCACTCCAGCCTGGGCGACAGAGCAAGACTATGTCTCAAAAAAAAAAAAAACCCCTCAAAACTTATTTTCTTACAGTTCTGGAGGCTGAAAGACCAAGATCAAGGTGCCAGCAGGGTTGATTTCTGGTAAGGCCTCTTTCCTTGGCTTGCAGACAGCCACCTTCTCTCTGTCCTTATGTGGCCTTTCCTCTGCAGGCACATCCTGGTGTCCCTTATCTCTTCTTATAAGGGCACCGGTCCTGTGGGATCAGAGCCCCATGCTTATGACCTTATTAACTTTGATTACCTCATTAAGGCCTTGTCTCCATATAAACTCCGATTGGGAGTTAGGTCTTCCACTGGTTCATTAGGGAAGGGATGCAATTCAGTCCATAGCATGAGTTGTCCCAGGAGTGAGTGTCGCAAATGCCGTCCCAGTTCAGATGGAGCATCCCATTGCTGCATGTGAAGCACCTGAGATTCTCCTCTAGAGCAGTCACTGGACTCTTGGAAACCCCAGAGGAGCTTGGCAAAGAAACTCATCAGCTCTGCCCCACAAAGCAGCGAATGCTTCACTCACATCCCGCCAAGTGGCTTCCCTGGCTTCGTGTAATAATCTGTGGAGGTGGCTGCCTCTGTACTGTAATTGAGCTAGAGCTAGGTAATTTAATCCTCAGTGCCTGCGGATAATTGTGAAGTCTTCTATCGAGCAACCTTTCCCTCTCAGGTATCTCTGAAATTGCAAAGGGTGTTTTGTCCTGAGGCATTCAGAGGGACTGTATTCTTGTGGTTATTTACTACTGAAGAGAAGATGGTGTATCCAGACCCACATGATTGTTCTCCTACTGCAAGGCCCTCTGGTACTTCAGAAAATACAAAAGCCTGTTATGAAAAAGTTAATTTTTTTTTTTTTTTGAGACGGAGTGTTGCTCTTATCGCCCAGGCTGGAGTGCAGTGGCACGATCTCGGGTCACTGAAACCTCCGCCTCCCGGATTCAGGCTATTCTCCTGCCTCAGCCTCATGAGTAGCTGGGATTACAGATGCCCGCCACCACACCCAGCTAATTTTTGTACTTTTAGTAGAGGCAGGGTTTCACCATGTTGGCCAGGCTGGTCTCGAACTCCTGACCTTGTGATCCGCCCACCTCGGCTTTCCAAAGTGAAAAAGTTAATTATTTAGCAAAGCAGTAAAGACAGTTTGGAGCAAACTAAAACACCCATAATTCTGCCTCAGGGATGCCTTGCATTTCTGCAGGTAGGTTCCCAGTTCTTGTTTCGGGCACACGGAGCTGTACCTGGGGTTGGAGTTGCAGCTGTGCCTGTTGCTCTCGGGAGGCCATGTGCCCTCAGGGCCGGGAGGGCACACTCGGAAGCTCAGCTGCCTGGGCTCAGGTTCCAGCTGAGTGGCCCCAGCCCCCTCAGTACCGTGTCCTTATCAAGATAGAGTGACAGGATCAACACCCAAATCATGGGCGGCCATGAAGATAACTGTGATGTGCTTAGAACAGCATCAGGATCAGAGTTAAGAGTCAATAAATAGGCCGGGTGCAGTGGCGCACACCTGTAATCCCAGCACTTTGGGAGGCCAAGGTGGGCAGATCACTTGAGGGCAGGAGTTTGAGACTAGCCAGGCCAACATAGTGAGACTCTGTCTCTATAAAAAATAAAAAAAATTACCTGGATATGGTGGTGCGTACCTGTATTCCCAGCTAATTGGGAGGCTGAGGCAGGAGGATTCTTTGAGCCCAGGAGGTCAAGGCTGCAGTGAGTTATGATTACACCACTGCACTCCAGCCTGGGTGACAGGGCTAGACCCGTCTCAAAAAGAAAAAGAAAAAAAAAAGAAATCCCCAGGGCAGTGAGTGTCTTCTGTCCCCTCTGGGCCCTTTCCCCTTGTCTGAAGTCACCCGCATGGCCAGTGGCTTTGCTTTTCTGCCTCCTCTTCTGTCAGCTCTTACCACCAGTTCCTGACAAACCCTCAAAGCAAACTTCTGGAATGCTATGGGCTTGTTAAGAACACAGCAGGTCCGAGGAGAGTGGCATTTGATTTGTTTTGGAGGCCCCATATTCCTTCTCCACTCTTCTTCCCTTTCCTTTTGGACGGCGTCTCGCTCTGTTGGCCAGGCTGGAATGCACTGGTGTAATCTCGGCTCACTGCAACCTCCGCCTCCCAGGTTCAAGTGATTCTACTGCCTCTGCCTTCGGAGTAGCTGGGATTAAAGGCACGCGCCACCACACCCAGCTAATTTTTGTATTTTTAGTAGAGGTGGGGTTTTGCCATGTTGGCTAGGCTGGTCTCAAACTCCTGACTTCAGGTGATCCTCCTGCCTCGGCCTCCCAAAGTGGTGGGATTATAGGCGTGAGCCACCGTGCCCAGCCCCCACCCTACTTCTCTAATAAAATGTGTCTGTTTATTATTCTAGTTCTGACTAGAATAATAATCTATCAAAATAGAAGCTAGTAAAAGTAACAGTATATTCTGGTAAAACTGACTGTATGCCATGTATGGTGCTGAAGCATTTTTATTTATGTTTTCTCATTGAATCCCCCAGCAGCCTTCTGAGGTGTAGGTTATATTATTCTCTTTTGTATAAGAAAATGAGGCTTAGGAGGGTAAGTACCTGCCCAAGGCCTCATGGCTAGTAGAACAGATAGTTACTGAGCACCTACTGTGTGCCAGACATGGTGTCTAGCTATAGTAAGTGGTGAATCTGTGAGAGACCCAGGTGTTCTTACTCCAAAACCTACACTCTTGCCAATTCTTTTTTTTTTTTTTTTTTTTGAGATGGAGTCTCGCTCTGGCTGGAGGGCAGTGGCGTGATCTCGGCTCAGTGCAAGCTCCGCCTCCCGGGCTCACGCCATTCTCCTGCCTCAGCCTCCCAAGTAGCTGGGACTACAGGCGCCCGCCACCACGCCTGGCTAATTTTTTGTAATTTTTAGTAGAGACGGGATTTCACTGTGTTAGCCAGGATGGTCTCAATCTCCTTTCCTTGTGATCTGCCCGCCTCGGCGTCTCAAAGTGTTGGGATTACAGGCGTGAGCCACCGCGCCTGGCCACGCTCTTGCCAATTCTACATTACCTAAGGAGACACGTTTCATTGTCACCAGCCAGGGCAAGCAGCAGTGGACTAGTCATATGTAGGCATCCAGGTCTGAGAGCCTTAAGCTTATCATTACTATTTTTGGAGGCAGGGTCTCTGTTGCCCAGGCTGGAGTGCAGTGGTGCATTCCTGGCTTACTGCAGCCTTGAACTCCTGGGCTTAAGCGATCCTCCTGCCTCAGCTTCCCAAGTAGCTGGGACTGAAGGTGCATGCCACCCCGCCCGGCTGTGTTTTAATGCTTATTTTGTAGAGATGGGAGTCTTGCTATGTTGCCTAGGCTGGTCTTGAACTCCTGGTCTCAGATAATCCTCCCGCCTCAGCCTCTCAAAGTGCGGGGGTTACGACATGACCTACTATGCCTGGCCAAACACCAAATTTTAAAATGAAGAAAAATTTTCTTTTTACCAGTTTAATTTAACTATTGTCATTTTTAAAAAACTTAATTTGCGGCAACAATGTTTCAATAAAATTTTGGATTAAATAGTCCCATGGGTCCCAATCTGGGGGACCAGGAGGTACAAATAGAAGATGCGGGTGAGAGAGAAACATTGTGAACCAGAGTAATGGAGGCTGACACAGATGCAGAGCAGTTGGGTCTTTCTGGAATAGCACGTGTCTCTGCCTTTGGCTGCGATATTTCAGCTCTGTTATTGGCAGGCTTTAATAACAAGCAGGGTAACCATCATAACACTTAAAACTGATAGACAAATGTGGTTCATGAGTGTGGAATGAGAGGCATTCTTGGTGGTAAGTAATGATTACGGGGCCGGGCATGGTGGCTCATGTCTGTAATCTCAGCACTGTGGGAGGCTGAGGTGGGTAGATCACCTGAGGTCAAGAGTTTGAGACCAGCCTGGCCAACATAGTGAAACCCATCTCTACTAAACATACAGAAAACAATTAGCTGGGTATGGTGGTGGGTGCCTGTAATCCCAGCTACTCAGGAGGCTGAGGCAGGAGAATCGCTTGGAGGCAGGCGAATCGCTTGAACCCAGGAGGCGGAGGTTGCAATGAGCCGAGATCGTGCCACTGCACTCCAGCCTGGGCAACAGAGTGAGACTCTATCTCAAAATAAACAGATTAATAAAGTAAATAAAAATTAGCTGGTCATGGTGGCACATGTCTGTGGACTCAGCTTCTTGGGAGAATGAGGCAGGAGGATTGCTTGAGCCCAGGAGTTCGAGGCTGCATTGAGCAGTGATCATGACACTGTACCCCAGCCTGGGCAACAGAGCAAGACCTGCCTCTTAAACATTTAAGGTAATGATTAGTACTCATTAGATGGTAAAGCAGCCGTCATTATGCGAGATGCCTCTCTGAAGTTATCCTGGGCTTTACAGCAACCCAGAAGGTACAGGCATTACTGGTCCATTGTACAGATGAGAAAGTCACTGAGGCAGAGGCCAAATACAGTGCTCAGAGTCACACAGCCAAACTTCTGGGGCTGCAGCTTCCATATCCAGCTGTATCCTCTTTCCCTCTTCCTCCTGGTTGACGTGGCTGGGAAGCAGCAGTGTTTTGTGTTCGATAGGCTAAGCTGGCAACCTGATTCCTGCTGGTGGAGCTGCTGCCGCCTCTGCAATACGCTTTTGAAGGAGGACCTGTTGGGCAGTGGGTCCTCATGGCTAGACCCTGTGCAGGGGGCCATGGTCCTTTGGGGGGTATGAGCACTGCCCTGTCTCGTTCTGGCTTTGCTTGTGTCTCTAGGCTAGGCTGCATGACTGGGAAGGATGGGTGCTCTCCACACAGGTCCTGCCGTGGGTGTCTGAGGCTGCAGGGCACCAGCTCAGTCTCTGCAGCAGGCCTCACAGTGTCACTGTTTGGGCCAGGCAGAAAGCTAGAGAGAGACAGGAGAGGCAGGAACAGATCTGGTCAGCTGATCCAGCACCTGCAGAAGGCTGCAGCGGGACCGGCTCTGCGGGGTCAGAGCAGGGGCGGGTGTTGGGTGGGTGTTTTCATGTTGCTAGGGGGAGGTGCCACGTTGCCAGGTGTCCCTTGTAAGCTCTGCAGGGTGCTTTTAGGACATGGGTGCTGACTTGTGCTGTTTGACAGACATAGACTCTGTTCCCACTTGTTCTTATACTTAGAAAGGATTTTTAGCTATCCCTCCCCAGCCCTCATTTATATGGGAAGGCTTGGCTCAGGGAGCGTAAGGACATTGTGGTCATGCTATGTGAAAATGGCAGAGGAATGGCGTTTCGAGTGTTGACAGGAGTGCTTTTCTTTTTGAAGAAAAAAGAGAGATTTCTTTCTTTGTATTTTCTTCTGTTCTTTTACTGTTTGCTGGATCCCTTTTTCCATTCAAACACAATTTATGGCCGGGGCAGTGGCGCACGCCTGTAATCCCAGCACTTTGGGAGGCTGAGGTGGGAAGATGGCTCGAATGCAGGAGTTCAAGACCAGCCTGGGCAACATAGCAAGACCCTTCCTCTACAAATAAAAACATTTAAAAATTGGCCAGGTGCAGTGGCCCATGCCTATAATCCCAGCACTTTGGGAGGCTGAGGCGGGCGGATTACTCTTGAGGTCAGGAGTTCGAGACCAGCCTGGCCAACACAGCGAAACCCCATCTCTACTGACAGTACAAAAATTAGCTGGGCATAGTGGTGGGCACCTGTGGTCCCAGGTACTAGGGGGCTGAGGCAGAGAATTGCTTAAACCTGGGAGGCAGAGGCTACAGTGAGCCAAGATCATACCACTGCATTACAGCCTAGGAGGCAGAGTGAGACTTTGTCTCAAAAAGAAAGAAAGAAAGAGAGGAGAGAGAGAGAGAGAGAAAAGAGAGAGAGAGAGAGAAAAGAGAAAGAGAAAGAAAGAAAGAAAGAAAAAGTGTGTGGTGGTGGCACCTGGCATCTGCCTGTAGTTCCAGCTACTTGGGAGGCTGAGGTGGGAAGATTGTTCGAGCCTAGGAGGTCGAGGCTTTAGTGAATAATGATTATGACCCTGCACTCCAGCCTGGGTGACAGAGCAAGACCGTCTCAAAAAATAAAATAAAAAAATTAAAAAAACCCAATAGAAAAAAACCTGCAACTATTTCTGCCCAGTGTCCATAGTATAATATGATCGCCACACTGCTACTCTTGGTTTATATACTGATGAACAAGAAGCAAAGGTCCTGCCCTCAGAAGCTGTCAGAACTGTGGGGAAGACAAGCAGCAAGCATTAGAAAGGCAAAGCCTATGCCCTGTTTTAAGGCATGTTTCAGGAAAGGGCTTCTCTCAGATGTCAGCGGGGCTGAGGTCTCAGGATGGGGGGTTTGGCCTGTTTTGGTGGCGGGTGGTACCGCTGGCATTGCGCTGCCAGAAGTGAGGGGGAGAGTGAGTTGGAGGATGCTGGAGAGGGTGGCTCGTGTAGATTTTATCCCACGTACAATGGGAAGCCAGTGGAGGACTTGAAGCAGGGGCGATAGGATTTACTCACTTCCTCTTGCGAAGAGCAGGCTCTGAAGCCTGCTTGCCACGCAGAGCACACTCAGCAGTGCGTTCCTTCCGTCCTTCACTGCTCCTTCCCTCCGCCCTCCCTTGTACAGGCAGTGCTGAGGGCTCCCCTGTGTCTCGGGGTAGGGAGTCCTGAGTTGACTTAGCGGCCATACTCTCAGGCTGCTGACAGTCCTGTCACTGCCCTAAGCACGGTGCCCTAACACCCGTGAGTCATAGAGCTGTGCTAGGTGCAGCAGGAGAGACGCGTCCCAGCGGGGAGTTCTGGAGCCAGGATGCGGGGTGGGGCGGTGCGCGGGCCGGTATCAGAGTCCTGGCTTCCAGCCTCAGCTCCACCACTTCCTAACTAGATTTCTCTTTCTTTTTTCCTTAAAGACTCTCTGGTCCCCTGTCCTCATTTGTGAAATGAGGACATTCTCACCGGCGTCTCAGGGGTGTTCTGAGGTCCAAACGTACTAGCTTAGTAAGGCATTAGACTTGAGTGTGGAACCGGGCATCCTTTGTGATTGGAGCCTTCTCAGCTACCTGGAAGCTTTTACGGTGGGGAGCGGCGGGGCTCTAGTTCTTCCGGGTTAGGACTTTGCGCAGGAATGCAGAGGCAGTGGGAGGGAATGGGGGTAAATGTTCCGTGCCGCCTCACGCGGTTATTGATGGTAGGTGGTGGCGTTGCTCCAGGGAGGCCAGTTCCTCTTGAAGTCACATCTGGAGACCCCCTTGGGACCAATTTTTAAGCCCATTTGGTAGCTCCCCAAGGGTTCAAGTGCCAGCTCCAAACCCTAGTCCCGGGGTTTAGGGTTTGAATTCTAGGATGCTGCCTGGTTTCCCATTTCCATCCTGGTTTCTCTCCAGATGGCCTCTGCCAGTCTTCACATATCAAATCCATCCGTAAGTTCATTCCTATTTCTGGGGCAATTCTAGATTTTCCTTCAAAGAGTGCCTGGAAGGCCAGGTATGGAGGCTCACACCTGTAATCCCAGCACTTTGGGAGGCTGAAGCAGGCAGATCAATCACCTGAGGCCAGGAGTTCAAGACCAGCCTGGCCAACATGGTGAAACCCTGTCTCTACTAAAAATACAAAAATTAGCCAGGTGTGGTGGTGCATGCCTGTAATCCCAGCTACTCGAGAGGCTGAGGCAGGAGAATCACTTGAACCCAGGAAGTGGAGGTCGCAGTGAGACAAGATCACACCACTGCACTCCAGCGTGGGCGACAGAGTGAGACTTCATCTCAAAAAAAAAAAAAAAAAAAAAAAAGAAAGAAAAAGAAAAAAGAGCGCCTGGAAAATAGTAATAATACAAATACTTTCTTATTCATTTTACCTACCATAAACCAGGCTTTACCTTCACTAATGCTTAATCTTCATAGCATCCGTGTAAAATAGGAGTGCTAGACTTGTTCTGTAGTTGAAGAAACTGAGAGGCTTTGCTGAAGGTCATACTGCTATTGGGTGGTGGAGGCAGGGTTCACACCCGCTCCCCCTCCTTGCCGTTCCTGGAGACCCACAAGCTTGTGTAATGCCCCACCTTCAGAGAAAAGCACCCAGGTCTCAGGATGTCCCCTTTGCTATAGACTGAATGTTTGTGTGCCCCTAAAATTCCTAGGTTGGAATCCTAACCCCCAGTGTGATGGTGTTAGGAGGTGGGCGTTTGGGAGTTGATTAGGTCATGAGGCTGGAGCCCTCATGAGTGGGATTAGTGCCCTTAAAAAAGGGACCCCAGAGGTTGGGTATCATGGCTTATGCCTGCAATCCCAGCACTTTGGGAGGCTGAGGCAGGAGGATTGCTTGATCCCAGAACTCGAGACCAGCCTGAGTAGCACAGATAGACCCTGTCTCTACACACACACAAAAATTAGACTTGGTGGTGCGTGCCTGTTGTCCCAGCTACTTGGAAGTGAGCCCACTTTGAGGTGAGCCCAGGAGTTTGAGGCTGCGGTGAGCCAAGATCATGCTACTGCACTCCAGCCTGGGCAACAGAGCAAGATCCTTCTCAAAAAAAAAAAAAAAAAAGGGACCCCAGAGACCTTGTTTACCCTTTCTGCCATGTAATGATGACACAGCAAGAAGGCGCCATCAGTGAACCAAGAAGAGGACCCTCACCAGATCCCGAATCTGTCGGTGCCTTGATCTTGGACTTCCAGCTGCCAGAACTGTGAGAAAATCAGTCCCTGTCGTTCACAGTGCACCGGGTCCATGGTGTTTTGTTTTCGCAGCCCTACTCGGCGGAGGTGCTCCTGCAAGAGGCCCTCTTTCCCTGGCCGTCCATCTAGAAGAGCGCAGCACAGGCAATCTCATCCCATCCCCCCAAGTGCAGCACTTCCCTGGCTGCTGACTTCAGGTTTCAGAGCCCCCTGTAACCTCACTCCCCTCTTTAGTTTCTTTCCTGTAGCCCCCACTGGGATACAAGCTCCCTGAGTAGACACACTTTGTCTGCTAGTTAATTGCCATTTTCCTCCTCCCCCAAATCCTGCCTGACAAGTAGTTGTTCAAGAGACATTTAAAGAAGGAAGGAAGGAAGGAAGGAACAAAGGAACTAATGTTTATTTTAGTTCTAACAAGCATGGAGAGTTAAAAGTGCATTCTGCAGGAATGAATTGAAACCGAGTTCCCAGAGGGCGGGCTCCAGTCTGTTATAATCACCATTGTGTCTCTATCTCGGGATGCAGTAAAGGCCTGGTAATATGAGTTGCTCAAGGGAGTGGATTTTCACCTTTTTTCCTCTTGTGTCAGGGAGATGCAGCTGGTTGTAGTGGAATGATGCATTACAAACTATTTGCTCTCAGTGAATGGGAACACTTGGTTTTGATCCTGGCTCTGAGAGTAGTAGGTCGCTTGACCTCTCTGTGCCTCAGTTTCGCAAGCTATGAAGTGGAGGAGGCTTCCCTCAAGGATTCTTTGTGGTGCTGACCATCTGTTCTGGGAAAGGAGCCAGAATATCCACATTCTCATTTGCGGTGATTAAAGAACCACTCTGCTGAAGTTTCTCATGACTTGCCTGACCTCGTTAGTTTCTTTGATACCAAAGACAGGTGTCTTCCTTTCCCCCTTGCCTACTGTCTCCTTTACACATGTGGTGACATTCAGGTGAATTTGAATGGCTTTTGGCTAGGCAAGCCAGTATCAGTAAACACACTGGCTTGGACATTTGGCCCATAACTTTTTATACCCGAGGCCAGGTGTTGGCCGATGTGGGAAGAGGGCTGGAAAGAGGCAGAATGGTATTTGTGTGAGTGCCAGACCCCTGTGGACTGTTTTGCTGAGATGCTGTCTTATGGAGTTTGTAGAGGTGAATCAACAACTGTCTTTGTGAAAGGCAAATGTCACCTTCAGGTTTTAATTCTGAGTGGCCAGCAGCCCTTACATTGCCACTGTATATCATCAGAGCCACTAGAATATTAGATATGTAAATCCTTTCTGCACTTTACACATCCTTTAGTTTTGTAGGGCCCTGATGTCAGTGATCACGGCAAGTTGAGAAGCAATGTGTTGGGATGGAAAGAACATGGGTCAGGCAGACCACAGCACTGCTGTTCAAGAGCTGTGTGGCTACGTGCAGTGGTTCCTGGCTGTAATCCCAACACTTTGGGAGGACAAGGCAGGAGGATTGCTTGAGGCCAGGAGTTCAAAACCAGCCTGGGCAACATAGTGAGACCCCCTCTCTTTACAAAAGAAGAAGACAGAAAAGCCAGACATGGTGGCACGTGCCTGTAATCCCAGCTACTCGGAAGGTTGAGGCAGGAGGATCTCTTGAACCCAGGAGTTGTAGGCTACTGTGAGCCTTGATCGCACCACAGCCTGGGTGACAGAGTGAGACCGTGTCTTAAAGAGAAAGATCTATGTGACCCCGGGCAAATGCTTTAATTTCTCTGAACTCGTTTTCCCAGTCCTTGAAATGGTGGTAATATTATCCCCTTGGTGGATTCCTGGGAGTTATATGAAGTGTCTGTTGTATCTGGGAACCTCATTGGAGGCTCATAGATAGTTTTAGAGATTTCAGATACCTCTTGCAATTGTGTGCAAAATCGTGCTTGTGTGTTTGTGCACATACGTGGATTTTCCTGGGGAGAAGTTCCTTTGCTTTCACGACTCTCCTTCAGAGTGTTCCAGGCTTTAGAAAAAAGTAAGAAACACGAAACACTTCAGGTAGTTAGCAGGTGGTAATTGCACATAGTGTCTGGGGCAACACTGGCAATCGTGGTATCATTATTTTTGTTTTTACTGTTCTGCTTGCTGATGTTAAACCAGCTACACTGGCTGTGTTCTTACGCACATCCCTACATGTATTAGCAGTGGGAACCTGGGCAAGTTATTTAAGCTAACTGTGCCTCAGCGTTCTCGTCTATAAAATGGGGCTATCATAGTACCCCTCTGACACAGTTGTGAGGATTAAATGAACTAACAGATGGAAGATACTCAGAAGATACACTATGTAAATTACCACCTGAGCTATCGAAGGGTGTTATATGCTATGTAAATTATACCTTGATAAGAAAAATTGGAAAAAAAATCCAAGAGAGTATCTGGCATCTTAAAGACTGAATAACTGGTAGGTGTGATCATTAACAACACCCTCAAAGGGTACGTTGCTGACGAATCTTCCTGAAAACAACATCTGGGCCTTATTGTTGAACTGCAAATAGGTTGACCTGATTTTCCATCTTACTGAAACCATCCCTCCTGCAGAGGCCCTGAAGTTCCCTTTAGCTGGTATCTACCCCTCAATCCTCCCTCTGGTTAAGAGGACATAAACCAGGCTACTCTTTCTATGAGGCCTGAAAATTGGAAGTGATCACGCAGGATGGTGGTTCTTAGCTGGGGGTGATTGCAACCCCCAGGGGACATTTAGCCATGTCTGGGACATATATGGTTGTCACACCTGGGATGAGGGTCCTTCCGGCATCTGCTAAGTAGAGCCCAGGGATGCTGCTGAACGTCCTGTGGTGGACAGGACAGGTCCTCCCAACAGGACAGCTCCTCCCAACACAGCATTATCTAGTCCCAAACGACAGTACTTGAGAAACCCCAAGACAGAAGGAAGCAGCAGGGCCGTTTTCCAGGAACCGTATTTTGTCTTAGGCTTTTTTTTTAAAACCTCTCGCCTCCTGCATAGGTCAAGGAATGAAACTTAGGAAAAAATGAGCCTAAAGAAAATGATAGATCCCAGGGAGCATTTGTTTGTGTGTGTGCGCATGCATGTGTGTGTGTATGTTTGGGAGCTTTTTCGTGCCATCACTCCTGCAATGAAGATGATGATTTAGGAAGGCAGTAGATGCATAATGATACAGACCTGTGGAATGCACCAGACTAAGTGATCCTGACTCCGTAGCTGCGGAAGTACCGTCACTGCTGCGGAAACCAGCTCACTGGTACTACTTTACTAGATCTTAATCAAAATTCATTCAGTTGATATTTGTTGGTGTTTACAACAGCCTTGTCTCCCTTCACCTCCTTTTTAACAACAAAGTTTCTACTCTTGAGTTAATTTCGTTTGAATATATGGTTATTTGGGAGCTGGAGGTTGCAAGAAAGCGGCTCAGGCTTTATTCCTGCCAATTTCAGGAAGAGCCACATTGGAGCCACCAGGGGGCGCCCTAGTCTTTTCTCTGCCGCTTTCCTTCCGCAGCTGCGGGTGGTGGTTATCTGAATTTTTCATGTCCAGCGCGGTACCCCTTTCAGTGGTGAGGTCGCGAGTGGTGGTGGTGTTGAGAGCAGTGGTCTTTTCTAGTTGAAAAACATCAAGCATGCATGCAGCTTTCTGTTCACCATCAGTATAGCACAGTCATGCATTGCCAGTCACTTTGTGGTCCTGTTCTAAAAGGGAATTTGCAGCTCATCAGAAAACATTTCCCCTGTGTCATTGCTTTTCATGAGATATAATTGATTAGCTGTGGGTATTCAGCTTTTGAATCCCGATTGTTGCCTTCTTGCCCCTTTTTTTGGGGCTGGGGAGTGAAGGTGATAGAGTCAGGTGAGCCCAGACCATCCGGCCCATTTGTTTCCTTTTAATTTGTTAGAGCTTTTGATTGTGAGCCAGGGCAGAGAGGGCAAGAAAAACATCCTTACTTGTCAATAGGCTGTGTTGAGGGGGTCCTTTTTTTTCCTCTTGGCTATTATTGGAAGAGATTCTCAACGCTAGTGAGGCGTTCTGGCTCATCGCCTAGCAACACAATTCCAAACATTCGGCAGCTCCAGAAATGAAGTTGAGGAGTGCTGTAGTAACATCAGAGAGAGATGCGAGGCCCCGCAGCCAGCTGCTTGCTTGGCTAAGGGCTTCATGATAAAATTTTAGGATGAGATGGTGGGGCAGTGGCCGTTAAATCGGCTGCAGTCTGAGCCCCCTGCCCCTTAACTGCCGAGAAGTGAACCTAGGTGACGTGGCCAACACAGATCCCTCACGCTGGGCATCTTTCTTTAAAGGGGAAACTTCCCACTGAATTTTGTGTATTAGCCCTTCAGTGACTGTCTTAGTGTCTTAGTAATTGGAAGGTTCCAGATGGCATTTAGACATGCCTCACTTCTTTATCATCTGTTTATTCATTCACCAAACATTTACCAAACATCTCTCATGTGCTGGGCGCAGTTCTAGGTGCTGAGGAGCCAGAGGTGGGGATCCAGCTTGGCCATGCACAAGCTCTGTGTCACATGTTAAAATTTCCCCATCATTATAATGCAGATTTAAGAGTGCCAGCACCATGGGCTGTTGTGAGGACTAAATGAGTTCATACACAGAGAGTGCTTTGACATTGCGCTCAGCACTCAGGAGATGTTAGCTCTTCTCACATGGGCCCTGCCCACAGAGCATTCTAGTGGAGTTTTATGGTAATAAAGAAATGATGAATGATTGGATGGGGCAAAACGGGAGGCAATGGGGTCATGTGGGAGTGATGTACTCTTTGTTATCTGTGGCACTGAACAACCGCCACTCGATCCACCCATGGGAACGAGTTCCCCGTGAAGTGGGAAATTCCTAATGGAAGTTTTAGGTTATGCAGTACAGCTCCCAACTCCTTACCTGGAAAAAGACCAGTGCTGGATGCTGGTCACTCATATAGACCCTGGATTCCTTGCTCCCAGGAGGGGAAGGAGGAACCGATGACAGCAGGATGAATGTAGCAAGGATAGGGTGGCTGAGGTCCAGAGGGTCACAGGAGGGAAAGGTTAAGGGCTCGGTGCAGGGGAGGTCAGGAGGTCTTGCACAGATGGGGATGCTGGGCCAGAAGGGAACCTCCCTGCAGTGTGCAAAGGGGGCTGACAGTGATCTTCCAGGCTGCACCTCTGGTTCCGTCACTAAGCACTGCAGGATGTCGGGATGGGCTTGAGGAGCTGTTGTCGCCATTATGAAGCCCTTGAGGAAGCATTGGTGATGGTGCTGCCGAGTACTGAGTCTGTCCTTGTCACCCGTTAACTCACGCATGTCTGCGATCCTGTGAGAGCTTGCGGTGATCCCCATTTCACAGAGGAGACGGGAGTGCTTAGCGGTAGATAAACCTAGCCAGCATCACACAGCCAGTGGCCGGTGGAGCTGGGTTGCACAGCTAGGCTCTTACTCCGGGAAGAATATGTTTTAGCTTCACCTGGAGACCCTGCACCAAGCCAGAGGGCATTTTGAAGGGGCTGTATTTCAGGCCGACTTCCCGCATCTGGCTGGTTGTTCCCTGCCTCACCAGGCTCTCACTTGTCTGTGGTTAATGATCCAGGCTGCAGTGAGTACACAAGGTCTCAGTATCATTTCTGTGCTCTTGGTTTGGGCCACACATGATTTTTTTTTTTGGTCTTTTTTAGCATTTGTTCATTTTATTTGAGGTCTGCTGCATTCCTCCTGACCTCCCTAACAGCTCAGACTCTTAATTTGTTTACAGACTTTCAGGAAGGGCTGTCCCTGAACTCTAAGCTAGGATCAACTTTTGGTCTGGAGGTTTCTAGCCGGCTATCTCAGCTGGGCCAGGCAGCAGCTTATGTAACCGTTTGATGCAATTCAGAGCCAATCCAAAATGGGCCTCTCGCTCAGGGGATGAGACGCGGTCAGACTTGTTTGAAATGTCAGCTTTGTTTGAGCTGGGACAGCTCAGTTTGTAAAGTTGGAAGGCGGGGGTGGTGGGGAGGCAGCTGGGTGTGAGTTTATTGGGAAGGAGTAGCCTGACTGGGCTGCTTCATTAAAGTTGGGGGAGCTGCACCGCCCTGGAGGAGAGCACCCCAGGCTCCTGCAGTCCCACATGAAGGGCTCACGTCCTGGCTTTGCCATTTACTTTGTCCGTTTCCTTATTTCCAAAAGGAGGTGAATAGCACTTGCCATGTGCAGTGCCCGCACACGCTGGGCCCAGAGGACGCTCAGTACGTGGCCGGGGTGCTTACGTTTTGGTTGCAGCCCAGCAGTTCTAACCCTTCCCCTGCCCCCTCCTTCAACTCCTTTTCCTCCTCCTCTTCTCCCTCCTGCCCTAGACCTTAAATATTAATGTTAAAAATTTGTATTTAAATTTTTGTTTTGCATAAGTATATATTTACATGGAACAAAACTCAAAAGGTACGTATGGGATACCGTAAAGGATTTCTCTTCCACTCCCACATCAGCCACCTTGCTCCCCGTCCAGGACTCTAACCATTGGAGTTCACCTTCTGGAAGAACGTCGCTGCCCAGTTGAATAGGGGGTTGGGCATACTGGAGCTCCCACTTGCAGTGGCCACCGCGTGCCCTTTGATGGGACGTTACATTGCATTTCAGCAGCACCCAGCTGCTTCCAGGTGTCTGTACACACCGTCGGTTTCATGTGCGCAGACGATTCAGTTTCATGCGCGCCCGATTCAGTTTCATGCTCTTCCGTCTGCCGGGACACCCTCCCCTCTCCTCCTCTTTTGCCTGGGTCGTGCTTATTCATCCTGTAAGACACAGCTTAGGCGTCACCTCCTCCAGACAGACAGACACGTGAAGATCAAGAGGCTAGCTTTGTCATCAGTAAAGCTGGTTGGAAAACAGAGCTTTGAACCTGTGGGAAGGTGGGCTTACAAAACCTCGTCCCTGAGTCTAACAGTCAGAGGTAGAGACCCCCCTCAGGGCAGTTCCTGAGCACACCTTGTGGGGAGGTGAACAGGTGGGTGGGCTCTGAGAGAACCCACAGGAGCTGAGCTGAGGAAGAGCGCCTCCTGTCTGGCCCAAGTGGGCCAGGTCACTCCCTGCATTGTGGGAGCAGAGAGTACGGGACAGAAAGAGTGAGGGTGGGAACTGGGGAGTGGGGACCTACTTCATGTGAAAATGGGAGGTCAGAGAACTGGTGGCTCCCCTCCAGCACAGAGCACTTCATGAGGAAAGAGACACTTAGGTTTCAGGCTGTTGTTAGATACATGGCTGTGGCTGGTGACTTTGCTGAGGTTCTGTTTTCTCTTCTGCAGAATGGGACTAATTACCTGTCTTTCACATGTTTGCTGTGAACATTGGCTAAAATAAAGTAGGTAGAGAGTGGTGTCTGAGTCTGCGAGGTGGTCAGCTCAGCACTAAACCCAGGGCCCTTGGTTCCGTTTTCTTGTACTGCCCTTCTCCCTGATTCTTCTCGAACCTCCCATCTCCTCTTCCACTGAAGGAAGGAAGAGGCACCGTGATTTTTGAATGGGGTTGTGTAGCTCGTAGGGGAGTTGGGTATGTGTGAGGAAGGGCCAGTGAGTTGGTGCTGCATTGTTCCTGGGTAGTTAGGTGACAGCTGGCAGCTCAGTATTTAGTGACCTAAACAGGGAGGCTCCAGGGACAGGAGCAGATGCAGCCTGTCTGAGGGCGGCTCTGCCCTTGGCTCTTGGGTCCCCCACAGCGTTCTGGCCCGGACTCCCGGTGAGGGTGGAGTCCTGTCGGCCTCCAGAAGGAAGCCCAGTTCTGACCATGCCCTCTACCCTTTTGTATTCAGACTCCCACCAGCATCTGGGAGGACTTGCACCAGCCTGCTGTGCCCTTTTGATTCGTGGAGTGTGGATCCCTGGGCTGAGGGACGGAGCAGAATGCCTATTGTGCCTATGTTCCTGGGGTGCTAGCCCACCTCCCTCTGTGGTGCAGTGCCCTCATGACTGCCTGGCTCTGAGATGGAAGGACCCTAAATGCAAATCCATCTCTGGAGTGGCACTCTCCTGTGAGCGCTAGGCATGATGAACCCGGGATGATGGTACTTGATCAGTGTGCAGGCACTGTGCTCAGTACTGGACATGGATTTCCCCTGTCTAGTCCTTGCAGCGACCCCATGCAGCGGCTACTGTTATCGCCTCTCTCTCATTGAGCAGAATCAAGGCTCAGCGATGGAGGAACTTGTCCAGCATAGGGAGTCCTTGGTGGGAGAGCATGGGACTTCAAAGCCCACCTCTTAAACTGTGAGCCCAATACCTTCTGGCTTTTCATCCTTCAGTCATTCATTCACCAAATGTTTACAAAGGCCTGCTGTGTGTCAGGTGCTGTGCTGGCTCTAGGCAGGGTGTCTCCACTGCGGCACTGTCGACCTTTGGATTGGATCATCCTTGGCTGTCCTGTGCATTGTAGGAAATTTTGCGGTGTCTCTGGCCTCTACGCACTAGTTGCTGGTAGCACCACCACCAGTTGTGACAGGCAAGTGTCTGTGGACAGTGCCCAGCGTCCTCCAGGGGAGCGGGGTAGGTAAAACTGCCCTTGGTTGAAACCCGCTGCTCTAGGAATCCATAAGCAGAAGAGACATGTCAGGTGGGGCTCTGTCCTCTACGGTAAAGTAAAGATGGACAAGAGGAAGGACGGTGCATGCTGGAGGGGCTGCTGTGTCCAGATCGGGCTGTCTGCAGAGGCCTGTCTGACAAGGTGACTTTTGAGTAGGGGCCTGAATAAAGTGAGGAAGAGATCATGGGGATGTGGAAGGAAGAGTGTGCTTGGCAGAGGGAACGGCCAGGACAGAGGCCCTGGGTGGGGGTGCTGGGTGTGGCTGGGGCAGGAGGAGATGAGGCAGAGAAGTTGGGGATGGGGTGGGTGGGGTGGCCTCAGCTTTCACCCTGAGTGAGTAGGGGTGCTGCTGGGGGCATTAGAGCAGAGGTGGTGAGACAGGTCATCTGGCCCCTGGGTGGACTGGGGGACAGCAGGGAGGGCAGCTGGCAGGTGGGGGTCACAATGTAGGCAGCAGATGCTGGCCACCTGGGGGAGGGCTGGGGACTTTTTGATTAGGAGGATGACCTTTGGGTTTTCTCCACATTGAAACGATCAGTGCAACACCTGCCCACGGTGAAAACACCCATCCATGGCCCATCTCTTCTCAATTCCCAGGACGAAGAGTGCCACGAAGAGTGCCTCTCCAGTCTTTCAGCTGTTACTTCATTGGAGGGACACTCTTCTTCTACCACCATTTCTTGAATTGGCACGTTTTAGACATTACCAGTTTCCTGCTGGAATAGGTAGAGGTTGTGCGTGCGCATCCTGAGCATCCTGCTGGGCTGAAGGGAGCAGCCTATTTTGTTCTCTCCTTTCTCAGGGCTCTGCATTATTTTCTTCTTCATCTGGGTGTCCTAATGTACCTTTGTGGCCCCCCCCAACTTTTTTTTTTTTTTTGCCTTGCAGAACCTTTAGCATCTCTCTCATTCTGTTCTTCCTCCTACTAAATGGTTGACCCCCAATTTTATTTTTTTTTTTTTTTGAGACAGAGACTCGCTCTGTTGCCCAGGCTGGAGTACAGTGGCGTGATCTTGGCTCACTGCAACCTCCACCTCCCGGGTTCAAGCGATTTTCCTGCCTCAGCCTCCTGGGTAGCTGGGATTACAGGCATGCACCACCATGCCTGGCCAATTTTTGTATTTTTACTAGAGACAGAGTTTCACCATGTTGGCCAGGCTGATCTTGAACTCCTGACCTCAAGTGATCTGCCTGCCTTGGCTTCCCAAAGTGCTGGGATTGCTGGCACGAGTCGCTGTGCCTGGCCTGACCCCCAGTTTTAATCATCTTATGTTGGCAGCTGTAGTTTTAGTCATAGCTGTCTCTTGGTAATAATGAAAAAGGAAAGTATCTTTTTAATTTAAATATACTTTAAGTTCTGGGATCCATGTGCAGAATGTGCATGCTTATTACATAGGTATACTTGTGCCACGGTTTTTTGCTGCACCCATCAGCCCGTCATCTACATTAGGTATTTCTCCTAATGTTCTCCCTCCCCTAGCCCCCTACCCTCAGACAGGCCCCAGTGTGTGATGTTCCCCTCCCTGTGTCCATGTGTTCTCATTGTTCAACTCCCACCTATGAGTGAGAACATGCGGTGTTTGGTCTTTTGTCCTTGTGATAATTTGCTGAGAATGATGGTTTCCAGCTTCATCCATGTCCCTGCAAAGAACACGAACTCATCCTTTTTTATGGCTGCATAGTATTCCATGGTGTATATGTGCCGCATTTTCTTTATCCAGTCTATCATTGATGGGCATTTGGGTTGGTTCTAAGTCTTTGCTATTGTGAATAGTGCCGCAGTAAACATCCGTGTGCATGTGTCTTTATAGTAGCATGATTTATAAACCTTTGGGTATATACCCAGTAATGGGATTGCTGGGTCAAATGATATTTCTGGTTCTAGATCCTTGAGGAATTGCCACACTGTCTTCCACAATGGTTGAACTAATTTACACTGCCACTAACAGTGTAAAAGCATTTCTATTACTCCACATCCTCTCCAGTGTCTGTTGTTTCCTGACTTTTTAATGATCGCCATTCTAACTGGCGTGAGATGGTATCTCATTGTGGTTTTGATTTGCATTTCTCTAATGGCCAGTGATGATGAGCTTTTTTTCATATGTTTGTTGGCCACATAAATGTCTTCTTTGGAGAAGTGTCTGCTCATATCCTTCACCCACTTTTTGATGGGGTTGTCAAAAGCTGGAAGCATTCCCTTTGAAAACCGGCACAAGACAAGGATGCCCTCTCTCGCCACTCCTATTCAACATAGTATTGCAAATTCTGGCCAGAGCAATCAGGCAAGAAAAAGAAATAAAGGGTATTCAGATAGGAAGAGTAGAAGTCAAATTGTCTCTGTTTGCAGATGACATGATTGTATATTTAGAAAACCCCATTGTCTCAGCCCAAGATCTCCTTAAGCTGATAAGCAACTTCAGTAAAGTCTCTGGATATAAAATCAATGTGCAAAAATCACAAGCATTCCTATACACTAATAATAGAGAGCCAAATCACGAGTGAACTCCCATTCATAATTGCTACAAAGAAAATAACATACCTAGGAATAAAACTTACAAGGGATGTGAAGGACCTCTTCAAGGAGAACTACAAACCACTGCTCAAGGAAATAAGAGAGGATACAAACAAATGGAAAAACATTCCATGCTCATGCATAGGTAGAATCAATATTGTGAAAATGGCCATACTGCCTAAAGTAATTTATAGATTCAATGCTATTCCCATCAAGCTACCATGCACTTTCTTCACAGAATTAGAAAAAAACTGCTTTAAATTTCATATGGAACCAAAAAAGAGCCCATATAGCCAAGCTAATCCTAAGCAAAAAGAACAAAGCTGGAGGCTTCATGTTACCTGACTTCAAACTGTATTACAAGGCTACAGTAACCAAAGCAGCATGGTACTGGTACCAGAACAGATATATAGACCAGTGGAACAGAACAGAGGCCTCAGAAATAATGCCACAAATGATCTTTGACAAACCTGACAAAATAAGCAATGGGGAAAGGATTCCCTATTTAATAAATGGTGCTGGGAAAACTGGCTAGCCATATTCAGAAAACTGAAACTGGACCCCTTCCTTACACCTTATACAAAAATTAACTCAAGATGGATTAAAGACTTAAATGTAAGATCTAAAACCATAACAATTCTGGAAGAAAACCTAGGTAATACCATTCAGGACATAGGCATGGGCAAAGACTTCATGACTAAAACACCAAAAGAAATGGCAACAAAAACCAAAATTGACAAATGGGATCTAATTAAACTACAGAGCTTCTGCACAGCAAAAGAAACTATCATCAGAGTGAACAGGCAACCCACAGAATGGGAGAAAATTTTTGCAATCTATCCATCTGACAAAGGGCTAATATCCAGACTCTACAAGGAACTTAAACAACTTTGCGAGAGAAAAACAAGGAAAGTGTATTCTTAATGTTTCCTTGTCTCCATGATCATCCTTCTGTGATGTTTTTGTAATCATCAATTTATTCTTCATTCCTAGAGTCCTAATTATGTGATTAGAACCTTTCTAGAATTCGCTGCTAAAAAAGATGAACTACACTTGCAAAAATGACCTATACTCGATTCAGTTTCCTGGAATTGGAAGCCTGCATTCCAGATGAGGCAGCAGAAAAAGTCAGAGTTTGTTTCCTTGAAACGGTGGCTACCACTTGATCCCATACCATCTGGCAGTTGTGTGTGTTGTTTGAAAATCAAGGCATAGTTTGATGCTTGTGGGTACTGAGCTGCCAGGAGAATCTTCTCAAGAAAAATCAGGCACAGAGATCACCCAGGCTATGGTTCTTTGAGGTCAGCGCTTTTAAAAAACTTGTGTCCAGGTGTGGTGGCTCATGCCTGTAATCCCAGCACTTTGGGAGGCCGAGATGGGCAGATCACCTGAGGTCAGGAGTTCGAGACCAGCCTGGCCAACTTGGTGAAACCCCATCTCTACTAAAAATACAAAAATTAGCTGGGCGTGGTGGTGCATGCCTGTAATCCCAGCTATACAGGAGGCTGAGGCAGGAGAATCTCTTGAACCCGGGAGGCAGAGGTTGCAGTGAGCTGAGATTGCACCACTGCACTCCAGCCTGGGTGACAGAGCGAGACTCCATCTCAAACAAACAAACAAATAAACAAAAAAAAAAAACCCAAACCAAGAAACTTGTTGCCACTTTTTCTTTGACCTTCAGGTTCTCCAGATCTCCAGGATCATTCCCAGGATTAGCTGTGGGTTGGGGCCATTATTTTCATAAAGTGTAGTTGGAAGTTTCCTTAAATAGTGGGTGTACCTGTCACTGTGAATACTGGAAACCTCTTGTTATGTTTATCCATGCAAATCTTTGTTAAAAATAGTTGGCAACCCTTGTCTTTATTGTTGTGCATTGTATGCAGAACTTTCTTTGCTTTCCAGACATAAGATCCAAAAGACAAATTGTACTGAAGAAAGCGAACTGGAAAGAATGTCAAAGACTTGCCTTCTAGGGCTGGGTCTGAATGTCTGCTGGGAATGGCGGTGTGATTTGAAGAGTTGGCTCCAAATGCAGATCCACTCGGGTTTTATTAATGCTTCCTTCTGCAGGGTCCCTGCTCATCCACATAGGAAGGAGATTGAGGCTTACTTTGGAATTCCAGGGAAGTCAGCCTCAGTCTTCAGAGCATGAGGCAACACCGTGAGCAGTTTCTTAATGGTGAGGGTCACAGTTAACCCAAAAATGAGGCCAGACTGTGCTGAGAGTCTAATTTATTTCCTTCCTTCCTCCCTTCCTCCCTCCCTCCCTCCCTCCCTCCCTTCCTTCCTTCCTTCCTTCATTGTCTCACTCTGTCGCTAGGCTGGAGTGCAGGGTCATGATCTCAGCTCACTGCAACCTCTGCCTCCTGGGTTCAAGCGATTCTTGTGCCTCAGCCACCCGAGTAGCTGGGATTACAGGCACACACCACCACACCTAGCTAGTTTTTTGTTTTTTTCTTTTAATAGAGGTGGGTTTTTACCATGTTGGCCAGGTAAAAACCTGACCTTGTGATCTGCCTATTTCAGCCTCCCAAAGTGCTGGGATTACAGGCGTGAGCCACCACACCCGGCCAGGAATCTAATTTCTAAAGTGCATTTTGGGAAAAAAAAAATCCACCCACAAATCTTTATTAAAGAGTGACCCTTATTAGTCTATATGTGATTTTCTTCTTTTCTAAGTAGCACTGGTGACTCAGGTGATGCATTTTAGTGATGGAAAAACTCAAAACACAGAGACAATGCTGTGTTTCCAGGGTCTCCTAGCCCTTCTCTCCTCCTGCCCCAGAAGCCTTCAGGCCCAGCAGTGCGGTGTGTGGTCCTGCTGCACAGGTGAGCCACAGTCCTTGGAGTGGAGAGATTAGCTTGGAAAGAAGAGATCTGCAAAGCTCTTTTTGGGCGAATATTAAGTTTGGTGAATGAGTGGAGAAGTTGGGTGGGGGACTGCGACCATATTTACCAGCGAGCTCAGCGGTGGGCGTCCTGGCTGGCCCAGCATGAGAGGAGATGAAGAGTGATTGCTTCCTGGAGGAGTCTGTACTAATCCATCTTCATAAGCCTCAGCCGTGGCTCCTCTGGAGGGACAGAGCCAACGTTTCCATCTAAGTAACGCGAGGGAGGAGGGAGAGATGCTGAAGCAAGATTGTCACAGCTTAATGATACGAAATGCTCTCACCGGGGACTCTAGAAACTTGGCTTCTGTGAGTTTCATCTGCTCACCCCTGCCCTGTGTGGGCTGAGGGAGGGACTGAAAAGCTCCCCTCCTAATGTGTCAATGGCTTTGCCAGGAATTGCATCGGTGGTGTGTCAGGCGGGCTGTTGTCTGGTTTCTGTGACAGAGACCCTGAGCAACACTGGTTTAGACAAGGTAGAATTTTCTTTCTTCCCACTTGACAGTTTGAAGCCCAGTCCACTCTTCTTGGTGGTGCCATTACATTTCAGATGTTGCCCTTGTCCACGTGTCCATCACATGCACATTTCTGCCAGAGCGGAGATAAGGCCCCCTCCTCGGCCCCCTCCTTTTCTGCTGCTGCTTGTTTTTCTTTTTCAGACAGGGCCTTGCAGTCACCCAGGCTGCAGCGCAGTGGAATGATGATACCTTATGGCAGCATCCACTTCCCGGTCTCAATTGATCCTCCTGCCTCAGCCTCCTGAGTAGCTGGGACTACAGGCACGTGCCACCATGCCTGGCTCATTTTTCTATTTTTTTTTTTTGGTAGAGACAGGGTCTCACTGTGTTGCCTAGGCTTATCTATGACTCCTGGGCTTAAGCGATTCTCCTGCCTTGGCCTCTGAAAGTGCTGGGAGTACACGTGTGAGCCACCATGCCTCGCCCCTTTTATTTAAGGGTATACCCCCAACTTCCAGTAGTGCTTCCTTTTTTTTTTGAGACCGGGTCTCACTCTGTCACCCAGGCTGCAGTGCAGTGGCACGATTATGGCTCCCTGCTGCCTTGTACTCCTGGACTCAAGCAGTCTTCCCACTTTAGCCTCCCAAGTAGCTGGGACTACAGGTGCATGTCACCATGCCCAGCTAATTTTGAAATTTTTTTTGTAGAGATGAGGTCTCACTGTGTTGCCCAGGCTGGTCTTGAACTCCTGGGCTAAAGCAATCCTCCCTCCTCGGCGTCCCAGAGTGCTGGGATTCCAGGTGCGGGCCACGGCACATGGCCCTGCATCACTTCCTATTAACCTCACCTTGGCTGGAATTAGTTAAACGGCCACAGCTGCAAGGCTGCACGTGAAGGCGAGAGATGTCTTTATTCTGAGTGGTCACCTGGCCAGCCAAGGCGCTTCAGTTACTACAGAAGAAGAAAATGGGTGTGGGGACAGCTGGCATCTGCTCCAGGTGGAAGACAGCACGGGCCAATCTGACTGACCACAGCACTGTGGGTTTTTTTTTTTTTTTTTTAAAACGTTTTTGCTTCGAAAGAATTTAAGACCTGGTGCGGTGGCTGATGCTTGTAATCCCAGCACTGTAGGAGGTTGAGGCAGGAGGATCACCTGAGGTCAGGAGTTCAAGACCAGCCTGGCCAACATGCCGAAACCCCGTCTCTACTGAAAAATACAAAAATTAGCCAGGCATGGTGACTGAGGCAGGAGAATCTCTTGAACCTGGGAGACAGAGGTTGCAGTGAGCTGAGATGCGTTCCTTCATTCCGGCCTGGGCAACAGAGTGAGACTCTGCCTCAAAAAACAAAAACAAAAACAAAAAAAAGAGGAGTTGCTGGTTATGTGGATAGAAGAGAATCGAGGTGACGAGTGGGTGGTGGGCACCGTGGATGTGATGACTGCCTGCCCTGTCCAGGCATCTGCTTGTTCTGGAGTTTCATTCTCAGACATCCTCCCCAGGCCCAGAAGCAGGTGTTCTGCTACCCGTCCATAGGAATTCTTCATTAGGAATGAAGAAACTGTGTGCCACAGGGATTGATTAACAATCGTGTTTTAAGTGATAGAATTAGGTACTGTTGAAGCTATGAAATGAATTAGGCTGTGAGCTTTTTTTTTTAAGGCCAAAGATTGATTGACGGTAGTGGAATGAGACTTCGAAATTTATTAGGAGTTGCTAGAAAAATAAGGAGGGGAAAGGTCCATGTTGAACCATAGAGATTTTCCATTTGACATCAATTGCTCTTTGCTGTTCCAAGGAGGATAATTATGCTACCCGAGCTGAGATGCAGATGGGCCAGGCTCTTTTTGGACAATCTTTAGGGTAGGAGAAGCCCTCCCAGTGGTAGAGGAAGTTGACTTTTACTAGCCTTGTCTGGCATTCTTTGATGAGCTATGGTAGAGGTTAGGAAGGGCCAGGACTGAGGTGGGGGAGAATGCCACCTGGCTCTTGAGGCTGGGACCCCAGGCCTGATGCCCTCCTTATGGAAGTTCCATGCCAGGCCAGGGGGAGACTCCATGATGGTGAGTGGCTTCCATGAGAAAAAGACAACTGGGCTGGACTTGACCATGGGAGAACCAAGTCAGCAGGTGCACCAGAAGGTGTCACGGCACCTGGAGGCTGGTTCTGGCTCCAGACTTGAACCTTTTGAGTCTTGGAGGTGCTGTGTTTTCTCTTTTAGGAGAGGGGTCAGAGGCATCCAAGCTTGTTGGGTGACTACTATATCTGGGCAGTGTGCATGCGGGAACCTCCATAGCCTGTAGCTCTCTTAATACCTACAACAGCCCTGTGAGTTGAGTGATCATGTCCCTGTGCCCCGATGCCACAGCTGGCCATCAGGGAGGTTCAGTCCATTACGTAGAGTTATGCTGGTGGTGGCCAGTGCAAGGGTTTGAACCCAGCCTGAGCCCTGAAGCCTCTGCTCCATCCATACACACGAAGCTGTCCCTGTCTTGTTCGTTTTCTGTTGCTTATAACAGAGTACTTGAAGTTGGGTAATTAATAAAGAAAAGGAGGCTGGGCACAGTGGCTCACGCCTGTAATCCCAGCACTTTGGGAGGCCGAGGCAGGTGGATCACACGGCAGGAGTTCAAGAGCAGCCTGGCCAAGATGGTAAAATCCCGTCTCTACTAAAAATACAAAAATTAGCTGGGTGCTGTGACAGGCTCCTGTAACCCCAGCTACTTGGGAGGCTAAGGCAGGATAATCACTTGAACCTGGGGAGCAGAGGTTGCAGTGATCCCAGATCATGCCATTGCACTCCAGCCTGGGCAATAGAGTGAGGCGCTGTCTCAAAAAAAAAAAAAAAAAAAAAAAAAAAAGAAAAGGAATTTATTTCTTAGAGTTGTGCAGGCTGAGAAGTCTAGAGTTGAGAGTTTGTATCTGGTGAGGACCTTCTTGCTGGTGGGGACTCTCTGCAGGGTCCTGAACTGGCATAGAGCAGCAGATGGGGAGGGGACTGAGTGTGTGAGCTCAGGTCTCTCTTCCTCTTCTTAAAAAGCCACCACTCCAAAAATGGGCCCACTCCCGTGGTACCCCATGCATCCATTAACTCATTCATCCATGAGTGCATGAATGGTTCAATACACTCATGATTGCCAAGCTCTCATGACACAGTCACCTCTTAAAGGCCCCACGTCTCAGTACTGCTACTGGGGCTTAAATTTCACTGTGAGTTTTCGAGGGGACAAACATTGAAACCACAGCAGCCCCCTGTCAGTGGCCTCACTACAGCACTAGTCCTAATTGTCTACATCCGGGACCCTCATGCATGCACCACGAAGCTGCTGTCATCTGGAGCAAGGAGGGACATGGTGAGTAGGGGATGCCCAGCCGTGCAGACTCTGGAAAGCTCCTGCAAGAAGGCTCAAGGGTTAACCTGTTGAGCTTCCATTGCCCTCATCTTTTTTTTTTTGACACGGAATCCCGCTCTGTCACCCAGGCTGGAGTGCAGTGGCGCAATCTTGGCTCACTGCAACCTCCGCCTCACAGGTTCAAGCAGTTCTCCTGCCTCAGCCTCCCAAGTATCTGGGATTACAGGTGTGCACTACCACGCCCACCTAATTTTTGTATTTTTAGTAGAGACAGAGTTTCACCACGTTGGCCAGGCTGGTCTTGAACTCCTGCCCTCGTGATCCACCCGCCTTGGCCTCTCAGAGTGCTGGGATTATAAGTGTGAGCCACCGTGCCCGGCCCTCGTCTTTAAAATGAGTGTGATCTCACTGTCCTGCCGTCTGCACTGGGCAAAGTGAATACGGAGGCTCCGACCCTAAGCTGGACCTGTCACTGGATGCTGAGCTTGCGGGGAGGTGTTTCAGAACTGCAGCTCACGTGTCTAAAGCTGCAAATGGCTCTCAGATGACTCTCTTCCTGCATCCCTGCTTGGAGATACTTTCCCCTGAAGCTCCTGAGGCAGGAGAGAGGTGGAAGCATCCTTTATTTCCTGGGGTGAGGCAGCCCTTCCTCCCATGTGTCTAACGTCTCCTGCAGCCCAGCATGTCGTTCCCCACTTAGTCTGATTAAAGACTAATTTTCTAGCTCTGAAGGTGGAACTTAGAACAGACTTTTTCCTTTTCTCCAGGTGAGTGGGTTTTGCACAGATGACTCAGACCATAGACTGTGATGAACACAGAAGCAAGAGTCCAGCTTTTAGGGCCACCTTTTGGCCTGCTGAGCCCTGTGACGAGGAAGGGACGGCCTTTTGCTAGGGAAGAGCAGGTGTGGTGGCTGGGCTGCTTGACTCCCTTTGGTTTCTGAAGGCTTAGTGGTTGGGCTTGCGGTGAGACAAACGCCCAGGCTTTTAAAAACACCCTGCTCCAGGGTGGTCAATGTCACTTCACACAATGCCTTGGTATCTAAACCAACCTCTGGACTACAGCAGTTGTATCATCCAGTTTTCTGTTGACAGTCTGTGGACCTGAGCCCTTTTAAGACAGTGTGGTGGCCTGAGGAAACAAACCTGATTATTAACAAAAAATGGTGTTTTTCTTTTTTAATTTTTTTTTTTTGAGAAAGGGTCTTGCTCTGTTGCCCAGGCTGGAGTGCAGTGGTGCGATCATAGCCCACTGTAGCCTCAAACTCCTGGGCTCAAGCGACCCTCCTGGCTCAGAGTAGCTGAGATCACAGGTGCACGCTACCACGCCTGGCTAATTTCTTATTTTTTGTAAAGATAGGGTCTGTAGTGAGCTATGTTGCCTCAAACTCCTAGCCTCAAGTGATCCTCCCACCTTGGCTTCTCAAAGTACTGCGATTACACGTGTGGGCCAGAAAGCAGTGTTTTTCTGAGGGGGCCAAGGTCTTAATACAATGGCATGTTCACAAGGGCTACTGAGGCGATCTGCTGCATGCCCCTGCACCCCAGCAGGATGGTGGTTTATCTTGACAGGTGCATGCACACACCTGTACCCTTCCACCCCTGCACCAGTCAGCTCACTTCCCTGCCCAGCACCCTGCTGTGGCCTCGTTCTGCACTTTAGCACAAAATCCATGTTTTTGCTGTGGCCTGCAAAGCCTGCGTGATGTGACCCCTGCTGCCCTTTGCCTTCCATGACCTGTGCTTGTCACTTGCCAGCCACACTGGCCTTTGAGCCGTTCCTCAGACTTGCCAAGTTCCTTCTTACCTCAGAGACTTGAGGCAGGCTCCTCCTTCCCTCCCTGCGCAGGAGTCCACTTAGCAGACTTCCCTTTACGTCTCAGTGACACAGTGGGGAGGTTCCCGGCCCCTTCCCACTGCAAGGAAAGCAAGTGCCTGCTTCCAGCCTCCAAGATGGCAGGCAGCAAGGAGAATGGGTTGGGAATGGCTTTGGGCATAGCCACCCAGCAGAGCTTGTTTAGTTGAGTGTGATGGAGAGATCACCTAGACTGAATGGTGTGGGTAGCAGGTGGCAGGAGGCATGAGAGTCATTTCAGATGGTTTAGGAAAGCCTGAGTGAGAGCGAGAGATCTTCAGGAGGCTGCTGGGGTAAAGCAAAATCATGGGAGTACGGAGAGGTGAGATTTGAGAGTGTGTGTGGGTTGCTTCCCCAGATCCGTGTCGCCTGCTTCTCTGAAGATCTGAGATGGGGTGTGTGGTGGGGGGTCTAGGAAGCACTCACTGCATAGCAGTGAAATGCACAGTCTTCATTCCGGAGCAGGGCGTCCGCAGACACACCCACCCCGTGGTCATCGTTCCCAGGGCTCTGCTGGCAGAGGATGCACACAGAGGTTGTGCGCAGAGGTTGCAGTGGTTTGCAAAGGTCCAAAGCTATGTGACTGCTGAACTCTGGGAGCTCTTGGAGTTTACTGCTGGGTGAAGCTGGGTCAACTGCCCAACTGTACCTTCACCTCCCTTCGTAGAAGACAGGGTCGGGGTGGAGGAAGGGGAGCTGCCAGCTGCCAGTCTGTCCTGAGAGTGCCCAGTCACGAGCCACAGGTGCTTCCTTAAGTTTGGAGCTCTGTTCTGGAAGCAGCAGTGTGCTCCTGCCCCTACCTCCCCTCCCTCTTAAGTTTGAATCAGAACAAAGGCAGTTCTTGGTGAGGAGGCAACTCAGAAACAGGGGGCAGGGCAGACTTCGGGCACCTCCAGTGTCATCTCTGCGTGGCTGCTGAGGTGGAGATCTGGGGCTGATTTAGTCCCATCCACGTGTATTCATGAAGGTGCTGCCATCAGGCAATGTACTAGGCTGCATGCGTGAGGGAAACGCAGAAGGCATGGGTGGAATCCTGCTCACAAGGGACTCGCCATTTAGCTGGGGAGGCTGTGAAGTGAATGCCGAAGACGACAGCAGCCCCAAGCGGGAGAAGTGGCTTTGTCTCGTGAGGTCCAGGTCTCTTCTGGCAAGACAGCTTGTCTGAGCTGGGTTTTCAGTGTGAGTTTCGAGTGAAAGGGTGCTAAATCCTTGAATGTCAAAACCCACTGATTGTTCAGTTTCCAGTTATATTTTTGCTCCAACATCACTGGTCCTCAATAGCCTACTGTCCTTAGCTTAGAAGTGCAGGTACCTGCACTGGGTACAGCTGGATGTATAATTGCCATTCTCTTCCTGCCGGAGGAGGATGGAATGGAGAATATTTCCCCTGTATTCCACATGTTAAGAGATCACCTCTGCACTGGATTCATTGGAGCACCTGGAAGGAGGCCTGATGGAAACCACGCTGCCTGGGACAGCGTGGTGGACTCTGAGTCTCAGGAGATCCACATGATTCCCATTGTGTTTGTCCAGTTATGCTCTGAGTGTCTCTTGTTGCTCCGCATTTCTGGGCCTTGCTTGCCTTGACTCCAAGACTGGGCAGCATCCTCTGCTTCCCTTCCCTGCTCTCCAGGACTGAGGAAGTGGATTGAGCAGTCACTCCTTAGGCAGGCATTAGCACGGCATCTTTCATTTTGCAGATGCCTAATCTCTTTTCCCCATTGAATCACCTCCATAATTTGGGAGGTTGTCAGGAGGTGCCGTCATGCCCATTTCAGAGGTGGGGAAACTGAGCCTCAGAGCAGACAAGCCACACATCCATGGCTGCAAGGGAGGTAGAGTCGCCGAGCCGGGCTGGAACCTGGCCCCTCCTGACTACATGGCTCCTGTGTTCTGTCTAAGGATGTTCTGGTTATTTCTCAAAGTGTCAGGTGCAGAGTAGGATGGTGCAGAGTTGGTGAGATTCACTCCGGGTGTGAGATCTGCCTGCACCCTCTCAGTGGCTGGCTGCATCTAATTAATTGCAGATTATGTGTGAGAGTCTGTTTGAGAATTGCCCGTGCATATGATACCACAGCCTGAAGGGGAAGGAAGCTGTGCAGCTCCGCATCCTCATTATTTATGAGTATTTCGCATGCAATTAATCTTCCTTGCCACCAGTTAACCCCACCACTCCACTGTGCATGAGGCCAGTGACAACAGATGTTGGCCTCGCAGCCCCAGGGGCCATGGCAGACTCAGGGCTTTAGACGGGTCGGGGTCATATCTCTGCTGGTTGCATTTGGCCGGCGAGCGGCCAGCGGACAGGAACAGATGACGAGGACAGCTAATGTGCCACATTCACTTGCAGGAGCCAGAAACTGGTAGGGCTCATCTGCTATTCCTGATGAATCACAGCATCTGAGAGCTAGAAGGATTCTAGAAGATGAGCTTGTGTAACCTCCGCATTTTGTAGATGTAACATCTGAGACCCAAAGTGGGTTTGAAATGCCATGCCAGTTAGAGGCTGGGCCCACAGTCCTTGTCTGTTACTTGCCGTGACATCACATGTCTTTGCTTATAATGTCATTTTTCTCATCCTGTATATCTCCCACCTTGCTGGCCACGTTGCCTCCCGTGCCAACTCAGTGTAGGTTCCACATAGCATATGAGCTGTGACTCATTTGGTTACAAGGGACAGAAACCAGCTCAAGCCAGCTTAAGTAAAATAAGGGAATAATATCGTTCCCCTAACTCCAGCATCCAGAGGTACAGCTGCAAGTAGGCGTCCCTGGATCCCAGGGTTGGATGGTTTTCAGGTCTACCCCTGAAGGGCTCTGTTAGGAGGAGAGAGGTGCAGAGAAGCACACGTCCATGACCTGTGGCCATGCTGGCTTTGCCCCAATCCTGTTGAGGCTCTGTCTCTAAAATGACATGATGGTCTTGAGAATGTTGATTTGTGCAGAACCAACATGAAGCCCTGGCCTCCTCATTCTGAGATCCCATTCGGGAGACAGTGAGTATCACTGTGGTTATGGGTTCCAGTGTCAGATGGCCCGTGTTTCAGTCCCGGTTCTGTATCGTCATTCCTTTTTTTTTTTTTAATTTTGTTTTTGTTCTTCTTGAGACGGAGTTTTGCTCTGCTGCCTAGGCTGGAGTGCAGTGGCATGATCTCAGCTCACTGCAACCTCCGCCTCCTGGGTTCAAGCGATTCTCCTGCCTCAGCCTCCCGAGTAGCTGGGATTACAGGTGCCCCCCACCATGCCTGGCTAATTTTTTTGTATTTTTAGTAGAGACGGGGTTTCAGCATGTTGGCCAGGCTGGTCTCAAATGCATCATAATTCCTTTGTAATTTAGGGCAAATCACTTCATATGTCTCAGTTTCCTAATCTATAAAATGGGTTTGATTCTAAACACCTGCTTCGTGGCGTGATTTGGAGGGTCGAATGAGATAATTGACACATAGTTTCACCCTGTGCCTGGCACTCGGCTGGTGCCCTGCTAGCAGTTGCTATTAGGAACACTTAACTTCTCTCGGTCTTTCCATCTGTGAAATGGGGGATGACACCACCAGTTCCATCAAATAAGGGACTCGCTGGTTCCTTTAGTACAGTCAAGCCCAGACCTAGCCTTCAAGGTTGGCAGTGGATGAAAAATTGCCCCTGGCAGAAGCTGAAGTCCGTCCCTCCCCCTCCGTTGCTTTTTCCTTCAGCCCCCCTCGCTGCTTTCACTGCTGCTGGTGTTGTCTTCTTCTTGGCTGGGAATCCCATCCTATCTGTGGTAGGGACTGGATTCTCCTCCACAAGTACCGAAGGAAGAAAGTGGGTTTCTCAGTCTCCCTAGGGTTTATAGACTCATGCAGCTTTGAGAGCCAGGCCAGTGAAACCCCAGGCAGGGATGGGACACAGCAGGGTCAGACATGCTCTGACCAGAGAAATTCAGGGGAGTTTTTGCTGCCTCTACTGTATAGCCCAGGCCTTGCCCCTGGGTTGCTCCACCTTGATTTGTGTGTGTGTGTGTGTGTGTGTGTGTGTGTGTGTGTGGTGCTGGGTACTAAGTGGAATCACTCTGTAAAGGCACATAGAACAGCCTGTTATTCACAAGAGCTCATGTGAATATCTTTGCAGAATGTGCCATCTCTTCTTGCAGACCTACTGATTTTGTGTTTTGCAGTGAAGAATGGGTAGGCTCCACTATGCACGGTTTCACATTTATCTGGAGCCATCTAATTAACACCTGTACTCCACTTGTCACCTGAACCTGGTCCTTTGGCGGGTTTCTGCAATATGTTCCTCCTCGAGGCCTTTCTTTGTGAAACACATGTGTACCTCGCTTGCAGCTCTCTGCCCACTGACGGAGAAGTGAGTGAGCCTCTTGTGTAATTGATGGATAAGCCCTCCACTGCACCCCGCAAGAGGAGTATTCTTAGGGGAGCAGCTGTCTTCCTTTCCACCCTCGTCCCACTCTCCCTAACTGCTTTTTCAACTGGATCAGTAAGGATTTAGTGTTAAACAATATTTGGATTCATTGTGGTGAAATAATCCAAATTGACCGTGCCAGGTGATGGAGACAAAGATATCTGCCATACTAATTTCCAAACTCTCCTGTAAGTGCAATATAGTGATTTTGAAAAACTCTCTCTCCTAATTGTGGGAAACAGTTTGGTGGATCCTTAAAACGTTAGTGGAATTACCGCATGTCCCTGTAATTCCACTTCTAGGTACACATCCAAAAGAACTGAAAGTAGAGACTCAAACAGGTAACTATGCACAAAGGTTGATGGCAACATGATCACAATCTCCAAAAGGTGGAAACAGCTCAGTATAAATGTCCATTATCTGAAGAATGGATTAACAAATTGTGGCATATCCATACAGTGGAACATGATTCAGCTATAAAAGGAATGAGGGGCCGGGCGCAGTGGCTCATGCCTGTGATCTTACCACTTTGGGAGGCCAAGGCGGGGTGGATCACTTGAGGTCAGGAGTTTGAGACCAGCCTGGCCAACATGGTGAACGTCATCTCTACTTAAAAAATACAAAAATTAGCCGGGTGTGGTGGCGGGCACTTGTGGCCCCAGGTACTTGGGAGGCTGAGGCATGAGAATCACTTGAACCCGGGAGGCAGAGGTTGCAGTGAGCCAGGATCACGCCACCATACTCCAGCCTGGGCCACGGAGTGAGACTCCTTCTCAAAAAAAGAAGGAATGAGGCACTGATACATGCTTCAACGTGGATGAACTGTGGAAACAGGCTTAGTCAATACATGCTTCAACACAGATGAACCGTGGAAACAGGCTTAGTCAATACCTGCTTCAACGCGGACGAACCGTGGAAACAGGCTTAGTCAATACGTGCTTCAACGAGGACGAACCATGGAAACAGGCTTAGTCAATACCTGCTTCAACGCGGACGAACCGTGGAAACAGGCACGGTCAATACGTGCTTCAACGAGGACGAACCATGGAAACAGGAGTGGTCAATACGTGCTTCAATGCGGATGAACCATGGAAACAGGCGTGGTCAATACGTGCTTCAGTGCGGACGAACCATGGAAACAGGCGTGTTCAATACGTGCTTCAATGCGGACGAACCATGGAAACAGGCGTGGTCAATACGTGCTTCAGTGCGGACGAACCATGGAAACAGGCGTGGTCAATACGTGCTTCAGTGCGGACGAACCATGGAAACAGGCACGGTCAATACGTGCTTCAACGCGGATGAACCGTGGAAACAGGCATGGTCAATACGTGCTTCAATGCGGACGAACCGTGGAAACAGGCGTGGTCAATACGTGCTTCAACGCGGACGAACCGTGGAAACAGGCGTGGTCAATACGTGCTTCAATGCGGACGAACCGTGGAAACAGGCGTGGTCAATACGTGCTTCAGTGCGGACGAACCGTGGAAACAGGCGTGGTCAATACGTGCTTCAATGCGGACGAACCGTGGAAACAGGCGTGGTCAATACGTGCTTCAACGCGGACGAACCGTGGAAACAGGCTTAGTCAAAGGAGCCAGGCAAAAAGACTCTATTAAAAAAGAAGACCACATAAGAGATGATTCCGTTTCTGTGAAGCATTGGAGTACGTAAATTCATAGAGACGCAATGTGGATCAGAGGTTGCCAGGGAGGAGGATGAAATGGGAAGAAATTGCTTAATGGGTAAGAGGTTTTGCTTTGGCGTGGTAGAAACGTTCTAGAACTGGATAGTAGTGATGGTTGCACAACATTTTGAACGTACTAAAGGCCACTGAATTGTTCACTTTCAAATGGTTAATTTTATGTGATATGAATCGTACCTCAGTACATGATTTTTAAAAAACCTTCAGTTTGGCGGGGCACGGTGGCTCACAGCTGTAATCCCAGCACTTTGAGAGGCTGAGGCGGGCGGATCACAAGGTCAGGAGATTGAGACCACCCTGGCTAACACAGTGAAACCCTGTCCCTACTAAAAATACAAAAAAACTTAGCCGGGTGTGGTGGCATGTGCCTGTAGTCCTAGCTCCTTGGGAGGCTGAGGCAGGAGGATTGCTTCAACACGGGAGGCGGAGGTTGCAGTGAGCCGAGATCCCACCACTGTACTTCAGCCTGGGCGACAGAGCGAGACTCTGTCTCAAAAATAAAAACAAAGAAAAAAAACTTTCAGCTGTGCCACCGCTCCCCACCCGCTTCTCACTAGCCAAGTAAGCCTTTCGCTTAGTTCCATTGCTTCTACTGCTGGAAGCAACCTCTGCAACTTTGTGCTTTTAATTCTGGTGAGTACTCCTTTAAAGCTAAAGTGCTCATGATGCCTTTTAAAAGAAGACTGTAGATAGTAGATATACAGACCACCTTTTTTTTTTTTTTTTTTTTTTTATGAGATGGAGTCTTGCTCTGTCACCCAGGCTGGAGTGCAGTGGCACCATGTCGGCTCACTGCAACCTCCGTCTCCTGGGTTCAAGTCATCCCCTGCCTCAGCCTCCCGAGTAGCTGGGATTACAGGTGCCTGCCACCATGCCCGGCTGATTTTTGTGTTTTTAGTAGAGATGGGATTTCACTGTGTTGGCCTGGTATCAAATTCCTGACCTGACGTGATCCGCCCACCTCGGCCTCCCAAAGTGTTGGTATGACAGGTGTGAGCCACCGTGCCCGCCCTAGAGACCACCTTTTGATGCCTTGATATGAAATGAGAACATATATGTGGAAAGGTATAAAATTAAGAGACACCCTCGACCCTCACCTGAGTTACTGCTCCTAATAAATTCACGCATACCTGAGTGCTGTGTTTTCTAGCCTTCTGTGAGTGGGACAGGCAGGGTAGGGATGCTCGGACTGTCTGTGGTCTCTGATTTAGTCACTTCGAGGCTGCTGTGGGAGTTCCTCTGGGGTGTCCATTCACTGTCCCCTGTCTGCCTCCATTAGATCCCATCTCAGGCCCCTTCCAACTCTACACTTCTGACATTCACTGATGTGGGTGGAATGCTGCTTTGTAAAAATGGCGGTGCAAATGTGTGCTAATTACCTTGACATTTCCAAGCTGCTTGGTGCTCAGAACTCATACTTTAGGACATGAGGCTCACAATAGTGATCCACAGCTTGATCTCTTGGACCTGTGTGGTAAGAACCTCAGTTTACAGTGTTTAAAAATCAGATCTGTGTAAAAATGTGACTCCTGGCTTCTCTCAACAACTCAGGACTGGTGGCAGCCATGTCCCCGCATAGACAGTGGATTGGAGGCAGGGACTGCTCCTTAGCCGGGGTCCTCTCGTCCCACTGTACCCTGTGAGGACTTTGCTCCCTGGAGGCCCTGTCTGTATCCGCTTTTGGGATGCCTGCCTTAAGGATTCGTAGTACAAATCTTTATAAACGCTCACTGTGTGTGTTTGTGTTTGAGAGTGCGCACATGAACAAGAGAGAGAAAACCAAAAAATTACAAATCTGGAAAAGTTAATAAAGATCTAGAACCTTATCAAGATTTTGCAAGGGGTTTTTCTTCTGTACCTTGTGACTTTCTTCCATTTTCCATCCCATTCCCATGAGTGCCTCACATTTGTGTTTTCTGTTTTGAGATTATAATTATGTAGAAACCATAGTTCTAAAACTGGAAAGGGCCAGAATTTAATCACACTTTTGATTTTCCAAAAGAGGACAGAGAAAGACTGGGAGAACTGCCAGAGGCCACACCCTGGGAACTGGTGTGAGTCCTGAGGCTGTGCGCTGCCTCCCAGGAGCCGGGCTGGGCCTGGCACTGCCCGCTTGGGGGGACAGGCCTTCAAGCAAGCTGGACCAGGTGTGGGTCCTTGCCTGGCCACTTCCTGGCTGTGTGGCCTGAGGCAAGTCACTTCCCTTCTCCTGGTCTCTGTTGCCTCATTCAGACAGCAAGTGTAATCATGCTTGCTTCTCAGAAACCTTGTGAGAATTACATGAGATCGTGTATTTCAGGTGCCTCTCGCATTGCTGGGTGTGTATGAAACAGGCAGTGTGTGGTAACCACTGGCCATCTGAGCCCTGCGAAGGGGTCTTGGGACATTTTTTCCTCCTTTATCTTAACAAATTGAAAAGAATAGAAACTCTGGGTGGGCTAGGGGAGGAGGGTGGCAGGAGAGAGAAACAGAACGAAAAGTTAGAATGGGCCTGAGTAATTTAAAAGTTACATTTTAGAGCTCGATATAGTTTATCCTTTCTTTTGGAGATAAAAGGAAAGGGAGTGGGTAGGCAGACAAAGATATAAAAAGCAGGATGTTAAGTTTGAAAAATGATGATGTAGGTTAAGTCCATCCCTGTAGAGGAACATTCTTTATTTGTGCATGTGCCCTCATGAGCTCTGTCTTTAAAGATAGCTGAGTATGGGCCGCAGGGGAGTGTTTGTAAAGGCTCTTTGAGGTCTTTGGAAAAAGATGCTATATAAAGCCAGGGAGTTATTGCACAGATCTATGTATATATGTGAGAGAGTGTGTGTGCGCACACATGCGTCCACACGTCACCCTGTCTAGTCATCGCAGTCAGCAGTCTCTTCCCTTTTTAATTTTGAAAAGGCAGTTGAAGATCAATGAGTCTCAGGATAATTCCCCCCCTGGGGGCCTTTAGTGGCTGAAGAAGAGACGCCTCTCACCCCTCCCTTGGTGTCACTGTTTCATTGCTTTATATAGCAGCCTCCGAGGCCGTAATCATTTGTGTGAATGGGCCTGTGCGTCATCTGGCTGTGTGTCTGTGTTTATGTTTGGGTCCCTGGGGACTGGAGGCTGGTCCCTGCTCCACTGTTGTTTTTGAAATTGAGCATTCATGTGGTCACTGCCGAGAAAGGAGGGGAACGGTTTTGTAGGCTCGTCCTGTTTGAGGTCATGGTAATGATGTATGGGACCGTGTCCCCTCCTCCCCATGCCTGTCGCATTCCCGAGATGCATAATGGAAAAAGCTCAACGGGAGCCTGAATCTCTGTCACTGGGGCAAGAAATTACAGCTGTGAACCTGCTGGTTAGTGTTCTGTGCCGAGGCCTTGAACTTATGATTAACGTGGTTGACGTTTCTGTCCAGCTCATCCCATGCTCAGTTCCTGGAGCTGAGGGTGGCGTTTTAGCAGTGGGCGACTGTCAGTCATTCATTTGTTTATCAATTCACTTACGCATCTTACCTTTGATCATTCACCAGGTCTCACGTGTGTTCTGTGCTGGGCACTGGGGCCCCGGTACTCAAGTGACCCACAGGCTTGGGGGTGGGGCTTTGGTGGGCAGAGGTGCAGATGGGCACCTCTAGCCCAGGGGACAGTGTGCTTTCGTGGAGGTGCATATGAAGAGCAATGGGAATCACTGAACTCTACTTGGATTGTTTGGCTGTGAGGACACAGAACCCATGCCAATTTAGAACACAAGGGCACAGAACCCCATAGGGGCTCCCCCAGAGCCTGGGAGCCGAGAGTCCTGCAGAAGCCAGCATGGCCATTTGTGCATGACTGCTTTATTCCCTGTGGCCATGCGGTCACTGCAGGTCGGCCCGCACTTCTCCCGCTGGCCCTTGGGTAGCCGCCTTGGCTGTGGTGGTGCAGCAGGAGACGAAGGCAGGAATGAGGAGTTCACTGAGTCACCTTAGGCTACAGGGCTCTGTAGTAGCGCTTGACATTTCCAACACCTGCCGCTTTGCCAGACTCGGCACTTTCTCTGTGGCTGAGTGGGCTTGCCTTGAAGGGCTTTGCTGGCTCCCCTTTTTGGTGGCCCTCTGCCTTGTGGCTGCATCTGCATTTGTCTCTGTCCAGGCCTCTGTACATGGCGACAGAGGAGCCTCCAGCCAGGGGTCCTGGGCCCAGTTTAGGGTTTCATTTAAGGGTGGGTTTGTTTATTTATTCATTTATTGTTTATTTTTTGAGATGGAGTCTCACTCTGTTGCCAGGCTGGAATGCAGTGGCGCGATCTTGGCTCACTGCAACCTCCACCTCCCTGCAACCTCTGCCTCCCGGGTTCAAGTGATTCTCCTGCCTCAACCTCCCGAGTACCCAGGACTACAGGCACGCACCATCACGCCTGGCTAATTTTTGTGTTTTTAGTAGAGACGGGATTTCACCATGTTGGCTGGGATGGTCTTCATCTCCTGACCTGAAGTGATCTGCCTGCCTCAGCCTCCCAAAGTGCTGGCATCACAGGCGTGAGCCACTGTGCCCGGCCAGGATGGGTTTATTAAACTGGTCTTTTGAGCACTTGGCTTTCGGCAAGTCACTATTTCAGTGTGTCTCCACAGTCACCGTGGTGGAGTGACTTGGAACTCTTTGCTCTTGGGCCAGATGCCTCTGTCGCCACCTTCCTTCGCGTCTCTTGTCAGCCTGTGGCACATCTGAACTTCTGGAAGACTCTACATGATGGGCTTGGTTTGAGTCAGTAGGTACCCTTGGTCTCACTGATTACAAGTGGGGTGGGTGGGACTGGAGGCCTGTGGAGGCTGAGTCTCTGAGCGGAGGCAAGAGTAAGACAGGGCAGGCCCACGGACTCCCACGACTGCTATAGCCAGCAAGCCCCAGATGCTCAGAAAAGGCGCTCCCCAAGCAGAAGCTTGAAGGACAACCTGGAGTGAGGGAGGGGGCCAGGCCTTCCAGACACTGGGAAACAGCCTGTGCCAAGACACAGAGGCACGAGAGAAGGAGAGTGTGTTCAGTATGGTTGGAGTCTAACCAAGGGGGAGCAAAGGAGATGGGCAGAGGCTGGAGCGGCAGAGAGGACATGGGTCTGGAGCTCAGGAGAGGGCCTAGGTGGAGATGTGGGTGTGTGCAGGGTGGAAGCGGTGACTGAACCCTCGGCATAGATATAGCCTTATATTCACATAGCACCACTGAGGCCGGGCTCCAACTTTTTCATTGCCTATCATCTCTGTTATTAATAATTTAAAAAAAATTTTTTTTCTAGGCGGAGTCTCACTCTGTCACCCAGACTGGAGTGTGGTGGCATAATCTCGGCTCACTGCAATCTCTGCCTCCCAGGTTCAAGCAATTCTCCCGCCTCAGCCTCCCAAGTAGCTGGAATTAGAGGCGCCTGCCACCACACCCAGCTAATTTTTGTATTTTTAGTAGAGATGAGGTTTCACCATGTTGGCCAGGCTGGTCTTGAACTCCTGACCTCAAGTGATCTGCCTGCCTCAGCCTCCAAAGGGCTGGGATTACAGGCATGAGCCACCGTGCCCAGCCTAATTTTTAAAAAATTTTAACTATATGACAAAAATTGTATGTATTCAGGGCATACAACATGATGATTTGATGTATCTCTGTATTTCGTTATGACTACCACAATCAGATGAACATATACGCCACCTCCCCGAGTGAACATTTTTTTGTGTTAATGTGTGTGATGAGGACACTCAAAGTCTGCTCTCTCTTCAGATTTCAAGTAAACAGTACCATAGTATTGTTAGCCAGAGTCCCCGTTGCTGTCATGAGATCTGCAGAACTTACTCATCTTCTAACAGAAAATTATAAGAGGTACATTTTGGCCAACATCACCCATCTCTCTCACATCCTCATGTACATACATATACATATACATCATATACATATATATCATATACATATACATCATATACATAATACATATATATCATATACATATACATCTATGCAGGGGAATAATATTCAGCCGTAAAAAGAGAAGGAGTCTGAGGCAGCAGTGGCCCTCCTGCTGTTCCGTTTCTCTCCGTCTGCAGTGTCCTGTGTGGGTACAGCCAGCGGCCCCAACTGATTGGCACAGTGTCACAGCTGCTGCAGAGCTGCCTTCAGCCCTGAATGAAGAAGGCTGAGAGTGGGGCATGGAGGGAAGAACTTGCGATGTTCTCCTAAGATGGGCTGGCAAATGTTTTCTGGAAAGGGCTGGACAGTAGATATTTCAGGCTGTGTGGGCCCCATGGTCTCTGTCAAAACAACTCATCAAAGCAGACTTGAACAGTACAGAAGTGGGTGGGTGTGGCCGTGTTTGGGGAAAGCTTTACTGGTCCCTGCTTTATCCTATGAGGTTGGTGATACCAGCAACCTTTTCCAGTGGAAGGAGCTGAGAAGCAAGGATGATATCATTTGCTGGGATCTCAAACCGAAGTGTGAGGGACATGATATTCAAAGGTAGATCTGATTAGAAAACTGGTGTTCAAGCCCGGGCGCGGGGGCTCACGCCTGTAATCCCAGCACTTTGGGAGGCCGAGGCATGTGGATCATGAGGTCAGGAGTTCAAGACCAACCTGGCCAACATGGTGAAACCCCATCTCTACTAAAAATACAAAAATTAGCCAGGCGTGGTGGCAGGCGCCTGTAATCTCAGGTACGTGGGAGACTGAGGCAGGAGAATCACTTGAACCCTGGAGGCAGAGATTGCAGTGAGCCGAGATCATACCACTGCACTCCATCCTGGGTGACAGAGTGGGACTCCGTCTCAAAAAAAAAAAAAAACTGATATTCTTTCTACACTGCCAGTTTACTGCCCTGAGGAGCTTAAAGTTCCACAAACAATGGACCAGTTTTTTCTTGCGTGTGTGTTAGATGTGCCCTTGATGTGCAGATACTATAGCAAAATTATTATTTCCTTAGCGGAGTTGGTCTTTTGTTTCATGTTAAGAAAGATGGCATATATGTTTGTTCAGATACTTATGTAGTTTTTATTGCTTCATTTCACATATTTAAACATTATTGTACCAGAAATGTATTTCAGTACATTACAGGAGCAGAGATTCATTGAAATCTGGTGTCTTACTTCCTAAATGGTTCCTTGCTCAGCTGCATTTGTGGATGAATCCATCCTGTCCACAGCATTTTCAATGCTGCTTTTTATCTTAGATCAGTTTCCATTGGTTGAAATTGACATTCCCCTGTGCTCTTGCCTGGTTTTGTGGTTCTGTCTTCTGAAGCCAAGCAAGGAACCAATGTTGAGATGGATGGTTGTTTGCCTTTCAGCGGTAGGAGAGGGGACCCCGCAGCATGGCCAGGCTCTGCAGAGGCCACAGTGCAGGAGCGCTGCTCTGTTTCACTCGAAATGTGAGCTGTGGCAGGTCATAAAGAGGAAGGAAATCACAATGATAGAGACTAAACAAATCATGGGCTGCGCGGCTCAGGGGAGAGGAGAGAAAATTACATGTTCGGGAGCTCCTCTGCTCGTGTGTGTCACTCGTACTTGGCGAAGTATAATATTTACCTGATCTGTGGAAATCACCCCGATGTTACCTACCAGCTTTACTGCCCAAAAAGAGTCACAAAACAGCCAATGAGGCAGCGAAAGTGAATGTGTGTTCAGGTTCAAGCCCGTTGAAAGAACATTTTGGGGGGCATGCCAGCTCTCGGTCCCTTTCTTTCTTCTCCACCGTTAACCTGAACATGATGTCATAGCTGTGTGGGGAAGGCGGAAGGTCTGACAGCTCGTCTTTCTATGATGGATTTTTAAAAGATTCCCACTACCAGAGTACTGCTTTGGCTGCACTTGTGATATCAGTCATTTTGATGTTGATAAAAACACAGGTGCCTCGTCCAAGAGGCTGGAGATGCACGGTGTATGGGACCTGGGAGGGTAGGGAAGGGTGAGGCTAGGGTGATACAGTGGATCGGGTCGGCATCCATCGTCCTCTGTTTCTCACAGGTGGTTGCTATGCAGTGATTTGGGCTCCTGCAAGGGGGGCTTGTGGCTGAGATCTCTCTTTTTTTTTTTTTTTTTTTTTTTTTTTTTTTTTTTTGAGATGAGGTCTCACTATGTCGACCAGGCTGGTCCTGAACTCCTGGGCTCAAATGAACTCCTACCTTGGTCTCCCACAGTGTTGGGACTGCAAGCATGAGCCACCGTGCCCGGCCTACATCTCTTAAGGCTACTTGAGGCAGTACTTGCCAGGCAAGCATTGCTGTCTCTCAAACTTCCTGGGAAACAGTTTTTTCCTCCTAGAATTTCCTCCTGGAATATAACATTTTCAGCTATGAGGTCTGAGTAGCAGCACTGGGGACCCCCTTCTCCCATGCCTGCAAGGCCCAGAACCCAGATACCTGCTCTTCCAAATGCCACATCGCTGTCTGGGGCTGATTTCCCATATTGCCGGTGGTGATCTTGTTTCACACTTCAGAAAATTCTACTATCTAGTCTGCTGCTCTAGGGCATAGATCATTTAAAAAATCTTTTTTATTTCTCAAGGTTGAGGTATACAGGAGCTCAGTAAATCCCCTAACTCTTGAAAATATGCCCAGTTTAACCCACTTGGGCTTGTGAACCATACGGCTACCTTATCTCCATCTTCCTATCTTCTGCTGTTGCATTTCTGCAAAGACTTGTAGTGATACTGATCAGTAGTACTTGCTAAATGCTATTCTGTGCTGGGCACCATTCCTAAGCATCTCACTTACATATTGTCTTACTGAATTCTTACAACACTTCTAGGAGATAGTAACTGTTAAGATCTCATTTTATAGATAAGGGAGGTGGTGCTCAGAGGGGGTTGCTAACTTGCCCGAGCTGCAGAGGCAGGATTTGAACCTGGGACCTGACTTCAGAGACTGTGCTCTAAAATCCAGGACCCTGATCAGCCGAGTCTCTTAGACTGTTATAGGAGTTATTTTTGAAAGGGAAAAGGGAACTTATCTAGACAAGTCATCCTTAATAGCATATAATCCAGAGAGGTGAGGGCATGCTGTAACAGGCAAGACCTGCCAATTAATCTTGACTTTGTTTTCTTCCCTTAGGTGAACTGCGCCAGGCCACTGTGGCCATGATGAACAGGAAGGATGAGCTGGAGGAGGAGAACAGGTACCGTGATTTTCAGGCTTGAGGAATAGCCTCTTTCTTTGACATTCTGCCTCTGGGGAAGACAGAATATAACAGATGAGGGACATTTTGCTTTCTTGGCAAAAATTGTGACTGGCTATTTCTTATCGTCAGGGATATGCCACTGTGGTATCTCTCTTTACTGTGGTATCTCTCTTTTGCCTGATATGTAAGAAAGAAGTGAGAACCTTATGATAATGGCACCTTCATAGAACAAGCTAAGAATTTGGTAGAGTGATCATTAATTCTTTTTTAAAAAACAGCCTTTATTGATATTTAATTCACATACACTATAATTCACTCATTTAAAGTGTATGGCCAAGGCAGGTGGATCACAAGGTCAGGAGTTCAAGACCAGCCTTGGTGAAACCCCGTCTCTACTAAAAATACAAAAATTAGCTGGGCGTGGTGCTGCGTGCCTGTAATCCCAGCTACTCAGGAGGCTGAGGCAGGAGAATTGCTTGAACCCGGGAGGCGGAGGTTGCAGTGAGCCGAGATTACGCCATTGCACTCCAGCCTGGGTGACAGAGCGAGCCTCTGTCTCAAAAAAAAAAAATAAAATAAAATAAAAAAATAAATGAAGTGTGTAATTCAGTAGTTTTTACTATATTCACAGGAGTTAACATCAACACAGTCAATTTTAGAACATTTCATCACCCCCGAAAGAAGTCCTATACCCTTTAATTATCACCTCCTTAGCCTAGGCAGTCTTTTTTTTTTTTTTTTGAGATAGTTCTGGCTCTGTCACCCAGGCTGGAATGCAGTGGCGCGATCTCTGCTCACTGCAACCTCCACCTCCCGGGCTCAAGTGATCCTCCAGCGTCAGCCTTCTGAGTGGCTGAGACTACAGGCGCATGCCACCATGCCCGGCTAATTTTGGTATTTTTAGTAGAGTTGGGGTTTTGACAGGTTGCCTAGGCTGGTCTTGAACTTCTGAGCTTCAGTAATCTGCCCACCTTGGCCTCCCAAAGTGCTAAGATTATAGACGTGAGCCACTGTGCCTGGCCTCTAGGCAGCTGTTAGTCATCATTAATCAAAGGCCTGTCTATCTACCATGTTGCAGGCATCTGAGCACTTATCTTAAAGTTTGCCCAAATCAGGGATACTTAGGGCAAGATGAAATTCTGGCTCCCATCTGACTTATCTTGACTGTGGGGTGGTCATAGAGGGCTTACCTGCAGTTACCCCCTGAACTTCTGCAAGCATGATTCAACTGCCTCCCTGGGACGTGGGGAGAGGGGGGTGTGTGTTCACGTCACCCTTTCTTACTCACACGCTCTTTTACACACAGTCATGATTCTCCTTCAAACCTCATTTTTGGTCCTGCTTGACAAGCTTCTCTCTTGTCCTTTCTGGAAACATATAAAAGCAAACAAACATGATTTCTAAAACAAAAGAGGATGTCTTCAAAAGGAATCTTTAGACCGCACCATTTTCCAAGTAGAATAAACTTTCAATAGAGGGCTTGCGCCATTGAGGGATTCTTTGTCCATGCTCCAGCTGGGGCTGTTATCTTGGAAGAAGCCATAGATTTTGTCTTACCTTGTGAAGAACAATAGTCACTGTCTGTTACTTTTTTGTACTTCCCAGAAAGAAAAGAAAAATTATACCATGTTTTTGTCAGGGAGCCCCAGGCCCCAAGAGGGGAATTTCCTCAAAGCTCTCAAGGAACACAAGTCTTGGAGATTTCAGTGAATGATCAGAGTGTGGTGGGGGTCAGATGTTTTTGATTATATTCTTTTTTTTTTTTTTTTTTGAGACGGAGTCTTGTTCTTTCTCCCAGGCTGGAGTGCAGTGGTGTGATCTCGGCTCACTGCAACCTCTGCCTCCCGGGTTCAAGCAATTCTCCTGCCTCAGCCCCCCGAATAGCTGGCATTACAGGTGTGTACTACCACACCTGAGTAATTTTTGTATTTTTAGTAGAGATAGGGTTTCATCATGTTGGCCAGGCTGGTCTCAAACTCCTGACCTCAAGTGATCCACCCGCCTTGGCCTCCCTAAGTGCTGGATTACAGGCGTGAGCCACCCTGCCCGGCCTTGTTTTTGCTTATATCCTGATGTCACGTGGCAAGTGTCCTCTGGATTTAGTATGTAGATGTACCATGGTTGGTAATTGTTTTCCAGAAACAGCCAGGTAGAATGAAGTAAATGGTTAGCAGCACCATGGTTGGCTCTCTCCTAGGCGGTCACTGGTGATGGTTTCTAGAAGACCTGCTGTCTTCTCCTTTATTTAAGACCAGGGATGACAAATACACAGGTGAATCCTGTGCTGGCTGCCAGCCCCCTGTTGGAGGGTTAACAAACTTGGGAATGTAAAATGCTATCTCTGCTATCTCAGATGCTTTAGTGATATAAGATATTTTTTATATATGCTTGTTTCACCTGAAGTTGGCAATGAAACAGGCTCATAGTGTGTTTTATAGGCACAGGTGGAAATGAGACTAGACGTTTATGAGATAATCTGAGTATATATTCTATTTTTATGCCTCAGATTATTGTTTTGGCCTCTCCTGGCATCCTTTCCTTGGTTAAATCTCTGACCTGGTGTAGCTGTGACAAAATGGTCTCATTGTAATGTGCTACACCTTTGAGTGGGGTATCTGTAAAGGGACTTGGCTGGAATTTGCTCACCTCATTGTTTTCCCTTGATTTAAGCTGTCAGAAGGCTGGCCTGCTCGCAGGCAATCAGGGACATGGAGCCCAGGCCATAGATGACTGTCCCTTAATTCTTACTCTAAGGCTATCAATTAGAGTTTGCTATCTCCAGTTCACATGAGATAGACTTGAATTATGGTTTATGCAGAGCCTTGTGGAAAACGCATGGCTTAGGACTTGACTTATGTTAGGAACTGTGTCCTGGGCTCAGTGGGGTCTGGGTTGACAGCTTCTGAACAGATGGGTCCCTCTCTTCCCAGATCACTGCGAAACCTGCTCGACGGTGAGATGGAGCACTCAGCCGCGCTCCGGCAAGAGGTGGACACCTTGAAAAGGAAGGTGGCTGAACAGGAGGAGCGGCAGGGCATGAAGGTCCAGGCGCTGGCCAGGTAGGAGAGGGTGAGGGATGGAGAGGTAAGCACGTGGGGGCTTCATTAAAACCTGAGCATACTGGGCCGGGCACGGTGGCTCATGCCTGTAATCCCAGCACTTTGGGAGGCCAAGGCGGGTGGATCATAAGGTCAGGAGATCGAGACCATCCTGGCTAACACAGTGAAACCCCGTCTCTACTAAAAATACAAAAAATTAGCTGGGTGTGGTGGCGGGTGCCTGTAGTCCCAGCTACTTGGGAGGCTGAGGCAGGAGAATTGCTTGAACCCGGGAGGCAGAGGTTGCAGTGAGCCGAAATCACACCACTGCATTCCAGCCTGGGTGACAGAGCAAGACTCTGTCTCAAAAACAAAAACAAACAACAACCAACCAAACAACAACAAAAAAAAACCTGAGCACACGTTCACCTGGACTTTTTAGTTAAAAAAAAAAAAAAGCCGGGCATGATGGCTGACACCTGTAATCCCAACACTTTGGGAGGCCGAGGTGGGTGGATCACGAGGTCAGGAGATCGAGACCATCCTGGCTAACACGGTGAAACCCCGTCTCTACTAAAAATACAAAAATTAGCCGGGAGTGGTGACGGACGCCTGTAGTCCCAGCTACGCGGGAGGCTGAGGCAGGAGAATGGCGTGAACCTGGGAGGTGGAGCTTGCAGTGAGCTGAGATCACGCCACTGCACTCCAGCCTGGGCGACAGAGCGAGACTCCGTCTCAAAAAAAAAAAAAAAAAAAAAAAAGATAGCGACTAAAGCAAAAAAAGTGTGTATTTTAATTTAACTTATTTCATTGAGTAAATAGTATATATGCACGTGGTTCAAAATACAAAAGGTGAACCTGTGCAAGTCCCCTTCTCTTATCCCAGCCACCCAGTTTGCTCCCTAGAGGGGGTCATTGTTACTGTTCCCAGAGATATTCCCTGTACACACAAGCAGATAGGTGTGCATATACTTTTTTTCCTTTTCTTTCCCTTCTCCTCCTCTCTTTCTTCCTTAATGTGAAGTGGTAGCCTGTCCTATGCAGCATTCACTTGACATCTCAGAGATTGCTCTCGTTGGTCTGCGTGGGGCTGCCCTCTGCTTTTTAAGAGCTCCTGACATTTCCTTGTCTGACTGCATCAGAATTCGTTTAACCAGCCTGCTGACAGCGAGGCACCGAGATGGTTTCCAGTCTTTTGCTGCTACTAATAATGCCACAGTGAACAACCTTTGCATTGGTTGTTTTTTTCCTGTATGAGTATATATTTTGGAAATATTCCTGGAAGTAGGATTGCTGGGTCAAAGTGCAGCGCATTTGTAAGTCGGACAGGGACCATCAACTCGCCTGGCACGGGTGTGAGCCGCATGTTCTGCAGCAGTGTGGGAGAGGGCCTGCTGCGACGCAGCTGTGCTCTCACAGCCATGGGATCCAACTTCTGGGTCTCTGATAATGCCAGGGGTGGAAATGGTGCTGGCAGAAAATTTTTCATTACCATTTCTCTAATTAAGAGTATGGTTGAGCCTCCTTTTATTTAAAAGCCATTTTATTTCCTTTTCTGTCACTTTGTTTATATACTATTAAAGAAAGCTGCAAAGTAAACCACCCCAGATCCCAACTTACATGCATCTTTACTGAATTTGTTCATATACTAACATTTTTCTTTAACTATACATGTAATCTATGCCTGTGATTGTTTAGTCTACCTTCTAGCACTGCTTAGGAGTGCAAAAGCAGCTTTTATTGTTTCCATATAGGCCTCATGTTAACCATTTTTATGTACCTGGATGTGGTATTTGATTGAGTGAACCCGCCATATTAAATTGCCCATTCCAGATTGGAATGATGAATTTAATATGGTCAATTTAGCATTCAGGTTGTTTCCAGTTTGTCCTCATTTTAGGAAAGATAAGCAGTTTATTGCTTGTTCTGTAAATCTACTTTAAAATAAGACCACGAGATAAACACGTCTTGTGGATGTGCAAGGGAGCCCAGAGTTAAGTCAGTTTATAGCAGCAGCATTTACCTCTCTGTGCTGTTAGATGCTGTGAATGGCTCTAATGTAATTGTTTTGTATGTCTTATTGAATGTTGGCGCTATGATCCTATGTTGGATTTCCAATCTTTGAGCTTTTCCCCTTTCGTCACATTTTAAAATGATAGCTCAAGAGCATCAAAGACAGTTTAATGACTGTTATAAATAGTGTAAAATGTGCCTAGTTCGGCATTTTCTCACCTGGACCACCCTTTTGCCTGGCCATGCTAGAGTTTTGCCGCATAATTGCATTTAATGTTCACAATAAAGTCTGAAGTCTTTAGAGGTTCTGGTTCTTAGTCAGCAAAGAGAGACAGAATTATATGCCCTGTCTTTTTTTTTTTTTTGGATGGATTCTTGCCCTGTCGTGCCCAGGCTGGAGTGCAGTGGCATGATCTCGGCTCACTGCAACCTCTGCCTCCCGGGTTCAGGTGATTCTCCGGCCTCAACCTCCCAAGTAGCTGGTATTACAGGTGCCCGCCACTATGCCCGGCTAATTTTTTATATTTTTAGTAGAGATGGGGTTTCACTATGTTGGCCAGGCTGGTCTTGAGCTCCTGACCTCAGGTGATCCTCCTGCCTCAGCCTTCCAAAGTGCTTGGATTACAGGCGTGAGCCACCATGCCTGGCCTCCGTGTCATTTAATGGCTTGTATTAGCAGTCAGCGTAGTCTTGAGTCTTTGCATCATTACTTGCAAATTGTGTGTTTCTGGGTGAATTGCTCAACTTCTGCACATATGTGCTTCCTCATCTCAGGGATGGAGAGGATGATCTCATCTAGCTGAAGGGGCTGAATGAGGAGGAAAAGATGTGAGGGTGCATATGGCAGTGGACATGAGTGAGGCGTCTTAAGTGTATTCCACAGGAAGCGTGTTTTAGTGCATGACAATTGTTGGGAAAATTTTATCCCATAGATGGGGTAGATAAAATCAATGTCCTAACCAGGCAGTTTTATAATCCCTATTTAAGCAGTGGGTTGCTAAGAGTTTAAGGTGTCTGAAAGTTTGCAGTCTGTAGGCAGAAGGAACAGATATCTGTAAAACAGACCAGTATTTCAAAAGGAAAAACTAGAAGCAGGGAAACCGATCAGCTGGGTATGTAAGTTTTGAAAAATTCCATTGCTGACATGTTCCAGATAGAGTTAACCTCTGCCAGTGGTCAGAACTTTCTTCTTGCTTCTGGCCAGAGTAAAAGCAACTGTCAGTGTTGGCTGACAGTGGCTTGCTCGGGCAGTTGTTGCCTGGGGGTGGGGATGCCGTAGCTGCTGGGGCACAGGGCAGGGCAGTGGAGTGTCGCAGGCTGGAAGGTGAGGCTCATTGCGCCGGCGCCATGCTTTCCTCAGGTGTGTGTGTGTTTAGGTGCAGGTTTCACAGTGCAGGTGGATACAGCTAGGGCTTTATGGTCCAGGTGCCTGCCTTGTACTGACGGGGTCAGACCATGGCTCTCCTGCTTACTAGTTGTGTGACCTTGGATGAATTACTTAACTTCTCTGTTTCTGTTTCCTTAGTGTGGGTTTTTTTTTTTTTTTTTTTTTTTTTTTAAGATAGTATCTCACTCTGTCACCCAGGCTGGAGTGCAGTGATGCGATCTCAGCTCACTGCATCCTCCGCCTCCTGGGCTCAAGCAATTCTCCCACTTCAGCCTCTGAGTAGCTGGGACTACAGGCATGCACCACCATAGCCAGCTAATTTTTGTATCTTTTTGTACAGACGGGGTTTTGCCATGTTGCCCAGGCTGGTTTCAAACTCCTGGGCTCAAGTGATCTACCCACCTAGGCCTCCTGAAGTGCTAGGATTACAGGCATGAGCCACTGCTCTTGGCATGTTTCCTTAGTTTTAAAATGGTAATAAGTAAACTCTTTACCTCATAGAGTTTTGTTGAATAAATAAAACGAGAGACCATGTATTGGCTCAATGTGCTTGATAAATACTCAGTAAATGTTAACTATCATTATCGTTTTTCTTAAATATAATAATTATGGCACCTTACTTCATCAAAAGTTCTATTTTAACAGCGATAGTGCAGAAAGAATTAGGAGCTAGTCTATCTCCTACTCAGAAAAGTGAGATATTCGAATGCTAAGTATGCGCTTGTGTATATGTGTGTTTCACTGGCTCTGAGTTCATGGTTGTAAAACTGAGCATCACTGAGCAAACCCAGCATTTGATTACACATTCCTTTTGCTAAGAATTACTGGCTTTCCTAGAACAAGGTCATGTAACTAGCCTGGTGCTTTTTGGCCCTGGGCAGCTGCGAGTTCCTGAGGCAGAGGCATAATAATCATTTGCAATTAAGGCTCTGTAAGTCACATTCCTTGAAATAATCGATTGCCTTGTTTCCTTTTGAATTAAGAAAGCTCAAGCTATGAGACATATGTTAAAAAAGACACACATTTACAGGAGGAAAAGTGGCTTTGAAGGAAGCAAGTAAATGGGTTCTTGAATTATTGTGGGGGGTCATTTTCCAATTCTTGTCATCGTATTATGGCAGTGTTAGCTCTTGCTGTGTAACAAATTATCCTCAAACTTGGTTGCTGAGAACAACAAATATTTATGATTCCCCACAATTTCTGTGAATTAGGACTCTGAGGATGGCTTAGCCAGGGCATCAGGGTCTCTCATGAGGTTGCAGTCAAGCTGTTGGCCAGAGTTGCTGTCATCTGAAGGCTTGACTGGGGATGGAGGGTCCACTTGCAAGCTTCATCCTGTGGCTGTTGGCAGGAGGCTTCAGCTCGTTGCCACGTGGGCCTCTCCGTGGGGCTGCTCCCAACACAGTAGCTGACTTCCCAGGGTGCGTAACCCAGGAGCAGGAGAAGAGAGCGCACCCAAGATGGAAGCCACCATGTTTTTAACAACTTGGCCTTGGAGGTGACACATGATTGCTTCTGCTATATTCTGTAGTCACAGTCAACCTTGGTTCAGTGTTGAGGGAAACACACAGTGGTGTGACTAGCAGGAGGCAGGGGTCACTGAGGCCACCTTGAAGGCTGCCTGCTACACTCATCAGGTATCTGCTTCCTCCTGGGGCAGATACTACTTGTATTAATGTTAGGGTCATCCAGAGAAACAGACCAATAGGATGTATGTATATCTCTAGAAAGGGGTTTATCGTAAGGTATTGGCTCATATAATTATGGGGGCCAAGAAGTCTCACAAGCTGCCCTCTGCAGGCTGGAGAGCCAGAAAAGCTCATGGTGTAGTTCAAAGGCCCAAGAGCCAGAGAACCTGTGGTGTAGGTTCCAGTCTGAGTCTGAAGGCATGAGAGCCAGGAGTGCCGAGGGCAGGGGAAGAGCCATGTCCCAGCTCAAGCATAGGCAGGGAGAGAACTCACCTTCTTTTTCTTCTACTCAGGCCCTGCTTGGAATGGATGATGCTTGCCCACATTGGTGAGGGCCATTTGTTTCACTCAGTCCACAAATTCACATGCTAATCTCTTCCAGAAACATCATCACAGGCACACTGAGAAATTGTGTTGATCTAGCTATCTGGGCATCCGGTGGCCCACACACATGGATATGCAAAATTAACCATCACACTCCCCCAATTTTCCTTGGTGGATCTTTGCTCCTTCCTTTGTGTCCATGTGGTTTGATGGGGCTGTCCCTGCCCTCTGCCCCTACAGGGCTCCAGAGGATGGCAGCCCACCCAGGCCTGGACAGTTGGGTTGCTCCATCCATGAGGGCTTTACAGGAGGGCATGTGACCAGGATGGTCTGATAAGAGCCAGTTACTGCATTCTTGAGAGGATGGTGCCAGCCAGTTCTCTTTGCTATTTTGTTGGCAGCTATCTTTGCTATTTTGTGAGGAGATTCTAACCCCACGTGAGAACCATGTGGTGGAGAAATGGAGGGAGAGAGAAATCAACAGTTCCTGATAGTCTCATTTGAGCTCCTGGATCCAGTCTTTCCTGAAGCTGTGTTTCCTCTGGACTTTTCATGTATGTGAGCCAATAAATTGCTTTCATTCCTTGAGCCATTTGTGGTGGTTTTTCTCCATTATACTCATAAGAGTCCTGACTGAAGAGGCCTCTTGTTTGGTTATTAGAGATTGGAGCACGTGTATTTTCTCTGCACCTAAGTAGACATGTCATCTCAACAATCAACCTGCCAGGTCCAGGAAGGGGCTTCTGGTTGGTTGAGAGTCACCAAGGTGGTGGAGAAAGTGTTCCTCGGGGGGAGCCCCTTGGACTGCTTCTCAGAGCACCGCTCCAGACTTCCCTTCGTGTATGTCACTGGGACCGGCCTCGCAGTTACTCTTCTGTCGTGACTCAGAGTGCCGCTGCAGACTTCGCTTCTTGTGTCTCACTGGGGCCAGCCTTGCGGTTACTCTCCTGTTGTGACTTTTCCCTCCTTCTGTGCAGTTCTGCTGCACTCACATGAACATGTTGTCAGTGGTATGGCCGGGGCCATTCTCTTCATGCTTCTGAGCCTCTCTGGTTCTTTAACTATTTAGAAACTTAAAGTGGGGCTGGGGTGGCATGGAACACTCTCCCTCCTTCCTCCCGTGCAGTGGCATAAAGCACCCTGTTGATGCGTCACGGTCACTGCTGGCTTTGGAGGGCCGTGTCCGACCCTTACCTAGGGAAGCAGCACAGCACAGTGATTCTGGTCTTGGCTCTGCCACTTGGTAACTTCTTAATTCTCAGTTTCCCCACTGATGCTAACATGCCTTTGATGGCAGAAACCCACACCAAATTAGCTTGGGTCACCAGGGGATTTTTTTCTTGCAGTAGCTGGGAAATCCAAGGACAGGTCACTTTCTTCAAGCACTGTGGGACCCAGGTCCCCCAATGACACCAGTGCACTCTCCATCTTCCCTTGGCGCCGCCCTCTGCGCACTGGTGTCATGCTTAGGAAGGCCCTCTGCATAGAGCAAAGATGGCCTCTGGTAGCACTGAGACTCGCACAGGATCCAAAGGGAAGAGACTCTTTCCTAATGTCTGTATATAACATTTTAGGAAAGGTTTTTGTTGTTATTGTTGTTGTTGTTTTGAGACAGAGTCTCGCTCTGTCACCCAGGCTAGAGTGCAGTGGTGTGATCTCAGCTCACTGCAACCTCCACCTCCTGGGTTCAAGCAATTCTCCTGCTTCAGTCTCCTGAGTAGCTGGGATTACAGGTGCCCGCCATCACGCCTGGCTAATTTTTATATTTTTAGTAGAGATGGGGTTTCACCATGTTGGCCAGGCTGCTATTGAATTCCTGACCTCAAATGATCCACCTGCTTCAGCCTCCCAAAGTGCTGGTATTACAGGCGTGAGCCACGGTGCCCAGCCTAGGAAAGACTTTTTAGCGGGCATGTTATGGCTAAGAGTCAGCAGAGGGCCATGATTGACAGTCTTACCAGGTCCCCAAGGCAAGCAGCGGGCAGCAAAAGCATGTCTCTTGCATTTTTTCCTAGGATTGTTGGGACGGTTACATCAGCTGAGGCTCCTAAGCACTCAGCATAGCTCCAGGCCCTCAGTAAGCGCTCAGTGAATGTCACCTAATTTCTTCTTCTTGGCTGGTGTCTTGGCTGTAGGTGGCTGGGGATGCTGAGGCGAGGCCAGAATCTCTTGGGCCCTTTCCTTGTCCAAGCCTCCCCTGCAGTGAGCATCTTAGAGCCCTTGGCCCCTGGCCTTCACTTGACCTTCAGCTCCTCCTGGTGTTATTTTTCCAGCCCTGCCTGCCCAGTGTGTGTCCCTTTGTTTATTTGTCCCTGCTGGGCTGCTGAGCAGTGAGAACTTCCTTGACAGTGTTGTGCATGTGAGATTGAGAACTGTACTGTACATCCTGGAATGGCCTTGGGAGCCCTGCTCAGATCATGCTGTCCTGCACCCCAGGCGACCTTTATTGGCTTTCTATGAAGGCTTTAAATCTCACACTCCACCCTGAGGGTCAGCCTCTGCCTTCCTTTGCTTTTAAATCATTGGAGAAATATGAAGACTATGTCCTTTGTAAAAAAGGACAGTACATTTCTTCAGTGTCCATTCAAAGGCACTGATTATATTTTTATCACAAGAGTCAAATGGTGGGAATTGAGAAGGTCAGGCATACTGATTTGAATTATGGGGAATACTGGCTTGAATTCCAGCCCAGCTTGGGCTAGGGATGGCCTTTGGAATCAAGGGTGTGGGCCGTTTCATTGCTATCTCCCCAGTTCAGAACACCTGCTCTGGCGGGAAAAGCCAGTAGGCTTCATCCTGCTGCCAACTCTGGTAGTCGCTGCCTGGGATTCTGGCTGAGAAGGACTGGAGTGCTGTCAGGACTCAACAGAAAAGAGTGTTGTTATTGATTAGCAATGTCTGCCATGCCCATGGGAAGGGGATGTGGTAGCAAGCCTGCCAAGAATTTGCCATCCATATGCTAGCACTTCTGGAGTCTTGGAAACTGCTTGAGATGAGGTCCCCAGGCCAAGATGGCAGCATTGTACACGAGACTGAAAAAAAAAGAATTTGTCACTCTTTTTTTTTTTTTTTTTTTGAGGTGGAGTCTCACTCTGTCTCCCAGGCTGGAGTGCAGTGGTGCGATCTCGGCTCACTGCAACCTCCGCTTCCCAGGTTCAAGCAATTCTCCTGCCTCAGCCTCCTGAGGAGCTGGGACTACAGGCATGTGCCACCATGCCCAGCTCATTTGTATATTTTTAGTAGAGATGGGGTTTCACCATGTTGTCTAGGCTGGTCTCGAACTCCTGACCTCAAGTAATCTGCCTGCCTTGGCCTCCTAAAGTGCTGGGCTTATAGGCGTGAGCCACCATGCCCAACCTGTCACTGTTTTATGAAGCCCACATTATTATATTCTGTTTGGTAAAAGAAACATGCTTTGGAGGAATATCTTAAATTCATAATGTAAAATAAAACAAAACTTTGCTCTTAGGCTTAGTAGAGACCAGAAATAAGACCCAGTTTTTGTTACATGTCTTTCAAAAATTAACATTTGCTTTGTTACCTGATTTAGGAAGCCTGTGTTTATGGATGAGAGGAGGGGAGGAAGAGAGGGGTTCTTTCACTAGAAGAAGAGTTGCTGTAGTGGACATGGTATTATCACTAGGCTGCTGGCAAAAGGCACCAGAGCTGCCTCTTGACTTTCTAGGTATGTAGGTGAGTAAACTTTTTTTGTTCAAGAGAGTTTGAGTGGGGCTTTCTGTTTCTGACTACAGGAATACAGAAGGCTTTGTTGGTCAGGCACGGTGGCTCACGCCTGTAATCCCAACACTTTGGGAGGCCGAGGTAGGTGGATCACTGAGGTCAGGAGTTAGAGGCCAGCCTGGACAACCTGGTGAAACCTTGTCTCTACCAAAAATACAAAAATTAGCTGGGTGTTGTGGTGTGTACCTGTAATCCCAGCTACTCCAGAAGAATAAGAGAATCACTTGGGCCCAGGAGGCAGAGGCTGCGGTGAGCTGAGATCGGCCACTGTACTCCAGAGCCTGGGCGATAGAGCGAGACTCTAAAAAAAAAAAAAAAAAAAAAAAAAAAAAGGGAGGAAGGCTTTGTGCAGCATCTCCTGCCTGATCGTGAGACCGATCAGGTCCCTCTGAGATACGCTTCATGGGAGTAGGTATTCCTGAATAGCGTTATTACTGACAGTCACAGTCCGGGTTGTCATCCACGCACTGCCTGTCTTCCCTTTTAGACTGTGCGATCCATGAGGGCAGTGGCCCGTCCTTGCACCTAGCACAGTGCCTGGCATTGCTCAGTCATATTGGCTAAATGAGGGATTGAAGGGACCGTGGGGCCAGTGACTGTCACTTGGTATGAGTGTCACTGAGAAATGTCAATTCTTCCAGCACCTTAATTGTTCTCCTCCTGTTGGCATCTTCTCTTGGCACAAAGCAGCCAGTTAGGCTGGGCTTTAGACCTGTGGATGGTCGTTTGCCCCAAGATGTATTTTTAGTCATTTTCTGGGAATTGGGGCTTTCTGGAAGCCCCTCAGCCATTCATTGAAATCTTACCATATAGAGGCCAGGTGCAGTGGCTCACGCCTATAATCCCAGTCCTTTGGGAGGCCAAGGTGGGCAGATAGCTTGAGCCCAGGAGACCAGCCTGGGCAACACGGTGAGACCCTGTCTACACAAAAATTACAAAAATTAGCGGTGCGTGGTGGTGCATGCCTGTGGTCCCAGCTACTCAGGAGGCTGAGGTGGGAGAATCACCTGAGCCCAGGAGGTCAAGGCTGCAGTGAGCTGAGATTGTACCACTGTACTCCAGCCTGGGAGACAGAGAGATACCCTGTCTCAAAAAAAAAAAAAAAAAAAAAAAAGGAAAAGGAATCTTACCACTTAGAGTCAGTAGTAGGTGACAGAAACCCACCCTAAACTGCCTAAGAAAAAGAGCAGTTGATTCGCTCATGAAACTTAAACCTACAGGAGAAGAGCTAGCTTTTTGCTGGGCTGGATCAAAGCTCTCAGGGGGTATCACGCATATCATGCAGTCCCCATGACTTTCCATGTCTCCTCTCTCTTTCCCTCGGTCTTGGCTTCATTCTTAGGTAACTCTTCTCTTGTGGTGACAAGAGGGCCCCCAGGGGCCCCAGCCTAAATCCCATCAGTTTAACAATGCCAGTGGGAGGAGAAGACTTTTTTCCAGTAGCTCTGGAGAAGTCTTGGGATTCACTCTCTCATTTCCCGGGCCAGCTGTGTTACTTTTCCTGCCCAAGCCTGGGTCCCATTCCCCCTGGAGCTGGGGGTGGCTGGCTTTCCCTCACCTGAACTCCGTGGAGCAGGAACAAGGATGGAGGAGAGTTTGCTTAAAAGGAAAACCAGGATGTTCCTCCCATCAGATTGGGGGTGCATGCGGTGAGGTGCAGCCTGCAGATGTCCCTGACAGTGGGTTGCTTCCACAGAGGGCTTGTGACGCTTGGATTCTGTCCATTTTCCAGAGTGACACTACCGTGCTGTCACTCTTGTGCCAGCTGTCTTGCGCACCCTGTCTTGGTGGGTGAAATCTGGGCTCAGCCATTCTAAGCGGTAGCCCGAAGGTCTCTGTGCTGTGTTCTCCATTGTGCTTTTCCTTGGCTAGATATTTCGGTCTGATATAATCTGACATTATTAGCAAACCGCTGGTCCAGCTACTTTGGCATATTTGGACTTGATCTTAGAAGACTCAATATCTGTTTTAAATAAAAATATTTGGTAATGCCCCCTTCTGAAATGAAATTTATAGCGAATATAACCTACTTATACAAGTAATTTAAAAAATCAGTATAACACTCTAATATGAAAGAGAAATGAAAGGAATTTATAATACAAAATAGATTTCAGTACATATTGGTCTGGCGCAACTGTGCTAGAAAACATGCTGACGCTAAGTGCTTGCACCTCCTTCTCATGGATGAGTTTTGATTTTAAGAAGTTAAGAAGATCAGAAGTCATTCTTTAGAAGGAGTCCAGAAAAAGAGCAGAGAGTGGGTGAACCGTAAAGTAAACCTGGCATAGTCAGTATATATGAAAGGCATTCCTTTCTAGGCTCAGATTATGAGTAAGGTTTCCGCCTACATGAATGGCCACAGGACGATTGAAGTGTTGCAGGAAGTAGGCTGATCTTGGTTGTGTGGTACTGCCTTGGCCTTTCAGGACAGTTAGTATCCTCGGCTCTATGCTGTAAATGCTGGTAGTGCTAATGGAAAGGGGTCTTGATTCAGATCCCAAGAGAGGGTTGTTGGATCTTGTGCAAGAAAGAATTCAGGGCAAGTGCTTAAAGTGAAGGCAAGTTTATTAGAGAAAGTAAAGAAGCAAAAGAAGGGCTACTCCGCAGACAGAGCAGCGGCATGGACCAACTGACTTAGAGTACTTATGGTTATTTCTTGATTATATGCTAAACAAAAGGCAGATTATTCATGAGTTTTCCAGGCTCGGGGCAGGATTTCCTGGAAGTGACGGTTCCTCCCACTTTTAGACCATGTAGGATAACTTACGGACATTGCCGTGGCATTTGTAAACTGTCATGGTGCTGGTGGGAATGTCCTTAGCATGCTTATGCATTCTAATTAGCACATAATGAGCAGTGAGGACGACCAGAGGTCACTTTTATCACCATCTTGGTTTTGCTGGGTTTTGGCTGGCTTCCTTACAGCATCCTGTTTTATCGTCATGGTCTTTGTGACCTGTATCTAATGACACCAGTCCTCCTGACCTCCCATCTCATCCTGTGACTAGGAATGCTTCACTTCCTGGGAATGCAGCTCAGTGGGTCTCAGCCTCATTTTAACCAGCTCCTATTCCAGATGGAGCTGTTATGGTTCAAACACCTCCAACAATAGCACTCATCATCCTCGTGATGACCCAGACTGTCCCCACGGCCCCCAGTGAGAATCTCTGCTTTAGCTCTTTCCCAAGTGTTCTCTTTTTCAAGACCATTTACAAATGTATTGGAATTTTGTGTGCAAGGTCCCTTTCAGTTGCCCCGATCTTTTTGAGTCCTTGTCTAGAGACTGGATCCAGTCCACACTGAACCCACTGTTGAGCACCTGCTGCATATGTGACCCACTCTGGCTCTCCCACCTCTCGCCTCTCCTTGGGCATGAAGCTTGCTTCCCCAAGGTCGCTGGCTTTTTCCCTTGGCTGAGTCTCCTGAGCTGAGTGAGTTGTGCCCTTCGCCATTGTTAAGCACATGCTTGTCAGCAGCTGGCTGGTCTCATGATGTACCCCAGAGCAGCCAAGGAGCGTTGAGTGCATGGGGTGGGTGGGGCTGGTGTTGGGGGCTGGGGGTGAGTACAAGATACACATGTCAGTCAAGAGGGAATATGGCTTAGGAGGAGCTGTTTTCCTGCAGTTTGATGCTACTGATGAAATTCAGTCAAGATGAACGATTGATATTGTTTGTTTGTTTGTTTGTTTTTGAGACGGAGTTTTGTTCTTGTTGCCCAGGCTGGAGTGCAGTGGGGCGATCTCAGATCACTGCAACCTCTGCCTCCCGGGTTCAAGCGATTCTCCTGCTCAGCCTCCCAAGTAGCTGGGATTACAGGCGCCTGCCACCACGCCTGGCTAATTTTTTTGTATTTTTAGTAGAGACGGGGTTTCATGTTGACCAGGCTGATCTCAAACTCCTGACCTCAGGTGACCACTGCCTCGGCCTCCCAAAGTGCTGGGATTACAGACCTGAGCCACCGCTTCTGGCCGATATTGTTTATTTGTTGATTCACTCTTCAAACATTTACTGTTCCGTGTGAAGCTTAGTCAATCAGAGAGAAACACAATACAGCTGATTCTGTCCTGTGGGTGCTAGAAATTGAAGGGAAGGATATGCAAGCAAAGAAAATTTTTTTTTTTTTTGAGGCAGAGTTTCGCTCTTGTTGCCCAGGCTGGAGTCCAGTGGTGCGATCTCAGCTCATTGCAACCTCTGCCTCCTGGGTGCAAGCGATTCTCCTGCCTCAGCCTCCTGAGTACCTGGGATTACAGGCATGCGCCACCATGCCCGGCTAATTTTTATATTTTTAGTAGAGGTGGGTTTCTCCATGTTGGTCAGGCTGGTCTCGAACTCCCGACCTCAGGTGATCCGTCCACCTCGGCCTCCCAAAGTGCTGGGATTACAGGCATGAGCCACTGCGCCTGGCCGGCCACAAGCAAAGATTTTAACCTTCAGTCTGACAGCTCCAGGAGTTCCATTTTCGTGGGGCTACTCTGAGCAGGAAGTGTCGTATGGGGCAGGTGTGGACTTGAGTCCTGCTTCTCAGGGTTAGGGCAAGGGTGAGACAAGTGAGGCACCTACGCTGCTTAATTTAAGGCGGTGCTCGTCCTTAGTGTCATGCAAGGGCTTCCACCGCTCCTAGATGTGGGATCTGAGATGGCCATTTTACCTCTCAGGCTCCCTATCTAGAAAACCACGGTGGTAACAGACCCTCCCTTAGAGAGAGGATGAAGAGAGATTGCATGTCAAGGGTTAAGCACATTGAATACCCTGCGTAAGTACTGAGTAACAGACAGCCATGGTGATTACTGTTGGTTTCATGGAAGTAAATTATGCCTCCATTTCAAGCCTGCAAAAAGTCATTCTCTGCAGTTAATCTAGCCTGCTGTTGCTCAGATGTAACTAGCTTCCTAATAAAGAATTCTCTGGGTTGAAGAGCGAAATATGTTGCTTAAACTTTGCTGAACATCATAGTCACCTGGGGAGCTTTTAAAATGGTTATGTCCAGGCTGCCCTCCAGACCAATTAAATCAGAATCTCTGGAGCTGAGGCCCAGACTCTCAGGTAATTCCAGTGTGCAGTCAAGGTTGACAACTGGTGGCTTAGAGCAGAGTTTCTCAAACCTTAATGTACCCACGAAACACCCGGGGCTCAGGTTAGAGATTAAATTCTCATTGAGCAGGTCTGGAGTGGGGCCTGCTATCCTGGAGTTCTAATAAGCTCCCAGGTGACACTGATGCTGCTGGTTCCTAGACCACACATTTTAAGTAGCAAGGACTTAAGAGAGGATGCCAGCAATGATCTGAACGGATAAGCTCATTGAAAACCTTAGAAAGGCTGATTTTTAGCTCAGAACCAAGTTGGGAGCTAATTTTTTGTTGCTTGGCTGGTTTGAAAAATATAAAGAATAGTATGACCCACTGCAACAATTAGCACTACTAACATTTGTCATTTTTGTTTTAGATTTTATTTTTAAGTAAACCATAAACAACATGTAGGTTTGTGCTATGGTTAGAAGGTTGTCCCTCTAAAACTCATGTTGAAACTTAATTACCAAGCAACAGTATAAAAAGGTGGTACCACCTGAGAGGTGATTAGACCATGAGCGCTCCACCCCCCATGGAGGGGAGGTGCGATTCATGCTGTTATAAAAGGGCTAGCTGGGCTCCTTTTTCCGTTACTGCCTTCTGACCTATGATGACGCAGCAAAGGTCCTCGCCAGACGCCAGCCCCTTGATCGTGGACTTCCCAGCTTCCAGAACTGTGAGAAAAGAAATTTCTGTTCATTATAAATTACCCAGCCTCAGGTATTCGGTTATAGCAGCACAAAACAGACTGAGACGGCTTGCTTTGTGGGTATTTATTTTTTTGAGACGGAGTCTCGCTGTGTTACCCAGGCTGGACTGCAATGGCGCGATCTCTGCTCGCTGGAAGCTCCTCCTCCCGGATTCACACCATTCTCCTGCCTCAGCCTCCCCAGTAGCTGGGACTACAGGCGCCTGCCACCACACCCGGCAAAGTTTTTGTATTTTTAGTAGAGACGGGGTTTCACCGGGTTAGCCAGGATGGTCTCTATCTCCTGACCTCGTGATCCGCCCGCCTCGGCCTCCCAAAGTGCTGGGATTACAGGCGTGAGCCGCTGCGCCCGGCCTCTTTGTGGGTTTTTAAGGATCTGCCTCTGAGCTTTCAACGTGCGCCCACTGTTCTGCAACTTGGTTTGCTCACCCAATGTAAAGCTGAATGGTTTCAGATTAAGATATACACAAGTGGGATTCTACCATGGAATTCTGCCATACCTGAGATTTCTTGAGGGAACTCTTGTTTTCATACTTAAAAAAAAAAAAAAATTACCTTTAAATTGTGAAAGCAGCATAACAACTCAAAATGGGGAAAAGAGTCCCAAATCCCATGACTGTAGCGTGATAATTATTTCCATTCTTAGTCCACTTAAGTATATTTTTACATAGTTACACCACTGTTTGTTGTGTACATGCAATTTACATTCTGTTTATTTTATTCTGTTGCTATGTAGATTTCAAATTATGTTTAAATACAAGATTTTTTTTCCCTGTTCATAAATGTAATGTGTACGTTCGAATCCTTAAGGTTTTTCCCTTAAGTTAGGGTATTTTTCCCCCCTGCATATGAAAGTAATTTGCAAGTTAGAATTCTTAAGTCCGGGAATACCAGAAAAGTTTAAAGAGGAAAATCACCTGAACACAATTACCATCAATGAATTTATTATTTATGGGGCATTTTATTCCAGTTTATTTTTATGCATATATGTATTTTATATAATTCAGGTCATTCTGAATCTATAAATTGAGGGTCTACTTTGAAAAGTTTTTTATTACAATAATACAGTAAACAACAGACATTGTCTCATGTTATTCAGTTCCATGGATGTCACTTGATGGCTTTGTGGAGTTCTGTGTTTGGATATGTCCTTGTTTCTCACATCATTTTTCTTAACCATTTTTTTCCCTTGTAGGATTAGTATTTCTATGAACTTGTATTTTTATAAACCTATTCCGCCTTTTAAAAATCATTTCCTTCAGCTAGATTCCAAAAAGTGAAATTCCCATGTTAGAAGGTAAGCATGTTTGTAAAGGCTCTTGATCTTGTGTTACTAAAATCCTTTCCAAGAAAGCGGCCTCTCTTTTACCCCTACAGCGGTGAGTGAGAGAGCCTGACCAGCTGTGATTTGTAACGGCTGTGTAGCATTCCTTAGGGTACTTGGTGGTTTCCACCTCGATTTGCATTGCAGCTGCTTCCAGTGTGAGCTTATAGATAAAGGCTGCAGTGACTATCTCAGTATCTGTGTGTATTTCTCTGTCCGTTTCTTTCCTTAATGTGTATTTCCCCAAGTGGGATCTCAGGGCAAAGTATATGATTTTTTTTTTTTTTCTTTTTGAAGGCAGAGTGTTTCCCTCTTGCCCAGGCTAGAGTGCAGTGGCACAATCTCAGCTCACTGCAACCCCCACCTTCCAGGTTCAAGTGATTCTCCTGCCTCAGCCTCCCGAGTAGCTGGGATTATAGGCACGCACCATCATGCCCAGCTAATTTTTGTATTTTTAATAGAGATGGGGTTTTGCCATGTTGGCCAGGCTGGTCTCGAACTCTTGACCTCAAGTGATCCACCCGCCTTGGCCTCCCAAAGTGCTGAGATTACAGGTGTGAGCCACTGCACCCAGCCAAGAGATATGAATGTTTTCATGGCCCAAGTTCTTGGCGGCAGGCTGAGGTGGGAGGGCCTGCTCATCAGAAATGGAGCTAGTTCTACTACCATTCATCACTGCTTGGCTCCTGCATCTGTGGCTGTGGAAGGTGAAGGTATCCTTGGCATGAATGATTTCTCAGCTCGTTTTTCTTTTGGGATTAATGATGTGGGACTCCCAAAGGTGGGAGAATGGAAATGCCAAATGCTTTAATGTTGAAATTTAAAATAATGGGAGCACCTTCTCAAACATGACCAACAGTGGAAAGCCATATAAATTTCTTCATGAGCCTTTCAGAATTTTGTAACCAGTATAGGTTTCCTAGATAGTTTTTTAAAATATAAAATGGTAGAGACAGCATAATGGGAGAGGAACAGAAGCTTGGTGGCATCTCAGAGCAATCACGTACAAGGGAGAAAGCCATGTGCTTGTTTATTTTCTCTAATGCTTCTAGAATCCAATCAAAGACTCAGGTTTTGTTGACGAACTCAACTTTTTAGGGAGCAAGCAGCAAGGTATATTTGCATGAACATCTGTGTTTTGAAGCGCGTGCCCGCGTTGAATGGTTGAGCGTCAGAGTCATTAGTACCCAATGCCAGATGTTCCCTGAAAAATCTGCACCAAACACAGACTTGGGCAGTTCATCAAGATGTGAAAAACATGCAGCTGTTAAGGGAAAAGGGAGAAGGTTGTGTCTGAAATGTTGCTCCAGCCCATCGCTTTCCCCCATCAAAGGACAGAAGCAGGAGGAAATAAAAAAAAATTACCAAAACCCATAAATATGACAGAACTCTTATGAAAAGGTTACGGTAATTATTCACCGGGGAGGGAAATGCTTTTCCCATTCATTAATGCTTCATTTCTTGTCTTTTCTAATGAGAAGTAGGTAGAGGTGTCTAGAGAGAAAGAAAAATAGCAGAATGGTTTTGAGGGATACCAAAAGAGCCCAGGAAAGGTGAACAATGGGAAGAGAGGTGTGGCCACTAAGTAAATGCTGGTGTTTGAGTTACTTCCGAGAAATGGTTGGAATGAAACAGCTGGATGTAGCCGATCCAAGGAGCCGCAGCCCGTGGCTCAGTTTAACCCCCTTGACTTTCCCTCTTTGCCTCCGGAGAGGCAGAATTTGCAGCCTGATTATTCGTAGAAATAATTTTTCAAATCTTGCCTTTCCGGTACGGTTCACAAGGTGGCAATTTCCATGTCACTGAACATGAAGCCTGGGTCTTAAATATAGCCAGGATGTGAATGCCCTGCAGGCGGTGACAGTGGCAATGTGACATCACTGCCAAGCAACTTCTTTTTATTTTGGAGCCTGGGAGGGGAACAACAGGAAGCTGGGCAGAGGGGAGATATTCTTGGCAGCAGCAGCAGCGATGCAGTTTAAAGAGAGACAACTGTCAAGGCTAGTGACTGAGCAAACCAGAGTTCGCTGAATTCGTACTGGTGCCAAACATAGCCGAAGCAAAGATGTGTGAGACTCGTACCTGCTGCTGCTCAGCTCCAGCCACCAAGTAGCCATCATGAAAATGTTTTATTTTAAGCAGAAGAACTTTCCTTCAAATGCATTCTTACTTGGAAGCTCTCTGAGACCCGAGAGAGCTCCCTGAGAGCTGAGCCACACAGGTTAAAGTGGAGAGGTGGGGTCCTGGAATGCCACCCATGGAGCTACAAAATGCCCTTTGTTATCCATGTTGAAAAGGCCACTTAAAAATGGCGACCTAGCGTGGGATAGGCTTGCCTTTGAGCACATTCCCTCTTGTTTCTGGTAATGTGAGCTAAGGAGCTGTTAGGGCTGAACTAAATCCACAGATGGTCTCTGCCTCTCTTTCTGTATCTGGCAAGGCTCTTTCCCAAGTTTGTTAGGGAGTTGACGTTAGCTACATCTTAGTAGATCTTGTTTTTCTTGTTTTTCACTCATTTGTACCTCAGATTTTCTTGTCCAATCTCCCCCTCCCCTGCATGATTAGTCCCTCTTATTTTGCTTAACTTTTTCTTATTTCCATAGCATTTCTTGTTTTCTAATACATCACTTCTTAGATTCATGATTTATCACTGCCTTTTGGTCTTAAGTTTTAAGCCTCATGAGGGCAGGAGCCTTTGTCTTGTTTTATTTTATTTTATTTTTCTGAGGTGGCATCTCGCTCTTGTTGCCCAGGCTGGAGTACAATGGCACGATCTTGGCTCACCGCAACCTCCACCTCCCGGGTTCAAGTGATTCTGCTGCCTCAACCTCCTGAGTAGCTGGGATTACAGGCATGTGGCACCATGCTCAGCTAATTTTTTTTTGTATTTTTAGTAGAGACAGGGTTTCTCCATGTTTGTCAGGCTGGTCTCGAACTCCTGACCTCAGGTGATCCACCTGCCTCAGCCTCCCAAAGTGCTGGGATTACAGGTGTGAGCCACCACGCCCGGCCTGCCTTCGTCTCATTAGTTCACCGATAGATCTATTCCAAGGAGCCTGGACAATGCCTGGCACATAATAGAGCTCAGTGGATGTTTGTTGAATGAATAAATGAGCATTTGTCAGTTACTTCTAAGTTGTTGTTCTGCTGTGTTTGGCTTATGTTTCCAAGGTGATTTCATTTCATGGTCTAAAGTGGCTGCTGGAGCCCCAGCCCTGACACCTGTGTTCTTGGCAGCAGGAAGGGTAAAGCAGGAGAAGGGGAGAAAGTGTGTGCCAACTTCTCGTACAGAGGTTACCGCAAGTCACTCAAACACTTTCTCTTACTTCTCACTGGCCTGAACTTACTCTGCTAGGGATGCTGAGAAATGTGATTTCTGTTTTTTAGTGGAGCACATTGTCACTCCAAATAAAACAGAAGGCAAGTAGTGGTCTGTGCTTAGTGCCTGGTACATAGTAATCTCTCATGAGGAAAATTCACTTGTTTTGTTACCCGGGGTCATGAGGGAGTATATGCTCTGTTCTGTAGTCGTCAGTAGATCAGATTGTCCCTATAGTGATTAACAAATGACCTTTTGATTCACAAAGACCTTGACTCTAATCCCTGCAGTAAGCACTTGCTAGCATTGTGACCTTGGGCAAGTTACTGTACCTCTGTGAGCCTCCGTGTTTAAAAATCATGAAAATGGGAAAAATAATAGAACCTACCTCATGGGTATTGGTGAGGATTGAATTACATAATGCAGGTAAAGAAGTGTGGGGCTGCTGTCTGAGACACAGGAAGCTAATAAATGAAGGCAGTTCTATATCATCCTATGATCTTTACCAGCCTCAGTCAAGTATGGTTTCTAGGTGCTCAGGACTCAAGGATCACAGAGACATCCTTCTGGAAGTTCCCAGAGTGCACTCCAGTTAGAACAGTTTGTGCCAAGGGGGAGAGGCATGAAGGAAGATGCTGTGTCAAGGAAGCTTCAGGTTGCTCCCTGTGGCTGTATCCTGGAATTCTGGAGTCCAGAGTACGTTTGGGGAACGATTGAGGGTGGGGTTTCTGCAAGGGTGGCCTGGGAACAGATTCCCAAGGTCCCAATGAGGAGTTTGGCCTCGGTTCTGTGGATAGTGGGCAACTATTGAAGGCCTTTAAGGAGGGGGAGTAATTGATCAGATCTGTTCGAGGGACAGAGCCATAATCCCCTCCTGGGCATTGTGGAGAAGTGGATAGGAGGAGGCCAGGGTCGGAGGGGCTGGAAGTTCTTTGAGCTATTCAGGCGAGAGATGATGATGGTCAGATCCAAAGCAGGGTGAATGCTTCTAGAGAGAGAGACTGGGTAGATCAACCATGATAAGTATGATTCCAGTTGTTTGGTTCTTGGATTAGAGTCTGTCTTCCCGGTAGACTTTGCTACCAGGGGTTAAGGATGGATAAACAAGATGTGAATGAATTATTTGCCTAGCTCCTCAAGGTACGAGGCCAGACCTAACCCAGGCCTTCACCAGCACTGGCGTCTTCAGTGAGATTGTGCCGCCTTTGTTAACCTGAGTCATTGAGGAGCAGACCTTTTGAAGAGTGAGTCTGCATCACAGCTTTAACAACCTGAGCCCTGTGGCAGGTAATTGTGACCAGGAACAGCGTCTAATGAGCTAATTTTTGTCCAGTGATCACATCTTGAGATAGTGTGCGTGAGCTGCATCCCTTTGTAATTGCCACGGTCACAGTATCGGGAGGCCCCAAGTCCGTGAGGAGGAAGTTGTCTTTGGGTCACCAGCAAGGTCACAGCCTGTGGTTTGGGTTCATTTGTGCAGATTGGGGCTAATTTGTTTTTGCTCTTTTATCTGAATTGGAAATTGCTCAGCCAGGCAAGAGATACGGTCATTTAACAGACAGAAGCGCTCAGATGGAGGAGGGTATGAGGCCGGATAGGACCCCTGTTTTCCTCCAAAGTTCATGGTTACTGGGGATGTGACCTTGGCTTTCAGAGGACCTTCCCAGCAAAGATACCTTTCCCCTGTCTGCTGTATGGCCACAGAGTCAAAATGTTAATATGTTTGTTTCTGCTTTTTATTTAAAAATTTTTAAATTATGGAATTTTTCAAACATGAACAAAAATAGATGGAATAGTGTAACAGCCCCTGTGTACCCATCCCCCAGTCTTCGCAGTTACTCACTTGTTATTACTCTTGCTTTGCTGAGCCTGTTACACTCTCTGCTTTGTTTTTTGCTTAACAACTTACAGCAAGTCCTAGATGTTACATCAGCTATAAATACTTGCTTATATATGAATCTCTTACAGTAAGACAAAAAAATTATCACCACACACACACTATTACACAATAAAATTAGCAACAGTCTCTTAATATCTAAGTTCAAAGTTCCTTGATGGTCGTTTACAGTGGCTTTGTTTGAGTGGGTTCTGATTTTACTTTTCAAAGTGTTAAGTCAGCTCATGCCATTCTTATGTGTACAACACTCCACTGTACTCAGAAAAAAAAGAATATCCACCCTTCTTTCCCTGGCCTGCATGTTCTGCGTGATCTGACCGGGGCCTGCCTGCTTCCTGTTAAGCATCTTCACTGTTTGTTCTGCCCGGGACTCGTACCCCACAGATCTTCAGATCTTTGCAGGACGGTTTCTTTTCAATTCCTCTGAAGAGAGGGTGGTCCTCCACCTCAGTCATTTCCCCTCCTCATTATGGTTTTACATTTTCTCACACAACCTACTCTTCTACATTTATTTGTGTTTTTTTGTTTGTTTGTTTGTTTTGTTTTTTGAGACAGAGCCTCACTCTGACACCCAGGCTGGAGTGCAGTGGCACGATCTCGTCTCACTGCAACCTCTGCCTCCCGGGTTCAAGTGATTCTCCTGCCTCAGCCTCCTGTGTAGCTGGGATTACAGGTGCACATCACCATGCCTGGCCAATTTTTGTATTTTTAGTAGAGATGAAGTTTTGCCTGTTGGCCAGACTAGTCTGAAACTCCTGACCTCAGGTGATCCTGAGGCCGAGGCAGGCAGATTGCTTGAGCTCAGGAGTTTGAGACCAGCCTGGGCAATGTGGTGAAACCGCATCTCTACAAAAAATATAAAGAAATTAGCTAGGTGTGGTGGTATGCGCCTGTAGTCACGGCTACTTTGGAGGCTGAGGTGGGAAGATTGCTTGGGCCCGCGAGGTGAAGGTTGCAGTAAGCTGAGACTGTGCCGTTGCACTCCAGCCTGGGCAGCAAAGCAAGACCCTATCTTAAAAAAAAAATGCATGCAATAATACACATGAAAAGATTCACATCGTAGAATCTTTGGTTTCTGTGATACTTTTCTGTTAAGAGGTGGTACCAAGCACATGTTGGAATTATTACCTCCCACATCCAGACCAGGTAACTGGTTTACAGATTGGGAAGATGGGACACCTGCAGATGGTCATTTCAAGGTTTGGCCTCAGATGGGCATGTGGGGAGCAGGAGACAGTGTGGCTTCATGGAAACTGCCCTGGGCTTTGCATTGGGGTCTTTGGAAACCCTGCCCTATCTTAGCTCTGTAACCTGGAACGCGTTGCTTTCCTTCTCTGAACCCCAGATTCACCCATCAAATGGGGCAAACCACCATCTTCAAACCAGTGAGAGACACGGTGTTTCTGAGGCTCTTTCCATTTTCCTGCAGAAAAAGACTGACCTGTACTAGTAGCAACTTTGCTGACCAGTCAGGCTGAGAGATGAACGCAGTACATACACCACAGGTCCCTGGAACAGATGCCACTAATTCATTATTGACAAAACATAATAGCTCTATTATTTTTTACATTTTCCGGGTGTTTTCTGAACACCAGTAATGGTTCTGTCTCACATAGGTCAGCTAAGTTAATCGTCGTGGTTGCCAGTGAGCAAGGTCCTTTTGTGTTCTCAGTTCACAAGAGGGTGACAGGCTAAGAAGCTTGCTCAGGACCCCGCACACAGTGGCAGGGCTGGAATTTGAATGCAGACTCTGCTAGAACGTCCCCTGCCATCCATCCATCATGGTCATTAGGGTGGTTTTTATACTTGGTGATTGTCAGAGTGTCTCTGTAGTCGTGTCTATTACTATAGCTTTCTTTTGTGCCCCAGCCTTGGCTGTTTTTAGTCAAGGATAATAATTGTTTAAAAAGAGCTGGGCACTGTGGCTCATGCCTATAATCCCATTGCTTTGGGAGGCCAAGGCAGGAAGATCGCTTGAGCCCAGGAGTTCGAGGTTGCAGTGAGCTGTGATTGTGCCACTGCACTCCAGCCTGGGCAACAGAGCAAGACCCTGTCTCTGAATGAATGAATGGCACATCCTTTATTTTTAGCTGTACAGAGGGTCATGACATCTTCCAAAATATCGTCTAATTCAGAGCCTTCCATGTTGGTACCCACTCTGGATCTCTTGGCCGGTCTTGTGTACAGTCTGGAGGCCCCTGGGGAGATCCCCCCATGTTTTTTCTTTCTCTCACGCTCCCTCTGAATCTTTGTCTCAAAAAAAAAAACAAAAAACAAAAAACAAAAAACCAAACCTCTGGCTCTGTTGCCCAGGCTGGAGTGCAGTGGCATGACCTCACCTCACTGCAGCCTCTGCCTCCTGGGTTCAAGACATTCTCCTGCCTCAGCCTCCCAAGTAGCTGGGATTACAGGCGTGCACCACCACACCTGGCTAATTTTTTTTTTTTTTTTTAGTAGAGATGGGGTTTCAGGATGTTGCTCAGGCTGGTCTCGAACTCATGGCCTGAAGTGATCCATCCATCTCAGCCTCCCAAAGTGCTGGGATTATGGGAGTGAACCACTGTGCACAGCCACTCCTCCTAATCTTTATGGTGAGCTTTTTGAATGCAGCTTTTTCCAGAAAGTTTTATGTAGCAAGCCGGTGTGACAGGAAGACAAATTGTTGAGCTTTAAATTGAAGAAAAACAGAAGGCAGTTTGTCTGATGTGTTCCAGTTCTGTTCTTCTACCTTCTTCAAGTTTGAATTATGGAGACGGTGTCCTCCCGCTTTGAAAGTTAAACTGCTGGGAGGTATTTTATTGGGGAATGTTCTATTAAAGCATTAAGAACAATTAGATGTAAAGTCCTCTTTTATTTTTATGGAGTTTGACATACAAATAATTAGAAGTTTGGGTTTTCCCTCTCTCCCTACCTTCCTTCTCTTTCCTTCTCCCTCCCCACCGACCCCACCTCTTTTTTCCCTTTCTTCCTTAAGGGAATTCTAAAACCCTGGAATGAAGTGCATTTTGGGAAGAATTTGGTAGCAGGCTTTCTGTAATTGCCCACAGAAGGAGAAAAAACACATTTACCTATTTTTAGAGGTGAAAACTGCTCCTCCAGGCTTGAGGGCTTTTCTAGGGCAGGCTGTCCCCCGTTCTGAGACCCCCCACAGTGGGAGCTGGCTTCCCTCTCCCCTCTGACACCCCTGAGGTGGAAGCAGGCTGTTTTTTTTGGAGATTCTGGCAGGCTTTTCTACCTGTCACAGCACTGGCTGTGGTTCCTAATTACATACGTGTGTGTCTGATTAGGGTCTGTCGCCCCTATTAGACTCAGAATCCCATGAGAAAGGGTGTTCTGGCATTTCCCCCGTCTCCAACTCTTCATCCTCAGGCCTGAACTCTGTCTTTCACCCACAGCAGGTGACCGGCAGGTGCCTTAGTCCATCCGGGCTACTATAACAAAACAAAAAGTACCAGAAACTGGGTGGCTTATAAACAACAAATAGATCTCTCATGGTTGTGGAGGCTGGAAGTCCAAGATCAAGGTGCCAGCAGATGTGGTATCTGGGGAGGGCCTGTTTGCTGGTTCATAGATGGCACCTTCTCCCTGTGTCCTTACATGGTGGAAGAGGTGAGGCTGCTCTCTGGGGCCTCTCTTACAAAGGCACGAATCCCATTCATAAAGGGCTCCACCCTCATAACCATAGGCTCTTTAAAATGCCGCACCTCCTAATATCATCATCTTGGAGGTTAGCATTTCAGCATATGAATTTGGCAGTGGGGAGAGGACACAAACATTGAGACCACAGTAGCAAGCATTTAGGCATGAAGAATGTCACGGGAACAAGGCTTGGCTTCTCATTCTGCCTCCCACCCCCCTTGCCCTTCTGCCAGTGGCTGCCTCTGCTGGATGCCTTGTTCTGGACTTCTTGCTTGTCCTGCCCCCGTTGGTTGCCCCACCACCCCTTCCGCGCCCAGGGGACTCTGGCTCTTGTTGCTACTCTGCAGACCAGGAGAGAAAACTCCATCCCAGGAGGAAATGTATTTGGTTAGAAGGTTTGTAACAATGTAATTATGCAGCTGAGTGTGCTCAGGTATATTCTATGTATTAAGCTGATAGAAAAATCCTGTGTTAAGTCGGTGGATTCAGAAGAACAGGCGCAATTTAGCAAGCCACTGGGAGGAGCAGCTCACGTGAAGAGCCACAGAATGTTTCTCTTCTTGAGAGCACGGGGATGAGGTGAGCCAGGGACATGGTCATTAACAAGTGGAGGAGGGGATTTGGCTTGGTTAAAGGACCCTGGACTCTTTCCATTGCCTCAGTTACAGGCCGTTTTCTCAGGGCAATGATGTTTTCATTAGAAAAGCCACAGACACACTGAGCCAACTATAACTGGGGACCAAATGAGAGGCCGCTTTTCTATGCTAGCTGCCTCTTGAGGGCAGACTGTGGAGTTGGAGATGCGTTTGAGTAGAGGGTGGTGGCATGCCGAGATGGAAAATGAAAGGGGTAGATGCAGCTGGGAGTGTGAGAGCAGGGAGGGCCCAGAACCTTCTGCAGTTCATCCTCCTGGAGAGTCTACAACCACCATGGGTTCACTAAGTGATCGTGAGTCCCAGGGCCTGTCTTGTTCCAGTGACACTGCTGCAAGGAAGGGTCCCATGCTAGAGATGGCTGGGCCCATCCTCATGAGATCACTCCTCTGCTCAAGATCCTGCAGTGGCTCCCCACTTCCTTCGAAGTAAAGCCAAAGCTGGTGAGTGGTATAAAAGGACTTGACATGATGCAGTGCTCCCATCATCTCTCTCTGCTCCTCCGACTCCTCCTCGTGTTCATCTGCTCTGGGCATATTGGTCTCTTTGCTGTTCCTTAACGTGCGTGGCGCACACCCCCCCACATCTCCTTGAAGCCTTGGCTCTAACGTTTCTCTCTACCAAGACCCTCTTCCCCCAGAGAGCTTCTTGGTTAACTCCCTTGTCTCTTTCTAATCTATTTTATTTTATTTTTGAGATGGAGTCTTGCTCTGTCGCCCAGGCTGGAGTGCAGAGGCGCGATCTTGGCTCACTGCAACCTCTGCCTCCCAGATTCAAGCGATTCTCCTGCCTCAGTCTCCTGAGTAGCTGGGACTACAGGCACCCACCACCACACCCGGTGAATTTTTGTATGTTTGGTAGAGATGGTGTTTTGCCATGTTGGCCAGGATGGTCTCATCCTGACCTCAGGTGATCCGCCCACCTCAGCCTCCCAAAGTACTGGGATTACAGGCGTGAGCCTTGTTGGCCCAGCCCTCTTGGAGTCTTAGGAAGGGGCGCAGGTTGCCTGGGTTTCCCTCCTTGCCTCTTCCTGCCCCCAGAGAGCACCATGAAGCCCAATGAAGGTGGATATGGGGCAGGAGCTCGCTGGGGCTCTGGTGTGCAGGAAGGTTTCCCTGTTTGTCTTCAAAACTGATTTTGTAAGTGCTGAGAGCCGTGTTTTGTTTCTCTACCTCTATGGCCTCATCTGCAAGGCAGGCCTCTCTAGGTCCTTAGCAAATGGCTGTCCAGCCGACTTGGCCAAATGAATGAATTGATTCTCAGGGCTGTCTGTTTATCCAACGTCAGGAGAATGGGAGTGCAGGAGCCCAGGGCATGGTCCCTCTGGGCACTGAGTTTCCTCGTGCCCCCCTCCCCTGGAGCTCGGGTGTGTGTAGATGCATGACCAAGGACCAGGGGGCATTTTCACTTCTGTGGGGTGGGCCTGCCGGGTGGCTGGGCAGGGAGGCCCCTGTTTTAGTCGTGTTTCTCCTGGGAGCAGAGCCTGTGTCAGGGGCTTGGATTTAGGTGCTTCTCTGGGAGCTGATCCTAGGAAGCTACAGTGAGGGAGCCGGAGGGTGAGAAGGGAAGGAACGGCAGTCAGGAAAGGGGATTTCTTGAGATGGCTGCAGGTGGGCAGCCGGAGAGTCCCCCGAGGAGTGTGGAGAACATGCCTCGCAGTCGCCTCGGAAGGATGGGGCATTCATCCACCAACATCCACCCCCCATAGGCTGATGGTTGTCCCCTCAAGGTGCTGGCTGTCTCCACCCTGCTTCCACACTATCCAGCAGGGCTGGTCCCCTTCTCTGGCTCTGGAGAAGGTCCTGAGGGCAGCACAGGGCAGACCTCATGGTTATGGAGGTGGGAGTGAGTAGGCGATGTGCACACACTGGCCCTCCACAGCATGAGGGCGAGAGGTGAGCCGAGGGCAGGGGACGTGGGGTCATGATGTCTCCTAAAGGAACTTCTCTTATTGCCCAGGGCGGGAGGTTTCACAGCAGCCGTTTCCTGGGTGTCCTGCTCTCCCAGAGTGCTCTGCAGTATTATCCTTTTACCTCAGGCCACTGTGTAGCACCATGTAAAGGGTCTTATGCCTTTACATTGACACGATTGGAGCCTTTGAAACGTGGTTATGAAGCAGGCTTGATTTTCTGCATTTTTCAGATGAAAAAGCAGAGACTGGAGGTTTCCTATCTTGGTCAAGTTCATGTGAGCTCGTAAGTGAAGAATCCAGGAACTGAATTCCTGTCCCTGACCCCAAATTCCTTGCTGGGAGGGCTTGAGTGGTGCCCTATTCCCTACACTATGAAGTGGAGACAGTGTGCAGGGCCATTCTCTGAAAGCCCTTTGTGCCTCTGGGCCTTTGCATGTGCTTGTCTCCGTCTGCCCGAGGGCTGGCTTCTGTTCATGCATCAGGAGCCAGCTGCAGTGTCACCACCTCTGTGAAGGCGCCGTGATTCCCTCCAGTGCTTCATCCTTTGTGTTTTCCCAGCATCCCAGACTTGTATTATAATTCACATTACATCACAGCATCTGGTATAAGTTCTCAGGTGCTAGGTACAGTGACCAACTCCAGCTGACCGTGCATGAGTTAAAGCGTTGCTGCTGCTTTTTTTTTTTTAGAGACAGTTCTCACTCTGTTGCCCAGGCTTGATTGCAGTGGCGCCATCATGGCTCACTGCAGCCTCTACCTCCCAGGTAGAGCACTTTTAATTTTTTTAATTTTTTTATTTTTATTTTTTGAGAGAGGGTCTCGCTCTGGCACCCAGGCTGGAGTGCAGTGGCGCAATCTCGGCTTACTGCAATCTCCGCCTCCAGGGTTCAAGTAATTCTCCTGCCTCAGCCTGCCGAGTAGCTGGGATTACAGACGTGCGCCACCACACCCGGCTAATTTTTGTATTTTTAGTAGAGATGAGGGTTCACCATGTTGGCCAGGCTGGTCTCGAACTCCTGACCTCAAGTGATCCACCCACCTCGGCCTCCCAAAGTGCTGGGATAACAGGCGTGAGCCAGTGCACCCAGCCGGTTTTAATTGTCACAGATGTGGGCACCCAGTAGTCCTGCTTGAGCATTCTCACATATTTTGTGGTCCATTTGCCTAATGATTCATAAGTGCCTCACAGGCCAAGCTCACATTAGTTCTTTTCTTGAACATTGATATGATGCCTCACCCAGGCTGTGGGCCAAAAGGACAGCGTGGCATGATGAAAAGAACATGCAACGTGCACCGGAGACTCGGGGTAGCCCGAGTGGAACCCTGCTCCCTCATTTCCTGCCGTGTGACCTCAGGCAACTTTGAGCCTGTTTCCTTATTTGTGAAATGCGGATATGGGGATTGAGTGAAATGGGGGAACCCTTAGCTCAGTGCTTGTCTGTTTAAGTATTGACTTCTGTCCCACTTTCTCTAGTTAGTGCCCAGTAAATTGTTGACTTGATCTCAACTCAGAACGAGGATCTTTGCCTGTGGCGTGGAATCATTTCTCCAATCATGGAGAATGGGCGGAGAATGAGATTTGTAACACACCTGCCTGTTAGTTTTAGATGAGCCCTTCTGGAATTAATATGGTGTAGGCTTGGGTAGAAAGCACATCTTGTGCATAACTGCATTATCTTAGCAATTAGCTGGAATGAAGGTTCCATGTGCCCTCTACTGAGGACACCCGTCTAACAAAGGGTTTCTTTGGCTCCCAGCAAGGCTGGCACCCCTGCAGATGTATGACGATACCCAGCCAAGTTGATCTCTCTGCCTAATCCCTAGTTCCAGGGATAGCCTGTGGAGCATTGTAGGGAGTTGGCTTCATTCCTCACCCTTCCATTCTTTCAGAGACGATGGCTCAGCACACTGTATGTTGGGCTGCTTCTCAAGAACTAATTCCCAGTAACTAGCAATCCCAGTATTGAGTAGATGCAAGATGATTTTGAGAACTCTCGCTGTTCTGTTTCTAGGCTTCAACTTCGGATATCTTGGACCAGGCGTTTCTCCCTAAAGCTTTTGCTGAAGTTTCACCAAAGGATTTTATGAGACTGTAGGTTCCATGGACCACATCTGCATAGAGACATGGCTGTGTATTTCACAAGTAGGAGAATAGAAATCCCCACTGGGGCTGGGCACGGTAGCTCACACCTGTAATCCTAACACTTTGGGGAGCCGAAGCAGGAGAATCACTTGAGCCCAGAAGTTTGAGACCAGCCTGGGCAACATAAGGAGACCCTGTCTCTATTAAAAATAAGTACATTTAGAAATAAAAATATAAAAAGGAAAGGAAATCCCCAGTAGGACTGGGAGAACTCATACCTCATGGGTAGTGGGCTCAGTGGCCTTGGTGAACACTTAAGAGAGGGACAGGAAGTACAAGGTCCTTTGCTGCTACTCCCTTATCCCGTGCTTTTGCAGACATTACTAATCAATCACTGCACTCTTTGTAGCCCTAGAATCTTAGAATCCAGTGCATCTAGGCAGCCACTTCCAGTCATAGGCACCAATTTTCTTTACTGAAAATCTATTCTTCACCTCTCTTGTCTCTGGGAACTCTAAGTAAGTCCCTTTCCAAAAGCGCAGGCTAGTCAGATGTCTCTAACAAATGGTTCTAGGGCCAAGTGGGAATGATGAGATTTGCCACAGCAGGGAATAGCACCGTGACTCTGATGTTGCCAGGTGTGGAAATGATGCTGGTGAGGCCTGGGTGGTGGTCTGGATGCCCACTGTTTGCCCCATTGCTGGGTCTGCTGGACCCCACGAACTGCCTCCACTCCACTTTCTGACTGTATTCATGTTGCTGAGGGGCGTCAGGGGGCATGGTAGGAGTAGATGTTAGGTTTTTAACATGAGGAATCTTCATTTTAGTTTAGATTCAGGATCTTTCAGCCCTCTGAGTCTATCCCCTTGGTTACATAGCAGAGAGGCTTATGTGCTCTGCCAATTAGCCCACCAACTTTAGAAGGTCACAGCCAGAAAAATAGTCTTGTGCTAATGATTTAAAAATAACTTGGTGTTATTATATCATTCCATTCCTGTGAAACATCTAGGATAAGCAAATTTCTAGAGACAGAAACGAGATTAGTGGTTGTCAGGGGCCGTGGTTGGGGTGTGGGTGGTTGGGAGTGACTGCTAATGGATATAGGTTTTCTTTTTGGGGTGATGAAAATGATCTCTTCATAGAATTGTTGTTGTTGTTGTACAGTCTTGCAAATATGCTAAAAACCACTGGACATGCACTTTAAAAGGGTGAATTATATCTTAAGGAAGATTAGAAAAAAGTAAGGAGATTTTGTACAAAATAAAATCAAGTGTTAATAACAGCTACTACTGAGCACTTAAAAACGTAACTTCATGGCAGAAGTGTTAGTGCTGTCCCCCATTTCTTGATGGCATTATAGCATCAATGTCTGGACTGTGGGAGCTTTCTCTTTTGGGTCTGAAATATTGAGATCTTGACTGCTTTCACTTCTGGCCTTGTGCCGGGAGTAGCGACTGTATGTGTGATTTCGAGATATGCAAATCATCCTCTTCTTGCTTTCCTGATTTTTCTCAGGATTGCTGACATGCTACAGCTGATCAAAACCCACACCCGAGTACATTTTTGACAGAGATACAGTGATGATTTCATCTTTCATTTTCACCTCCCTCTATCAGTCCCGCAATGATTTCCAGTGTCTGATACCTCGTCACGTTCTGCGGTTGATAATACTATCTCAATTCATGGCCCTTGAAGCCATGTTGACCACCTTTCTGACCTTTGGATAGACAGGGAATACCAGATGGGCTGCGTTTTCCCCTCGGATTTTCTTTCCAGCCTTTTCCCTTTCCACTCTCTTCTTTGCCCCGAGGCGCAGCTTGGTGGACTCCATCACGAGGTTCCCCGACCTCTGACTTATGGTTGGCTTTGGCCCATGTGGTCACTGGGAAGCTCTGCCAGGAATGACTTGAGGCTGGGGCAGTTACTCTCTCGTCTTCCTCTCTGCTGGAGGCTGCAGCTTCTTTAAGTGGCATGGCATCACTGCCCAATTGATGCTGGGCTCCAGTAGCCACTGTCTACCTTACCCTTCAGGCCTGAAGGAGCGTAGGGTGGGCATCTGATACGGTTTGGATGTTTGTTCCCTCCAAATCTTACGTTAAAATGTGATTCCTAATGTCAGAGGTGGTGTCTGATGGGAAGTATTGGGTCACGGGGACAGGTGGGTCCCTCATGAATGGCTTAGCACACTCCCCCTTGGTCATGAGTGAGTTCTTGCTCTATTAGTTAATGCCAGAACTGGTTACTTAAAAAGAGCCTGGCACTTCCACCCTCCCTGCCCGCCCTTCTTCTCTTGCCTGTGGCACGCCAGTTCCCTATGCCTTCTGCCATGACTGAAAGCTTTCTGAGGCTTCACTAGAAGCAGGTGCTGGACCGCGTTTCTTACACAGTCTGCAGAACTGTGAACCAAATAGACCTCCCTTCCATATAAATTACCCAGCCTCAGGTATTCCTGATGAGCAATGCAAAATGGACTAATACAGTCTTTCCACAATTGTCGGCCCCCGAATCCCTCACCACCCCTGTTGGTTTCTTTTCACCTTGCTCCTCTGTAAATGGTCTATTAAACCTCACCATCAACCCCTTTGATGGTGCCATGTACTTACTTCCTGCCGGGCTTTGACTGAAACACCAGGCTTGTTCCAACTGGATGGCTTTGCACGTGATGGCTCCCTTCTTGAACACTCTTCCCTCAGATCTCAGCACGGTCGGCTCCTTCTGAGGGTGTCCAGCCTCAGCACACATGTCAGCGCCTCCGAGGGGCCTCGTCTGTTTACCCTCTCATCGTCCATCCTAGTACCATGCGTCATTTTCTTTATATCACTTTGACCCTCTGAAATGATCAATACTTGGTTGGCTGACTGGGCTTGTCCAGGGCATCCACACCCTCCTAAGTAGATGAGGAGTTGGCAAATATATTCTGTTGAGGGGCAGAGGGTAAATATTTTTGGCTTTGCAGGCCATATGGTCTCTGTCACAACTACTGAAGTCTGCTGTTGTAGCAAGAAAGCTGCCAGAGACATTACATAAATGAGTGGACATGCCTGTGTTCCACTAAAACTTCATTCACAGAAACAGAGCAGAAATGTGTGGTAGGCACATTCTATTCAATAAAGCTATTTAAGAAGCCACAAAAAATACACAACAGGCTGGATTTGTCCTGTGGGCCATAGTTGATGACCTTGAGCTAGCCTGAAGGCAGTGGGGTCTTGTGTGTCCTGTTCACTTTGGGTCCAGTGCTTTGAACGGGGCCTGGCTCGTAGGAGGTGCGTAGTAACTGTTCCCTGAATGCAGACCCAGGAATGCCTGTTCCATGCAGGTCATGGTGCTGGGCAGCGGCAACACCCTGGAGGGCCGGCAAGCACGTGTTTATCACACAACATAGTTGTTGCTTTGTTTTTCTTTTTTTTTTGAGACAGTCTCACTCTGTTGCCAAAGCTAGAGTGCAGTGGTACGCTCTTGGCTCACTGCAACCTCCGCCTCCAGGGTTTAAGTGATTCTCTCACCTCAGCCTCCCAAGTAGCTGGGGCTACAGGCATGTACCACCATGCCCAGCTAATTTTTGTATTTTTAGTAGAGATGGGGTTTCACCATGTTGGCCAGGCTGGTCTCGAACTCCTGACCTCAGGTGATACGCCCACCTTGGCCTCCCAAAGTCCTGGGATTACAGGCGTGAGCCACTGCGTCTGGCCAGTTGTTGCTTCTGATGGTAGATAGGAATGTCCTTTGCGGAGCCCCCAGGGTGAATTGGGTCACCCTGCTGAGAAAGGCGGGACTGGCCTCCCTGAGGAGGGAACACTGGAGCTGCGTCTGGAAGGCTGATTAGGGGTTTGGCAGGTGGGTGAGGTGGGGTAGCAGGGAGGAGGGCTTTACGAGAAGCTTGAGAGGGCCTGGTGTGTTTGACGGACTAGACTCTGCTACCCAGGGTGTTGAGGGTGACTGGAGAGGAGCTCAAGTGGACAGAGGCCAGACCAGAGGCCTGCACACCATGCCTGGTGGTGGGTCATTATCCTCTAGGCGATGGAGCAGCACTGAGGATGCAGCACCGATGAATTCACATGGTTAGAGAGGCGTTTCCATTGAGAGCAGTGTGGAGAGTCATGGAGGGGCTGGTGGCAACAGGAGACTAGAAATCTCCTGTAGAAGCTTCCCTCTATAGAAGCTTCTTGCCCCACATGGGTCTTGGTCTAGGGTGGGGTCTTGGGAGGATTTGTATTTGTTAAACCGAACCTTTTGTTCAGCCAGGGCTGAGGACTGTTCCCTGCCTCGGCACATCCTGCGGTCTCTGTTGGAGAGAACGGACCATAAGCTGATGCAGGCTCTGTTTCTGGCTTGCTCGATGGTGGTACTGTTCCGTGGTGCAGAGGATGAGCAGGTGTAGGTGAGGAGAGGGTGTGTCCAGATTTGGACATTCTACAGGAGTGGGGTGGGGAGAACTGAGATGTTAACAAGTAATTGAAAAATGAGGTCACAGGTAGTACAGCTCTCAAGAAGACAGTACAAGATGATGATGTGAATCTGCAAAGGACCTATGGAGTGGGAATATCTTTTGGTTGGGAGGGTTTGCTTTCTTAGTTGGGGAAAGCATTTTGGAGGTGCGGTGTGTGTGTAGGGGCACAAAGGAGCCAAGACTGGAAGGATGAGGAGGAACCAGCTCTCCCAGTGTCTGGGGGAAGACAGGGAAGGGCATATGCAAAGGCCCTGGGGTAGGGATGAGTGTGGGGTATGGAAGAAATGTCAAGAGGGGCGCAGAGCAGAATGTGAGAGGGCAATGAGGTACGAAATAAGGCATTTGAGTGGAGTTTGGAAAACAGAATTTCCAGTTGACCAAGATTTCTGGTTAATAGAGTACTAGTTATGCTGGTTTAAGAAAACCCGTGCGATAGTGAATGACTGTAATAAGGATTTATAAGATGTACTTGGGAATCCTTGATCCTGTAGGTTCGTGATTTTGAGAAGTTCAACTGCTACATTTTTGCCCCTGGCCTAGCATTACAACCTTGAGAAGATTGAGTACTGTTTACAAGTATGTACTTTTTTGGTTGATAATATTTCTTGAAACTTCTCACTTTGAAAGGGGCCATACAGCATTTGGAAGCTGTATGGGCAGCCTGAGCATTTGGCTTGGATTTAATCATGGGATTTTCTTACTTTGGGCAGCAGAATTCATATAAGTGTGTTTATTCATGCCTTTTTTTTTTTTTTTTTTTTTGAGATGAAGTTTTTTGGCTCTTGTTGTCCAGGCTGGAGTGCGGTGGTATGATCTTAGCTCACTGCAACATCCGCCTCCCGGGTTCAAGCAGCTCTCCTGCCTCAGCCTCCTGAGTAGCTGGGATTACAGGTGCCCACCACCATGCCCAGCTAATTTTTGTATTTTTAGTAGAGACAGGGTTTTACCATGTTTGTCAGGCTGGTCTTGAACTCCTGACCTCAGGTGATCTGCCCACCTTGATCTCCCAAAGTGCTGGGGTTACAGGTGTGAGCCACCGCACCCGGCCTTATTCATGCCTTTTTGACTCACTTCTCCTGTGGCTGTTCTTGAATTTGCATTTGCCATCATGTGAGTGAATCAAGAGTTTGTCGTGTTCGGCCTTTTGAGGAACAGGATAAGGACCACTTAGCAGAACTTTTGGAGACATACTGGCATCTTATTAAGTGGGAAATACATGGTTTCACATGGAAGTGAGTATAAATCGAGTAGGCCTGTGTTTTTGCTTTGGAATCTCTGTTGCTCATGTGTTTCCTGCGTAATTGTCCTGAAGAAGAGAGGAGCTTGAGTGACATGCATTCTGCAAACATCTTGCTCCCTTTTGCAGTGTGCTTTCTAGTTATTATGTGGTGCATATACAGCTTGTGAAGTTGTTCAGCAATTTAGTGGCATAAAAAGATAACCTGCTTGTCAATTTTTGTCTCAGGTCAAGTCACTTATGCCTAAGAAAAGATGAAAAATGATACATGTAGGCAAAATAGTCAATCCTTTAGTTTGAGTCTGTATCAGCTAAACATTTTTTGTAAGCCTCCTTTTACAGGTTTGTTTTTTACCATTCAAATATTAAATATAAACTTTACTTATTTTTATTTTATATTTTGAGACAGAGTCTTGCTCTGTCACCCAGACTGGAGTGCAGTGTTGCAATCTTGGCCCACTGCAACCTCTGCCTCCCAGGTTCAAGCAGTTCTTCTGCCTCAGCCTCCCGAGTAGCTGGGATTACAGGCGCACGCCGCCACCATGCCTGGCAAATTTTTGTGTGTTCAGTGGAGACGGTGTTTTGCCATGTTGTCCAGGTTGGTCTCGAACTCCTGGCCTCAACTGATCCACCTGCCTCGGCCTCCCAAAGTGTTGGGATTACTGGCGTGAGCCACCACACCCGGCCAGACTTTGATTCCCTTCTGACTGATGAGAGTCAGCCAGCTCTGCTGCACACTAGCCATGTGACCTTGGATCTACCACCTCACCTCTCTAGGCCGTGTTTGACCCTGTCTAATGGGGCTACCTTAGGGGGTTGTCGAGAGTTGTTTGAAGTCCTTATCCTGGTGTTTAATGCATGGAAGCATTTAATCCATGTCATCTATTCATGGTAGTAGTATTAACAGTAGTAGTCATTGCCGTTATCGTAATAATAGTAGCAGCAGTCTTGGTTAAAAATGTGATTTGGTGGTTTGCCAAAGTGGATACATTAATTCATTGATGAAACAAACATTTATTGAGCATCTCCTGTGTGTCAGGCACTGAGCAAAATACTTGGGATACAGAGATAAGTGGGTAGGGCTCTTGTGGAAGAGCAGCCAGGCAAATGGGAGAGACAAATGAGGGGGCCATGATGGGCATTCAGAGCAGTGAGCGCTGGAAGCAAATTAAACAGAGGGTGGTTTGGGAGCACAGAGGAAGAAATCTATCCATGGGCTGTGGTCAGGCAAGGCTGAGCCTTGAAACTGGAGGGCTAGCCAGGTTAACATGGTGAAGGAAGGGCTCTCCACTTGGAGGAGCTGGCGAGCAGGAAGGCGGGGGGCATAGGCAGCCGAGTCTTGTAGTGTGCAGGGGAGCGTGGCGCTCAGTTCACTTGGAGCTGATTATGGTATTGGGCCATTTCCTTACCAGAGCCTTTCCCCACCTACTTCTCAGGTGGCTGGACCAAGAAGGATATGAATTGTTATGTAGACACAGCTCCTGGAAAACCCAAAGATCCCGTGTACCCACCCTCCTTTAGAGGCCCCGTATTTATTTGTTTGATGATTGCCACCAGCAGCTTCAGGCATCAGAGTTGGGTGTGTGTGGCTGTTGAAAACCAGGAAGTCATGATCCACTTTCATTCAGTGCTTCCAGCAGATCTCGTGTCCAACTTAATATTGTGAATTTAATAACTGTTGGTTTGTTTGGACTATTTATATGCTTATTTTGCAAAGCAAAACTCAAGCCCTACTAGGAAGAAGAAAATGCTCCGTCTTTGCTTTGGGTTGCTGCATGGAGCTCTCCTTACGTGGATCAGCCAGTGGTTAAGGAAGGTGGTAAACTGGGGACTTTCTGTTACAGTCTTCCACATGGCCCATTTGCTCAATGCATGTCTTTTTTGCTTCCAAAGGAATTTTGACTTTGTGGGGCATGCTATGATGAAGTCTTGGCTTTGCTGGCTGAACCGAGTATATTGCCTTCCTGGCCATCTCATAGCTGGTGAGGTCGTTCTTCCCATTTGGAAACTGTTTTTTCTTTGTTTCCCTCATGAGAAGTCTGGTTCCAGTGGCCTATGACTGCACCAGCTGGTTGTCTGGCCCAGAGCTGGAGTCACCTGATGGTCCTTGTCTGAGCTCTGCCGCCGATGCAGATGAGGTTGCAGAGAGGTGGCTGTGGGGGCCACCTGTCTGGCCCTCCAGACTGTCCAGGTGTCAGATGTCACAGAGCCTCTGTGGGTCCAGGTAGAGCTCTTGATATTTCTTGTTCCTTCCCTGAGCTCACCTGGTTGCCCTTCTTTTTGTCAGGGTTGACTTCTCCACCCACCACCACCACCATCATCAATATGATCATCATCATAGTAGCCACCATTAATTGCCCAGGGTTGGGAGGTGCAATCATTGATTCCATTATCGCCACCATTAAGTAATGATGATTATGATGACTGCAGCTCACATTTATTGAGTGTTTAGTGTGTTTCAGACATTCTTTTAATCCTCCCAATGAGGTAGGTAGAAGTACCACTGCCCTCTTAGAGATGTGGGACCAAGGCACAAAGAAGTCATCACTTGTTGAAGGTAACAAGCCGGGGAGTGAATGAGCCAGGATCCAGTTTCAGTGTGATTCTACATCAGGGGTTGGCAAACTGTCACCTGCAGGGCCACCGTTTATTTCGTGAATAAGGTGTTATTGTAACCCATTTGTTTAGGAATGGTCCTTGGCAGCTTGCATGTGGCAGCAGCAGAGGTGAGTAGTTACAAAGGAGACTGCGTGGCTCACAGGCCTGACCCTTTACCAAAAGAGCTCACCTGGCACCCTGTTCTGGAACCCAAGCTCTCAGCCAGCACGCTGCGCTGGCTCTCAAGGAAAGACAAAATCACCAGGTTTCCACAGTGTCCCAGGCACTGGGAGACAGTCATGAAGTGGCGTATTCTGGTGAGGAGGCAGACAGTAATGATATACTCACTTTAGTACAAAGAGAGAATTGCTCTGAAGGAAAAGTGTAGGCTGTCAAGAAAGCAGCAAACACAGGCAGCGAGTGCTTGCATGTCTATGCTGGAGGGCGGGGATCCAGGCAGTTTCGCTGGTGGAAGTGACATTTGAGCAGATGAGGGTGGAGGGAGGAGCCTTTGGGGGAAGGAAAGGATGTGCAAAAGCCCAGAAGTGAGCAACCATGACCTAGAGGAAAGCGTGATTCCCCTTTGCATGTGAGGAAACTGGAAGCTTAAGGAACCCTTGTCACGGGTCACATGGCAAGCTGAATGGTTGCTCAGAGAATCGAACCAACTTTGTTTGAATCTAAGCCCCATGTTGTTGCTCCTATTCTAGGTTCCTCTGCTCCTAGGTCCCCACCTCGTTACATACCTCGCCCCAGCTAGCATCTTCCCATAACTGAACAGGCTGACGGGTGCCCTCGTGACCTTGGAATGTGCCTTGGCCGTAGCACAGGGGCATTGGCGTGGTTTCTGGAGCCAGCCTACTGTACATTCCTGGTTTTTCCCTTTGCTTCATCTCTCATCACACAGAGGCGCTTCAGCCACATTTCTGGTTCACCTTTGCTGCTAGAATCTTCTTAACAATAACGTATTGAGTTATTATTAGATCGTTACATAAATTTCTATCAACGCATTCTGGTAGATTTGCCCTCTAGAGAGCTCCTTCAGGAGAAAAGCTCTTAGAAGAGTGATGTGAGGGAGTGAGTTCTTTGCATGCCGGTTTCTTCTTGCCCCAGATCATCCGGAGAGAGGGCAGAACCTTGGCACCTGGGTTGTGGGGTGAGGAGGGTGGTGGTCCCCTTCTGACCTGCACGTGCTGGGGAGAGCTTTTACCAGAAAGGGTTTTCCGTCACAGCTGAAGGATGGCTTTGGAGGTGATCTCAAGACTTGGCCTCACTGCTGAGGGGTGTGAGGTTTCTTGTGCAGGTGATGCAGTGTTCTACGATAACATTGTCGGGATAGCTGCACAGCTCTGTGAATATGCTGAAAACCACTGAATCGTATGCTTGAACTGGGTGAATTGTTTGGTATGTGAATTGTATCTCACAGCTGTTCTTTTAAGAAGGAGAAGCCTGACAAAGCTTCAGGGAGGCTGTCCGGGAGCCCCAGTTCTAGGGAGGGTGCCCTGTAGGCTCAAAGCGCAAGTGACGCCGCCTGGTTTGTTCATGGCCCCGTGAGGCTGTGACACTGAAACAAGCCAAAATGTAGCTCTCGTGGGTGGGAGCTGATCACGGGCTTCCTTTTCAGAAATGACCCCAGGAGGCCATGTGGGTCTTGTCAGTGGGCACGGACTTGGCTGGAGGGCCTGGGCTGGGGATGGTCCTTTGCCGCCTACTGCCTTGGTGAAGTGGCTTTGTCTTCGGGCAAGGCAACATGGACGTACTGTGTGAACAGGAGGGGATGGCAGACATTTAAAATGCATTCATGGCCAGGCGTTGTGGCTCACGCCTGTAATCCCAGCACTCTGGGAGGCCAAGATGGGTGGATCACCTGAGGTCAGTAGTTCGAGACCAGCCTGGCCAACATGGTGAAATGCTATCTGTACTAAAAATACAAAAAATTAGCCGGGAATGGTTGTGTGTGCCTGTAATGCCAGCTACTTTGGGAGGCTGAGGCAGGAGAATCACTTGAACCCCAGAGGCGGAGGTTGCAGTGAGCTGAGATCATGCCACTGCACTCCAGCCTGGGGACCATCCAGGGTTCAACAGCCGCCTCCTGGGTTCAAGTGATTATCCTGCCTCGGCCTCCCAAAGTGCTGGGATTACAGGGGTGAGCCACCGTACCTGGCCACATTCATTTATTAAATATTGGTGCTGCAGGAAATGGTAAAGAAGGTGGATAAGAAGCTCAAGTTCTAGATCGGGTTTCTTGCTCTCCGTGCCGACACTTGGGCTGGATAATCCTTTGTAGTGGGGGCTGTCCTGTGCACCTCTGACTTCTAGATGCCAGGAGTGCTCCTCCCTTCCCCGTTATGAGAACTAAAGAAGTCTCCAGATGTTGCCCAGTGTCCCCTGGGGTTGAAATTGCCCCAGTTGAGAAGCCTGGCTCTAGATGGTGGGGGCAGATCCTGTGGCGGAGGAGCCATGGAGAACACATGGTGTGAGAGTGGCAGCGCATGTGATGGTGTGTGGGTGACAGGGAGCGGGTTCCTTAGTGAATCTCAGTGAACGTGTGTATGTGAGCTGGCGACTGGGGAGGCCGTGTAGCGTTTGTGGCAGTTGAGAGCACTGGATCCAGACCCATGGAGCAAAGCCAGCTCTGGGTCTCCTCTGTTACGTGGGGGAGACCACTTAGCCCTGAGGTCATCAGTGGGGGAGGCGTGTGGATGGGTGTGCCTGCCTGCTGGTATGCGTGTATCAGAACAGAGAGGAAAAGCTCAGGCAGAAGGAGGAGGGTAGATGGGCTGTTCGTGGGGCTGTGGGGGTGGAGAAGAATGCTCTGACATGGGACGGAGGCTTCTGGGACTTCTCACGGATTGGTTACAGAGGGAGCTGTGGAGGGCGACAGCCAGGATTCTGGTTTAAGTGGCTGAGTGGGTGGTAGACACGGTCCCAGAGAAGGGGTTCTGTGGGAGAGGAGGCTGTGTGAGTGAGTGAGTGTGTGTGTGTGAGAGGAGTGTGAGTGTGTGTGTGAGAGTGAGAGCACGTGTGTGTGTATGGGGTGTGTGACTAAGGAGTATGAGAGTGTGAGTGTATGAGGAGTGTCTGTGCGCGCGCGCGTGCTGTTTACAGGGCCTCCGAGACATCCCGGAGGCCCTGATGGCTGGAGAGAGAGCCGTAGGATTTACTGACGACCTGGAGCCCAGGAGAAAAATCCCGGCCAGCGTGTTTAGGGTGTTAGGGGCGCAGCGTGATTTTACATATCTTAGATCACATAGCAGCTTGGAGGAGAGCTTGGAGGGACCTTTCACTAGGCCCGGTGCTTGTTTGCGGTCTATAATTCCTTCTCTAGCTCCTCATGGACCCTGTGGGACAGCCTCACCCTCCTGCCTGGTTGACACGGGCTCTTTGAGAGCTGAGAGGTTCCTACTGACCTGTATTATTCCTGCTGCTAATTGGAGGTTTTAGAAAGCTGCCCACACTATCTTCACGTGATGACTAAGAGCGCCAAATGGAACCCAGGTCTGGGGTCTGCCGTTGCATCCCTAAACCTTTCTGAAAAGGCTTACTTTTTTTTTTTGAAGGGAGGGAGGGAGAAAACACGCACAGTTAGTCCCATCTTTTGGATCATCCTGAGTCAGATAGCAGCAAATGTGTGGTTTTGAAGTCATACCAGAGCATGGGCTTTTTCAGCAGAAGATTCTCACGTTTTGAGCCTGTGCTTCAGAGGGAGGGCTCTAGGGAGGGCAGGAGGTCTGCTGAGCACCCAGCTCTGGCTGTAGCTGTGTTCCACAGGCCGTGGGTGGGTTTCTGCCTTTACAGTGGAGAGGCTGGTTCAGGGCTTAGCCCTCTTCTGGGGTAGCGTTGCCCTCCCTGGGGAACCTTGGCAAGTGCCAAGAGCCACAGGCAGCCCAGATTTCAGGACAGGGAACTGAAGAGTAGATGGATTTCTCCTGACCGAAAGGATAGGGAGGCCTTAGCTTGGGCATTGTACAGTATTTGCTTGCGTTCCTGTTTCACTAATGATTGTTATATGTACTCAGCCTCTAATGTCTTGTGGTGTGGTGGTATGGCCCAATTGTTAGATTTGGTAGAAGACCTAGTTTTGATCATCAGTTCTGCTGCTTTCTGGCTGTGCACTGTCAGGCAATTCCCTGACCTCTCTGGGCCCCAGTGTCCAGTGAATCCCAAGCCTCACAGGACATTGACGAGGATGCGGTGAGAATTCTGAGATTGCCAGCAGACATCCCCGCTGCTGCTTATTAGTGGTGGTGTTCTACGTTACCACTTATTTTTCTAAATTACACCAAAAGCTTTGAGTCTTTATTCTGGAAGTGTTACTCTCTGTTTTAGCAGTGTTTTTATAGACTTAACAACATGAAGTGTTGCCTAAGAATGAAATGCAAATCGGTACCTGGTGGCTCTCATTGTGGCTTTGCTTGTCAGCTGAGAAGTAGGCCACGTATGTTTCTGAAAAGGAAGATGGCAAACTCTTCTTGGGAATTCAAGATGGGAAGAAAAAGAAGGGAGGAGGAAAGGGGCGAGGCTGGAGGGAAAAGGTGGAGACAGGCCAGAGGGTGGCAAGGTGTCAGTGCAGGGCTGAGATCTGTCATTTTACTCTTCTGCTGGGTGGTACCTCCAATATCTCTGAGTCCCCCAGGGCCAGGAAGAGAAGAGGATGCTGGATGGAGGAAAAGCTTGGGTGGGATCCCACCTCTACCATCTGGCAGAGGGGTCATCTTGGTCACCATCCTTCACCTCTCCTTCACCTCACCATCATTCACCTCTCTGGATCTCAGTGTTCTCATCTATAAAATGGGTTTATAATATTCTCTTCCTTTCAGCAATGTTGAAGGATTAAATGAAATCAGGCAAGGTGCTTAGAATACTGCCTGACAGATATTAAGGGCTCAAAGAATTGTCATTGTCATTAACATGATATTATGATAAACGGACTTGACTTTTATAATCCCTCGAGATAGGAAGGACAGATGATCATGCCATTCTCGATTTAAGGGACATGGGCACTGAGATTCAAAGAGGTAAAGTAATGGATGTGAAGTGGCACACAGGGCAGGGGTCAGTCAGTGTTCTATGTGAAGATGGGAAATACTTTCAGCTTTGTGGGCCGTATGGTCTTCGTCGCAGCTGCTCAACTCTGCCATTGTAGTGTGAAAGCAGTGTTGAAGTCAGGTGAAATATGGAGATGAATCTACATTTAAAACGTTTATTTGGGAAGCAAGAATTGGAATTCAGGGTGTACACACAGACCAGGTGGTCTCTGGTAGGTCCAAAGAACAAAGAGAGGGTTGGAGGTTTTCTAAACAGGAAAAATGTTCCACATTGCTCTGCAAGGAAGTCAATTGGCGCCGGTAAGTTCTGTGGAACCGACAACCTCTGATTGGTGAGTGACTGCCGGAGATAAAGCTGGTCTTAGAATTGCAGCCAGTTTCAGTAGCTATTAGATAAAAGTGGGTTCTGGTTCCAACAGGCGGTTCCAACAGCCAGGCTTGCAGAGAGTTACATTCGTGGAGCAATGTTATATTCCCTGAGTGCTTTTCCCTACTGGCCACTTGACTCTGTTTTAGTTGGGTGTGACAAGAATGACCCAGTTTGTGTGATCAGCTTTCACAAGCAGGCACAGATACTGTATGCTCTAATGGCATGCCTGTGTTTCAATAAAACTTTATTTACAAAAAACAGATGCTGGCTGGGTTTGGCCTGTGGGCTCTAGTTTTTGACCCCCTGACTTCAGTGCCCAAGTGCTGAGTGAGGTCTTGAATCTGTATCTTTTGGCTCCAAATTCTAGCTCTCTCTCATTCTGTCATGTAGCTTCCTCTACGTCCCAATCAGGAGAAGCTTATATCTGTTAACCAGGAGCCAAACACCTTCTGCTTCTGGAGCCAATGCTAATGTTTGGGAGAAGGGAAGGCTTCATTTTCCAACCTCTGTGATGCCTGCAGAGATGTTTCCTTGCTTATAACTTAATGCGATTTGATCCCCTTGACTTTTGGATGGGTGCTGCTGCCCCTCTGCTTCTTATTTATTTATTTAGAGACAGAGTCTCACTCTGTTGCCCAGGCTGGAGTGCAGTGGTGCGATCTCAGCTCACTCTGCCTCCCGGCTTCAAGCAATTTTCCTGCCTCAGCCTCCTAAGTAACTGGGATTACAAGTATGCCCCACCATGCTGGGCTAATTTTTGTATTTTTAGTAGAGATGGGGTTTCACCATACTGGCCAGGCTGGTTTCGAAATCTTGACCTTAAGTGGTCCCCCCCAACCTTGGCCTCCCAAAGTGTTGGGATTACAGACATGAGCCACTGCCCCCGGCCCCCTGTGCTTCTTATTAGTGGTTCTGCAGAAGCAAGTCTGAATAACCCAAGGTCATTATTGGGAACTGCATGTTCCTGTTAACTCCCCCTCTAGAGGGCAGATAGATGCTTCCCTGGTGCACTACTGGTATTACAGAGCAGTGTCTCCTGGGACATGTAGCTAGAGCGTCTCCCCTGTGCTTCTGAGCTGTAGGAATTATGATGTGGGAAGTTTGGTGCAGTGAAACTCATCAAGAGAGCAGGTGGTGGGTACACAGTTAGCCTAGTGACCTCTTTGACTGCAGAAACTCAGGGCAAGAAGACAGTGGTCCCATCTTGGCAAGATACATCGTTTGAGATTTTCAGCCTTGACCTCTGCCCAAAGGAAAGGGCGAGAGAATCTAGCTGTTGCTGCCCATTTGAGCTCTGGGCAGATGGGAGGTAGGGAGATTTATCATGGGATTTTGGCCAACTCTGCAGCGGCATTAGCTCCTTTGTTGACCCAAGCTGGGCTGGAAGAGGAATTAACAATGACAGACAAACCAACCTCTTGTGGCGTTCACCAGTTTTCAAGGCAGCATTTGAGCCAGCACAAAAGAATTCTCAAAGCTTGTTCAAGGGAATAGGTTTATTTTCCACGTGATAATGCTGTTGGTGCTTTATAAATGATGAACAATAAAAAGATTAGGAGGTTATCAAATGACATGGATGTGGGATCTGTGCCATGTGGCTTGTTTGAAAGTTGCTAAGCTCTCCCCTCCTCTTAGTAATAAACAGCATGTTGAAGGAGGTTTTATGTTTGGCATTTTTGCTCTTTGGATTTTTAGGGGGAAGAAAGTGGTCCTATAAATGGAAAGTATTATTACTATTAAAAAAAAAACAACCAATTATCTTGTCCCTGAGGTAAGAGGGCTAGTAAACAGCTTAGTGTCCTCTCCTGAGAGGTCTCACAAGCAATGCTAATTATATTTCATTTACTGCTTAGGTGGCTTCTAAAGGGAGATTGACTTGGGAATAATTATTTGGGGATTATTCTGTTTTTAGGGTTTATGTTCAGGGATTATCTAAATTTTTACTGATCTATTACTAGGTTGCATTTTTATAAACTTCCTCTATTATAAATTTGTAGCAGGCAAATTTGGCCCCTGGCCAGAAGTGGGTCACTCTTGGTCATGGAGTGAATTATGTCCGCCTACCCCCCGAATATATATGTTAAGCCCTAACTCCCAATGTGATTGTATCTGGAGATAGGGCTTTTAAGGATGTAATTGAAGTGAAATGAGGTCATAAGTGGGGGGCTGGCCGGGCATGGTGGATCATGCCTTTGGGAGACCATGGCAGGTGGATCACTTGAGGTCAGGAGTTCGAGCCCAGCCTGGCCAAAAAGATGAAACCCCTTCTCTGCTAAAAATACAAAACAAACAAACAAACAAACAAAAAATTAGCCAGGGATGGTGGTACACACCTGTAATCCCAGCTACTTGAGAGGTAGAGGCACAAGAATCTCTTGAACCTGGGAGGCAGAGGTTTCAGTGAGCCGAGATGGTGCCCCTGCACTCCGGCCTGGGTGGACACAGCAAGACTCCGTCTCAAAAAAAAAAAAAAAGTACGGGGCTGTAATACGATAGGACCGATACCCTTATAAGAAGAGGGGAGGTTGGGTGTGGTATAATAGCTCACACCCATAATCCCAGCACTTTGGGAGGCTGAGGCAGGAGGATCACTTGAGGATCTCTTGGAGTTTGAGACTAGCTTGGGACACATAGGAAGACCATGTTTCTACAAAAATAATTAAAAAAAAAATTAGCCATGGACTACCCTTGTAGTCCTAGCTACTTGGAAGGCTGAGGCAGGGAGATTGCTTGAGCCCAGAAGTTGGAGGTTACAGTGAGCTATGATTGTGTCATTGCGGTCCAGCCTGGGCAATAGAGCAAGACCTTGTCTAAAACAACAACAACAACAACAAAACAAAGAAGAAAAATGATATCAGGGGACACACTGGCAGAGAGAAGATCATGTGAGGAGTGGGGGGAAAAGGCAGCCATCTACAAATCAAGGAGAGAGACCTCAGAAGAAACCAACTCTGCCAACACCTCAGTGTTAGACTTCCAGCCTCCAGAACTGTGAGAAATACATTTCTGTGGTTTCAACTGCCCAGTCTCTGGTATTTTGTTATGGCAGCCCTGGCAGACTGATAGACATTAGTGATGTCTCTTCTCCCAGCTTTTGACAGGTGCAGGTTCAAATCTTGGTTCTGCTGCTTAGCAGCTTGAGTCTTTAGACAAGCTGATAACCTTTCCGTGCCCCGGTTTCCATTTATGTGAAATGGGAATAGTGAATGTTCCAGAAACTATGTCTAGTCAGTCCTCAGTATCTGTGGGTTTTACATCCATAGATTCAACCAACTGCAGATTGAAAATATTCAGGAAGAACATACAAAATATCAATACAATAATAGAAAACAACACAAATAAAAATCCAAAATAGTATACCAATTATTTATATAGCATTTGCATTATATTAGGTATTATAAGTAATCTAGAGGTGATTTAAAGTCTACCGGGGGATGTGTTTAGGCTATTTACAAATACTGTGCCATTTCATATAAGGGACTTGAGCACCCTTGGACTGTGGTATGTGAGGTGGGTCCTGGAGCCAATACCCCATGGATACCAAAGGATGTGTCTGTGTGTTGTTTTAGTGTGAATTGTGAAAGAGATTGGCTACATCTGAGTGTTGCTATCAAATGTTGATTCTCATTTGTTCTCAGTGATTTGAATTTGACAACCTGGGGATACACATTTTACTAGGGTTTATGACTGAGGCAGTGTGGTGTGGGGGAAAATTTGCAGGTCCTGGGGTCGGGCTGTTCAGGGTTTTTTTTTGTTTCTGTTTTTTGTTTTCTGTGATGGAGTCTCAATTTGTCATCCAGGCTGGAGTGTAGTGGCTCAATCATAGCTTACTGTAGCTTCCAACTCCTGGGATCAAGCAATCCTCCTACCTCAGCCTCCTGAATAGCAGAGACTAGAGGTACACACCACTACACCCGGCTAATCATTTTACTTTTTGTAGAGACATGGTCTCCTTGTGTTTTCTGGGCTGGTCTTGAACTCCAAGAGATCCTCAAGCGATCCTCCCACCTCAGCCTCCCAAAGTGCTGGGATTATGGGTGTGAGCCACCATGCCTGGCTGAGTTCAGGTTTTTCTCTGTTTTACTTCTGTGTCGGTGTGTCTAGCTGCTTTCCTACTCACAGCCTCAGTTTACTTAGCTGTAAAGTAGTAGGAGGAGAGTGGAATTGGGCTGGATCGTTAGCATTCTTGTATGTGATGCCAGTTATATGATTTTTATGGCTCCATTTTAATTATCGAGATGTGACTAGGTCCTCATGACCCTCCTGTGGTCTTTGTCCCCACGTGTGTGTGTTTATCTGTGTAGGTCTTAATGAAAGTTACACCTATCATCTTCACAAGCAGACTGTCATATTCTCTCACAGCTGCAGTGCTTGTCTCAATGCCTGGTATATAATAGATGCTTAATTATTGTGAATTTTTTAATAGCTGTATTAAGATGGGATTTACATCTCTTACAATTCACCCACCCACCTATGCAATTCAGTGGTTTTTTATATATTAACAGTATACAATTATTTTTTTCCAGTCTTTTAAAATGAGTGAATGAATTCTGTATCTGGTGCTTTGTCTGTAACAGTGTTAACTTCAATCAGTCAATATTTGCCAAATGCCTGCTGTGGGCGGGGTGCTGGTCTCAACACTGGGGAGATAGCAGTCCGACAATCAGATGAAATTCCCCCTGCCCTCACGGAGCTTAGGTTCTTGTTGGGAGAACACTCTGTGCCTAGATATGATAGTTTTTTGGCATCTGTTTTTTGTCTAGCTTTTCTCCAGCTGTTGTGCAGAGATGGTTAGCTGGCTAGTGATAACCCGTAGTCTACTTTGTCTTAGACCTCGTTGTCCTCACTGTTTCAGACATTGCTGGTAAATGCTCTATGTCATCTTAGTTTTCATATGATCAATAGTCACTAGACATGGGGGAGGGAGCCAGGGCAGGAAATGCCAGGCTGGAGGTTACAGATGCTGCAGGCTCAAGGGGACAAGACGCACAGGGACCCTGGCAGGATGAGCATCTCGTGGTTACAGGGACCGGGGCATGGGCTGATGGGTTCCTCTGGGCTCCCTTGCTTATGTTCCTTCCATTTGCTATGATGTGGGGGTGGTGGTTATGTTGGAAGGGCGCCGGTGCTGGGAGAGGCATGTAAACTGTTAGCAGCCAGAAGAGGTGGGAGGTTTAAGTCATGCTCATTGGAGTGTGATGCTGGAGACGTATTGCTTTCTGTTCCATGGAATGCAACCCTCAGTCAGGACGGCACCCAGCTGTCCCCAGATTTCGCAAAACCAGCCTGGCTTTTGTCTTCTGTTGAGTCAGCCCAGGACACAAGGGGCCAGATGTCCTGAATGTTCCGTCATGGTCCTGGAAAAAACATGGAACCCCCAACAGTTGGGAAGCTCGCTTGATAGGCCTTCTGACTTTTTGTATAGGAGATCAGAGATGAGTCAAAACAGGACCTTCCAGGGTATGGCCCGGGCCCTCTCTGTTATCGTGCATACGCAATGCTCTTAGTGGTGGTCGCCTGTCTTCAGCATCCAAAGTATCAGACAGTGTGTGTAGTTTTCCGACTTGAGTAGTATTTTCTTTTCTTTGTACAGTTGTGCATGTGTGACTTGGAAGGAGCATATTTGACTAGATGACACATGGGCTTCTCTGGAGTTCCTGCTCTGATCGTAATAGTGTATTATTTTTCTGAGGCTGTGTCTGTATTGTGCTAGAAAGCAAATGAGTTATTATGGATCATTCCAAGTGTATTATCCCATGTATCCCTGAGATGCTTTGTATGTGAATGCTTTGTATATGGGTTAAATATAAAATAGCATAAATAAATAACCCTGTAATACTGAGTTTGAATGGGAAATTTCAGTGTGAAATGATGAGGTATTTTAAAATTGTGTTTGTGTGTCTGTGTGTGTGTATATATATATTCCTATGTGTAGATATCTATAAGGTTTTAGAATAACACTACTACAACAATATAATTGCCAAGAACATATAAAAATATTGGCTTGTGAGGGCCGGGCACAGTTGCTCACACCTGTACTCTTAGCTTTGGGAGGCTGAGATGGGAGGATCACTTGAGTTCAGGAGTTCGAGATCAGACTGGGCAACGTGGCGAAGCCCCATCTCTATACAAAATAGAAAAAGTTAGCCAGGTGTGGGGGTGCACACCTGTAGGCCTAGCTACTCGGGAGGCCGAGGCAAGAGGATCGCCTGAGCCCAGGAGTTGGAGGCTGAATGAGCCATGATGGCGCCACTGTACTCCAGCTTTGGTGACAGAGTGAGACCCTGTCTCAAAAACAGACAAACTGGCATATGTTTCCCTGTTTTCTTCCATTTTAAGAAAATATTCATTTTAAATCTACTTTACCTGAGCCTATGGCCAGTATATACTTTACTCATTCCTTTTGAATCCTGGTCTCATCTTGAGTTTATGTTTAATGCTTTCCACCAGTTCTCTGTTGGTATGTTGCTAGTCGTTTAGGTTATTGCAAGCTTCATCTGTGACGGATTCTGCAAGGGACTGTTGATGGTTACAGTATTCCCAGAGTTGTTACACGTTGTTACTAGTTTGTGCTCTTTATACTTACAAATCAGTATTGTGGATCCAAAAATTTGTAGGTCACATTTTCTGAGAGTCTTAAATATGTTACTACATTTTCTTGAGGCATTGCTGTCAAAGTCTTCTCCTTAGAAGACTTGCCCAAAGGAACTCTTCTTTCTCTAAACGTCAGCGATTTTACTAGACTATATCTAGGTGTTAGTCATTCCGTCAGTATTTTCAGGTACATGGCATGTTCTTTCAGTCTCTTTCAATGTGGAACTTCGGGTCTCTTTATTCCAACAAAGTGTTTTTGAATTGAGTTTTTAGTACCTGTTATTTTGGTTTCTTCTCCAGGGGCTTCTGTTTTCTGTTCATCTTATTTACCTGTCTTCAGTATTTGTCACTTCCTCTCAAATCTATCCCTTTCTTCATATCCTTTTCTTTTTCTAAAAAAAACAAACAAAAAACAAACTTGCTCTTTTCATCTTCTAGGTGTTCCTTCTAGGTTGGTCTTCATTTCTGAAATACTTTCTTTAATGTTCTGAGTTTGGTTACCTCGCTGCATTTTTCTGGTTCTGGCGTACGTTGTTCTTTTATGTCATTTTTGTATTGTCTCCAGCTTGTTTTGCAGTAGGTCAAAGTCACTTGAGAATTTCTGGCGCATCTTTATCTGCAGCTATATTCTATTACTTATTCTGTTTCTCCTCATAATATTGTGTATGGTTTTATTGGATACTTCTTTGTTGCTTCTCTGTCTCTTTTTTTTTTTGAGATGGAGTCTTGCTCTGTCGCCCAGGCTGGAGTGCAGTGGCGCGATCTCGGCTCACTGCAAGCTACGCCTCCCGGGTTCACGCCATTCTCCTGCCTCAGCCTCCCGAGTAGCTGGGACTACAGGCGCCCGCCACCACGTCCGGCTAATTTTTTAAATATTTTTAGTAGAGACGGGGTTTCACCGTGTAAGCCAGGATGGTCTCGATCTCTTGACCTCATGATCCACCGGCCTCGGCCTCCCAAAGTGCTGGGATTACAGGTGTGAGCCACCTCGCCTGGCCCGTTGCTTCTCTTTATGTGTAGTTAGGAAGTGAAACTTTAGGAGAGAGGCGTGGTAGAGGGAGCAGAGCTCTCTCTCCTGTGGATTTCGTGTGGTGTTAGGCATACTGCAGCTTGTTTTCTGAGCTTTCCTGGCTCTTATCCCCCATTTCATCTGGATCTTCTTTTTCCCTCTTCTCTAATGTCTCGCTCCTGCTAAACTGTGATTCTGCTTCTGTAGCTTTTTCCCTCACTGCAGGGCCCAGTCCTGGAAGGGAGTCCTGACAGTACAGATTTGAGAGTCAGTGGAGGTGGGCCTGGGTTACCGTGGATCTCCTTGCGCTCACCTGCTAGGGGAGAGGAAGAATCTCCTGGCTTTACTGCACTTCTCAACGTGGCCCACCACGCTTTTATGAACCCCGAATATCTGAGACAGGCCTCAGTTAATTTAGAAAGTTTATTTTGCTAAGGTTGAGGGCGTGCCCATGACACAGCCTCCGGAGGTCCCGAGGACATGTGCCCAAGGTGGTCAGAGCATGGTTGGGTTTTATACGTTCTAGGGAGACATGAGGCATCAATCAACATATGCAAGATGAACATTGGTTCGGTCTGGAAGGCGGGACAACTCGAAGCAGGGCTTCCAGGTCCTAGGTAGATTAGAGACAAATAGTTGCATTCTTTTGAGTTTCTGATTAGCCTCTCCAAAGGAGGCAACCAGATAGGCATTCAGCTCAGTGAGTAGAGGGGTGACTTTGAATAGAATGGGAGGCAGGTTTGCCCTAAGCAGTTCCCAGCTTGACTTTTCCCTTTAGCTTAGTGATATGGGGGCCCCAAGATTTCTTTTCCTTTCACTTTCCTTCCAAGGAGCACCTGTTGGTGATTTGCGGGGAGGGGGCTGCCGGTGATTTGGGGGCCTGTTGGTGATTTTGGGAGGTCTGTTGGTGATTGAGGGGGGGTCCTCCTCAGGGCTTTTCATCAGATCTGTCGCTTGCCTCTGTGTTCTACGCAGATACCATGTAGGCCTTGTGGCTGTGACTTTATCCTTGCCTGCTTATATTTTGGGGTTTATGGGGGTACCTTGTCACCTAGCGTTGTTGTAAATGCTGTCTGTGGGCTTCTGCCTTTTTTTTTTTTTTTCTGGAGACGGAGTCTCACTCTGTCACGCAGGCTGAAGTGCAGTGGCACGATCTCAGCTCAATGCAACCTGTGCCTCTGGGGTTCAAGCGATTCTCCTGCCTCACTGTTCTAAGTAGCTAGGACTACAGGCATGCGCCACCACGCCTGGTTAATTTTTTTGTATTTTTAGTAGAGATGGGGTTTTTGCCATGTTGACCAGACTGGTCTTGAACTCCTGACCTCAGGTGACCTACCTGTTTCGGTCTCCCAAAGTGCTGGGATAACAGGCATGAGCCACTGTGCCCGGCCTAGTTTTTTTTTTTTTTTTTTTTTAATGGGGATTTTGAGAGATTAAAAAATTATTCTGCTGTCACTGTCGTCTTTCCAGAATCTATTTCTAAACGGGCATTTAAAATAATACTAATCCCCCTTTGATAATAATCCCACTGGACAAAGCACAAAGGAAGGAAGCTGCCAGCAAGGGTGAAATTAAAGGCGAACAGGCAGCTGGTAATAGGCCAATTGATTACGGTGGATTAGAGCTCATTTTGCTTCACAAAAGTAATTACTCTGATGGCTGCTAACGCTTGCTCATTCAGAGCAGAGCTTCCCAGCCACTGTGCTGCAGTTGGTTCTTGGGAGGGCTGAGATAGTGATTCCTTCAGCACTCAGGGTAGTACTGAGGTGGCAGGAGCTCCGCACCCCTGCCAACCAGTTACCTCTAGCCTGAGTTTCATCTGTTTACCCTCAATGGGACATAGAAATGTCATCCTGAGGCCCGATGCAGTGGCTTACACCTCCCAGCACTTTGGGACGCTGAGGCGGGTGGATCACTTGAGGTCAGGAGTTCGAGACCAGCCTGACCAACATGGTGAAACCCCATCTCTACTAGAAATGCAAAAAAAAATTAGCCAGGTGTGGTGGTGGGCACCTGTAGTCCCAGCTAGTCAGAAGGCTGAGGCAGGAGACTCCCTTGAACCTGGGAGGCGGAGGTTGCAGTGAGCTGAGATTACACCACTGCACTCCAGCCTGGACGACAGAGCGAGACTCTGTCTCAAAAAAAAAAAAAAAAAAAAAAAAGGACATCATGAGCTTTGCAATATGGATTTATTTATTCATCACTCTTTTTTCATGGTTGGGGGTAGAGACAGGGTCTCACTTTGTCACCCAGGTTGGAGTGCAGTAGATCATAGCTCACTGCAGCTGCAGCCTCCTGGGATCAAGCAATCCTCCTGCCTCAGACTCCCAAGTAGCTGGGAGCACGGGCGTGCGCCACCACACTGGGCTAATTTTAAATTTTTGTTTTAGAGGTGGAGTCTCCCTATGTTGCTCAGGCTGGTCTTGAACTCCTGGGCTCAAGCGATCCTCCCGCCTTAGCCTCCCAAAGTGCTGAGATTACAGGTATGAGCCATGGCACCTAGACAAATACTTTGTATTTTTTTTAAATTTCCTTTTTATTTTGAGAAATTTCAAACCTGCTGAAAAGTCCTAGTACTATAAACTTGGATGTACCTACCGTCCACCTAGATTTACCAACTTTTTTTTTTGCATATTTCTCAGTGTTTTTCTAAATAAATGAATAAACACAAACATACAGAGATACATACTGTGTATAGATATGTATGTGTGTATGTAAATATACTTTTCCTAAGCAATGTGAAAGTTGTTTCAGACATTGTGATTCTTTTTCCCTGAACTCTTCTGCACTTCTTTCCGAAGAACAAGGATATTCTCCTACATTACCCCATAGGAATGTCAGAGGCATTTGAACCAGAACAACTCCATCTGGAATAGGGGCTGGGTAGAATGAGGCTGAAACTACTAGGCTGCATTCCCAGATGGTTAAGGCATTCTAAGTCACTGGATGAGATAGGAGGTCGGCACAAGATACAGGTCCCAAAGACCTTGCTGATAGAACAGTTTGCAGTAAAGAAGCCGGCTGAATCCCACCAAAACCACGATGACGATGAGAGTGACCTCTAGTCATCATCACTGCTATGTGACAGTCCACTAGTGCCATGACAGTTTACAAATGCCATGGCAACATCAAGAAGTTACCCTGTATGGTCTAAAAGGGGGGTATGCACCCTGTGTTTAGCACGTTATCAAAAAATAACCATGACAATGGGCCACCGGCATCCCTCGGGGCTGCTCTGTTGATGGAGTAGCCATGCTTTTATTCCTTTACTTTCTTAATAAACTTGATTTCACTTTATGGACTCACCCTAATTTCTTTCTTGCGTGAGATCCAAGAACCCTCTCTTGGGGTCTGGATCAGAACTCCTTTTCTGTAATAGTATTATGCTGGAGAAAAAGGACAGTAACTCCACAGTATCTAACATACGGTTCATATTCACGGTTCCCTGATTGTTCCTAAAGTGTCTTTTATAGCCATTTCTTCCCAAGTCAGGATCCAAACAAGGTTTGTATGTTAGCTTCAGCTGGATGTCATCAGATGGTCCTTGAGGCTGAGTTGCGTGCCATGCACCGTGCTGAATGTTGGGCTGTAGAAACTAGGCAGGCCCAGAGTTGTTGGTTTTCAGGAGGTCATGGCTGAGGAACAGCCTTGTTACAAACAAAAGCAATAAAGGTTCAGATCTCCTAGAGCCTCCTGCTGGTAGCCTTATTTCCAAGAGTTCCGATTTACCTTGTAAATAAATGGCATCCAGTTCCCTCATGGTCTTCAAACTCTCCATGCCTTGTTAGCTTCCTGGAATCCACAGAATCCTTTCACGCTTGGGCACTGACCTGTAAAAAGCCATCTTAAAAGGCTTCCAGGTACATTGTCTTGGCTCTCTTGAGTTTTGAACTGGGAGCCTGGAGGCCAGAGAACAGACACTCCCTAGAAATGCCTTCTGTAGTTCTCATGTAATTCATCCCCAAGGCATGGGCTGGAATGGAACATAGCAGAAACATGTTTTACTCAAGCGTAGACTAGCAGCAGTGACAGACAGCTTGAGGGAGTCTTGTTTTCCTTTTGCTGTATCAACTCTTGCAGTCATTAGCTGTCAAGGGGAAAATCATTGTGTTTCCTCAGAAATGTGGTTTATTTGGCTAGATCCTTTGGGACTGGTTTGTGTCAAGGGCAAGGTGTGTGTTTGAGGGGCCAACAGCAGTTCTGCTGTGGATGCTGAACCATCAGCTGTCACAAGAAAGGCTGTTTGTATGAACCTGGACTTAGAATCCTGTGGCCACCTTATTTTTATACCATGTTCTTGCTTTGGTTCTGAGATTCCCAGTCCACAGCTGCCTGTAGAATTTGTAGGATTCCCAGAGTTCGTATGCAGTAGGGGGTCTCAAACTGGAATTCCTACAGGGGCCAGGTAGATAACGGAAGTGAATAAATCAGCCACATGTGAGAGACTAGGGAGTGGGGAGGGATCTTTGGGGGAACTGGAGGGTACTTGGCTGGTCTAAAGGGGCATCAAGTCCTTAGTGCCAGCCCTGGTTGCTCTGAGGGTGCCCAGGCCCCTTGTGGTCGGACACTTGGCTTTTTCAAGAGAAACCTAGATTTTTAAGGGAAATGTCCTGAATTTTAATTATTTGCACAGAATTTAAAAGCCACCTTCTTTCCCTCCCTCCTCTCTGTCTTCCTCCTACTCGCCCTGCAAACGTGTGTTTCAGTCAGCCAGGCCAGTGGGGTGTGGTTCTCCTGTTGGATACGTGGTGATGGTCCCCCTCCTTCAATCACCTTTCTCTCTCCCTCTGTCTCTGCTGCATGGCCCACATCGTTGTATTTTGTTGTTAACTTTTTATCCTTACTGCATTCGCAGTCCATGTTTCTGCCTGTAGTCTCAAGAGGCCGAGATTTGTTGAGACGACTGTGACTTGTGCAAGAGCCAGATTGAGTTTTCAGCTTGGTATTCAGATTCGGGACATCTCACCCTCCAGCTGTTATCAGCAACAACAACTGCAACTGTGCAGCAGTCGCAGTCCCCAGATGCTATGCCTCTGCATTGTAGGAAAGGGACTCATTTGAGGTCAGATGCTCAGATGCAAGTTGCAAGATAATAGCGATTGTACCTCCTTGTTCCCAAATGTCACTCAAAGTGTTTCCTAGGTTCTGTCACTGCCTCTGCTGGAATTGTCACAGAGGAGACAGGTGAACTGCACCCCTTAAAACCCCAGTATTTATCAAAGTAATAATAGTAGGTGGGTCTTGTTATTCCCAGATACTGTTTATTATTTAATATGCTGTTTTTATATTGACCAAACAAATGTTCTTGGCTTTATAGTACCAGTTATGAGCTATTCAGTTAACCCTTTTAACCCTTACCACGTGGGCCATTACTGTAAATCTATATATATATTTGTTGTTGGGAGCTTTTCAGTTTCTAAAGGAACTTCTTTTTTTAAAAAATCTTTATTTTGAAGTAATCTGAGATTTGCTCAAGAATTGCAGGGACAAAAAAAGAACTCCCATGTGCTCTTCCTGCAGAGCGACTAGTTAATATTTTGCTCTATTGGAGACAGATTTATCTGTATCTATATCTCTGTGTATCCATACAAACTTTTTTCCTGATCTATTTAAGAATTAGTTGCAAACATCATGACCATTTGCCCCTAAATACTCAAGCAGATAATTTTCTAAGAACAAGGATACTTCCTTACACGACCGCAGTGTGATGATAAAATGCAGGAAATGTAACACTGGTGCAGTATTATGACGTGATATTTAGGCTATATTCATATTTCACCAATGGGGCCAATTTAACCTTTCATGGCTAATCTCTCTGACTGAGTTGGGATCCAGTCCAGGATCAGGCATTGCACTGAAGGGTCCTGTCTCTTTAATCTGGGGAACACCTCCACAGCTTCTTTGTCTTTCATGACCTTGACTTTTTTTTCTGGGTCCCTCTTCTGGCCAGTTGCTTGATAGAACATCCCTCAATTTGGGTTTGTCAGCTGTTTCCTCATGATTAGGTTCAGGTTATGTGTTTTTGACAGGAACTCAAGGCTTTTAATCCATCTCCTTTTGGCCTAATAAAGAGACACTATAGCAAGTAGACTTCTGGTCTCACAGATGGCAAAACTCAATGCCAAGAGGTCAAAGTCAAGAGAGATGTAGCACTCAGTGGCCGGGGCTGACTGTGGCTCACAGCTGTGTTTTGTTTGGCACTTGAGATGTTTGAAAAATGAGTCAATCACTGGTTAAAGACCTGATGGGTCCCGGAGGAATCCGGACTTCCACCTGCTCTTGAAGAGTTGGAAGATCTGGCCACACAGGGCCATATTCCTGTCTGCCTGGTTTTGAGTCCTGGACAATGGGCACACATTCTCTACTTTGCTGTGGCCTCCACCATTCACAAGATGCCCCTGTGCATGTCCCCTGGGCATGCTTCATTCTTCTGTTACCTGCACTGCCCCTCTATGCCTGGGACTCTGAAAGATATGTTATAGAGCTGGGCGCGGTGGCCCACTCCTGGAATCCCAGCACTTTGGGAGGCCAAGGCGGGTAGATCGTGTGAGGCCAGGAGTTTCAGTCTGGCCAGCGGGGCAAAACCCTGTCTCTACTAAAAGTACAAAATTAGCCGGGTGTGCACGCCTGTAATCCCAGCTACTTGGGAGGCTGAGGCAGGAGAATTGCTTGAACCCAGGAGGCGGAGGTTGCTGTGAGCCGAGATCATGCCACTGCACTCCAGCCTGGGTGACAGAGTGAGACTCTGTTTAAAAAAAAAAAAAAAATCCAGGATAGGCTCCCAGTTGTGTTCTCTCCATCTGCTGCTCTGTAGTCTTCTTGGGGCCTGTCGGGAAACAATTTTCTATTTCATAGTAGTTTCTCTTGCCTGTTCTCCCCCCAACCCCCTTTTTTTGAAGGTGTTTATTTGGGTTGCCAGACTTGTGTTTATGTACCTCTTCATGCAGTGGTACTGTTGGCATTCACTCCTCCAAAAGGTGAGTTGTCACATTGGTACATTAGGGTATTCCACACTGGCTTCCATGGAAGCCCAGTTGAGTCCATGAGAGGCTCCCTCACCTTCCCATTATTTAGGGAAATCCTGCATCCCTCGAGGGACCTGATGCAGCTGAGGGAAATCGGATAATCATTTTCTGAAGTGGTGAGGTTGAATCCACCATGCCCTAGGAGTTAGCTAGGGGATGAGCTGGGGAAGAGGACTCAGTCGTTTGATGCCTGACCTTGAAATATGTCCAGGTGATAATTTGAGCATTATTCCAAGTGTTTCCCTAGTCCTCACTCCCTAGGAGAAAATAGTCCTCCTTGATTTGGAATATGATGACACTGGAGCCCTGGTTTGCAATTTATGAGTAATAATGATGATGACAATGAATTACTAACCGCTAACATTTATTTAATAATTACCATATGCCAGACACTTTATTTATACACACACATACTTATTTTAATTCTGTCTGTAGTTTCTGAAGGTAGATACTTTCATCATCCCATTTTATAAATGCTAAACTGGGGCTCAGAGAGGTTAAGCAACTTGCCCAAGGTCATACAGAGGTAGAGCAAGCATTCCCGTCAGGGCTGTCTGACCTGAAAGCAAACACTTTTTAATGGCACAAAGTGCTGAAATGAGCTGCCTTCTTGGTGCCAGAGGAGTAGCTTATGTAAGTTTTGAGTGAGGGACTGACAAGTATGATTCCGGCTGTTAAGTTTGGAACCCTGTGATTTTCCCATTGCACCCAGGATATTTTGGGTGTGTGTCATCTGTAATTAATTACCTTCTTGAGTGACGAGTTGTTTGGGCTGTTTCTCTGGCTCTGGATATGCAATACAGGGGCCAGTGTGCCATTCTGAGTGGGATTTACCAGGTGGCTAATGAGATGGGCTTTATAAAATAAATAGTGCAAGGATGGTTACGGGGGAGAGAGCACTAAAAATCAAACAAGCTTTTTACAGCTCCATTTTCCACCCCCTCCAGCTGGCAGAAATGAGATGCCACACAGCTTAATCCAGAGAACAGCCAAGGAGGAATGCAGACATCCTGGAATTTGAGTCCCCTGGCAGCAGCCCTTGCCCTGTCTTATTAGAGAAAACTGGAAGGAAAGGAAAAGTTACCCAGACTTCTTGTACGTGGGAGGTACCACTGTTTTCTGAACAGGGTTATGAGCAATAATCGTTATGATTGTGATATGGCAGGAGGGCACATGGCAGGGAGTGGCTCCCAGGTGCCAGAGTGGCCCAGAAGTGTCCTGGAGGCTTGCCAAAATACAGATTCCAGGCTTCACCCCAAGAGGGTGATTACAGAGAGGGCCTGGGAATCTGCTTTTTACTTTTTAATTTTTCACCCCTGAGTCTGTTAATGTGTTTCCTACAAGCAAAACATTCTCCTTTGTAATAACAATATAACAATCAGAATTAGAAAATTAACATTGACACATTTCTGCTGTCTAATCTTCACATTATGCTCAACTTTAACCAGTAGTCCCAGCAATGTCTTTTCTTGCAAAATGGTTGAGTCCGGAATGACACATGGCATGTGATTTTCATGTCTGTTCGGGCTAGAACAGTTGTCTCTTTTCTTGACTTTCATGACCTTGACGTTTTTGAAGATGATAGGCCAGTTTATTGTGCAGAATGTCCGTGCCTTTGGTTTGCTTGATGTTTCCTTTTGATTAGATTCGGTTTATGCATCTTCGTAGGAATGTTGCAGAGGCGATGCATCTTTTTAGTGCATCCTGGCAGGTGGTGCATGGCTTCAATTTGTTCCATTCCTGATGTTAACTTTGATCCTCTGATTAAAATGATGTCTGTTATGCTCCTTCACTGTGGAGTTTCCCCTTTACAATTAATACATATTTTGTAGGGAGGTTTTTGAGCTCGAAATACCCTATTATGCATTAAATTTTCCATTAATTAATTTTGGATTGTTCAGTTTCTATTTTATTCAGCTTATAATGCATTACTATCACTGTTTTGATGCCCGGATCGTCTCAGAGCGTCCGAGCATCAAAACAGTGATAATAATGGATTATAAGCTGAATCCGTCCCATCCATCCCATTTATCAGTGGGAACTTTTATGAGCTGGCTTCTGTGTCCTTTTAAAGTGGGCCTGTAAGTTCACATTGATGTCTTTAATCCCAGTCCAACATCACCATTGACTTCTCACTTTCTTGACGTATTTGTTATTCTCTTCTCCAATAACAAGATACCTGGCTCCAGTTATCAGTAATATATTCAGTTATTGATCCATCCCCTTGTAAGTTAACTAATCTCTGATAGCTTTGGGCTGAATTGCTTGGGAATAGAAAGTCAGGGTTATGGGGAGATTTGCTTTCTGGAGAAGCTCCTCTGCTCTCTTCATTATAGAGATCCTCCATCCTCTGACCACATCTGGAAGGACCCTGGCCTAGTGCTGGAGGGTAGAGGCTTTGGAGTTGCCCTGATGTCAGTTCCACTTCCACTCCTGATTGACCTTGGCCGGTCACTGACCACACCGAGACTCCATTTCCTTATGGATGAGGGCAATATTTCATGGTACAGAGAAAAATAAGACATGGCCACTGTCTTCAAGGATCTCATACTCTAGATAGGGGAAGATGAGCACAGGCCAGGGGTATTAAAGTATGAGACTTGTTAAGAGAGAAGCTTGTCTAGAATACGCTGGGGGCAGAGGAGGGAGCTGTCACAAGCCCCATGTGGTGGAGGCAGGGTTGGCAGGAAGGACTTCAGAGAGAAGAGGGCCTTTGAGGAGACACTTGCAAAATGTGTAGCTGTTCACCAGGGGCCTGGGGCAGATGGGAGAGTTGCAGACAGAGAATCAGATCAACCTTAGCAAAGACACATGGGGCAGAAAGAGCTTGGCTGGTATGGGCAACAGGGAAGAGCTGTGATTGGCCAAATCCCAGAGTGGAGGTCTGAGGCTGTATTAGGTGGATGTCTCAGCTGCTCTGGGAGCCCTGACAGCTGCAAGAGGAGGGGAGGGGGTCGGGTCTAGCTTAGAGAGCATGGTGTATTGGGTAGCGGGGCAGCAGCCTGGGTAGAACCCGGGAGGAGCCTTTCCAAGATGACGCTGGGGGAAAGTGCTCTGGAAGGTATCTTTTGCTTTCCCTCTTGCCCTGATGACCTCAGTGCCAGAGGCGCTGGCTGGCTGGGTTTATTCCTTCAGACCTCTTAGGATTGATTGTTTCACAAAGATGGTGTAGAGCAGCGGTCCCCAACTTTTTTGGCACCAGGGACTGGTTGCGTGGAAGACAATTTTTCCATGGGGATGGGTTGGTGGAATGGTTTTGGGATAAAACCGTTCCATCTCAGATCCTCAGACATTAGATTTTTATAGGGAGTGTGCAACCTAGATCTTGCATGCCCAGTTCACAATAGGGTTCGTGCTCCTATGAGAATCTAAGGCTGCTGCTGATCTGACAGGAGAGAGAGTTCAGGTGGTAATGCTTGCTCACCGCTCACTCACCGCTCCATCACCTCCTGCTGTGCGGCTTGGTTCCTGACAGCCACGGTGATGGATGACCCCTGGTGTAGAGGACTGGTCCAGTTTTCACTCTGGAGTTGCACTGTCTGCTTGTGAGTCCCAGCTCTGCCACTTGTCAGCTTGTCACTTGCCAGGAACATGACTTACCTCCTCTGTAGGTATCTCAGCCTGCAGCCGTCTAAAAAGCTTTGCTTACACCTTTCCCCTTCTCTCCTCCCCCACTCAGTGCTGGACAGGTGGTAGCTACTAGCATCATTGTCATGGTGACAATTACTCGAGGGTGTGAGGGCAAAAGTGTTCTGTAAAGGGCAGTGTAAGAATGCATGTTGGGCTCAGTGCAGCAACAGGCTAAAGGAGTTCTGATGCCTTAGAAAAGGTGGCGGGGTTGGAGTTAGGGTCAGAAGAGACTTAACAGGAATATGTACAGTTAGGGAAAAATGGTTTTTCAACATTGGTTGTTTTATTTTGCAGTGAACTTGACCTTTGAAGATTTAGGATGTGGCTGCAAACACCACAAAGCCAGGCGATTTATGCCTCCCTTCTTGCCTTTTATTGGTGCCTATTCTGGGGGAGTCCTCATGGTCTTGGATAGCCTTGCCACTGGGCCACCTTCTTCTTGTAGTTGGGTGTGGTTATGGTTGATGCCTACTCAGTACCTGCTGGACGGTAGGCATGAGGTCCCCTCGAGCTGTGCTTTTTTACATCTAGGGAAAGTATAATTCCCATAGGTGTATCTTAGTGTGGTGTTTTGATGCCTGAGAATTACCAAATGTACTTACCAGGTTCGTTAGTTTTGTTGTGAGTAATTTTCCTTTGAGTAGTGCTGTCTGGGGTTGCTGGTTGTTTACTCTGACATTGGGGCAGGCCTAATTGCTTTGACTTACAAACATTAATTATTGCAGTCGTTGGAAGCTGTTTGAGAGGTACTTGCCACCTACTCAATGATTTGCTTTCGTTCCCATGCTTTTAAAGAAATCTGCAGGGTAGCCAGCAGGCTTGTTTGGGGCTGGGAGTGGGAAGGAGTTGGCAAGGCTTTCTAGAATTGGACAGGCGAATATTTGAATACTTGTCTCCATGTGCACGGCTACCTCTTCGGTCCTCTCAGTTCTGGCCACCATCGTTTCTTGCCTGGATGACCGTAATGGCCTCCTATCTTCCGGCTTCTTCTGTTTCCACCCCTCATTCCATTTGCTTTTTCCACATAGCAAGTCTGCATTCCCTTGCTTGACACCTTTTTAATTTATTTTTTTGTTTGTGAATTGCAGTCTCACTCTGTTGCCCAGGCTGGAGTGCAATGGTGCGATCACAGCTCACTGCAGCCTGCAACTCCTGTGCTCAAGTGATCCTCCTGCCTCAGCCTCTGGAGAAGCTGGGACTACAGGCACATGTCACCGTGTCCAGCTAATTTTTAAATTAATTTTATTTCATTTATTTATTTATTTATTTATTGAGACAAGGTCTCACTTTCACCCAGGCTGGAGTTCAATGGCACGATCTCGGCTCACTGCAACCTCTGCCTCCCGGGTTCAAGCAGTTTTCCTGCCTCAGCTCCCAAGTAGCTGGGATTACAGGTGCCTGCTACCATGCCCAGATAATTTTTGTATATTTAGTAGAGGCAGGGTTTCACCATGTTGGCCAGGCTGGTCTTGAACTCCTGACCTCAGGTGATCCACCTGCCTCGGCCTCCCAAAGTGCTGGGATTACAGGCGTAAGCCACTGTGCTCAGTCTAAAAAATTTTTTTGTAGAGATGTGATCTTGCTGTATTGCCCAGGCTAGTCTCAAACTTCTAGGCTCAGGTGATCCTCCTGCCTCAGCCTTCCTAAGTGCTGCAATTACAGGAATGTGCCACTGCGCCCAAAACATTTATCATAATGTTTTTGGAGTTTCATCCAAGTTGTTGCATGTATCAATAGTGCATTCCTTTTTATTGATGAGTAAGCATTCCATTACTTACATTCCACTACAGGAGTTTGTAATTCCATTACAAGAGTTTGATACCAGCCTGACCAACATGGCAAAACCCCGTCCCTACTGAAAATAAAACAATTAGCCGGGCCTAGTGGTGGGTGCCGGTAATCCCAGCTACTTGGGATCTGAGGCAGGAGAATCACTTGAAGCCAGGAGGTGAAGGTTGTAGTGAGCCGAGATCGCACCACTGCACTCCAGCCTGGGCAACAAGAGTGAAACTCCATCTTCAAAAAAAAAAAAGAAAAAGTCTTTCACATAGCAAATCCAGTTAAACTCTTTTTTCTACTCTGGACGATGCTTTTAGTATTATATCTAAGAAATCTTCTTTGTCTAACTCAGGTTAGGTATGATTTTCTCCAACATTTTCTTCTAAACCTTTTATAGTTTTAAATTACATTTGTTTGTGGTCCAGTTTTACTTAATATTTGTATAAGGTGTGAGTATTGGTTGAAGTTTATTTTTTTTGCATATGAATGTCTTGTTGTTCCAAAATCATGTGTGGAAAAGATTGTCCTTTCTCCAGAAGCGCCTTCCTACCTTCGTCACATTGCTTGATTGTGTGTATGGGTTTATTCCCTGATTCTTTGGTCTGTCTTGTTGGTGTGTGTCTGTCATTTTGCCCATATGACATTGGCTTGAGGGCTGTAGCTTTACAGGAAGTTCTAAAATTGGGCAATGTGAGTCTTCCTGCTTTGTGCTGCTTTTTCAAAAATGATTTTGGCTATTTTAGTTTCTTTGTCTTTCCATATGAATGTTACAATCTGCTAGTCTATATCTATAAGAAATCCTGCTGGGATTTTGATTGGGCTTTCATTAAATTTATAGATCAATTTTGGGGAAATTGACATCTTAATTCTTTTGAGTCTTCTAAGCCATGAACCTGGTATCTCCAGGTAGTTAGCTCTTCTTTGATTTCTTTTGTTAGTATTTTGTAGTTTTCAGCATGCAGATCCTGGACACATTTTGTTAGATTTATATGAATGTATTTCATCTTTTGGAGCTGTTATAAATGATTCTTTTTAAAAGTAATTTGCCTTCTCATTGTTCATTGTTAGTGTATAGAAATACAGTTGATGTTTACATTTGACCCTGTGTTCTGTGACCTTGAAAAACTCGGTTATTCTGTGACCATTTTTGTCAGTTCTTGGGATTTCCTTTGTAGATGGTCATGTCTCTTGTGAAGAGGGAAAGTTTTAGTCCTTCCTTCCTAACCTGTATGTTTTTTTGGGTGGGGAGGGCCTTATTTCACCAGCTAGAATCTACTGTGCTGAACAGGAGTGGTGAGGGAAGAATTGCTTGACTCATTTTCAGTCTTTGGAGGAAAATATTCAGCCTTTAATCATTATGTGTGATGTTACTATAGGATTTGGGGGTGGGTAGTTTTTTTTTTTTTTTTTTTTAAGAAGGAATCGCAGACTCTGTCACCTAGGCTGGAGTGCAGTGGTGTGATCTTGGCTCAGTGCAACCTCCGCCTCCCAGGTTCAAGCAATTCTTGTGTCTCAGCCTCCCGACCAGCTGGGATTACAGGCATGCACCACCAGGCCCAGCTCATTTTTGTATTTTTAGTAGAGATGGGGTTTCACCATGTTGGCCAAGCTGGTCTCGAACTCCCGACCTCAGATGATCCACTCACCTCGGTCTCCCAAAGTGCTGGGATTACAGGCATGAGCCACTGCATCTGGCCTGGGGGTATTTCTAACCTCTTCATACATTTTAAAAAGTGCTCTAGTAAAGTGCATTGTTGAAAAATTAAAGAAAAATTTCCAATTAATTTTATCATATAGAAATGAGCACTGTTAACGTTGTGGTCTATACATTTCCAGTGCAAATATATCCATGTAAATAGATATAAGGGGTTAGAGTAAATACACTCTGTACTCTGCTGCATTCAGTTAATGGTATATCAGTGTGAGTATATATGTGTGTGTGTGTATATACGTAATATTCATCCCTGGGGATAAACATACATATTTATCATAGCTTTGACAGTCCTATAGCGTCCTATTATAGGAGGATGCACCATAACTTTCCACCCACTCTTACATTATCAGACAATTAATTTGCAGCCAGCTTCTTTCTTTTATATTCAAAGCATCCTCATGCATATGGTTTTGAGACTTCTCTTTCTTTTCTAAATACAGTTTCTTAGAAGTAGACTTGCTGGGTCAGAAGGTTACAGTTCTTGAAGCTGTTGATTCATATTTCCTAAAGCTCACCTGTCACCAACTGCTTACATTTATGAGATGCCTAAGGGGGTTGGCAGCAGAAGCTTGAGCTCCATAACTCGAGGAAAGTTCCTTAGCCTCTCTTAGCAAAGCTGGCTGGTCAGGAGGATCCTGTTCACATCTGTGCAGGAGTCTTAACCGCCCAAGAGATTCTGCAGACCTGTGCTCGTTTTCTCACGCAATTTTTCAAGGCCTTACGTTTTCAATGTTGCCCTGTTCACTTAATTCGCTAAACGTGTATAATGTAATAGGAGACTTTGAAGTTAAAGGATATGGGTTTAAATCCCAAGTTGGAGTGTGTGTTAGACTCTCTGGGCCTCAAATTTCTCATCTGTAAAATGGGCACAGTAAAACCAACCTCGTGATGTGTTGCTGGTGGTCTAATGAGACACCAAGTGTGTGGCAGAGAGGAGAGGGACATAGGCATGGAGAGGCTGAAGTGAACTGTGGCTCTGCCTTTGCTGGTTGTGAGTTTTTGGATAGTTCAATTAGCCTCATTGAGCCTCAGTTTCTTTTCCTTTTTTTTTTTTTTTTTTTTTTGAGACAAGGTCTTACTCTGTCACCCAGGCTGGATCTTTGTTCACTGCAACCTCCACCTCCCCGGCTCAAACGATCCTCCCACCTCAGCCTCCCAAGTAGATGGGACAACAGGTGCATGCCACCACACCCAGCTAATCTTTGCATTTTTTGTAGAGATGGGGTTTCACCATGTTGCCCAGGCTGTTGTCCTGGGCTCAAGTAATTGGCCTGTCTCAGCCTCCCCAGGTGGGTAGCATGAGCCACCACGCCTGGTCTTCAGTTTTTTCATGTGTAAAATGAAGGCAGTAAGAAAAATGGCAGCAATAATAACCTGTTTTGTAGGGTTACTGTGTAGATAAAATGTGAGCATGTCTGCCACACCTCGAATATTAAGTGCCCTACTCAGAGGCAGGTGTTCATGTGTTGCAGATTGAAAAGCATATTTCCCACTACATACGTATGGATCTCTGGGAATGAGGCACAGCTTTTACCTGTAAGGGGGTCTTGCTACTGTGCTGCTTCCCACTTCATAGCTAGCAAGGAGGGATTTCAAGGAAGGTGCAAACATCTCAAATGTCCAACTCTGCCACAGTCCACATTGGCAACACTTTTTTTACTTTTCTTTTTTCTTTTTTCTTTTTTTTTTTTTTTTGGAGACGGAGTCTCACTCTGTTGCGAGGCTGGAGTGCAGTGGCATGATCTTGGCTCACTGCAAGCTCCGCCTCCCAGGTTCAAGCAATTCTTCTGCCTCAGCCTCTTTAGTAGCTGGGATTACAGGCACATGCCACCATGCCCAGCTAATTTTTGTATTTTCAGTAGAGACAGGGTTTCACCATGTTGGCCAGGCTGATCTCAAACTCTTGGCCTCACGTGATCCACCCACCTCAGCCTCCCAGCGTGCTGGGATTCCAGGTGTGAGCCACTGCACCCAGCCAGGTGTGATTTTTAGGTGGAATCTTAACACAGTATTGAAAGATTTCTTCAAACTAGAAGAAAAGCAGGTATCTGAAACATTTTAGTGCTGGCCACAGAGTTGGAGATGAACAGGGAAGCTGAGGATCGGCCCGACGGCTGGCAGCAAATGAGAGGAGACCTGACCGCCAAACACTGACATGACTTCTGTTGGTCATGCGGCCTCTTGGAAAATGTTTTTCCATGAACTGTTGTTTAGAAATGTCTATAACTGCCTTTCTTTCCCTGATTTTAAGATATGTGACTTGAATTCACATGTGAAGATTGGGAGTAGGCTGGGCTGGGCAATGAGGCTCTGGCTAAAGGAATCCTAGAAAACATGCTCTACAGGCTGGGCGTGGTGGCTCACACCTGTAATCCCAGCACTTGGGGAGGCTGAGGTGGGCGGATCACTTAAGGTCAGGAGTTCAAGACCAGCCTGGCCAACATGGTGAAACCCCCATCTCTACTAAAAATAAAAAAATTAGCCGGTCATGGTGGTGGGCGCCTATAATCCCAGATACTTGGGAGGCTGAGGCAGGAGAATTGCTTGAACCCAGGAGGCAGAGGTTGCAGTGAGCCGAGATCATGCTACTGCACTCCAGCCTGGGCGACAGAGTGAGACTGCATCTCAAAAACAAAAGAAACAAAAAAACACATGCTGTACAATCCCCATCAGGGAAGATTTTGTCTCCCACAAACATTTTAAGGACTTGTTATTTTGTGTCAAACATTTGTGATTCATGTCACAGATGGAGAAAGTGCAGACACCTGTGGAGGCATCCATGACAGGCTTTGTCTAGGACGAGGGGATAACTAAGGGACTCCCTTGTGGTTTACTTTCTCCAGAGCTTTGGAGATGAACGTCGAGTTCTCAGGTGATGCCTGAGTCTATGGTAGTGTCTGAGTTTGATCCTTTTTTTTTTTTTCTGCCACAATACAGCACAGAGAAGCAAAATACAAAGAAAGTGCTGTTGCCGTGGGCTGAGAAGTAGTCAGCTGCATTGAAAACAGACGCTCGGCACCAGGGATGAGCAGTCTCAAGTTTTTCAACTAAGTCAGTGTTTGGCGTATCTATAGTAGTGGGTGGTATTTCCATCCGTAAATAGACTGAGTGAGAGGCTTACTGTGGTGCATTATTAAGTGAGACGACCAGTCTCAGAAACATTTATACTATCCTGTCATAGAGACTCTGAGTGTTTTGGGTTGGTAGTGATTGTCAAAGCATGGAGGAAGGCCTGAAAGGTATATACTAGGTTTTTGCCATTGGTTACCATGGGAAAGTGTTGAGTGGAACAGTAAACAAGGGAAAAAAGCCTTCAGACATTCACACAAAAATTAAAGCATTGTGAAGGGTGTATCATCCCCCTAAAATTATTAGGATGTGTGTGTGCACCTAGAGAAATAATAGGATGGATATAAAAATGTTAATAGGGTTTATTTCAAGGTATTGGGGTCTTACCATGTTTTTTGCATTTCTTCTTAAATGTGTTCTGATGGAGTATTTTGCAATGAGCATTTTTTATTTTTATAATCACAGAAAAAACCCAGTCTTCAGCTCTTCTCGTTGCAAGGAAAGAAAAAATATTCTAGCACATTTAAAGGCACTTAGACTCAAGACCTGAGGTGTAGGGGGTGGGGCAGAAATAGAAAACGTGTAAGAGGCACCTCCCTCTGGTAGAGCTGGTCAGAAACCAAGTCTGAATCTCAAAGCAGATGGCGAAGAGTCCTTGTGGGCCTTGGGGGCAGGGAAACCTGGGTTCAGATCTTACCAGTGAGTTTTACTGGCGACCTTGGTCAAACACCGTATTTGTCCAACTCTTCTCCTGTAAAATGTGGAGAATACTGCAGGCTATTGTGCATTTTTCTACTGAATGAAGCATCTTTCCGCTGAATGACGGATGGATGAATGAATGAGTGGATGCATGCTTGGTTCAAAGAGACATATGTAAAGTCTAAATACTCAACAAATGGCAGTTTTTCCCCCTTTGTCCTCATGTTCTGTTGTCACCCAGTGTACCTGGGGAGTGAGTTCAGCAGGTGGGGTCCTGTCATACCCTGGGTTCTGTGTTCCTTAGTGTAATCTTACATGGGGGTGGATGTGGAGTTGGTCCAACTGCTTGTCTTTATGCCACAATCTCCTTATCTGTAAAATGAGGGTTGTGTTAGTGCTTTGGAAGGATTCAAGGAGATTCTATACAGACACTTGACATGATGCCTGGCAAATAATAAATGTTTAGTACAAGTCACAGTTGATAAAAGTATTAAGAGCATTCCCCAGGGTGAATGCACAGTAGTCAGTACATGCTTCTGCAAATGGAGAGAAGACTAGAGTTCCTGACACTGAATAGGCACCTGATAGGTGGGTAGCTCCAAACAGCCTAAGCACAGCCTGTGTCTGTGTTCTGAATTTGTGGACACTGGAACCGATTGGTGCTTATCTGTCTCATGAAAGAATAGTTCTTAAAGGCACTCTGCAGACATGCCCAAGGTAACACAACCATCTCCCGTGATGATATCTAAACCATGAGAATATATTAACATTTATAAGATGCAAATTGTGCTTTTCTTTACACAAATTCACCACCCACCCCTGCCCCCTCCTGTGGGTCCACATTGTCACTTTTTAAATATATATTTTTTTAACATTCTTGTACCTGCAGAGAGAACGAGGTGCTCAAAGTCCAACTGAAGAAATATGTAGGAGCTGTCCAGATGCTGAAAAGAGAAGGTCAAACAGCTGAAGGTGAGGGGGAGCCTGAGCCCGGGTTGGGAGGGGCCGGGCTTTTCCATTAACACCTGTACGTGGCACGCAATAGACACTCAATGTGTGACGAGTGCATATGTGGATGGATTAGAATAATGGTGCTGCTCAGCGTTCCAGAAAATTAATCAGGTGGAAAACCTGATGCGTATCCCTGCAACATGCATAACTAGTATTGTAAGACTCACTTGCTAGACTATTAGCAACAGTCTTATTGGTTTGTGTACTTAGAGAATTTTATGTCCAGAGTCTTGAGACAGTTGCATGGCAGTGAACCTTGTGGTATGATGAAGTCACAGCAGGCCACGGGTGCAAGCAACAGAAAGGCAAGATGGCAGAGAATCAGAGCGCTGGACTTAGGCTGATCAGGTTCCAATTCCAGCTCTGGTTAAGTTTTCTAATCTCTTTGCACCTCAGTTTTTTCATCTGTACAATGAGGTTGGTTGACAGCACCTACCTCATGAGGCAATCCATGTAGACGTCTTAGCATAATGCCTACCATAGAATAAATGCTGAATAAATTTTAGCTATTATTATTATTATTAATCAGAAATTCCAGCAGATAGAAGAACAGTCATGAAGATCTTGCCAAATGAGGTGGGGCCATCTGCTGCTTCTAAAATCTCCTAAAATATTTCTCAGGGCAGCCTGAAGAAAGGATATTTAACTCTGGCTGATGTGTCTTGCAGCCCTCAGCCAAAAGACCGTAACAAAATTTCCTTAAAGACAAGCTCATAGAGTGTGGACATTTTAACAAACAGTGGGTGTTCCCCACATTCACGTGTCTTTTTTTTTTTTTGAGACAGAGCCTCACTCTACCGCCCAGGATGGAGTGCAGTGGCACAATCTTGGCTCACTGCAACTTCCGCTTCCTGGGTTCAAGCGATTCTCCTGCCTCAGCCTCCCAAATAGCTGGGATTACAGGTATCTGCCACCATGCCCAGCTAATTTTTGTATTTTTAGTAGAGATGGGGGATTTCACCATGTTGGCCAGTCTTGTCTTGAACTCCTGACTCCAGGTGATCCGTCCGCCTCGGCCTCCCAAAGAGCTGGGATTACAGGCATGAGCCACCGCTCCCAGCCCACATGTCTTCAGAGTCAACCAAACCTGCACTGAATTCATGCTCACCCACGACCACCTGACCCCTTTGAATTATTTTACTATACGTACCAGGACATCACACCAGTGTCATGAGAGCATTGTGAGGATTTTCCAAAACAATGAATTCAGAGTTTCTAGTATGGTACCTGGCATATAATAAATGGTGGTGGTTTTTTTGTGTGATGGAGACAGGATTAGAATCTGGCTATGGCTTATTTAGTAATAGTATAAAGATGTGAATGTTTTTGAAGCTTGTATATTTCTTTTGGTTACTGTTTGATCAGGATCAGCTTATTGGTGATGCTATTTGATAACATGCCTTGCTTTATTCATATTTGGGTCAGTAACTGTGGTCATTCTGGAGTTATCAGTGCAGAATTAATCATCTTTCTCTGTGGCCTCATGCCCTTTTCATACAGATATTGCTATTATGGCCCTGAATTCATCTCATTATACAGAATTATTTATATGTTGGTCTCCCAAGTTTTTACATCTCATCTCTGTTTCTCCAGCAACTGGCTTTTTAGTCATTCACTACATTCATTACATACTTGGAATGAATAGTATTTGTCTAGCCCTTTACAGCCTTTCCAAGCAAGCTCAAATGTACTCTGATTTGACTCAGTAACCTTGTGATGAGTAGGTATTTTTCTGTTATTTTAAAGTTTGTTATTAGAGGCTTAGGAGAGCTTAAGGGGCTGGTATATGTGTCTGTGGTGGAAATGAACTCACGCATTTTTCTCCAAACCTCTGGTTCTTTGCATTATAAAATGCTTTTAACTTTACTGTGCAGAGGAATTGCCTGGGGAGCCCATTAAATATACCTCTTTCCAGGACACTGCCGCTGGGAGTTACTCCAGTGGACTTAGGATGAGGCTGTAGATTTGCACGTCTAGATAATGTGACTCTAATGCAGGTGACCTGTGGACAGCACCACCACCTTTTGTGAAATCTACAAGTTACTTACACAGAACTTGGATTCAGTACAAAAAGACCATTAAAGTCGGGTTAAAAAGAAGCACCACTGGGCTTGCTTTTGATTTGAAAACCTCAGCGCTACACAATGCATTTCTAAGTAGGAAAATTTTGAACCTAATTTGCAGGTTCCATATGCCCATTCTCCCCAAATGGGCCTATGGAACCTACAGTGTACAGAATGGTTTTTCATAGCAGCTGAAGGTCCATTTCCCCAGACCGATCCTGAGTGCCCTGAGCCACAGCTGGATATGAGCCATTTCAGGATGTAGTTGCGGCAGCTCTTACATGAATTAGAGCGGTTACGTACGTACGGCGACTCCACCTAGCAGCAGTCTCTTACTTCTGCATTATTACATTCTTGTGTAAAAAGCCTCCAGGATTTAAACAAAACAACTTAAAATGAACTTTTAGAATAAACATTGGCAACCTTTAATTTTACAGGTATCAAATTTCAGATTCCCACCCTTTTTTTTCTCTCTCCAAGAGAATCATTATTTAAGCACCAAAATAAGGACTGGAATTTGGGTGGCTTCATTATCTAATGGAAAGTTTTTTTTGTTTTATTTTTCTTCCCCGAATGTGGTCCAGAAGTGAGGTTGGGTTATTTGCCTCTCAAGTGCTGTTTTTCCTTGGTGATGTCAGATTTGCCGGAAGTTTACACTTTTATTTGCGCTTTTGAATCTCTCACCTCAGGGCAAATTCTTCATGCTCTTCCTCCAGCATTAGAACCTTGGTGCAAGGGCTGCCATATCTACCAGGAACTTGCCTGGCAATTCCACTTCGTTGTAACTCTTACTGGTCATTTGATTAATTCTGTTGTTAATGGCGTTGGACACCCTTTCTCCTCGCCACGGAGCCAGTGTAGGGAAGTTTCACTTATGAAAGTAGGAAATCACTTAAAAGAGGAGGCGATCCTCCTCCTCTCCTTTCACTTACGAGAGCAGGAGATCCCTCTGAAAACTCATGCTTTCATTTTGGGCTTATTGCTGAAATGTGAAACAAGATGTTTGCAAGTTGGCTTCCTGCCTGCAGAGAGGCCCCTTGGCAGCTCACTGAGGGGTCTGGGGAGAGCAGGTGCATCACTTCAACCTTAGGGTTGTGTGGACAAGACTGGCTCATTAGGAGTGGGCTCACATTAGCCACTGTCAGGTGGACTGGTGGCGTGGGAGGTGACATTTCTGAAGTTGTGTAGCATGGCCCCGCTGTCAGGTGGACTGGTGGCATTGGAGGTGACAGCTCTGAAGTTGCGTAGCATGGCCCTGCTGTGAGGTGGACTGGTGGCATTGGAGGTGACAGCTCTCAAGTTGTGTAGTGTGGCCCCATTCTCAGGTGGACTGGTGGCATTGGAGGTGACAGCTCTGAAGTTGTATATCGTGGCCCCACTCTCAGGTGGACTGGTGGCGTTGGAGGTGACAGCTCTGAAGTTGTATAGCGTGGCCCCACTCTCGGGTGGACTGGTGGTATTGGAGGTGACATTTCTGAAGTTGCGTAGTGTGGCCCCACTCTCAGGTGGACTGGTGGTATTGGAGGTGACAGCTCTGAAGTTGCGTAGTGTGGCCCTGCTGTCAGGTGGACTGGTGGCATTGGAGGTGACAACTCTGAAGTTGTATAGTGTGGCCCTGATGTCAGATGGACTGGTGGCATTGGAGGTGACGTCTCTGAAGTTGTGTAGTGTGGCCTTGCTGTCAGGTGGACTGGTGGCATTGGAGGTGACGTCTCTGAAGTTGTGTAGTGTGGCCTCGCTGTCAGTTGGACTGGTGGCATTGGAGGTGACGTCTCTGAAGTTGTGTAGTGTGGCCTTGCTGTCAGGTGGACTGGTGGTATCATTCTTTGGGTGTGGTCAGTGGCTGCATGTTCAGCTGGGAGGCTGGCCACTCTGATGTTTCCACAACAGGGTTGTTCTTGTGGAGGTCTTTGCTGTAAGACAACCATCCTAGGCAGTGGGCTTCTCTTGGACTCTTCCCAGGAGCATTTGCCTGACGTGAGAGCTTGCTCTGTGTACTGAAGAAGAGATTCCCCTGCTAGGATTGGCCACACGTGACTCCAGAGAGACATGGGTCTGTCCGTGTCACATGGCTTGAGTGACTTCCCCATCCACATGTGGGTAGTGAACATCTGTGTCCTCTGTACTTGCTCCAGTTTTCACTTGACCAGCGTCCTCCCTCACTGTCAGTCCTGTGATGTCGGTGGCTTCATCCTTGGCCTGGCACCTTACCTGGATGGCTCTGGCTAGATCTCAGGGCGTTAGTACACAATCAACAAGAATTCTTGCTTTCCTGTTAGGCTGGGAGACTGGGGCCGCTGTAGTCAGCTTGTTTCCACATAGAGATTGGGAATGAGGCCATCGCACAGAAAGAGCAGCTGAGCTGAAAGGCAGAGAGAAAGCGAACTCTGATCCTGTCTTTAGAGCCCCTGAATCCAGCTGTGCCTGGCGTGACAGTCCTACCCTGGACTTTTTGGTAATAGGGGCAGTCATTCCGCCAGCCTCCCCTGCTCCTGTTATCAAGCTTGATTAGTTTTCTATAGCTCATGTGTTCTATGGCAAATTATTATGTCTTTCCTGGATACAGGCCTGTTCGTCCTTGTAAAGGGCGATTATTTCTGTGGAATTGTCTTTCCAAGTACAGTGTCTGCTCCTGTGCTGTAAAGCTTTTCCTCCTACCTCCCCTCTTACTGGATGCTCCACTGTCATAACTGTTCATGGCCACCATAGCGTAGTCCTGTTCAATAGCAATGGATTTTAAAGCCACGAGCTCTCCTCGGCATCCCCATTTAATTAATCTGCAGTCAGCCCAGGGAGAGAGGGAAAAGGAATAGACCATTGCTGGTGGCCATCAAAATAATCAGCAGCAAGGGCAGGAGACTGAGTGGGAGGAACTTGACAGATGAGGGAGGCTTGGGAGCAATTTAAAAAGTTTGTTCTCAGAAACAAGCAAAAAATTGGGAAGTCATCAGCCTGTCTGGTGTGTCGTGTCTTTGCTGCTGTGTGATGTGCTCAGGGATTCCTGGCTCCACACCCACATGTGCTTCGTGCTCTCACTGGGGTGTCAGTTTCCCTGGGGTGAGTGCAGCGATTCCCGATTCCACTCCTGCGTGTGCTTTGTGCTCTGGGGTGTTAGTTGCCCTGGGGTGAGCCCAGTGATTCCCAGCTCCACACCCATGTGCGCTTTGTGCTCTCACTGGGGTGTCAGTTTCCCTGGGATGAGTCCAGCAATCCCCGATTCCACACCTGCGTGTGTTTTGTGCTCTGGCTGGGATGTCAGTTTCCCCGGCCTTCCAAAGAATGGGGCAGGGCATTTTCGAAGGCTGATTCAGTGAAGATGGAGAGTCGTGGGCTAAATGATTCCTAGAGCCCACAGTGTTTCAGGGGAGCTTGCAGGGTAACTTTTTATTCTTTTTTTCTGAACCATTGCAGGCTTCTGAACCATTGCAGGCATCCCTATGTGCACGGCCTGCTGTTTCCACTCCCACTGTGCACAGAGGCAAAGATGTCTCGTTTGAGGCAGTCTTCGGTTGCAAGGAATAACAATCCACCAAAGCTGGCTCTGTGTGTGTATGTGTCCCAAGTGGAATAAACATGGAACCTCATAAATCCCGTCACTCTGCTGTTTACCGTTCATGGTTTTCCAGTCCTGACTTTTTGATGATGGCCTTCAGTGCTTGTGATCTGGCTCTTCCCTAAGTTCCAACCTCATCTCCCACCACCCTCCCTCTTGCTGTCTCCACCCCACCCACGCTGGCCTTTAGGCTGATCCTCAAACATGCCAGGCTGGCTCCTGCCTCAGGCTCTTTGCACGTGCTGCCCCTATGCAGGGACGCTCTTCCCTGGTCTCTGTGTGGCTGGTTCCACCTTGCCATGCCTGTCTCCATTCAGATACCACCTCCTCTTGACTGCCCTGTCTTACCTTGTGCTGCCTCCCTCATTCTATCTCCGACTTTTCATCACAGCACTTATCAGGCCCTCAAGGTATCTTGGTCATTGATTTTCTTGCTTGTTTCTTCCCGGTGTTCCACCTTGCACTGTACAGCCCACAAGAGCAGGGATGTTGGCATGTCTTTTCCCCTGCTGTGTTGAAAGTGCCTGCACAGTGCTTGATCCATGACACGTGCTCTATAAATGTTTATAACATAAATGAATATAAATAAAATAGGAGCTGTTGGATCTCATGGCCTTGAGTTGATTCCAGATCTGTTGCAGCTGTGGAGAGCCTAGTAGTGGACAAATTCATAGACCTTTCTTCTAGTGCCACCCAAATAATGTGCATCACCCCCATGTAACTGCATCTTTCAGTTGTGCCTCCAGCTGGATTCTCCTGATCGTGTGTGGTTTTTGCTTTTAGTGACCACGATTATCATGTGACCTTGACCCTGCCCTGGTTGTGTCATTCAGAGCTCTTGTGATGACAGGAGTCATACAATCTGATTTAATCTGTCTTAAGCCAAATACAAGAGAAGTCCAGGAGTATCTGCCTTCAGGGATGGTTTGATCCAGGGGCTGCAACAATATCATGGGAAGTTTTTTCTTTCTTTCTTCAGTTTCTCAACTCCAATTTTTTTCATTGCTGGGAGTGATGTGCTGGTAAATGTCTAACAAATAGCTTTCAAAAAAAAAAAAAAAAAAAGCCCTGATTTAGAATGTTTGCAGATTTCCGTGGTGTTGTAAATCCTCCTTCTATGTCTGATTTCAGACTCTGCCAACACGATGTCACTGTTTGCAGAGTTGGAAAGAGATGCACGCAGTTAGCTCCCATGAGTCAGTACACGGGCGCTCCCATCCCTCACTGTGTGCTGGCCGCCTTCTCAGCCAGGTGTTCTCCTTGGGCTGGCAAGAGGTTGCCAGCAGCTGTAGCTTTAGTCTTTCTAGCAGGCCCAGCAGGAGAGGAGCTTCTCTCACTGTCCCGTCTTTCCATCTCTTCACCCCACAGAGCAATGGTTCCTAGTATTGGCTTTTAATGGAGTCACCTGGGAAATTTTTAAAAATCCCAATGCTTGGCCCCACCCAGACCCAAAAATCAGTAGTGGGAATGAGGTGGTTTTTTTTTTTTTTTTTTTTAAAGCTTCCCAAATGATTCCAGTGTGCAGGTTGGAGTACAGCGTTTGGAACCACTGCCTTGGAGGATATCACTTTCCAATTAATGAAGTTCAGGGTCAGCAAATATGCTACAAATGTGCTGACACTCTCTGATTCTTGGCCAGTAGCTGACACTGTAAATTAATCAAGGTGCACTTTTCTTCTTGAATCCAGATTTAGCCTCAGAATTTGTCGCTTCATGTAGGTACCATTGAGTTAAGACCTGGGAGGCTAGGCCAAGCGCGGTTGCTCACGCCTGTAATCCCAGCATTTCGGGAGGCCAAGACGGGTGGATCACCAGAGGTCAGGAGTTCAAAACCAGCCAGACCAACATGGTGAAACCCCATCTCTACTAAAAATACAAAAATTAGCTAGGTGTGGTGGCAGGCGCCTGTAATCCTAGTTACTTGGGAGGCTGAGGCAGGAGAATTGCTTGAACCTGGGAGGCAGAGGCTGCAGTGAGCCAAGATCGCACCACTTCACTCCGGCCTAGGTGAAAGAGTGAAACTTTGTCAAAAAATAAAATAAAATAAAAAACAAAAACCAGGGAGGCTCAATGGGAGCTGTTCACCACCACTGTGTGAGTTAACCCAGTGCCTTTACTGTGCCCCAATCCCTGCTCCCGCAAGAATCCGCTGTGGGTGTTAATTGTATTTCATCTCCGTTCCCGACCCTTCCTGTTCCACCGCAGTGTCTCGCTCTCACTGCTCATCACAGAGCTGCTTTGCTGTTACGTTTGTCTCATGTGCCCCCATCACAAACACTTTACGACCCCACTCTTGGCTCATCCAGTCTCCTTTCCTAGAAACTCCGCTTCCCTTATGCTTGCTCAGGCCAGATGTTGCATTTGTGGTACGATCCAGCTCTTCTCCTGTCACCTGAAAGAAATCTAATTACTTGGATCTTTCAGTTTCCTAAACCCCTGTGGTGCTTGCTACGAGCAGTAAGCAGAGTCTGGCATTTGCTTTTTGCTATTATGGGTTATTCTGTGGTCACGTCTTGTGTGTGTGCTCTGTCTACTCTGCTAGACCTTGTGACCACATAAGGGGTAGGGTCTGGGACTTAGAAACATGCAGGTTTTTTCTTCTTTTATTAATCAAGTACACAACAGGTGCTTAATAAAAATTTGTTACTGGGGTCCATCCAAGTGACTTTCAGGAATGATTTCAGAGTCACAGAGATGTTGATGTAGATGGAAAGAGCATTCCCTGAGAAGGGAAACAAGTTTGGGGAAGCAACATTCCATACCACTTAAGAGCGGGGAGATGATTATCATTCTCCTTTCTGCCCGAAGTGACCACACCACTCTGCTCACATTCCATGGGTGAGGGCTAGTCATACAGGCCCACCTGGGTGCGGAGGGTCTCGGAAGTGTTCTCTCTGGCCGGGCAGCTGCTTTGCACAAGAACTCTACCCACTGCAAGTGGGGAGCATTGAGTTTTGGTGGCTGGTCGGCCAGCTCTGCTGTCCCTGCTGGGGCACTCAGAGGTGTGTGGTCTCCATCTTCTCACTCATTTGTGTGGCTCTTCAGAAACAGCTTACTTTGGGGTTTGTAAGCTCTCAGAAGGAATGCCTGATAGGTTGTGAGGATCTATGGTAGGAAGGGTGTCCAAGAATGTGCTAGCAACATGTCTCTCAGATATACTGAGTCACTTGGCTGGGTGTGGTGGCTCACGCCTATAACCCCAGCACTTTGGGAGGCTGAGTCAGGATGATTGCTTGAGCCCAGGAGTTCAAGATCAGCCTGGGCAAGAGCCTTCAGGGAGCCATGACTGTGCCACTGCACTGTAGTCTGGATGACGGAGCAAGAGGTCGTCTCTGCAAACAGTTAAAAAAAAATTGGCCAGGTGTGCTGGTGCGTGCCTGTAGTCCCAGCTCTTTGGGAGGCTGAGGTGGGAGGATCACTTGAGCCCAGAAGGTTGAGACTGCACTGAGCCATGATCATGCTACTGCACTCTAGCTTGGGCGGTAGAGTGAGACCATGTCTCTTTAAAAAAAAAAAAAAAAGACTGAGTCACTTGTTACTCGTTTATTTCTCCATTTATGGAGATCCTTGCACTACTAGGTTGCACCTTGGAAATGTACTTAGCTTTGTTAGGGGCTGGTAGAAGGTCTGTTCTGCACGGGTACATTGTGGTGTCATTTACATTGGAGGCACCAGTTGCGATAGAGGGACCATGTTGTAGCTGCCTCTTTCTGTAAGGTGCTTTTGGCTTCTCCTGAAAATCTCGGTTTACTAATGGGAAAAAGAGGGCTTTAGATAAATTTAGTTGTTTACTGACAAATGGGGCAAGCAGGTATTCCCTGTGAAACTCACGGGTTGCAGGGGGGTAAAGTATAATGTCCTAACTCTGTGACGGTTTGGAGCCTGGAGAGATGATGGGCAGATTGTGGTAGGATGATCTCAGCTCATTGTAACCTCTGCCTCCTGAGTTCAAGCGATTCTCTTACCTTAGCCTCCCAGATAGCTGGGATTACAGGCGTGTGCCACCATGCCTGGCTCATTTTTGTATTTTTAGTAGAGACGGGGTTTTGCCATGTTGGCCAGACTGGTTTCAAACTCCTGGCCTCAAGTAATCTGCCCACCTTGGCCTCCCAAAGTGCTGGGATTACAGGCATGAGCCACTGTGCCTGGCTTTGAATGTTCAAGAGTTTGAGTGACCACCTGCTGTCCTCTCACTCTCCAGCTCGAGACCCCTCATTTCTGTTTGGACCAGATCCTGGTGGGGCTCAACGGCTCCATGGCTGGGACCTGTAGGTGGCTGAAGGGATGCTCCTGGGCCACCAGCTGCGTGTTTGACTGCTCTATAGTCTCATCAGGACCACTTAGGAGACGTGAGACCAGCAGTGGCCCCAACTGTCTGCTGCTCAGCCCTCCTCGGTCAATAGCAGGAGTTAGACCTTGCCTACCTGCTGCTCTGCACTTAAGTCAGGCATTGCTTATTTGTGTGTTGTCCTTAACAAGGTGGCATGACTTTAGGACACTGGCCCTCTGTTGTTGTCGAGCCTGAAGACTCGCTTCATAAGAGCCTGCCCATCTGACTCTGCGTGGGGCTGAGAAGGGTAGCAGGTGCTGGCGGAAAGAGTGTGGGCTCTGGAGACGAATTCGTTTGGGTTGAAGTCCTGGTTCAGTTTCTGTCTGTGTGCACGTGGAACCTTCAACATCGGGTACCTATTGTCTAATCAGTATCCATTCCCCCTTTCCTGGTAATCTGTTTTTTCTTTGGGGAACCCTCTGTCCAGCCCTCAATCCATGTGGTTTATGTGGGCCTGTCATCCCACTACGTCGGCTACTTTCCAGGCACACTGGTTCAGGGTGTGTGTGTGTCTTGGTCAGGGCCAGCCACTGCTGTCACAGTGCTGCTGGGGTCTCAGAGCAGGAGGCACATGCCTTTACTTGCTGGATTTGGACTGGAGAGGCTGGGGCTGGGGCTCCTCGTTTTGCACTCAAGGGACTCAGACGTTCCCTCCACTTTTTTTTTTTTTTTTTAAAGACACAGGGTCTTGCTGTGTTGCCCAGGCTGGAGCGCAGCTGGACGATCATAGTTCACTGCAGCCTCAACCTTCTGGGCTCAAGCAATCCCTCCTGCCTCGGCCTCCTGAGGAGCTGGGAGCACTGGTGTCCACCATCACTCTCGGTGGGACTGAGAAGTCTTGCCTGAGAATGGAGTCGATGCAGAGGAAGGTAGAGCCAAGAGACAGAGAAAGTGAATCCAGCCAGGCCTGAAGCTCCCTCTCCCTCTGGACTCCTCCACTGCCGAGCTTCCACCACCTTTCTGGTCCCCCTGGGCTTGTCTTCTTTTTTCCAGCTGCATCCTTGCTTCAGGTTGTAGCCAAGGTGTCCTCACCTGCTGGCCATTTTCTCTCACATGTTCCCTCCCTCCCTCATTCCCTCCCTACCTCCTCTTTTCCCCTATCTCCTCCCCTCCTCTCTCCCTTCTCTCTTGTTTCACTCTGCTCCGGTCTATTTTGTATTTGTTTGATGGGCTGAATCTCAAGTGGCCTTTACCTTTTCAGATACTAAGTTTGTAAACAGGAGACCTCATCGTTGCTCTCCCCACTGCTTGAAATAACTGCCTTCTGGGCACTGTTTTCACCTGCAACCCTGTTTTGAGGAGTAATTGAGAGAATTAGATGTAAAGTTCCCAGCACAGCCTTTAGTGCAGAGTGAGGCTTCATAAGCTGTTTTTCCCACCACCTCCCTCACTTTTTACACAGACTCCAAAACCCCTGGGTGGTTTGGGAAGTTAGGTTATTTGATTTGTGCAGAGTACAAGGTCAGGGCACCGTTTCATTCATTCAGCCAACATTGATTGAATACTCCTTGAGTACCAGGCACAGTTCTGGGTATACTTCAGGCCCAAGGAGACTCCTCAGGTTTAGTGGGAGAGATGGACACTAAACATATAAGCAAGCAGGTAATTTCGAATACATATTCTGATACAGCCCAACCTTTTCCCACAAGGCCTTGTAACCATCTAGAGAAATCCCTGGCTGACAGATAACAGAAGCTCTGTTCATTGGGTACCTGTAACGTGCTGGGCCCCGGGGTAGCTTTCCCTGCAGCTTTTTTCCTTCTAACAGCTCTGTGAGGATGGGACTGTTGCCTCCATTTTACAGATGTGAGAAACCAAGGCTCTGAGAGGTGGATGTGCTGAAGCTCACTGTATTAGTCAGGGTTCTCCACAAAAGTGGACCAATAGGGGTGTGTGTGTGTGTGTCTGTGTGTGTAGACAGATTGAGATTGATCGATATTTTAAGGAATTGACCCATGTTATGGTGGCATCTGTCAACTCCAGAATCTGCAGGGTGGGCCTCTAGGCTGGAGTCCAGAGAGAAACTGATGTTGCAACTCAAGTCCAAAGGCCGTCTGGGGGCAGAATTCGTACTTCCTTATGAAACCTCCGTTTTTTGTTTGTTTGTTTGTTTTTTCTTCTTAAAGCCTTCAGCTGATTGGATGAGGCCCACTCTCATTATGGAAGATAATGTGCTTTACTGATTAAACTGTTAATCTCATTTAAAAAATACCTTTACAATGACATTTAGACTGGTGTTGGGTGAAATATCTGGGTACTGTGACCTAGCCACATTGACACATGAAGTTAATCATTACAGTCATCCACCTAGAAAGTAGTAGAGCCGAGATTCCTACCCAGATCTGTCTGTTAAACCCATGCTTTCCCCAGTGCTTCTGAAGTTTATTCTCTCAGACGTGTTCTAGGGATAGTGTATGTTGCCTCTCCTGGGCCTCGGTGGTGGTGTGTGACGAGCTAGCCCAGAGACGCCTGCCTATGTGGGGCAGCCTCTGTGTGACTGGCTAGCATTTACCATGTACTTTGTCCTGAGAAAAAATGCGCCATGTTCGCCTTTCCCCCCGGAGACTGAAAACTGATTGTGTGCCATGAGTCACATGGGGAGCCAGGTTAGAGTGGGAGGGACTCGGAAGTGGACATCAGGGTTGGCGGAAAGCAGAACCATTGACTTTCCGCTTCTCAGGAGCAGGGCTGTGTGTAGACTGGACCTGCTCTTTGTCCTTGAAGGCTACTTCGTCCATGGTAGACAGAAGCCATTGCCTGGAAGAGGAGCCTGGGGAAGTGTTAATAGAACTGGAGCGGGAAAGGCAGGCACAGAGCTTCTGGTTGGAGGAACCTGTCCAATCCCAGCCCTGTCATTTACTAGCTCTGAGCTCACGGAATAAGTTGCCATCTCTGAGCTTCAGTATTTCCATTTGAGGAGTAAAGATAATATATATTTTATATATGTTTGTAGGCCGTTTGTATATCTTCTTTTGAAAAATGTCTGTTCTTGTTTGCTTACTTTTTAATGAGATTATTCATTTTTTTCATGACTGATGTGTTTGAGTTCCTTGTAGATTCTGGGTATTAACCCCTTATCGGATGTGTACTTTGCAAATACTTTCTTGAGTGGAGAAAGAAAACGTGGTATGTATACATCATACAATACTACTCAGTCATAAAGGGCTGGGCGCTGTGGCTCATGCCGGTAATCCCAGCACTTTGGGAGGCCGAGGTGGTTGAATCACCTGCGGTCAGGAATTTGAGACGAGCCTGGCCAATATAGTGAAACCCCATCTCTACTAAAAATACAAAAATTAGCTGGGCATGGTGGCATGCACCTGTAATCCCAGCTACTCGGGAGGCTGAGGCAGGAGAATAGCTTGAATCCAGGAGGTGGAGGTTGCAGTGAGCCGAGATCGTGCCACTGCACTCCAGCCTGGGTGACAGAGTGAGACTCTGTCTCAAAAAAAGAAAAACACAAACAAACAAAAAAAACTACTCGGACATAAAGAATGGAATACTGTCTTTTGCAGCCACTTGGATGGAACTAGAGGCCATCATCCTAAGTGAAGTAACTCAGGAACAGAAAAATAGCACATCCTCTAACTTAGAAGTGGGAGCCAAGCTGTGGGCACACAGGGGCATATAGAGAAACATAAGGGACATTAGAAACTCTGAGCAGGAGGGGAGGCGAGGGATGAAAAACTACCTATTGGGTCTAGAGTACATGTTGTTTGAGTGACAGGTACACTGAAAGCCCAGACTTTGCCGCTACACAGTTCATTCAAGTCACCAAAAGCCATTTATACCCTTAAAACTGTTGAAATAAAGGAAAAAAATAAAATTAAAAACAACATTGACTTTATAGAATTGTTTGCAGTTTAAAAGTGATGACACACGCAAAGTAGCAGGCAGTGGTTGGTGTTGTGGGTTGGAAATGCATTTAGGAGAGTGTCCAGGCTGTGGAAGGTCACAGCACATTAGCAGACACCTGTAAGTTAGTTTCTCCAAGTGGATAAATAATTAAGATGAGAATTATAGAGCAAACCTTTTCAAAAGCTTTTCCATCCATTACCCTGACAAAACAGTATTTGTGTGATTAGCCAGTTTCCCGACCTTTAAGTAAACCCTGAACAGGTAAGCCCCAGTACCCAGCTATGTGGCCACCCCAAATTGCAAGGTGGGCTGGGAGACGTGGGGCTTATTTGGCAGATAAGGAAGGAGCGATGAATACTGGGTAGGCAGCCAGGAGTCCCTGCTGCTTCTGGTGGCCTTGTGGGAGGATGAGGCTGTTGGAGTCAGGGATGGAGGGTGCTAAAGTCCCATCAAGCCACCCCTTTTTGCCCCACTCCTTGGGAAAACGTCATCAAATGTTGGGTCATAGCTGCAAGAGGATCCAGTCCCAGGTTCTAAAAGTGGCCCTCGTCTCTCTGGCGACCTCCATTAAGGGGTAACGTTTTATTTGTTCGACCTGATTTCCTCCCTGGCAGGGGCTTTCTTCTCCCAAATCACTGCAAATGGAATTGCCTGGAAATATCAAGTATCGATTCACGATTGTTGTTCATTTCATTTTTATTGTTTGGTAGGAAACAAAGACCCAGAAACACAACAGGAACAATTGGAGTGCCTCAGCTCCCTCCTCGGAAGGAGGCCAGACGTATATTTATTGTTGTCGTCATTAACTTTTTGGGGCTGTCTCAGCATTGTGTTTATTGGTGTAGTTTGTCAGTCAGCTTTTGTTTTCAACTGCTTTCTGTCCTGGGAGCTGACAGGTGGCTTGTTTTGTAAAAAGCCACTTTGATTTTGAAAACTGCTCTATTTTAAGTTTCTAATTGCAGCTTTTGTAAGGAAACTGGTCATTTTGTTTTGCTCGAGTGGGTAATGATGCCGTGGACCTTGGTTGAGAGTGACTTGCCTGAATATTTTTTTTTTTCTCAGACTGAATGGAAGAATCGATACCCTGCACAGAGAGAGAGCCTCTCTCCTGGTCTGGGCTTAATTCACTGGTTTATGGCTTCACTTGCATTCTTTGCATTTCCGTAGAAATAGACTCCCTCCTTGTCTTCCCTGTGGGGTGCCTTCTATTTACTCTGCAGTCTCCCTGATGCCTGGCACACCACACTGACCTCCAGATACCCCTGCTCCAGGAAGCCATCCATGATTTCCCTGCCATCATTTTTGCTAGTTGGTCACTCCCAGGTCTATTGCTGCCTATTTTATACTTTAAAAATGTAATCTCTTTATTTCTGTGGTGACAGATTCAAGAAACATTAGCCAGGATATAAGGTCATGAGAGTAGGGACTGAGTTGATGTTGATACTGTTGTGCACCTAGCTTCCAAAACAGTGCCTGGTCCCTGGTGGGTTATCAGTAGACATTTGATGAATAAATGAGTGAGTGAATGCATGAATGAGTTTGCTGAGCACCCAGTAATAATAGCCAACATGCATTAAGCACCATTGCTAGACCCTGTGCTAACTGCTTCATGGCAACTGTCCTGTGAGGTGGGTACTATTATCCCCATTTACACGGGAGAACTGAAGCTTAGAAAGGTCAGAGACCGGCTGGGCACGGCGGCTTCCACCTGTAATCCCAGCACTTTGAGAGGCTGAGGTAGGAGGAGGGTTGCTTAAGGCCAGGAGTTTGAGACGCAATCTCTACAGAAAAAAAAAAAAAAAATCAGAAGGTGTATAATGGGGCCAGACTCTCTGGGCTAAAGTCCCCTCCATGCACTCTATGTAAGTATTAGATTGTTATCATCAAGCGCTTTGCCCCAGGTGCACAGCTGGGGAGTGGCAGGGCCTGGATCTCTGATGTCCTGATACAGAAGTGAGTAATACTCTATATCTACCCACCTGGGGCTCATAGACTGGGGTGACTGGGTAGGCACAGGAACCTGGGCTCCAGAGGGGGGTGCCTGGTCTTTTTAGTTCAAGATTTCTGCCAGGCAGTGGAACAGGCAGGCAGGTGGACCTTGAGTCCTATGATGCCCTAGTTGGGTGCACTTAATTAGAGTCACTGGGAGGCATTTGAGGTACGTGCTGTACCCAGAATTCCTCAGCTTGCACAGCTTCCCCTTACCCTTTGTTTCTGATTTTGTCCTCGTAATCTCACTGTTTTGGGGAATGAATTCCTCCAAAAACACCCCGTTTCCTGCCTGTGGAGCCAATTAAGCCAAGCAAGGCTGTACCTTTAATTACTGCTGCCCTCATTTGCATCTGGCTGCCCTCATTATAGTGCTATTAGCAGAGTGCAGGGGTCCTCCTGCTGGCCCATCAGGAGTGGTGCGTGCACAGTTGTGGGGCCTTGCTTTGGTGGTCTTTGCTGCCTTCTGGGCAAAATGAAGGATTTGGAGTAGACAGCAAGCAGGCATACATCCTGGGCCAGAAGCAGCCTGCGGAGCTCATCGTGGCTTGCCTTAAATTGTTTCTCAACAATAAAGTTGTTGAAAAACAATTTGTGTTTTCTTTCTCCTTATTAAAAACCCAAAATTATATTCATTATAGAAAATTAAAGAAGATAGACACAAGAGAAAAAGGAGAAAATAAAATATCATTGATAAACCCTCAAGCACTGTTAATATTTTGGAATATATTTTTCCGAGTAGGTATGGCACTTTGCCACAAACAGTCTTGGGAGAAGCATTCTCTGCCTGAAGGGCTTTGTGACCCCTCCCCTGACCCTTTCCTTGACACATGGACTTTTTATGGGCTCAGAAGAAATATGATGGCACAAAAAGCAATAAATCATTGGTAGGGAGTTTGGGAAAATCAGATGAAGGTACAATGTGAGTGTACATAACATCAAGCACCTGCCAGCAGCCAGCCACACGTGTGTCCGAGATGACAAGAAGTCGGGTTTGATGGGCATGCAAGCTGACCACTGGTCTTGTCTGCTCCTTCATGTCTTCCTAAGGAAGGTGAGACAGCATTCATTATGCAGCCTGTACTGGGAAGCCTTATAGCATGAAGACTTAGATTGTGGGTGTTGGCCGAGAAAGTTCTAGCTCTGCCCTTTGCTAGCAGTGTGACCTTGGGCACATTGCCTGCCCATGTGCCCTCCCCACCCCACCCACCCCTACATCTCGTTTTGGATCATTTCTGTTGCTGAGTCTTCAAATTCACTCGCTTTCTCCATTTCTGTTGCTAAGTCTTCAAGTTCATTCATCTTCTCCATTTCTAGTGCTGAGTCTTCAAGTTCACTTGTCTTCTCTTCTGCAGTTTGCCCACGACACTTTCATGAGGCCACAGCTAGCTGCAAGGGATGCTGGGAAACATAGTCTCTTTGTTTTCCACCTAGGTGGCCAAGCACCCAGCAAAAATTGCTGATTTTCTTGCTAAACACAAAAAGAATGGGTATTAGGGGACACCTGCTGGGTTTCTTTTGTTTTTGTTTTGAGACAGGGTGTCCCTTCATTGCCCAGGCTGGAGTGCAGTGGTGTGATCATGGCTTACCTCATCCTTGACTTCCCAGGCTCAGGTGATTCTCCCATCTCAGCCTCTGAAGTAGCTGGGACTATAGCACACCTGGATAATTTTTTTGTATTTTTTGTAGAGACAGGGTCTCACGATGTTTCCCAGGCTGGTCTTGAACTCCTGGGCTTGAGCAGTCCTCCTGCCTTGGCCTCCCAAAGTTCTGGGATTATAGGCGTGAGCCACCATGCCCAGCCCCCAACACCTGCTGTTTCTGCCACACTTGTTTGTTAGCAGCCACTGTGCTTTTGATGAGCCATCTGGGAGGAGGTTCTGGCTTTGCTAGAGATACGGTGATGGGGTCAGTTCAGTGGAGACATGTGAAATATGGTCTCTACTCAATACTTTGAAACCTACAGGTGGTAGTGTGTCTAACACCTGTAGACAGGTAGTACAGGTAGTATATCTACCACCTGTAGTATGTCTGCCACCCGTAGGTGAGGCAGTGACTCATCCCTGTTTGGGTGAAACAGGATTGATCCTTCTCTTAATGTTTCAGCAGTAAGATGGCCAGCTGCTTTTAGTCCCATGCTTATTTCCCCTGTAAATCTAGGGTGTTCTTGGAGCATGAATGATTGGATTTACCATGGGCATATGTGCTGTTTATCTGCTATTGATCAGTGCCAAGTGAATTTCATTCAACTGGAATTCAGACCCAGGTCTAAATCTTGGCTTCATGCTCATGTCATTTGGGGATGGCATAACTCAGCCTCATCCTCCATCTATAAAACGTGGATGGTAACTGCCTGGCTTACTGAACAGTAGATCCAGGCTTGTGAGTGTAAGTTTTAAACTACTCTTTCTGTATAATTTGGTTCCTCATTGGGAGACAATAAAATTTTTCTTGGTTTCCCATGACTTGTTATCACTTTTCCCACCTTTTGGGGACAATTTTTAGCTGGAGAGTTCCAATTATGACAGTTGACATCCAATTAAATATGAATTATGGAAGGCTCTATTATTTGCAATGATAAAAAAATTGTTTGGATATATTACAGAGAATTGATTTCAGTGGAAGTAGACACTGGAGCTTGTACTTCATACTTTGATTTTTTAAATAATTTAATACTTTATTAGATTTTTAAAAATGAGTAATATATGCCCTTTATAACAAGTCTAGCAGTGCAGAGGTACGTAAAGAAGTTAATCTCTCCCGATGCTACCCTTTTTAGATCACCAGAGGTAATCACACAAATCTACTCCACAAACAAACGTATATCTATTCTTCCTATTTCTTTTCCAAAAATGGAATTACAGTCTATGTCAGGAGTTGGGAAACCATGGCCCATGGGCATGCCACCTTTTTAAATAAAGTTTTATTGGATCATGGCCATATTCATTCATTATTTCCATCTCCGCTTTTGAGCTATAACACAAGAGTTGAATAGTTCTTGCAGAGACCTGTGGCCTGCAAACCCCAAAATATTTACCATCTGGCCCGCTGAAGAAAATGTGTGCTGATCCCTGGTCAACCTTGCTTTTTTCAGGTAAGAGTGTATCACTGAACAGTCAGGAATTTTCCTCCTGATCAAAAGATGTATAGCTAAATCATTAATATCTGCATATTAGAGTCCATCATGTGGCTATGCTATAATTTTTCAAATCATTTCCTCATAGATGGAATTTAGGTTGTTTCCAGGTTTTTATTTATTATATATTATTTATTTTTTTAGACACAGTCTCGCTTTGTTGCCCAGTCTGGAGTGCAGTGGCGCGACCTCGGCTCACTGCAAGCTCCACCTGCCGGGTTCACGCCATTCTCCTGCCTCAGCCTCCCAAGTAGCTGGGACTAAAGGCACCTGCCACCAGTCCTGGCTAATTTTTTGTATTTTTAGTAGAGACGGGGTTTCACTGTGTTAGCCAGGTTGGTCTCGATCTCCTGACCTTGTGATCTGCCCGCCTTGGCCTCCCAAAGTGCTGGGATTACAGGTGTGAGCCACCGCGCCTGGCCCTGTTTCCAGGTTTTTGCTACTACAAAGAGGATTGTAGTAAGCTGTCTCCTTATATCCTGGGGCCTTTTGGCAGGAAGGAGGTTCAGAAGTGCTGTTGCTGATTCAAAGCGTGGGTGCAGCGTCCATCATTTGGTTTGCAAACCACATGTTATATCGTCAGTTGTCATCTTTGATCTACATCATCTTTTTTTTTTTTTTGATGTAACATCTTCTATAAAAGTGGTTTTCAGTCCTTTTTGACTGTGGCCCACAGTAAGAAATACTCTTTTAAGCATACACATATGTGTATATAGTCATTGAGACACAACCTTCTGGGAACAATACTTAACCTTTATTACGTGCAGAACGTTCTCATGTTTTATGTCCTGTTCTACTCTGTTTTAGCAAACGCCACTTGTGACTTACTGATTATTTTCGCTACCTTGCTAATGACATACAACCTGTAGTGTGAAGGCAGTTGTTGTGTAGAAAGGGGTAATATTCTGGAATGCCGTGGTGTACTTAAGTTTGATGTTCTTGTCTGTTCGTGAAGACCATTCTTCCCTTTCTCTCTTCCTTATTGAATGTATAAACATGTTTTCTCTTATTGAAAATTCATGCGTATTTTAACACATAATGTTTTTCTAATTGCAAAGTGACGCACAGACCAGTTTCCTCTGGAAATGAGGATTGTCCTGTGGTTTTTGTGTTTCACTGAAAAGAGTGGATTTAGGGGCTTTGCTACCACCATGCAGTGTAGACATACCTCTTGGCCAAGCCACCTTATAGGTGATTTGTCCTATCTTGGGTCTGGCTCAATCACTCGTACATTGATCCGGGTACCCCTCACTCCACAGCCCCCCAGCGCACACACGTGTACACACACGTGCACGTGCACGCACACACACCCCACCGGTACCTGTCCCGGCCTCAACTCTCTCTGTGTCCCTGACTGAGTGTCCTGCTTTGTTGGCTTTGGCCCAGACAAGCCTTGAAAACTGATTCTGCTGTTACTCCAGGGTCTCTTGCGACCTGCAGCCTTATTTTAGTAAGAAGAACCCCCACCCTTTCGCCACCGCGCTGTGAGTTGGAGGTAACAAGAATGTGTGTTATTTCACAGAGCTGAGAAGCTTGGGGTGCAGGTGTGGCTGGATCCAGGTGCTCAAACAGTTTACCAGGAAGATGCATCACTTTTTGTGTTGGTTCTGCTTCCAGTGTAGGCTTATTTCATTTTCAGTCAGGTTTTCTTTATGGGAGGGAGGGAGGGAGGAAGGGAGGGAGGGAGGGAGGGAGAGCAACAGATTCACAGGCACAAAAGCCCTGGGAGGTTAGGGGCCTGCATAGGACCCAGGGTGGCAGGAGGAAGAGGTGAGAGATGAACTGGAGAGACAGGCAGGGGTCAAGCAGGCAGACTCTGCGTGACCTGCTATGAGGCTGTGATTTTATCCTCAGGCTAGGGGGACCTGGTGAAAAATGGAAAGAGTGAAATGACCTGAGCCAATTTGCATGTTTCTTCCCTGCTCGTGCTGATCTCCCCTGCATGTTGCGTTGTTTCTGTGCACATCAGAGACTGGATTCTGCCTTTAAAGGGATGGTTACTTTTAGGCACCTAAAATATTTTTCTTTTCTTTTCCTTTTAATTTCTGACATTGTTTGAATTTAATGATTCATATTACGAATTATTCATGAAAATGATCTTTTAAGCTTCTTATAATAGCTGAAATTATCCGTCATTAGATGCTGACAGTTCCTGTGATGGGTGTAATTATAAAAACATATTCTTAGGCTGGCTATATTCTGCAGTGTTAAAATTACGCAAATGAGCAAGGGATAAGAATAGCAGCTGAGTAGGATGGTCAGGTTTTATGGGAGAAGGGGGGTGGTAGCGCTGCACATTTTCTAAAAATGAATAAATATGTGCTGTACACATTAAGTACGTCTTTATTACAGTCTGCCTCGATGCTCACCCTCTCTTCATTGGCAGGGGAGCAAATTAATTTTAGCGCCCTGAATTGTTTGTAGTTCTTGCCCATATATGAATCGTATGATGAAGTTTTTTTTTCTTCTTCTTCTTCATTCCACTCGGCATTTTCTGCGAGGCACACGTAGTAATCTCTGGTACTTCTGAAGAATGGCAAACTTGGCACTGATACGCAGCAGGCTGAGTGGGGAGGGGAGAGATTGGAGGGTGGGGGCAGAAAGCCGGGGGTCACTATCTAGATCACTGAGCCTGGGAAATCAGGCCCTCGTCTTGTTCCTGTCCAAAGGGTGACCAGATGGACCAGGTGTGGTGGCTCAGCCCCGTAATCCCAGCACTTCGGGAGGCCGAGGTGGGTGGATTACCTGAGGTCAGGAGTTTGAGATCAGCCTGGCCATCATGGTAAAACCCCATCTCTACTAAAAATACAAAATTAGCTGGGCATGGTGGCACACATCTGTAATTGCAGCTACTTGGGAGGCTGAGGCAGGAGAATCACTTGAACCCGGGAGGTGGAGGTTGCAGTAAGCCAAGATGGCGCCACTGCACACCAGCCTGGGCAACAGAGCAAGACTGTCTCAAAAATGAACAAACAAAAAAAGGATGAACAGATGGGCTATTCATGGCTTATAGTGACCAGCAACTTGGGTTTAACTTTGGTGGCTTTGTGGGGAAGTATTGGGAAGGGAAGGACTGAACATCCGTCGCATTTGCTGGAAAATTGTGGCGCCCAGGGCCCTGCATGCGTTGGTCCTGTCTGCCTGCTCTCCAGCGTGTCTGTTGAAAATGCCCCAACTGCCTCTTCCCCGCATGATCCCGTGCTTCCTTGGGTGCACTAAGGAACTCCCAAGAGAGGGGTTGTTTATTCCAGGGCACTGTCACTGACCGTACCATCTCATTTCAACTCATCAGCAGTGACGAGCAAGTGAGCTCTCCCTTCTCCCTGCCTTGGAACTGGACCTTTCCACGTTAGGTAGAGAGGATGATAAAGAATAAAAGCTAAAATTTAAGTAGTGCTAACTCCATGCCGGGCACTGTTTGAAGATCTGTACATTGACTCATTGAATCGTCACATAAGCCTACATAGGTAGGTGCTATTACGATCTTCATTCTGCAGATGCAGAAACACAGAGAGCTTAAGTCACTTGCCCAAGGTCACAGAGCAAATTAGGAAACAGAAACAAGCCTGGTAAAGTTACATTGATTTCTGATGGGTGCAGGGGTGAGGGTGGGTTGAGGGGGTTGTATAGTGGGAGAAATGGTTGATCTGCCCACTGAAACATTCTCAAACAAGCGGGCTTGAAATTGATGTCAGCCCATCCTCTAAGCCTCTCCTTTCCTTGTTAGCTCTTCCACAGTGGACATGCATTGTTTTTATAAGGGAAAAAGACCACTTGATAAAAGACAACCACCAGCTTGTATGTTTACATCGAATGGACATTCAGTTGGGGCAGCTTCCCGCTGGGCTTCTGGTGCAGGCAGGAAGAAGAGTGGGGCTGGCTACTTCATATCTGGGTGAAGCTTCACAGTTTGCAGAGTGCTGTCTTTTTTCTTTGAGACAGAGTCTCTCTCTGTCACCCAGGCTGGAGTGCAATGGTGCAATCTTGGCTCCCTGCAACTTCTGTCTCCTGGGTTCCAGCAATTCTTCTGCCTCAGCCTCTTGGGTAGCTAGGACTACAGGCACCCGCCACCATGCCCAGCTAATTTTTGTATTTTTAGTAGAGATGAGGTTTTGCCATGTTGGCCAGTCTGTTCTCAAACTCCCGACCTCAGGTGATCCGCCCACCTCAGACTCCCAAAGTGCTGGGATTACAGGTGTAAGCCACGACGCCCAGCCTGCAGAGTGCTGTTTTCATTTGGATGCTTTGACAGCCCTTTGAGGCCACAGGTGTAGATATTATTCTCACTTTGAAAGTGGCTAAACTGAGGCTCAATGCAGGGCTCTGCAACTGGCAAGTGGCGGAGTGGGCAACTGAGTTTAGGTCTTTGGATTCTAAATTTGGGACTCTGGCTCTTGTCTCCTTTTGACACTAGTGATCTGAAATGCGTTTCCTCAGTGTGAGTTGTCATTATGAGTAGGGTTTCTGGAGTCAGACCATGTAAGGGTGAACCCCAATGCTACCACTCAGCAGCTGTGTGATGCTGGGCAAGTTACATACCCTCCCTGGGCCTCAGTTTACTTATGTGTAAAATCGAGATTATACTAGTATTAGGCTGGGCATAGTGGCTCACACCTGTAATCCCAGAACTTTGGGAGGCCGAGGCTGGAGGATTACCTGAGGCCAGGAGTTTGAGACCATCGTGGCCAACATGGCAAAACCCTATCTCTATTAAAAATACAAAAATTAGGCTTCGCACGGTGGCTTATGCCTGTAATCCCAGCACTTTGGGAGGCTGAGGAGGGTGGATCACCTGAAGTCAGGAGTTTGAGACCAGCCTGGCCAACATGGTGAAACCCTGTCTCTACCAAAAATACAAAAATTAGCAGGGCGTGGGGGCATGTGCGCCTGTAGTCCCAGCTACTCGGGAGGCTGAGGCAGGAGAATCGCTTGAACCCAGGAGATGGAGGTTGCAGTGAGCCAGGATGGCGCCATTGCACTCCAGCCTGGGTGACAAGAGAAGAAAAAAAATTCAGGTGAGAGTCATGTGTACTTGACTGAATTGAAATCTGTTGACTGTGCTGCTGCTTTGCCCTGTGGGTGGGCCCAGCGCTTCTGCATGTGATGAGGCATTGAGACCTAGAGGGGACCTTTTCATCTGTCATCATGGTGGCTGCCATGTATTGAGGGCTTACTTTTTGCCAGGCTGTTGGCAAGCATTTCATGGCCAGTGGCTCGTGGAATCCACGCCACAGTACTTTATGATACGTTCTGATCCTTATCCTGTTGGACATACGAAGAAACGTAGCCTCGGAGGGGTTCAGCAGCTCATTGAAGCCCATGTGGATAATGGAGGCGAGAGTTCAGGTGGATGCCCAGGTCTCCTCACTCCAGAGCCACGGCTTCTACCTCTTGCCTTGCCCGTGGTAGCCTTCCTCCCCTAGCCAGCATGCAGTTGGTATTGCAGAGCTGGGTGGAACTCTTTTTCCTTTTGTTTCTTTCTCAGCATGTAAAATACTACTCTACTTGAGTAGTAGGTTATTGGGGCACCTGGCATCAGCCTTCAGGAGTCGAGTAGATGTGGTAAATTCTACATCTCCCTTGCTCCCTGCATTCCTCCCTCTCCTCTTCCCTTTTTCCTTTCCTCTCCTTCCTCCCTCCTTCTTTCTCTCTCCCTCTCAATCCTTATTGCTTTCTCCGACAACTGTTTTTAGAGGGCCTGCCATAGGCCAGGCCCCGGTGGATGCCATGATGCAGACCTGAGACATGGTCACTCCCCCTGGGGCTCCCAGCCTGGAGAGGAGGGAGTGGTGACTACACCACAGGACGTGTTTCTTAACACGGTGCTGAGGACATCCAGGTGCAGCTGGAGCACCGTGTGGAGCTCCTCACCCATTCTAGATCAAGGAAGGGTTCTTGGAGAAAGTGACATTTGATCAGAGGGTTGAAGGTTGAGTATGAGTTCTTCAGGTCAAAACAGGGAAGTGAGATGGCCAAAGCTCACTGAAGAATTCTAAAGAGCCTACATGTGCAAAAGCAGGGAGTATTGTTGAATTTACCGGTGGATCTTTGTCTAGGCAAGGGTTTGTTTTTTTGTTTGGATAGTAAGCAGGCACAAAACCAGATAGTCCACCAAGACAAGCCTGATGGAGTCCCAGCTCTGTGTCCTTTTGCATGTGTTTACAGTAATGAGCCCAGGCAAACGTGACAGGGTTCTAGGAGCAGGATCAGTTCTCATGAACTGTGGATTCAGATCTGTGGCTGTACATAGGGCCAGCTCAGAACCAAACCTGAGCATTCTCCCATCAAAGGGTGAAGACTCTTGGCTTCATAGATGCTCTGCTCTGTTCCAGCAAGGGTGGGATAGTTGATAACCTTGCAAACCAGCCTGTGGATCTTGACCTCCTCTTACTTTAGTCAGAAATCTTTCTAACATCTGTTATTCTAACAAACAGTGCCTTTGGTATTGATTAATATTGATTAATATCAAAGGCATTGATATTAATAACAGTATCAGTGATATTAATATCACTGCCTTTGATATTATCTTTTGATCAGAGGTAAAGACAGCTGAACTCTTAATGTATCTACCTTTAAGGGACATCTTTTTTACTTGGCTCTAGGTGTATCATAAACTTTGTAGTAGGCATCTGGTAACGGCTTGGCTGTGTCCCCATCCAAATCTCATCTTGGATTGTAACTCCCACAAGTCCCACGTGTTGTGGGAGGATCCCGGTGGGAGGTAATAGAATCATGGGAGCGGGTCTTTCCCATGCTCTTCTCATGATGGTGAATAAGTCTCATGAGATCTGATGGCTTTAAAAACGGGACTTTCCCTGCACAAGCTCTCTCTCTTTGATGTCTGCCATCCACGTAAGATATGATTTGCTCCTCCTTCTGCCATGATTGTGAGGCCTCTCCAGCCATGTGGAACTATAAGTCCATTAGACCTCTCTCTTTTGTAAGTTGCCCAGTCTTGGGTATGTCTTTATCAGCATTGTGAAAACGGACTAATACAGCATCCAGGTCAGCCCAGGTACAAGTTGTAAGGTAGAGGCAGCATGGAAAGTTAAAGGCCTTTCTGGCATCGCATGAAGATTTGAGGAGCTGATACAGGGATTTGACCAGATCTCAGCAAAGCCCAAACAAGTCTTGTTCTTCCTCATGTGTTAAAAAAATGTGTTGACTTTCTAGCATCCAGCCCACATTGACTTGGGCACCCTCAATGTAGTTAACTCCACAATAATACACTAGAGTTACTGAAGAGGCTCTCCTGCCTTTTAACTAACCCCAGTAAGACAGATGAAGCAATTGAGTTCTGTGTTTTACACTGGGAAACTAGCCAGCATCCAGCCCTCATCCTCCGGCATTCTAGCAAGGGGCAAATTCATACAAGGTACTAAACCCCTCGCATACAAATGACTTCTCTGTTGTTCCACTCTTTCCTAATAATTAATCCTAGTGATGATTAATCTTTTCGAACTTACATCATCTGAAGAACGGTCGTGTTCGACATTCTGGAGATCTGAAAAGTGCTCTATGTGTTTAATGTTAATAGGCAGCCACTAGAAAGGTGCAGAATAAATCGAATTAATATTGTCTGGGAGTTTGGGATGTCGTAACCAGCAGAGGCCCAAAAATGAAGTGGATGCTGGCAGAAGGCATGAATCACCTCCCTGCAACAGGAGAATGTTCTTATGATTTTTTAATGACCCCCTGAAAATGAATGTGCACTATTAAGGTAAACTGTTTAAAAATTAAGGCTTTTGTAATTCTGTGAGTTTAAAAGGAGGAGAGAGAGGGAAAGAGAATCTATAGACTGTATGGTTGATAGGAGGCAGCTTGTGGAGCTGAAGGGGTCTGCATGGAGCCCCAGGTTCTCTGTTTATTCTAGAAAGAGGGTTTGGGTTTCCAGGGGAGCTGAAGGGCGTGGACTGAGCCTTCTTTTTTTTTTTTTTTTGGAGACAGAGTCTTGCTCTGTCACCCAGGCTAGAGTACACTGGTGCAATCTTGGCTCACTGCAACCTCTGCCTCCTGGGTTCAAGCAATTCTCCTGCCTCAGCCTCCCGAGTAGCCGGGATTACAGGTGTGTGTCATCATACCCAGCTAATTTTTTGTGTGTATTTTTAGTAGAGACGGGTTTCACTGTATTGGCTAGGCTGGTCTCGAACTCCCGACCTTAGATTATCTGCCCACCTTGGCCTCCCAAAGTGCTGGGATTACAGGCATGAGCCACCACGCCCCACTGAGCCTTCAGGTTTTGGTGGCATTTATGTAACACGTCTACTGGCTAGCTGATTCCATCTTCAGGCGGCAGGGTCTGGCTACCATCCCTAATCGAGACCGGATTTGAATCTATCTTTGAAAGGGAAATTTGGACTTGGCCAATGCTCAGATAAGTTGGGATTATGGGCTGGGACTGTGGTGAAGTGTAGGATGAGGCTGGAGACTCCCTGTTGGGGCTTTTGTACAAGCCAGCATTGCTGTTGTCATGCAGTGCATCTGGGGGTCTGGCGGATTGGGTGCTGCTTTTCTGGGGACATAGCAGTAGCTCTTCCTTTCTCCCCATTTTACTTCCCTTGTCATCCCACAGAGCTGAATGTTCCGATCATGACCGTGTGGTTAGGAACAGCCCTGTTTAGCGCATTTCTCACCTTTTCCTTTTCCTCACTTCTTCTCTTGGACTCCTTCCCCCAACCCAAATGATCTGCACCCCAGTGACAACGTGGAGTGGCTCCGCGGAAGATGGATGATACACACTTGTGATGTTGCTCATGTTTTATGGTTAACTGCCTGGAATTCTTCAGAGTTCTTTTCATAGCAGTTGAAGGCTGAAAGGCACACAGAAATGACCAACTCAATTCTGTCAACATTTGCTGAGTGTTCTTTTTCTGTGTCAGGCCCTGGGAACTGGAGCTTATCTTACACAAATCTATGGGGGGAAAGTAAGTTCTCTAGATTCTTGCTATTCAAAATGAGGTCTCTGAGGCCGGGCGCGGTGGCTCATGCCTGTAATCCCAGCACTTTGGCGGGCTGAGACAGGCAGATCACCTGAGATCAGGAGTTCAAGACCATCTTAGCCAACATGGCGAAACCCAGTCTCTACTATAAATACAAAAAGTAGCCAGGCATGGTGGCTCGTGCTTGTAATCCCAGCTACTCGGGAGGCTGAGACAGGAGAATTGCTTAAACCCAGGTGGTGGAGGTTGCAGTGAGCTGAGATCCAGCCAGTGCACTGCAGCCTGGGCAACAGAGCGAGACTCTGTCTTAAAAAAAAAAAAAAAAAAAAAAAAAAAGACCGAAGTGAGGTCTCTGGACCAGCAGTAGTGGACTCGTCACCTGGGAGCATGTTAGAGAGGCAGGATGTTGCTGGGCTGGCCCACGCCTGTAATCTCAGCACTTCCAGAGACTTAGGTAGGAGGATCACTTCAGCCCAGGAGTTCAAGACCAGACTGGGCAACACAGTTGAGACCCTGTCAGGAAAAGAAAAGGAGAATGTCAGACCTTACCGTCTCAGAGTCTGCACTTTAACAAGGCCCCCAGCCGAGCTGTAGACACATTAGTGTTAGAGGCACTGAAATGTTCTCGGTCTCTGTAGAGAGATGGACAGATATTGACACCATACTGCTATTCTCCCTTCCACACCCATGGCAGGCATCATTAATCAAACAGGATACTTTTCCCCAATGATCCCTGTCTAAACTTCCAGCACGTTCTCAGCACAGTGTTATAGATGGCCACTTCCAGTTGGTCCGAGTTGGCACTCGAGGTCAGGTTCAGCTGCTTTACCTTGCCTCCAGCACAGTCCATGACAGCAGCAGCATCCTGCTCTCTCTGCCTCTGCTCTGGTCACTCTTACCCCTTTCTTTACAACACAGAGCTTTCTTTTAAAACTACAAATATGCTCAAGATATTTTCCTGCTTAAAACCCTTCAGTGACTTCCCGTTGCAATTAAAATGAAATCCAGATGCCTTACCATGACTTGCAAAACCCTGCCTGACTTGGCCCTGCCCACCTTTTCAACCCTGTCTGGTGCGCAGCTCCCCAACCTATGCTGTTCTCTGCCTGTATCACCTCATTTCAGTTCCTGGAACAAGCCGTGTTTTTCCCGCCTCAGGGCTGGGCTGACCAAAGTCACCGTCTCTTGAGTTTTCCCACTGTCCACGTGAAAAAGCTAGGGGCACAGAGACTTGATTTGCCTGAGGCCACATGGCGAGTCAAGAGCCAGAGGGACTTCATTGCAAAGCTGGTGATGCGGGGCAGGCTGCCTCCCTGCAGTGACCACACGAGGGAGCCTCCACCGAGTCTTCTGACTCCTGCTGCTCTCCCTAAGTGAGTGTCTAGAATGCGCTTTTCTCCCCCACTCCCAAATGCCTTGCAGGGCTTGCTTGCCCTCATTCCTTCACACAGACCTTGGACTTGCCACCTCCTCAGAGAGCCATTCCCTGGCCTGCCAGGATGTACCTTGCCCCCTTCAGCATTCCAGCTATGTTTTATGGAGCACTTGTGACAATTTGCAGTATGTCTTATTTATTCCTGGTTTGAACTTGTTTTCGGTTTCTCCACTAGTCTGTAAGCTCCCTGGTAGCAGGATTCCTGTTTGTGTTATTGGCCTCCATAACTAAAGCACCAGCATAGTACCTGGCACATAGTAGGTGTTCAGTAAATATGATTTGGATGTGTGCATGAATGAATAATGGAAATGGTCAGGCCAGTCCTAGGATTTTAGGCCTGGTCTGGATCTAAATGAACATCTAACCAATTTCCATGTCGTGTATGCGGCTAAGCGAAGAAAAAGAGTGGTTTCATCTCCCTGATGTCAAATGGCCAGTTGGACCCAGCATGAGTTTTTGCCAATGTAGAGATACTTTTGTGACTTATGTCCAGTGGACCACATCAGATGGCCCCAAATAAACCTTCTTCCTACCATTTTTCATCTTTTACAATTCCCTTTGAAGAATGGTGGGGTTTTTTTTTTTTGACTGTCACATGATGTTTAAAGAAAAATCAAGGAAGATAAGTTCCTGCATTCTTCAAAGATCTACCGTCAAAGGGATTTACCTAACAATTGAAGTAGTGTAGAGGGTTGCTGTTCTTGGGGTAGTGCCTTCAGCCAAGTCAAAAGGGATGAACTGAGCTGACGCTGAGGTTACCTCTGCAGTCCGACCTGTACTGGTCAACTGTGCTTGGACCTAGATCACTCAGGTAGCTCAGCTCTGTCTCATACTGGTCTGGTTGGACTTACGAGATAATTCAGAGGAACTGCTTTCATTCTTTCTAGGACAGGGTTCAGCAAACTTTTTCTATAAAAGGCTGGATAGTAAATATTTTTGGCTTTGTTGTCCAGATGGGTCTCTGTCACAACTGCTCAGCTCTGCTGTTGTAGCAGCCGCAGACATTGTGTAGATGAGTGGGCTTGGCTGTATGCCAATAAAACTTTATTTACAAAACTTGCATCAGCCCGGATTTAGCCTCAGGGCCATAGTTTGTACACGTCTGTTCTAGGAGTGTTTAAACGAAAACAAAGAAAATGTAAAAGACAGCTTTCATTAGTTGTCAAAGTTTGCCTGCAAACTGTCTTGAAAGCTTCTGAAGCTGGTCCTTGGACTCAGGAGCTTGTTCTTAAACTTGAGAAACATCATTGTCTGACTTCCCGTTTGGGCAAAGAGTCAAGCCATGATTTATCAGTTGCAATAAATAGCTTGTATTTTTCCAAATAGACAATCACGTTCTCTTCATTAGCAACCCATCTGCTGGACCTGCAGTAGTACTGAGGAAAGATGCCTTGGTAAACACAGTAGCAGGATTGCAAAGTGCAAACGAACCCTCTTGCTTTGGTGACAGCTTGTTTGTGGAAACTGGACCATTCTGCAAATGAGTTCATCGATCTTGCCTAAATACTGGAAGGGCCTGTTCAACATTAGGGGAAATGCCAATGTATTTTGAGACAGATCAAACAAAGCTGCAAGTGGACAAATTTTAGCATTTGTTTTTTAACGAATGAGCAGATGGTAGGCCTTGAATGCCCCAAATGCTTATCTTTGAGTTAGGTTGGGGGGAAAATAGGGAAACCAAATCCAAAGTGAATACGTTAATACTGTGCCATCACCTAGAAACTATTTGGGCTGCACGTTGGAGTTGCAATTGTGACTCTTAAGAATAAAAATGTTTCTCCCTTGTAATAAGTCGTATGTATGTATGTATGTATGTATGTATATATGTATGTACTTACTGAGATGGAGTCTCTCTCTGTCACCCAGGCTGGAGTGCAGTGCCATGATCTCGGCTCACTGCAACTTACGCCTCTTGGGTTCAAGCGATTCTCCTGCCTCAGCCTCCCGAGTAGCTGGGACTATCTGTAGGCATGTACCACCACACCCGGCTAATTTTAATATTTTTTTATTACAGATGGGATTTCACCATGTTGGCCAGGCTGGTCCCGAACTCCTGACCTAAGGTGATCCTCCCACCTCGGCCTCCCAAAGTGCTGGAATTACAGATGTTAGCCAATGTGCCCTGCCGGTAATAAGTCATTTAAACATTAAACTGTCTGATTAGGAAACAGAGGCACAGGTTGATTAAATAGGATGTAAAGGTCCCTGGATTGGGTTGTAAAACTTAGTCCCTTTCCACCATACCATCCAGCTCACTAGGGAAAATGAGGAAAACAGAACTTCGTTTAAAGTATTTTCCCTCTCTGTAGACACTTTCTTAAAAACATAATTGAACTCCTGCTGTGCATACAATTTTGTTTGTTGCTTTTTACCCCACTTAATCGTCTATCACAAAGCCTTTTCTATCATTATGTTGACTGCATTGCTGTAATTTGTAACAACTGTGTGATATTCCAGCTAGTGGATAGACCAGAGTTTTAGTCAATTTCCAATTGTTGGGCCTTTTTAAAAAAAAAACAAAAAACAAAAAACAAAAACAAAACTTTTACTATACTGTAAAATGCTGCAGGGAATGCCTTTTGTGTACAGAATTTCCCCATGTTTCTAGTTATTTTGGAGGATGTGGTCTCATAGGCAGAATTGTTGAATGAAGTGCTAAGGTTTTTCTGACTTCTGTTTCGGGTTTCCATATTGCTCCCCAGGATTGTGGCCATTTTAAAGTGTCACCAGCAAACAGGCCCTCTTGGCCACTCTCACCAGCATTCATAACTGTTGCCATTGGAACTCCAGTAGGCAAAAACCTAGCTCCTTATATTTGTAATTCATGAGTCACTGTGGAGATGGAATACTTACTTTTTTCTGTGTTTATGAATTGAATTTCTTTTTGGTGAATAATCAGCTCATTTCCTTGGCCTATGTGTTTCAGGGGTTTTTCCTCTGGGTTATGTGAGGACTTGGTATCAATAAAGATGCTGGCCCTTTGTTTTAATGGATTCGTAAGTTCTCATGTCTGGGAATTGTCATGAATTGTCCTGCCCTTCTGGTTGTGTGCCCCAGTTTAGGTTTTTAGCAGTTGTTGTGATTTAGGCACTTGGACAGCCCATATTTTGAGGATGAAACCTTCAAGTCTGTTTGAGGATACTTTAAAGGGCTTATGGCCATTAAGGGGGAAGATGCATTTGTAGGCCATGTTAGTAGATGTGGTTTAAATGCTTGAATTGGCTGGGAAGGTGGCTCACACCTGTAATCTTTGAACTTTGGGAGGCCGAGGTGGGCAAATCACTTGAGTCCAGGAGTTCATGACCAGCCTGACCAACGTGGTGAAACCCCGTCTCTACTAAAAATACAAAAATTAGCTGGACATAGTGGCGTGCGCCTGTAATCCTTCGGAGACTGAGGCACAAGAATCGCTTGAACCCAGGAGGGTGGAGGTTGCAGTGAGCCAAGATCGTGCCACTGCACTCCAGGCTGGGCCACATAGTGAGACTCGGCCAGAAACAAACAAATAAATGCTTGAATCGTGGCTTTTGTTTGCTTTGGTAAACAAAGGAAGAGTTTTCGTTTTTAATCTTTCAGTGGGCTTCACGGTGGAGTAGTGGAAACGTTGGGGAATCTGGCTATTCATGAGAGTGTGATTCTCCCCAAAGCCAACAAGGACCCTTTTCCTTTTCTTTTTGAGACAGAGTCTCACTCTGTCACCCAGGATGGCTGCAGCCTAGAGGGTGACTGTGGGCAGAAGATGTCCCCTGAGAGGGCTGGAAAGGAGATGACACACAGAAGTCAGCACACATTGGTCCTTCAAAGTATCCTATGGAGACACCTCTGTACTCACTATCAGCCTCAATGCTGAGTTCACAGCCCACCCAGCATGGGCTTGGAGGGGCATGGAGGCTGGTTGGGGGAGGTGGTCCACCCGGAACTTGTCCTCCCAAGCCCCAGCCTGGCAAGTTGTAGTCTTGGGAGACTGAAACCCTGACCCTCACATGCAAGTCACCACAGTTCTGGATGAGAGATGGAAGAGCAGCTTGATTTGCTGGAAATGCCTTCCTCTTTGTCTTCATCTTCTTTGTCTTCTTTGTCTTTGTCTTCCTCCTCCTCCTCCTCCCCCTATTCTTCCTCCTCCTCCTTCCTCCCTCCTCCCTGCAAAAACATGTAGTCAGTCCAGGTACCCATCAATGGTAGACTGGATAAAGAAAATGTGGTACATATACACTATGGGATACTATACAGCCTTAAAAAGAATGAAATCTTGCCCTTTGCAGCAGTATGAATGCAGCTGGAGGCTGTTATCCTAAGCAAATTAGTGCCCCAACAGAAAACCAGATATTGCATGTTCTGACTTATAAGTGGGAGCTAAACAGTGGGTACTCCTGGACAGGAAGATGCTAACAATAGACACTGGGGGCTACAAGAAGGGGAGGAAGGGAGGAGCAAGGGTTGAAAAACTACCAGTTGGATACTATGCTTACTGCCTGGGTGATGGGATCATTTTTACCCCAAACCTTGGCATTATGCAATATACCCATGTAACAAACCTTCACTTGTACCCCCGAATCTGAAATGAAAGGTGAAAAAAACCACACAAACAACTTTATTGAGATATAATTCACATGCCATACAATTCATCTATTTAGTGTATGATTTAATGATTTTTAGTATATTCATAGAGTTGTGCATTCACAACATTTTAGAACATTTTCACTCCCTCACAAAGAAGCCCATTTTCCTGAGCAGTCACTCTCCACCCCAGGGCCTGGCAAGCACCATTCTCCTTCCTGTCTCTGTGGATGTGCCTGTTCTGGACACTTCATATCAGTGGAATGATACAGTGTATGGCGGTTTGTGATAGGTTTCCTTCATTTAGCATAAGGTTTTCAAGGTTTATCTACATTGTAGCATGTATCAGGATGGCATTCTCTTTTATGGCTAAAACAGATTTTACTATAAGGATATGCCATATTTTGTTTACCCTTTCGTTAGTCGATGGACATTTGGGTTTCACTTTTTGGCTGTGATAAATAATGTTGCAATGAACATTCACGTACAAGTTGTGTGGACGTGTTTTTCATTTCTCTCGGGTATAACCTAGGAGTGGGATTGCTGGGTCAAAGCGGCTGTACCTTCCCACCAGCAGTGAATGAAGGTTCCAGTTATTCTACCATGTCCTCACCAAACACTTGTTATTGTCTGTCTTTTTTTTATTGTAGCCATCGAGTGGATGTGAAGTGGCACCTTCACGTTTGCAAATCAGTGGTTTCAATTTGCATTTCCCTGATGGTTGATGGTGTTGAGTATCTTTTCATTCTACAAATGGCTTACTGGCCATTTGTAGATCTTCAAAGGGTGTCTTTTCAAATCTTCTGTCCATTGCTTAATTTGTTTAGTTGTCTTTTTTATTGTTGAGTTGTATGAGTTCTTTGTGTATTGTGGATACTAGACCCGTATCAGAGATACGTGATTTGCATACCTTTTCTACCATTCTGCAAGTTTCTTTTCATTTTCTCGATGGTGTCCTTGAGGCATACCTGTTTTTAATTCTGATGAAGTTGAATTCATCTATTTTTTCTTTTGTCATGTACTTTTGGCATCATATCTAAGTTTGTCTTTAAAGCAGTGTTTCTGTTAATTTTAGGCTTCAAAATGATTTGATGTTAGAGCTGAGATGCTGTCGGCTTCAGCCCAGAGGTTTTGGGGGTTGTTGGTTGGAGAGTTGTTCATTCCCTCTCTGGACTTAGCACTGCATTGTGTGTTTCCCCACCTGAAATTACTTAGGGCTATGTCCGTCTGCCTACTGGCATCATAGGCACTCAGAAGATACCCGCTGAATGGATGGATGATGGGATGATGACTTCCTGTTTGGGTCTCAGCTCCCTACCTTACACGTGGCTCTCATTCTTTGCCTTTATGTTTCTCTCTCCTTTTCACCCATCCTTCTCTTCTCTGAGTGTGTGTATGTGTACTTTTCTCCCTCATTCCTTCCTTCCTCCTTTCCCTGTCTCTCTCTGTCTTTGGCTTTGTCTCTTTCTCTTGGAATCTGTCTCTGTCCTGCCCTTATTCTGTCCCTCTGTGTCTTTTTTTTCATTTTTCTTTAACTTTTTCTTCTAAGCTGTTGACCTTATCAGATGAACTTTGCAGTCAGTTGGAAACAGGCTCACTTGCTCACTCTTTCTTTCCTTTCTCTCTCTGTCCCTGGTGTTCAGTAAGTTTAGAGAAGAAATGCACAAACTATTGAGTTCCCCTTCACCAACGTGCCCCAGAGTTGGCAGAAGTCAGAGACCAGCTGGCACCAGGCATCCCGCAGTGCTCGTGTTTTCAGCTTGCTGTGTATGAGGCTGTCCCCTGGGCCTGCGGTACTTAATTTGAAATTTGGTTAGGAAGCGGCAGTGATCCATTTTCACATTTGGAGGTACATATTTGGCATGTCAGATGGGAGCAGTACAGACAGATTTTTTTTTGTGCACTACTGCTTGAGTTTGTCAGGAGTTTTATTATGGAAATCACTATTTCTGCCTTTCCATTTTCCCAAGTTACTTTCCTATATTGATATATTTTCACCTGCCTAACATTGGCATATTTTTCAGGGTTCTTGCTTTACGATTCAGTAGCAAGACTCAAAATAACACAGAGGAAAGAAGTGAAAAAACCTCTGGGTAAAAAAAAGACTTGCATCCACATTTTTTTTATTGAAAGGAAACTTCATCAGTGTTTTGAACAGAAAACTTAAACACAATAAAGGTGGATGAAAACATGGGTTGTAAATTGTGTGTGTGTGTGTGTGTGTGTGTATGTGTATGTGTGTGTGTGCTTGGAGTGTAGATTCTGACATAAAAATCACAGTTCTTTTGGCAGTGTATAGAAACCTTAGGAAACTGAATGGTAACAGGTAAAGATTCAGAAATGAATAGCAACTTAGGGATTACTGGAAAAGTACAATTTTCTGTTTCTGTAGGACTTCTTTCTGCTAGGGTAGGGGACGGAATAAATGTTATTTAAAACTCTCTGTTTCCTTCCTGTCCTCTCTGTCTCATATATGCTGCTCCTGGTTGCATAGATAGCCCAGAACTGCTTTACGTACTTATTTCCCAATACTATGGGCTTTGATTTTATATCTGTTTTCCCACATCAATCTGACATAAATCTCATCAAATACCCATCCACTGTTGCCCCAACAGTTAATACATCATCTGGTTGAACCAAAAGATCAAACTGGAGAAGGGAATGCGGTCACTGTTAGTCTTCTAGTGTCTATTTTCAAAGCCTTCATTTGAAGACCCATGGGGAGTCTGAGGAGGGCATGGGGCAGGGGAGAAGCCAGGGGTCTTGACCCTTCTGTTGAGGGTGACCTCTTTTTGTACTTTCATTTCTCGCTATTCTTCTTCTTGTACTTTATACCACAGCAATGCTGAACTACTTGGGATTAAGCAAGGCTATTATTTACTGCAATGGTTGGTGCCTAGAAGCCCTTTTCCCACTACGTCTTCTCTGTTGCATGACTTTCCGCATCCCTGAAGACTTAGTTCGAGGTGTCACCTACTCTGGAAAGACTCTGTGGGTCCATTGAATGCTATTCTTCCTCCTGTCATGCTGACTGCTGTCACTACCGCCATCTGTCCCACTGTGTTGGAAAACCAGCCACAGGCTACCACTGATTGAAGACTCCCTATGTGCCAGGTACCACAGTGAACACTTTGAGATGCTGGCGTTCCTCTTTCGCATCTCCCTTGGCCCTGTGCTGACATTAGTCTGAGCACTCGTCACATGCTTCGGTGATCAAGCATTTGGTCATCCGTCCTCCCCTAGTGGATTCTGAGTTGCTTGGAGGAAATGCTTTGTACCTTCTTCCTGCCTTGGGAACTGTGCTTGACACGTGGTGAAGGTCAGCAAGTCGGTGCTGCATGAATGGATGGAGAAAGCCGGGTGGGGAGTAAAGGCACTGGGCAGCATGAGGGCTTTCCTGGAACTTGAAGGTTGGTGCAGGCTTGGACCTCCGGCTGGCTGGGTCATTCTTATAGAATATCTTGGGAAACTGACTCTCAGTCTCACAGTAACTTCTCAGGAATGTGTTGGCTGTTTGCAGCAGTTGTACCTGGGGGCAGGCAGATGCCGTGCCCCAGTCTCCAGAGTAGGCAGGTGGGACGTAGGACAGGAGGGTGCGAAGCTCTGTCCACCCCCGACTCCTCACCCCCACCAGCATAAAACAGAAAAAGGGAGTTTCTGAAGCCCAGCGGTGTTTCCTCTCATGCACAGCGAGAATCACAAAGTGTGTCCACTGAAGGGCCTTTGGGGAGGTGGGGAGCTGTGCCTCTGTCTGGGAGTGGGCAGTTTCCCCTGCTTTATGCGCTTATCTCTAAGCCTCCCAGATTTTGCAATTAAGGACATTTCACGTTTTTCGTGTCTCTCTGACCATCATGTTGCTGTTCTGTTGTGACAGCCATGCCCCTGGATAGGATTTAGATGGGGCCTGGCCGGGTGCAGTGGCTCACGCCTGTAATCCCAGCACTTTGGGAGGCTGAGGTGGGTGGATCACCTGAGGTCAGGAGTTTGAGACCAGACTGGGCAACATGGTGAAACCCCCGTCTCTACTAAAAATACAAAAATTACTGGGAAGTGGTGGCAGGTGCCTGTAATCCCAGCACTTTGGGAGGCTGAGGTGGATGGATCACCTGAGGTCAGGAGTTTGAGACCAGACTGGGCAACTTGGTGAAACCCCCGTCTCTACTAAAAATACAAAAATTAGTGGGAAGTGGTGGCAGGTGCCTGTAATCCCAGCTACTTGGGAGGCTGAGGCAGGAGAATCACTTGAACCCGGGAGATGGAGGTTGCAGTGAGCTGAGATCATGCCACTGCACTCCAGCCTGGGCAACAAGAGTGAAAACTCCTTTTCTAAATAAATAAATAAATAAAAGATGGGGCCTGAGGTGGGGTCAGATTTCATGATGCAGTGGCCACAGAAGCAACGACGCTGGCAGGCTTTTGTGACATGCATAGCAGCTGAGGAGAAAGTAACTGGGTGTGGGGGTTGAGGTTGGATAAGGGTGAGACCTACAAGCCAGAGAAGGGAGATGAACCTCGGTGGAGGGGCAGTGGGCAGGCCAGTGGCCTTTAGACCTTTTAAAAATCATTGTGGTAAAACATATGAAACCTAAGATTTACATAAGATTTATAACTGTAACAGTTGTAAAAAAAAAATACCCAGAACCTTATTTGTGAAAGGGAGGAAATTAAGGGGTAAGAAGGCCTTGGCCTCTCCATTCCATGGCAGCCTTTTGGATGGGCACTTTTTTTTTTTTTTTTGAGACGGAGTCTCGCTCTATCACGTAGGCTGGAGTGTACTCTGGGAGGATCGCTTGACCACCCAGGCATGATCTCGGCTCACTGCAGCCTCCGCCCCCCGAGTTCAAGCGATTCTCCCGCATCAGCCTCCCGAGTAGCTGGGATTACAGCCACGTGCCACCATGCCGGCCAATTTTTGTATTTTTGTAGAGATGGGGTTTTACCATGTTGGCCAGGCTGGTCTCAAACTCCTGACCTCAAGTGATCCGCCCGCCTTGGCCTCCCAGAATGCTGGGATTACAGGCTTGAGCCACCGCGTCCGGCCTTGAATAGGTACTTGTGAGGAACGTCAGTGGGGACCGCAAACCGCTGCATTGCAAACCATGCCAATAATAGTGTTACTGGTTCTTTGGGTTTGGAATTGTGCTTGGCTGCTGGTAACAGAGATATGGCCCTGGTGGCTTAAATGAACAACGTATCTTTCCTAGAAGGTCACACTTAGGCAGTGCAGAGCTGTCGAGTGTCTCTGCCACAGTCTAGTGTCCTGGTCCACTTTATCTTTCTGCTCTACCATCCTTAGCTGTGGCTCTTATCCTCAGGTTGGTCTAAGATGCCTGTTGAAGCTCTAGCCAGCATGTCTGTGTTGTAGGTAGCAAACAGGAGAAAACAGGAAGGCCAAAAGGACTCTCCCCCGCTAACTGTCCTTCCTTTAAGGAGCTTTCTCAGGAGTCTCATCTCACAACTTGAGTTTACATCTCACTGGCCAGAACTTAGTCGGTGGCACCACTTTGATGGAAGGGGCGTGTGAAGTGTAGTCTTTTAGCTTGGCACATGGCCTTTCTGAATAGGGCTTCTGTGATGAAGGAAGAAGGAGGGGATGGATGCCAGGCAATCTGTCCTGGTTGTAGAGGTAGTGCTGGAGGTAGCTGATGTTCATTGCGTTCATTGTTTGTTGCCAGGAAGTGCATTCTGTACCTGACATGTATTAGAGGTGGTGTGTAGTGACCAGCTGGAGCCCACGTCTCTAGCACCAGTGAGGATTTGGCTGATGAGCAGAGTTTTTCAGTGGTCAGAACCCTCTTTGCTGGGTCGTATGTAGCCTACTGGACCGTGAACTCCTTGAGGACAGGAGTATTTACTTTTGTCTCCCAAAGCACCTGGCTCAGTACCAAGGAAATGTCACCAAATGTTGGCTTATTTAAACCAAAGCTATTTCTATTGAAAACTACAATTAAAAAATATTTTTTGGCAGGGCATGGTGGCTCACTCCTGTAATCCCAGCGCTTTGGGAGTCCAAAGCTGGAGAATCACTTGAGGCAAGGAGTGAGACCCTGTTTCTACAAAAAAAAAAAAAAAAAAAAAAAAAAAAAATTAGTCCGGTGTGGTGATGTGCACAATGTGGTCCCAGCTACTCGGGAGGCTGAGGCAGGAGGATTGCTTGAACCCAGGAGATCAGGGCTACCGTGAGCTGGTGTCATGCCACTGCACTCCAGCATGAGCAATAGACTGACACCCTGTCTCAAAAAAAAAAATCCTGATTATAAAGAAATATAAGTCTATTAGAATTTTTTAAAGTAGCACCAGGACAGAAAAAGAAAAATCACTTGTAATCTCATCACCCAAAAATAGCCACTATTGAAGAGATTTGAAGTACCTCTTCCCAGTCTTTTTTATTTGTATTTAGAGTGTCTGTGTAAAACACATTTAGATCATTCTAGGTAAATCATTTTGCATTCTCTCGTTTCACTTGGTATCATATCACGAGCAGTTTTGTGTCTTTAAATATTATCTCTGAATGGCCTTAACGGCCGCATGATGTCTCTGTTAACTTCCCACGGCTAGGCACTGAAGTTATTTGTTGTTATTACTGCCATGGTGATCTTTATATCCACATTTTAGTGTAGGATTCTGATTATTTCTCTAGGGTCAGCTCCTGTGAAGAGAATTGCTGGGCCCTTTAAGATTCTTGGCAAAGACTGTCAACATGCTTCCCAGAAAAACATGTATTGACGCCAGCTGTGTATGAGTATGCCTGTCAGGCCTCACCCTCCTTGGTACGGGGTATTGTCATTTTAGTTGCTAATTTGATTGCAAGTTTTATTTTGTATTTCTACTGTGTTTCAATTTTTCCAGGACTATTGACCATTTGTTGTTTTGTTTGCTGTCAGTTTTTTAGTATTGAGTCTATAACGATCTTGATTTTTTTTCTGTCGGTTTTTGTTTCTTTTAGATGTTTTTTGATGCGGCTGTGCTTCTTACTTATAAAATAGCATTTCTTTGTCATTTCTTTTTTTTTTTTTTTTTTTTTTTTTTTGTGAGACGGAGTCTCGCTCTGTCACCCAGGCTGGAGTGCAGCGGCATGATCTCAGCTTACTGCAACCTCTGCCTCCTCCCAGGTTCAGGTGATCCTCCCTCTTCAGCCTTCCAAGTAGCTGGGATTACAAGTGTGTGTGTGTGCCACCATACTGGACTAATATTTGTATTTCTAGTGGAGATGGTCTTTCACCATGTTGGCCAGGCTGGTCTCCATCTGCTGACCTCAAGTGATCCACCCACCTTGGCCTGTCAAAGTGCTGGGATTACAGGCGTTACCCACCGCACCTTGCCATCTTTGTCATTCTTGTGGTAAATCTTTTTCTTTTACTTTTTCTGCATAATTATTTTGACCCATAGTGGTTTTTAATTTTTACCTAATCAAATCCGGTGACTTTTTTTGTGTGGAATTTCTTCCGTTTGTAGTATGCGTGATTGTGGGAACAAGTTTCTGCTTGCTTTTCTTGAAAAAATTAGCTATTTGTGTTTGCTCATTTTCTAGATAAGCTTTAAACCTCGATTCCAGTAGAAAAATAATTAACCGGGATTCCAATTATAATTTTTTAAGCTGCCTAGGTTGCTTTTAAGAGGAGTAATGAGTATTGAGTAAAATTCTTGTCTGGCATTGGCCTGGTAGTCTCTTAGAATTCATTGTTGTGAACAAAAAAAGAAAACTGGCTTAAAATTGAAGCAAGAAGCCCTGAAAATCACTGTTTTACGTTAAAAGGGGGTTTATTGATTGAATTAACAAAAGTTTTGTCTTGATCAGACAATGGCATGATCAAGGACTTGGTGTTATGTGGACCTAGTCTGTCTCTGTGTTGGTCTGTCTGTATTTCTCTCCCTGGTCTATCTTTTTTTTTTTGGAGATGGAGTCTCTCTCTGTTGCCCAGGCTGGAGTGCAGTGGCATGATCTTAGCTCACTGCAACCTCCACCTCCTGGGTTCAAGTGATCTTCCTGCCTGTCAGTCTCCTGGGTAGCGGGGATTACAGGCACCTGCCACCACACCTGGCTAATTTTTGTATTTTTAGTAGAGATGGGGTTTCACCATGTTGGCCAGGCTAGTCTCAAACTCCTGACCTCAAGTGATCCGCCTGCCTTGGCCTCCCAAAGTGCTGGGATTACAGGCATGAGCCACCAGGCCCAGCCTCCCTGGCCTATCTTTGTTTCCCCATCTCTTTCTCTCAACACTAGTTTCATCCATGATGGGTCCATCATCAGACTGTTTTCTCTCTCCTTATGGCTAGAGGATGATTGCAGCAGTTCCAGAACTTTCTAGTTCATGTTCAGTGTGGAAAGGGGGCTCCTGCCTCTGTGCCAGGAGGCTGTGCTCAGGTTCCTGGGGTTGCGCCGACTCCAGCATGCTCATCTAAGAACCCATAGCTGGCCAAGGAGGTTGCCCAGCTCTGAGTGGCCAGGCCCAAGTCACATGCCACTCCTGAAGCTGGGTTGGAGTCAGGCCTGGGGTAAAGTCAGTGGAATGTGAGAGCTGGGGAGAATTGGCTTCCCCAGCCAAAAATGGGTGCTCTTTCCCAGAAGTTGGGTGTATGGGGGTTTAGGTTTCTGATATACAGTAAATGTTAATAATAATTGCTTGTGAGCGGTGGACTACAGCCTTGAACCCAACTTGTTTGACTTCTTGGGAGGAGAAGGAAGCTACCAGTGCCCTGATTTTATTTATTTATTTATTTATTTATAGTGGCATTAGATTCTCATAGGAGAATCTAATTATATATAATAATATATATATATATATTTTTTTTTTTTTTTTAAGAAGAGGAGTTACATTCAATCCTCATCTTGAATCCTGTGAGTCTTGATGTTCATAGTCCACTTGTCTTTTATCTGGAAAGTGGCCATCTCTGTCTGTGAGTGGTCGGAGAATTAGTCGGCTAAGTTTCCTAGAGAAGAGCATCCCTCCCAGGGGTTCAGCTGTGTCTGATTTGGCCGGCTCTTTTCTTCTTCTTTTCTTCTTCTCTTCTTCTTCTCTTCTTCTTCTCTTCTTCCTCTCTTCTTCTCTTCTTCTTTTCTTCTTGTCTTCTCTTCTCTTTTTTTTTTTGAGGCAGGGTCTTACTGTGTCACCCAGGCTGGAGTACAATGACGCAATCACAGCTCACTGCAGCCTCAACCTACCAGGCTCCAGCAATCCTCCCACCTCAGCCCCACCCTGAGTAGCTGGGACTGCAGGTGCCCACCACCACGCCTTGCTGGGTTTTTTTTTGTATTTTTGGTAGTGACAGGGTTTTGCCACATAGCCCAGGCTGGACTCAAGCAGTGCTTCCACCTCAGCCTCCCAAAGTGCTAGGATTGCAGGTGTGGGCCACCATACCCAACCATTCCCCACCCCCAAAACCCTACCGCATCTCTCAGTTCAGCAGGAGCCTCATCTTTGGAGAGGCCCCTGGCTGTGGAGGCTCCTGGGGAGTGGCAGTTCACATGTCCGTCTTTCACGTGTCCTGGCCTGTGGGCTGGAATAATGGAACTGTGGGTGGCACACAGCAGAGACACTATTTGTCTTCTCGCTCTTTCTGTATCTTTCAGTGCAGGCCTGGCATCTCTTGGGCACACACCGATTCGTGCATGTAGTTGACAGTGAATAAGCTAAATGTGCATTTGATGCCACTCTAGGGCGTATGCCAGATACTGGGTTAGGCTTCATGTGCTCCAGGTGACCAAAGTCTGACCCCCTAGCCTGGACAGGTTTCCTGTCTGGCCCTCGCTGATCTCTGAACCTGTGCCACTTTTGTTCTGCTGCCCTGCCATTCCTCTCTTACACACCTGATGTCTCCTGCAGTTGGTAAGTATTTGATGTCTCTATGATGAATTTATTAATAGTTTAATAAGAACACATTAGGCTCAGGGACTCAGTACCGTGTGAGATTGTTAGCTAACTTTTACTAGATCCTGCTGGTTATTCTTGATCTGTTAGGACAGCAGCCTCCAACCTTTTGGGCAACAGGGACCTGTTTCATGGAAGACAATTTTTTCATGGACCAGTCTGATACCCTATTTTGGCCCAGACATTTTGGGGCATGTAATTGGGTTGAATAGTTGTATGATTGGGCTTCAGGTCCATCCATTTAGAAGACATCAGAGGCTGGATTGCAGGCCTGGTTCTACCCTCATGGGGGCCTGGTGGGCTCATTCACCCTCTCAGAGCACCAGGTGGCTTCTCTGCTCAGACAGAAGCACCTCCTGGTGCACCTGCATCAGAGACTCATGCGGATTAAGTAGGGTAATAACTGTTAAAACTTTGTATCTTTGCATAAGTCCATTCAGCATGTCTGGAACCATTGTCAAATGTCATGGAGTCCTTTGTGGCTCTGGTAGAGGTTAGGTTCTCACCAATAAAATTACTCTACTGGTGGTGGGGGTGGTGGTTTCAAGATAAAACTGTTCCACCTCAGATCATCAGGCATTAGATTTTCACAAGGAGTGCTCAGCCTAGATCCCATGGGTGCGCAGCTCACAATACGGTTCATGCACCTCTGAGATTCTAATGCCACCTCTGATCTGACAGGAGGTGGAGCTCAGGCGGTGATGCTCACTCACCCGCCACTCAACTCCTGCTGTGTGGCCTGGTTCCTAACAGGCCACAACCATTACAGGTCTGTGGCCTTGGGGGTTGGAGACCCCTGCCTTAGGGTGCCAAAGTGGAGTCTAGAATTCTGAGAGTGGAAGAAAGGACTGTTTTTTCCTTGATAAAATCATACAAGCCAGGCACGATGGTTCACATCTGTAATCCCAGCACTTTGGGAAGCTGAGATGGGAAGATCACTTGCAGTCAGGAGTTTGAGACCAGCCTGGCCAACATGGAGAAACACTGTCTCTACCAAAAATACAAAAATTAGCTGGGCATGGTGGTGCATGCCTGTAATCCCAGCTGCTCTGGAGGCTGTGGCAGGAGAATTGCTTGAAACCTGGGAGGCAGCGGTTGCAGTGAGCCGAGATCATGCCATTGCACTCCAGCCTAGGTGACAGAGACTCCATCTCAAAGAAAAAAAAAAAATCATCCAAATCACCTATGCAGAATGGAGGGTTTCTTGTGTGCTTCCTGGAAGCAAAATTATCTTTTCAGTACTGATCAGAGCCCTGGTATCTAAATGAAGGATGGTTTGCCACTGTTTGAGAAACACTTCAGCATCTTTAAGCTGGAGGGAGTGGTGTGGATGCTTAAGAAGAAGATCCCTGGTTAATGCTCAAACACAGATGTGCGTTGCTGGCAGAGTCACATTTCTCACCATTTGTTACTGCTACTTAATTTGAAATGACAGTTTTGTGTTCTCAAAAGAACAGTCATGTTTCTCCTTTCAGATTTGTTTTGGCAATTTATTAGCAGATCTAATTATAATATTTGTTTGATGAAGCGTCAGGTAGGAGCCACCTAAGTGGTGGTAGCATCGCTTTAAAAATAAGTCTGAAAGGGCATAGTTTTCTTACAGTGATAGAAAACATTGATTCCCCGCCCCCCTAACAAAAATTACTCCTAAATGGTATATTTAAATTGAACAATGGGAAGATTTTTGTTGTTGGATTCCTTAAGTAGTGGTTGAGAGCATATGCTCTGAAATTGGTCGTTCTTACAGCGGAATCCTGGCATTGCTCCCTATGAGCTGTGTGACCTCAGCTGAGTTATTTAACATCCCCCAGTCTCAGTATTTTCATCTGTTAAATGGGGTAATGAGAAGCTCCCTCACAAGTTTGTTGAGGTGTTACGTACATGATCCATATATTTAACATGCGGTGACAGGTTATGTAAAGCGCTCAGTAACTGTGACTGCTACTTTCATTTTTGACAAACATGTCAAAGATGACATGTTTGAATTCATGTCATCTGCTTGGGTTTTGAATTATAGTGACAACTGCCTAGATTTTTTTTTTTGTAATGTAGGAGATGCTGACTTCTTCTAGTTATATTTATGGGGCAGAAGTCTGTTAAACATCTTTAAAATTAGAGTGATTGTAGTTTATTTATTTATTTTTTCCTTTTTGACCAAACAAAAACCCGTCGTTGTGATTTAGCCTCCCTTGCTACCACTCCTCCTCCTGGTTTATAGAACTAGTCACAGGCCTTGGTCAGTGAATTCTGAAACAAGGATTTTTCCTGCAGGAGTGGCATCTGTTTCCTTGGCTGGAAACACACTTGTGTTGGCAGCTCTGGGGCAGGCAGCTTTGTGGTTGATGGTGAGGGTAGGGAGAGATGAAGTGCTTGAGACACAGAGTTTCTGCTGCAGGAACTGGGTTGTTAGGAAGGCACTGGGGCTGCAGGTTACGTGTTTGGACCTATCAGTCATTTGACTGTGGGAGAGTAACTTGCTTAAGCCCCAGAATCATCTTCTGTGAAATAGGGATATTAACAATGCTTAATGAGTAGGTTTTTGAACAGAGTGGATAAGTCAACAAAAGGTTAACATCCTACCTGGTGTGTGGGAAGCACTCCATAAACAGCAGCTGCTGTGTTTCTATCTCTGTTATTACTTCCCACATAAAGCACAGGTGATGACCAAGAGGGTGTCAACCTATGTCAACTTTGTTATCCTTCCGTTGGAGTCTGTAATTGAGGCTGATGTATATTAACATGGAAATAAGGTCTCAGGAAGCAAGAGGGTGCAGCTGACAGGCAGCGCTGCAGGCAGACAGCTCATAATTTTCTCCTCCTTTCTGGGTGGGTCACAGTTGGGACTAGTCTCTGGATTAAAAACAGTGCTAATGCCCTCAATGTCTGCATGAAAAAAAAAGAAACATTGGCCAGGCATGGTGGCTCACGCTTGTAATCCCAGCACTTTGGGAGGCTGGGGCAGGCAGATCACTTCAGGTCAGGAGTTTGAGACCAGCCTGGCCAATGTGGTGAAACCCCATCTCTCTTAAAAATACTAAAATTAGCTGGGTGTAGTGGCACACTCCTGTAATCCCAGCTACTCAGGAGGCTGAGGCAGGAGAATTGCTTGGACCTGGGAGGCGAAGTTGTAGTGAGCCGAGATCGTGCCACTGGGTGACAGAGCGAGACTCCATCTCCATAAAAAAGAAATAACAACAAAAAAACCCAGTGTTAACCCTGATCTTTCATGGTTGACTCCCTGAGTCAAAGGTCAGGCTTTATATGTGACCAGCACAGAAGGGCCAATTGGTGGTATTCTTAGAACAATGACCCGGGCCCACAGCAGTCACTGGCAATAGTAACAGCTGCATAGGGTCTGCTTAGGTCTGGATGTTGGGGATGGATCTGGCATGGCTTTTTGTGGAAGACATGTTGGAACTCAGGTCTGTGGGAGAGGAAGGTGTCCCCTCCCCTCGGCAGGTTTGTCTCCTTGCCTTGGATATGGGGAAGGCCAGAGGCACAAGGGGAAACAGGGTGTCAGGAGGTTGAGAAGAGGCCTGTGTTGCTAGAACTCAGAGAGTGAGGGGAGCAGGGCCTTGTAGGTCCCTGGAAAGGTTTGATCTTTATCCTAAGAAAGATAGAAAACCTTTGAAGAGTCCTAAACTGAGGGCTGGTGGTATCAGCCCTGCATTTTAAATTGATCACCTTCCCTATACGACGGGGAGAGAATTCAGGAAGGCAGAGGCCGGTATGGGGTGACCATTTGGCCGTTATAGCAGTCATCTTAGCAAGGGATGGAGGCTGGCTCTTCAGGTGGAGATGATGGGAATTAAAATAAGTTCAAAGGGTATGGGAGATAAAGTGGACAAGACCAGGAGTCCATGGCTTGCATTTTTCGACAAAACTCTATTATCAGGATATATTCCTCCTGTAGCCTTTCTTCCTTTACTTAATTTTCTTATGGCCCGCACAGTCTATCTCCTCCTGTTTTTCCCTCAAAATCATTCTATGGGTAAAAATAAATACCTTCCGACTTACAGCAGCTCCTCTTCCAGATGATGTAAATGAGTGAGTGACTGCAGTGAGCAGTGACTTGTCACGAGAAAGGAACTGGGCACCTGTGATTGACATGGGCACAGAGTTTCTTCCTGGAGAGCCATCAGGTCCATGTTCCATTTACCAAGTGCTCAGCAGGGCCTGCATTTCGTAGTGGCATGACCCAGTGGAGGATTTCAATGTGGTTTAGTTTATTTTCAGCCTCAAGGTTTAAAAAGTCCCACTTCCCAGCGGCCTCCAGACTAGTTTTTAATTTTTTTAAATGTTAAGGTTGGGTTCCTTACATGGCATTCTCAGGAAGTACTGTTGGAGAGTCTTCCAAAAGTAAACCAGTTATGACCACATGTGCTTCTTAGTCCAACCCTGCAGTTGTACAAGAGTGACAGTAAATCTAACTTTTATCCCAGAGAAAGGAAGATAATGCGTGGTGTGTTGTTTACCACACACTGTGTAGAATTACCATGGAACAAGGGCAGGGCTGACCCCTCTTCCCCTCCACTGCAGCCCTCCCACCTCCCCAGGCCCACCGTAATCAGATGCTGAGATTGTCACAGCAGCTTCCCCGCTGCCCTCCCTGCTTTCATTCTGGTGATGCCCCTCTCCTGTGAGGCTTCTCTGTAGCCAGGTGATCCTTTGAAAATAGAAGTTGGCTCATGTCACTGTTGGGCCCTCTGAGGGAACCCTTTAAGGCTTCCCTTCCTACCTGGAACACAATCATATCCTGAGCCTGGCCCTCATCCCCACAGGATCCAGCCCTGGCCTCTTCCTCCTCCCTCAGACATGCCCAATCGTTGTTCTTCATCGTGTTGCATCTTGGGTGGTCCCTTGCTCTTGCTTCCCCTGTTTCCTGGAGTTCTTCCTCTCCATCTTTACATGGCTCTCTTCCTCTCCCCATCCAGATCTCTGCTTTTTTTTTTTTTTCTTTTTTTGAGACAGTCTCACTCTATCACCCAGGCTGGAGTACAGTGGTGCAATCTCAGCTCACTGCAACGTCTGCCTCCTGGGTTCAAGTGATTCTCCTGCCTCAGCCTCCTGAGCGATTACAGGCGTGCACCACCATGCCTGGCTAGTTTTTGTATTTTTAGTAGAGTAGTAGTTTTTGTATTTTTAGTGGCGAGGGGGTCTCGCCAGATTGGCCAGGCTGGTCTTGAACTCCTGATCTCAAGTGATCCGCCTCCCTCTGCCCCCAAAGTGCTGGGATTACAGGCATGAGCCACCGCACCCAGCCAGGTTTCTGCTTAAATGTCACTTTATCAGGAGGTCATTTTATCTAGAATGGCACTTCTGGCACTGCTTTATTTTTCTGTGCAGCTTTTAGCAGCACATGATAGAAAAATGCATTCATCTTTTGGTCTGTCTGACTCCCCCAGTAGAATCTAAGCTCCTTAAGAGTAAGGACTGTTCTATTCTCTGCCGAGTCTTAGTGTCCAGAACAGTGAGTAGTGTGGAGCATGCTGTAGTAATGTTTGTTGCTTGCATGAGTACCTGGGAAGTGCGGTGCTGGGTCCACATGATTCTGTCTCTGATAGTAAGGAGATGTTTTCTTTAAATACTTTTGCTTAACAAACCATTCCCAAAATGAGTGGCTTAAAACAACTCCGATTTTGGTTACTAACAATTGGGTGAGTTAGGGGTTCAGTCAGGGTGTGATGATTGAGGCAGCTGTGATGGGGACAGCTCATCTCTGCTCCATGATGTCTGAGGCCTCAGCTCATGGCGGAAATGATTGGAAGGGCCTGGGCCAACTCAATGAAGGCCAAGGTGTCTGGGTCCTTGGCTCTGGCTGCTGGCCGAGTCCTGCCATTTTCCTTCACATTGCATCCCCACATGGCTGGCTTGGGCTTATTCATACCACAGTGGTCTCAGAGTTCTAAGAGGGAACATCCTGAAAGACAAGCCCACGTGCAAGGCTCATCAAGCCTCTGCTAGGCTCACATTTGCGAATACTCCACTGACCAGAGTAAGTCACATGGCCAGGCCCAGAGTCAGTCCAGGACGGGACTGCACAAGCGTGTGGATCCCAGGAGGTGGGGTTCATTCCAGGCCACTGGTCTAACCACTGGCATTACCATAGGTAGATGAAAGGACAGATTGTAGAACCAGCCTGCCGGGTCTGAATCTTCATGTAACCACTCTCTATTGATAGGACCCCAGGGAAATTGCTGAGCTTTTCTGTGTCTCTGTTTTTCTCATGGGCAAAATGAGGTGGAGAGTATTTCACAGGGAGATCATTGAGAATTAGGTGAATAATACATGTAAAAGTTCTTAGACTACTTCTTGGTGCATAGGGAACACTGTATACGCTACTGGGTGACCAAAACCCACCTGTGTGCTGAGCTGTCCCGGCCCCATTAACTCATGTATTCCTTTACTTACTCTTTCACACTGTTCCTGTTCTTATTTAATGTTAAACACCTGCAGGTCCCAGCCCTCTGCTAGGTTCTGTGATACAGGAGAATCCCTTCCTGGAGTTGGCAGGTGGGGAGGGCAGATCGACAGGTCAAGGAGCAATCTCAATGAAGTGTGGGCTCTCCCGGGTTGGGGAGCTCCAGTGCCAGGGGAGCCCAGAGCAGGAGCCCATCACCAGGACTGTGGTGGGGACAGGCAGGGAGAGCTTCCTGCAGGAACCAACATAAAACCAGCCTTGAAGGGTTAGACAGACTTAGGTGGCCAAAGGGTTCCAGGCAGGTGGAGGAGCATGTGCAAAGGCCCAGAGACAAGAGCGGGCACGGGAGTTGAAAGCCTTGTGCATAGAAACACACAGAAGGTAGCAGAGCCCCTGCCCAGCTCTCATGGGGAGCCAAAATATATAGTGGTCCTTTTGCAATTTTCAGTCTGTAGAAATGAGTGTCAGGCAAAGAGATACAAGTCAGAGCCCCAGGAGAGAAGCCACAGGTGGGAGCCGGGCAGAGGGCCATTCGGCCTCATGTTGCAATGGCCTGTCAGGCAGAAGAGGGTTTTAAGGTAGGTGTTAGCTGACCAGAAGCACAGCTATGGATCAAGGTGTTGGGAGCTTTTTCTGCAGGGCTCATGAGCCTCTTACCCACTTACCTCTCACTTGCTCCACTGGGTACTGGCTCGAAGCACAATGCAGAGCTTGATGCAGTCCTCGGGTTGTGTTTTGGGAGAAGGCTATTATTTGTTTCCATTCTTTAAGCACTCATTTTTGTGCCAGAGATGAAAAGCAGGCAGATCTGTGCACAGGTGGTTGAAGCACTGGGTTGTAACTGCCCCATGTGTGAGGTCCAGAGAGCAGGGCTGTCCTGGGTGGCTCAGGGCTGGCTTCCTGAAGGAGGTAGCATCTGAGCTCAGTGCAGAAAGACAAACGGGTTTTCTAGAAGAGCGACTGGGCTGGTGGCTTCGTCTCTTCCCAGAGAGCTCCAGTCGCCTGAAGTCCCCCTGGGCTGGTGCCTGGATCCCTGACCCCGGTACTGCAGTTACTCCTGCAGGCCGCGAGGTACTGGGAAGGATGGCGAAATAGACAGCTGCTGGCTGCTCCTCAGAGCTCCACGATGGCCCCCTTCTTCACCTTCAGGGCCCTGCCCTCTGGGCTGCGGGCCATGTGGCCAGGCTGCGCAGGACATCACCAAGATCCTGCTTTGTTGGGAGCATAGGCGCAAGGCAAACTTCCTGGGTTGGGGTCTTGACTGTGCCATTTGCTGGCTTCCTGTCCTTGAGCAAAGTGCTTGTAAAGTCTGTGCCTCACTTGGTTCATCTGTAAAGTGGACGTGATAATAGCTCCTGCCTCAGAAGAGCTTTTCTCAGCTTTAAATGAGCTAATGTGTGGCAAGGACTTAGAACAGCAGAAAAAACTGCTGAAGAAATGTCATCGCCATTATGTTCATTAATATTATTGACCCTCAGTGGACCATTATTGAGGATTTTTAATGACCTTACCTTTATGATGCACAAGCCAGCAATATAAGAATTCATAGGCTGGGTACAGTGGCTCATGCCTGTAATCCCAACACTTTGGGGGGCCAAGGTGGGTGGATCACCTGAGGTCAGGAGTTCGAGACAATCCTGGCCAACATGGTAAAACCCCGTCTCTACTACAAATACAAAAATTAGCCGGGCATGGTGGCACGCGCCTGTAGTCCCAGCTACTCGGGAGGCTGAGGCAGGAGAATTGCTTGAACCTGGGAGGCGGAGGTTGCAGTGAGCTGAGATCGTGCCATTGCACTCCAGCCTGGGCAACAGAGTAAGACTCTGTCTCCAAAACAAAAGCAAAAACAAAAACCAAACACAAATTCATAACTAATTTTATTTGTTTTAATTTTTTTTTTCTTTAGAGACAGTGTCTTGCTCTGTCACCCAGGCTGGAGTGTGGTGGCACGATCACGGCTCACTGCAGCCTCGAGCTTCTGGACTCAGGCAGTCCTCTTGACTCAGCCTCCCCAGTAGCTAGAACTATAGGTGTGTGCCACCATGTCAAGTAATTTTTTAAAAACTTTGTTAGAGATGAGGTCCTGCTATGTTGCTCAGGCTGGTGTCGAACTCCTGGCCTCAAGCAGTCCTCTCACCTTGGCCTCCTGAATAGTGGGATTACGGATATGAGCCACCACGCCTGGGTCCCATAACTAATTTCCTTGCAAGAAAATCACAGTATTCTCCCAAGCCCAGTTTACTCCCAGAAATCATCTCTTCTGCTCTTACCAGCTTTCCCCAAATCCACAAGGGTTTCTGCATACAGAATTGAGTGACAAAGGAAACAGTCCACAAGCTACATCCACAAACTTCAAAGTGACAGATTTAAATGAAACTCTTCCTCTTCCTCTATCCTCCTGTCTAAAAGCTTTTGAATCCCCTGGCTGGAAGCTGGAAAGCTGGAGTTGCCAGAGAAGTCTGGTCTGGCCTCCCACCTGGCGGCTACCTCTCATCTCCTCTGGGTCCTCTGAGCCCCTGCCCCACTTCTTTAGCAACTGGCTTCTTGACCTTTCAGGAATTCAGTTTTCCTGTCTCTAAGATGGGGGAACACACATGCTTCCTTGGACTGATGGAACTCAGTAAGGCAGTGTGCCATTCTAAGTTCGTAGGAAGTGCTTGCTGAAATCATCATCATCACCCAATAATAATCACATTATTTAGGCTTTGCCTCCCTGAACGTGTGTGCATTTCCCGGTTCCATCAGTGCCCTTTCTCGCTCCTGTCTGCACCAGGTGACCTCCTGTCACCACAGCATTGCCTCCTTCTGGTCCTGGCAGCCCCGTTGCGGTGCCGAGGTGCCTGGTGCCTGTTCCGCTTCCCTGGCTCACACCCCTAAGAGGCAGCCGCCATTGGAGGGGCTCTGGGCACCCAGCCATGGGGAGCCTTTGGTGGGCCGCCAGCTGTGTCTCCAAGCAGCACGGTGCCCACAGTGAGGGAGCAGCTGGCTCTTCCAGCTGTCTAATTGCTCATCAGACCCACTTTAGCACCAGCTTAACAAATTCCACTCCTTCATCGCAAGCCATCTTTTTTTGTGACCTGGACTGGCAGCTGGGATAGGAGTGGGGGAGGGTTCTTGCGTTGGGTTTGAGAAATTTCCAGACCCAGATAGAGAAGCTATTGGTATTTAGGTCTTTGGGTCATTTTTGTGGGTCTAGCGGTTCTAGAGGCATGTTCAAGGGTTCATTCACGAGCTGTTCCCTAACCCTCCTGCCCCTCAGCAGCATGTGCCAGGCAAGTGCTTGAGATGAGAACAGCAGAGGTGGCGAGACAGTCATTCGGGCCATTACCTGTTGGTGACCATGCATTCGCCTTGATGTAGATCTTTCATTCATTCATAGCACCTTTCAATACTGTGTTTATTGAGTGCCTGTCATGGGCCAGGTCCTGTACTAGGCCCTTGGGCTGAAAGTGAATAAAACAGATAAAAATTCCTGCTATGTGGAGTTGCATTCTAGTTAGGGGGAGACAGAAGATAATCAACAAATAGGATAAACTAAGGATGTATAGCGTGTCAGAAGCTGATAATTGATATGGAACAAAAGTCAAAATAGAGAAGGTTAAGGGGGCTCAGGAGTGTGGGGAGATCATGACTTTAAGTGAGTCGGGATGAACTTTGTTGAGAAGGCGTTGCCTGAGCACAGAGTTGCCAAGGGGGCACTGGCCATGTGAACACAGGCAGGGGGATGGTGGCGGTGTGCCTGTTGCGTCCAAGGAACACCAAGGAGGCAGCAAGGCAGAGAGGAGGCGGAGAAGCCACAGAGGCTTCAGACAGTCACATCCCCTGGGGCCTGGTGAGGTTGGTAGGCAGGGAGGCTGGCCGCAGGTGGGAATGAGAAGGGGGCCACTGGAGGACTGTGAGCAAAGGAGGGGTGGCCTCTGAGTTAGGGTTTTGGAAGTTTGCTGTGTGGAGACTGGAGTGTGGGAGCAGGGGTGGAGGCAGAGAAGAGCTGGCAGGTGGTTATAGGAGCTCAGGCACAAGGCGGTGGTGGCTGGGACCAGTTGGGGAAGTGAGAATGGTAAGAAGTGGCCTGCCCCTGGCCTTATGTGGATGCTGGAGCTGGAAGGATTTCCAGGAACACGGGCTGTGAGGTGTGAGTGAGAGCAGTACCAGATGCCTCCAGGGCATTGTCCTGAGCAGCCAGAAGGATGTGGAGGGAGGCTGCTAACCAGGATGGGGATGGCTTTGTGGGGGCCGAGCAGGAGCTTGGGTACAGGCATGTTGAGTGTGAGCTATCTGAACATCTACGGAGAGACAGAAGGAACGTGGGTATCAAGAGTTCAGTTAGTATGCCGGGGCCCACAATACCGAATGGAACACATTGAGGGTATTGAAAGCCCCAAAACTGGATAACGTTTCTGAGAGAGTGAGTGTAGGTGGGCCAGGACTGAGCTCTGTGGCCCTCCCACATTAAGATGTGGAAAAAAGGAGATACCAGCAAAAGAGATGGAGAAGGAGGCCAGGCGCAGTGGCTCACGCCTGTAATGCAGCACTTTGGGAGGCCAAGGCGGGCAGATCACTTGGGGTCAGGAGTTTGAGACCAGCCTGGCCATCCCCGTCTCTACTGAAAATACGAAAAATGAGTCAGGCGTGGTGGTGCGCACCTGTAATCCCAGCTACTCGGGAGGCTAAGGCAGGAGAATCGCTTGAACCCGGGAGGCAGAGGTTGCAGTGAGCTGAGATTGCGCCACTGTATTCCAGCCTGGGTGACAGAGCACCAGAGACTCCATCTCCAAAAAAAAAAAAGGTGAAGGACTGACCAGGGAGGAGACAAGACTCTCCTAGAGTCCTAGAAGCCACGTGAGAGTGTGCTTGCAGGAGGGGAGAGCCCAGCTGTGTTGTGGCTGCCGATGGGGCAAATGAGGCAAGCGCAGTTGGTCCCCTGAGTCATCTGGTGGCAGCCATTGGTGGCATTGTCAAGACCTAGCCAGTGGACTGCAGGGGTGAGAGCCTGAGTTGCAGAGCATTGATGAGAGAGTAGGAGAGGGGCTGGAGAGGGCGAGTGGAGACAGCTCTTTCCAGGAGGTTGGCTGCAGACAGGAGTAAGGAAATGCAGCAGTAATGGCAGGGACGTGCAGCAGGAATTGTTTCTTCCCATCAGCTGTATTGAAGTATCATTGACAACAACTGTGTATCTTTATGGTGTACAATGTGCTGTTTTGATCTGTACGTTGTGAAATGATTAAATCAAGTTAATAAACATATTCATCACTTCACATACTTTTTTTTGGTGTTGAGACCATTTAGGATATAATCTCTTCACAATTTTCAAGGAAACAATCCTGTATTTTTTTATTTTTTTGAGACTGAGTCTTGGTGCGACGCCCAGGCTGGAGCGCAATGGCGTGATCTCGGCTCACTGCCACCTCTGCTTCCCGGGTTCAAGTGATTCTCCTGCCTCAGCCTCCCGAGTAGCTGGGATTACAGGCACCCACCACCATGCCTGGCTAATTTTTTTTTAGTAGAGACAGGGTTTCGCCATATTAACCAGGCTAGTGTGAGCCACTTTGTTCTGCTAACAGTCCAGTATTCTTAACTACAGCCACCATGCTGTCCCCTAACCCGCCAGAACTCATTCATCCTGTCCAACTGAAGCTTTGTACTTTTTGACCAGCATCCCCCCATCTCTCCCCTGCCCCGACCCCAACCTCTGGTAATCACCATTCTGCTCTCTGCTTCTATGCTCATAAGATTCCATATGAGTGAGATCATGTGGTATTTTGTCTTTGTGTGCCTGGTTGAGTTCACTTAGCATAATATCCTCCACGTTTATCCGTGTCATCACAAATGACAGGATTTTCTTCTTTTTTAAGGCTGAGTAGCTTTCCATTGTGTATATACGTCACGTTTTGTTTATTCATCTGTTGATGGACACAGGTTGATTCTGTATCTTGGCTATTGTGAATAGTGCTGCAATAAACATGAGAGTGCAGATAAATAACTCTTCGACATACTGGTTTCATTTCCTTTGGATAAATATGCAGTAGTGGGATTGCTGGATCATATGGCAGCTCTATTTTTAGTTTTTTGAGGACCCTCCATGCTGTTTTCCATAACGGCTGTACTAATTTACGTTCCTACCCACAGTGTACAAGGGTTCCCTTTTCCCAGTCCTCACCAACATTTATCTTTCTTCTATTTTATAACAGCCATCTTAACAGGTGTGAGGTGCTATCTCATTGTGGTTTTGATTTGCATTTCTCCGATGATTGGTAATGTTGAGCAGCTGGTCATACACCTGTTGGCCGTTTGGATGTCTTCCTTGAGAAATGTCTATTTGCATCCTGTGTCCATTTTTTAATCAGGTTATATTTTCCTGCTATTGAGTTGTTTGAGTTCCTTGTATATTTTGGATATTAACCCCTTATCAGACCTATTTTGCAAACAGTTTCTTCCATTTGGTAAGTTGTCTCTTCACTCTGTTGATGGTTTCCTGAGAATTTTTGTTTTTTGGAGGTGGAGTCTCATTCTGTCATGCAGATCTTGGCTCACTGCAACCTCTGCCTCCCTGGTTCAGGCGATTCTCCTGCCTCAGCTTCCTGAATAGCTGGAATTACAGGCGTGTACCATCATGCCCGGCTAGTTTTTGTATTTGTAGCAGAGACGAGGTTTCACCATGTAGGCCAGGCTGGTCTTGAACTCCTGACCTCAAGTGATCCGCCTGCTTCGGCCCCCAAAGTGTTGGGATTACAGGTGTGAGCCACTGCGCCCGGCCTCCTGAGAATTTTTTTTGAAGAGAGACAATCAGCATTCAGCAGTTGTTTATGAAGTGCCTGCTATGTGCCAGGTACCAGGCTACTATCTGACTTAAAATGGGGAACAAGACAGAGTTCCTGGGTACGTGGGATTTCCATTTTACTGGGAATCACGGTGAAAGAGGCAGGAATGGCCACTGATGGCTCTGCTTAGTTCCACATGCTCACAACCATTGGTCTACTGGCCTCCTCCACTTGGACTTATGATAGCTAAAGCAGAACATCTGCTTTTCCCACCAAAACTTCAATTTCTCCACCGTCTTCCCCACTGTATTAGTTTTCTTTTGGTGTGGCAACAAATGGCTGATAACAAATTATCTTACAGATTTGGAGGTCAGAAGCCGTGGATTTCAATGGGCTGAATGAGGTGGTGGCAGGGTTGTATTTGTTTCCATAGACTCTAGGGGAGAATTCCTTTCCTTGCTCATTCCGTTGTTGACAGAATCCAGTTCCGAGTAGCTGAATGACTAAGGTTCCCGCTTCTGGTTGGCTCTCAGCTGGGGGCTGCCCTGAGCTCTGGAGGCCCCCAGAACCCAGAACAAGCAATGGCATGTTGAGTCCTTTTCATTCTTGGAATCCGACTTCCTGTTCTCCTGCTTCTCCTCTGTGGTTGTCTTCTGCCATCCCTCTCTTCTGCTTTCGACTGGAGGGCATTCTCTGCTTTTAAGGGCTCACGTCATTAGATTGGGCTCACACAGGTAATCCAGTATACTCTCCTATCTCAAGGTCTGTAACTCTAATTATATCTGCAAAGTCTCTTGCTATGTGCAGCAACATATTCACAGCATCTTTGGGGCATGGGCATCTTTGGGGGCCATTCTGCCTACCACTAGCATCTCTCTCTCTCTCTCTCTTTAAGAGAGACAGGGTCTTGCTCTGCCATCCAGCCTGGAGTGCAATGGCACATCTATAGCTCACTGAAGCCTTTAACTCTTGGGATCAAGCGATCCTCCTGCCTCAGCCTCCTGAGTAGTTGGGAAGTTGGAACTACAGGCACGCACCACCATGCCCGGCTTATTTAAAATTTTTTTTTTTTTTTTTTGTAGCATCAGGGTTTCTCTGCATTGCCTAGGCTGGTCTCGAACTCCTGATCTCAAGTAGTCCTCCCACCTCAGCCTCCCAAAGTGCTAGGATTACAGATGTGAGCCACCGCACCCAGCACCCACTCATAAATGCCACCTCTTGGTTGCTCAAACCAGAAATCTGGGAGTCATCCTGTGTTTTTCCGCAGACTTTGTCTCTGATTTACAATCTATAGCCAGTCCTGCCAGTTCCAAAATATACCCTGGAGATGAATGGCCATTTGTGACTGTCCTCACTGCTATCGCCTGGGTCAGGCCCCCAGAGTCTCTTTGCCTGGGATGCTATTGTAGCTCTGAGCTGGTCACCTGCTTTCCATCCTGGCTCCTGTGCAGTCTGCTCTTCACACAGCAGCCAGAGTGGTTTAGCAATCAGCAAACAGGTCACAGCTCCCAGCTCCCCTGATGAAAGGCCTCCAACAGCTTTGCCTCATCCTGAGAATAAGATATGAAGTTTCCCCTGCAGCCTCCAGCCCCGTGTCATCTGCCGCCACCTGCCGTCCTGCTCTGACCTGTCACCTCGTCTCTGTGTGTACCTTCTTTCAGTCACAGTGGCCTTTCTGTTCCCGGAAGAAGTCCCGCGTTCCCATGTCATCGCACTTGCCATTCCCTTTGCCAGAACATTCCCCCCGTGATAGCCCCATGATGGAGCTTCGAGTCAGTCAGTTCTCTGTGTGGTTGAGGTCTCCCCACAGAGGCCCAGCCTCCATGTCTGCAGGAGCTCTCCTGAGGCACCCTCTCCAGTGTATGTTTTGCATAGAAATTGTTACTCCCGGAAATTCTCCTTACTTATCTGCTCATTTGCTGCAAGCCAGATGTAAGTGCTCAGCAGAACTGTCTCTCATGTTCCACTCCCCACAGGTCCCAGGGCCCTGACCCATGGCAGTCGCTCACAATGTATATACTGGGGCAGCAAATGCAGTGGTGGCATCAGAATTCCAGAGCCTTCTTGGAGAGTGAATGGTACTTCGCTGCCTTTCCATCTTAGTAGCTCAGAGGAAACGTGGAACTTGTAAGGGTTTGTGAGGTAGTTCCTGAATCAGACGTCTCCTCTGTTAAAGGTGCCCAGTGTGGAGAGCGTTGTTATTTTTTATCTAATATATAATGAGACACCAAGGAGGACTTCCAGCCTCCCTTGGGAAATTTCCCTGAGTCTCTGTCGGAGGAGGACTTGTGTCTTGTGTCATTCTCTCTCACTATGATAGCCTGGTACAAAGAGATCCTCCGTAGACAAGAGTTGTTCCATCAGCAGACAGAGAGCTGGATTCAGCCCTCTGGCAGGAGTGCCACGCCTCCCTCCCCAGATTCCCCCTCCTCTCTCTCCTGCCCTCTGCTTCCCCAGAGCTTCCTTGCTTTGGCTTCCTAGACATAATTAAGATTTTCCGGGAAGTTGTCTAGGCTGTACATCATCTCCGTGGGCTTTTGAAATAGCCTCTGGTTTGTCATTTATTATATCGTTCCGATTTGTCAAGGTCTCCTTCTCAACGTGGGGAAAAAAAATGCACTCCGCTTCCAGGTGTACATGGGAATCGTTTAAAATACAGCGTGATTACAGCTGGGCCACCTGGCTGCTCGTTCTACCCCGTCTTTGAGAGGAGGCAGCATTGGCTGTGCTGGCTTGGTGTAGCCACTGGCTAAGAAGGTGTCCTCCTCCTCTCTGCCCCTGCCTCCAGCCTGAGCAAGCCCTAGTTCTGCTGGGTGAGGGGGATGCTGGGATGTTTCTCTGCCTCCTCCAGCCCGCAGCCCCCACCTGGCTCCCCGCAGCTTTTATGAGAGCTGTGGCGCAGAGGACTGAGGAGCGGATTGAAGCCAGCCCAGGGTCACGTGTGGCTTTATGGATGAGAGCCCTTGAATATGATTGTCTTCCTATTTTCTAGTTTTTCTTACCTTTGGGACATTTTCTCATCACCTAATGCTAGTCTTCAAACTGTAAGGTACATCAAAATCACCCTGGATAGTTATTAAAATGCAGATTCCTGGCCCTCGTCTCCGATCCACGGAATTCGTTTCTGGGAACCGAGACCCACGAATCTGCATTGTAACAAGTTTCCCCTTCCCTCCCAGCCCTCCCCATGTGACTTTGATGAGCGTGGTTCAGGGTCCCCCTTTGAGCCCTGCTGATATAATGGACCTCTCTGCTCAGATCACCGCCACATCCAAAGTGCCCTGCCACCCCCTAATCCCCCGCTGCCTCTGCCTCTGCCCCATGAATGCAGCCGCTCAGGTCTTTGCTCCTGCTGATGCGCGGCCACGTTCCTCCAGTCTTCTCTTCTGTTCCTGCAGGAGACAGCTGCCACATTGAGGCTTCACAGGCACTTCTCTGTGACCCCTTTTTTCTCTCCATTGTGACCTGACCCTATGGCATTCTTCAGAATTCATAAGGGAAGTGAGCTTTCAACGTGATTTCTTTTTTAAACCTATCTTTTTTATCCCCTTGAAACATGAGACTTTGCCTTGACCTTGGGTTTCAGGGATGATGAGTCCTCTTCTGCTGGTGCTACAGGCGTCCTTGTTCCAGCCTTGACATTGTTTTCCTTGTAGGTTCCTGGAGCAGGGATACATTCTGGATTTCCAACATGAATTGTGTGAGATTTTTGTTGTTCTTTTAACCTCCCTGTTACCGTCTTCCTTCTCATCCTTCATCTGTTGTGCGCCTGGTGCTCCTTGAGGACTTTGTATTCTTGGCTTTGGGCTTCCTTCCCATGCGGCTTGAGGCGCTGGCCCATGTTATCTGTTGTTGTCTAGAAGTCTCTCCACAAAGCCCAGCCCCTTGCAGATGATTTGTCTTTGCCTTCTGAGCTTCTCTTTTCTCTCATGTGGGGTGGGGGCATCCATGTCCTCCTGGTCTCTTGGAGTGCGTTCCACCTTCTCCGTCTGCTTGCTCTCCAGGGCTTTCTTAGCCAGGTCCCCGGCTGGAGTGGATGTTTGCTATGAGCTTGGGTCTGTGCACGCGTCCCCGGCTGGAGTGAGTGAGTGTTGAGCTCAGGTCAGTTCACACGCCCCCAGCTGGAGTGAGTGTTCGCTGAGCTCCAGTCTGTGCATGCGCCCCCGGCTGGAGGGAGTGTTTGCTGAGCTCAGATCTGTGTGCGTGTGCCCGGCTGGAGTGAATGTTTGCTCTGAGCTTGGGTCTGTGCATGCGTCCCCAGCTGGAGTGAGTGTTTGTTGAGCTCAGGTCAGTGCACGCGCCCCCGGCTGGAGTGAGTATTTGCTGAGCTCGGGTCTGTGTGCGCGCCCCCGGCTGGAGTGAGTGTTTGTTGAGCTCGGGTCTGTGCACGTGTCCCCGGCTGGAGTGAGTGTGTGCTGAGCTGGGGTCTGCGCATGAGTCCCTGGCTGGAGTGAGTGTTTGCTGAGGTGGGATCTGTGCATGAGTCCCCGGCTGGAGTGAGTGGTTCCTGAGCTCCAGTCTGTGCACGTGTCCCCGGCTGGAGTGAGTGTTTGCTGAGCTCCGGTCTGTGCGTGCGTCCCTGGCTGGAGTGAGTGTTTGCTGAGCTCGGGTCTGTGTGCGCACCCCCGGGTGAAGTGAGTGTTTGCTGAGCTCGGGTCTGTGCGCGCGTCCCCGGCTGGAGTAAGTGTTTGCTCTGAGCTCCGGTCTGTGCGTGCGTCCCTGGCTGGAGTGAGTGTTTGCTGAGCTCGGGTCTGTGCACGTGTCCCCGGCTGGAGTAAGTGTTTGCTCTGAGCTCCGGTCTGTGCACGTGTCCCCCGCTGGAGTGAGTGTTGGCTGAGCTCGGGTCTGTGTGCGCGCCCCCGGCTGGAGTGAGTGTTTGCTGAGCTCGGGTCTGTGCACGTGTCCCCGGCTGGAGTAAGTGTTTGCTCTGAGCTTCGGTCTGTGTGTGCATCCCTGGCTGGAGTGAGTGTTTGCTGAGCTCGGGTCTGTGCATGCGTCCCCGGCTGGAGTGAGTGGTTCCTGAGCTCGGGTCTGCACGTGTCCCCGGCTGGAGTGAGTGTTTGCTGAGCTCGGGTCTGTGCGTGCGTCCCCGGCTGGAGTGAGTGTTTGCTGAGCTCGGGTCTGTGCGTGCGTCCCCGGCTGGAGTGAGTGTTTGCTGAGCTCGGGTCTGTGCACGTGTCCCCGGCTGGAGTAAGTGTTTGCTCTGAGCTCCGGTCTGTGCGTGCATCCCTGGCTGGAGTGAGTGTTTGCTGAGCTCGGGTCTGTGCATGCGTCCCCGGCTGGAGTGAGTGGTTCCTGAGCCCAGGTCTGCACGTGTCCCCGGCTGGAGTGAGTGTTTGCTGAGCTCGGGTCTGTGTGCACGTCCCCGGCTGGAGTGAGTGTTTGCTGAGCTCGGGTCTGTGTGCACGTCCCCGGCTGGAGTGAGTGTTTGCTGAGCTCGGGTCTGTGCGCGCGTCCCCGGCTGAAGTAAGTGTTTGCTCTGAGCTCTGGTCTGTGCGCGCGTCCCCAGCTGAAGTGAGTGGTTGTTGAGCTCGGGTCTGTGCACGTGTCCCAGCTCTGCTTTGCTGTTTGTCGTTCATCCTCTGGATCTTGTTTAAAAAGTGAATGTTAGAACTGAAATTGACTCAAAGTCTTCCCCTTGGTTTGATAAATGAGGAGACCCAGGCTCTAGGAAGTGAGGTGACTGTTCAGGGTCACAGAACACTCCCTGGGAATTTGTCAGCTATCAAAATTTAAACTGCATCCCCTTTGACTCAGCAGCTTCATTTCTAGACATTCATCCCAAAGAGATACTTAAGCACATGCACAAAGAGACAGGCACGAGGCTGTAGATGGTGGTGTTATTTGAATTGGGATCAATAAAAGGCTGGTGGAATAGATCGTTGGTTCGATCCTAAAATGCAGCGATGACAAAGAACGGGGCTGGTCTGTGTACACCGGCGGGATGAGAGCGCAGGCCTGTCGCGGAGTAAGAGGTAGCAACACGGCAAGCTGTGCCATTTGTCTGATAGAAAACAAAACCAGTAAGAGTACATAAACCTGTGACAGTGGTAAGGAGACCAGGGCAGTGATGAAGGGTGACCTGCACTTTCTGTGCTCTGGACTTAGGCATTTGAATTGTTTTAATGCAGATGGCATTCACAAACCATGCAGTTCACGTGTTCTAAGTGTATAATTCATTGGTTTTCCGTGTATTCACAGAGTTGTGCAACCATCACCACTGTCCAACTCCAGAACATTTTGATGAGATCCTGTTCCTATTTGCAGTCACTCACCTCTCCCTGCAGCCCTTGGCAACTATGAAACTACCTTTTGTTTCTGTGTATTATCTTTTGAATGCAGTAGACTCAGCTCCTTCATGTGCAGAATGGGAAGCCAGATGAACTGGATCAGAGCATGTAAAGTGCTTGCCGTGGTGCTGGGCACTTAGCCAGCCTCCAGTGAAATATTAACTGACATTGTTATTATTGTCATGTCCTCTCTTCTTGGACTGTTGTCCACCTTTTTTTTTTTTTTTTTGAGACAGGATCTCACTCTGTCACCCAAGCTGGAGTGCAGTGGCATGATCTCGGCTCACTGCAACCTCTGCCTCCTGGGTTCAAGTGATTCTTCTGCCTCAGCCTCCTGAGTAGCTGGTATTATAGCCACCAACATAGCCAGCTAATTTTTATATTTTTAGTAGAGACGGGGTTCTGCCATGTTGGCCAGGCTAGTCTCAAACTCCTGACCTCAGGTGGCCCGCCCGCCTTGGCCTACAAAAGTGCTGGAATTACAGGTGTGAGCCACCGTGCCTGGCCCCAACATCTTGAATAGTTGTATGGACCCGATGAGAGAGAATGAGCTCTCTAGAAATCTAACAGATTATCATACAACTTGTTGGCCTGGTTGGGATTTATACTCTATCCCTATTCCTTGACATGCAGGGGTCTGGCATGTGTACAACAGGGCCATACACATTTAAAAATGGACATATATTTTCCCTGCAGTGAACATATGTTACTTATATAATTTGAGAAAATAAACTTTTTAAAGAAACAAAGAGAAAACATTATAAAGCCATGTTAAATGTACCTTGTTAGTTGGATGGCATCCCTAGTGAGAGTGACAAATTTTGTCTTTGTTGACTGATACATATATATATATTTTTTGCTAAGTTTTTACAGTCAGGCTCAAGTGAGGTATTGGTCAGTAATTCAGTCAGGAAGGAATGAGAGTCCAATTTGTGGATGTTTCATGGGTTCTGAGAAGCTAGATGGAGTCTTTGCCCTTTTGAAGCTTCTAATCTAGGTAGACGGTCAAGGTCATGATCTGATGTTCTATTAATGACTTCAATGACCTCCACCACCATTGCCATCCATGGAGCATGCTTTCCGGACCAGGCACCCTTCTGATTGATTCAGCTCTTCCTTGATGCCTCCTCTGATGTTAACCTACGAGAAAGGTGTGATTATTCTCTTTGTTCTGGGCAGGAGACTGTGTGCCGGCCAGCTGAGCCCCTTGCAGAAAGTGGCTGAGCCATGATTTGAGCCCAGGTCTGTCTGGCCCCAGCCCCTGTGCCTTTTGCAGTGTTGTGTCCTCACTCTGTTGACGTGCATCGTTTTTTAGCTGCCCCATATCTAACTGCCTGTGGTATGGCATAGAGTCCTAGCATTGAGGCAGTTCTGTGAAATCCTCTGCATGGGCTTTTGAAATTCCAAGGTTCTCTTCTTAAGGGCAGGCTGCACAGTAATTTCCCGAGGAAGGCTTTGTTCCATAAACCCAGGCCTTACAAACAACAGTTTCCGCCTCTGATATGTATAACTCTGCTGCTTTAAGAATGAATTGCAGAAGTCACATGTGCTTATTGCACCAAATAGAAATGCTCCACAGGGCCGGGTGCTGTGGCTCACGTTTGTAATCCCAGCACTTTGGGAGGCTAAAGCCAGAGGATTGCCTGCAGTCAGGAGCTTGAGACGAGCCTGGCTAACAAGGTGAAACCCTGTCTCTACTGAAAATACAAAAATTAGCCGGACGTGATAGCAAGTGCCTGTAGTTCCACCTACTTGGGAGGCTGAGGGAGGAGGATCTCTTGAACCCGGGAGGCATAGGTTGCAGTGAGCCGAGATCATGCCACTGCACTCCAACGAGACTCTGTTTCAAAAAAAAAAAAAAGCTTCACAGGTTTAGGATGAAAACACTTATTATCTATTGATCTATTGCCCTCCATATCCCAGGGCACAACAGTTAACAGCCTGAGTGTGTCCTTTGTGCTCAGACCTCCGTGTACATACCTGGATGATACCTTTCCACTCTCACCAAAATAGAACCATACTACATGCATTTCTGTTACTAGTTTAATTTTTGAACCCAGATACATCTGCTGTTTGGAATGAGCTGTTTTCTGTTTTTGTTTTTGTTTCTGTTTGGAATGAGCTGGTTTAAAAACAGCATTTGGGGTGATCCATGATACCCTGTCCCTTTGCTGACAAGCTGACACTTCCTTTTTTGGGTCTGTAGAGTGCAGTTAGGGCCCAGAGTTCTTTCGAGCAAATACTTTTGCACCACTTGTTTCAGGGCAGGAAATCACTCTGTCTGGCACAGCTGTCCGCATGTTTTATTCCAGCAAAGAAGTTTTCACTGTCAAACTGCTTTTCACTTGGGGGGGAGAAACATGAGTCTAAAGTTTCCATCGAAGCCTCTGCTGGGCTCCATCACATGAGCAGGTGGGACTGTGGCTGGGGAAGGGTGTGATAACAGCTTTGATTTTATGCAACAGCCATTCCCAGCTGTCCCCGTGGATGCGTTATATATTTAGCTGATCTCTTGGAAGCGAGACGCAGCTTCGAAACAGGTGAGCAGATTTCTTAGGAAAGACACATGAGACATGAAACTTAATGGACAGGTGTTCTGATTTTAAAAAGAGGGCAGGCTCTCACTCTTGTATTTGGCTTTTAAAAAATTCTCACGTCGGCCAGGCACAGTGGCTCATGCCTATAATCCTAGCACACTGGGAGGCTGAGGTGGGTGGATCAATTGTGCCTAGGAGTTTGAGACCAGCCTAGGAAACATGGCAAAACCTCAACTCTACCAAAAAAAAAAAAAAAAAAAAAAAAAAAAAGTTGCAAAATTAATTATCTGGGTTTGATGGCACACGCCTGTAGTCCCAGCTACTTGGGAGGCCGAGGTGGAGGATCACCTGAGCCTGGGGAGGTCGAGACTGCAGTAAGCCATGATTGTATCATTGCACTCCAGTCAGGGTGACAGTGAGACACCCTGTCTCAAAAAAAGAAAACTCTCATATCTTTGACACTTGGCATGAGAATAGAAAGTAATTTCTATTTTTCTCATGTTTAATTCTCACAAGAGTTACCATTATCCCCATTTTACAAATGAGGAAACTGAGGTTCAGAGAAAGGAAGTAATGAGTCCAAGAGCTGCTAGTTAGTGACACCTATAGGGAAAAACAAATTGTGTTTTTCTTTTTTCTTTTTTTAAGATAGAGACAGGGTCTCACCATGTTGCCCAGGTTGGTCTTGAACTACTGGGCTCAAGCGATCCTCCCGCCTCAGCCTCCCAAAGTGCTGGGGTTGCAGGTGTGAGCTGCCGTGTCCAGCTTCAGGTTGTTTTTCCGTTTATACTCACACCGCTCTCAACACACCATTTTTGCCGCCACACGTATGGGGGTTTCTTCCACACTAGGCAATTCTCCAACACCAGCCGGGCTCCCTACAGTTGAATTCTGACAGGACGTCATAGGGTAAGGGCTTAGTGCCCCAGGACTGCCCCTATTGCGGATTTCAGTTGCAAGTCCATGTTGTCACCTGTGCTTCCAACCAACCAGCCCCTCTGGAGACCGTGGTCTACCAGTCATCTCAGTAGCTTACAGAACAACACCTGTCACTTAGGAGATTCCAAGGGACTTCAGAGCTGTATGCCAGGAAATGTTGCAAAATGAAATAATATATATTTGCTATTATGAATTATAGTGTCACTGTGATAGAGCCAAAATTTGAACCCAGAGATGGCGTGTGTCTCTGCCCACACTACTGATCATCTGCAATTCCCCATCTATTATTGAAAAAAAAAAAAAAAAGAATATCCCACTCAGACAACGTGGTTCTTGGTCTTGTTCTTGAGGGATGCAGTCAAGTATGTAAATTTTTTTTTTCTTTGAGATGGAGTCTTGCTCTGCCACCCAGGCTGAAGTGCAGTGGCACAATCTCAGCTCACTCCAACCTCTGCCCCCTGGGTTCAAGTGATTCTCCTGCCTCAGCCTCCTGAGTAGCTGGGATTACAGACACCCGCCACCACGCCTGGCTAATTTTGTATTTTTAGTGGAGATGGGGTTTTACCGTGTTGGCCAGGCTGGTCTCGAACTCTTGATCTCAAGTGATCCGCCTGCCTCAGCCTCCCAAAGTGCTGGGATCACAGTGAGCCACTCTGCGCAGCCCAGTCTGTACTTTTTGGGTAGTGTTTCCTTGGCTTGGGTATCACTGGAACCCCTTGCTTTTTAGTGGAGAATCCATTACCTGGGAAGTAGGTTCGTATAATGTGTTTTTAAAGCATTTGGAAAGGTTAAAATTTATAGTTTTCTTAAATTATGAGTAGACAACCAAAAATGTTAGCATGGGTGCGAGTGTGTGTGTGTGTGTATGTGTGGCATGCAGGGGAGTAGGCTCCCTTTGGTGTTTAACACACGGCCTTGGATGTTCCCAAGCGGGGGATTTTGAAATTAAGCAGGCTGGGGTTTTCATCACTGGGTTCATCATTGACAGCATTTTCTAAAATCCAGCCCTCCGTTTTCTCAGCTCTGAAATAGAGATTTCATGCCGTGGTGTTTGAATTCTCAAGTGGGATGGTTAAATTGTCCAGGCTGTGATGTGCTCCTGGGGTCCTTTAGGCAGTAGCCCCTTAGCACCTTTATTGCTGCCTGTGGATTTGTGTTTGTGCTGGAGCCCAAGACCATGGCAGGGCACTGGAACCTCCCTCATCCTGCAGGAGCAGCCATGTGTGCTCAGCTGTTGACCAGGGCTGTCCGGAAAGAGCAGCGCCTCTGGAAGGTGCTGTAGCTGGAGGCTGTTGGGTAACCGCATTCCTCGCAATGGAACGGCAAGTTATCTTTTGGAGGGAGATCTGAGCTGTTTACTCCCTGGCTTCTACCTCCCAGCCTCTGCACTGCATATACCCTGTGGAGTGATCCCTAAAAACGTCCAATCATCGCACTTCTTCTGAATCCTCCAGGGGCTGCTTGTTTTGCTCAGAATAAAATACCATAGCCTGCAAACCCTTACTGTCCCCTCTCTGGTCTCATTTCCTACCAATGTCTCCCTCCTCCATTATCCTTTAGCCACATGGGGCCTCCTCACTGTTGGTAGAACATGTGGGTGCCCGCCCCAGGCCCTTTGCATTTGCGGTTCCCGGGAACGTTCTCTGCAGGGCTGTGCGGAGCTCACTCCCCTGCCTTATCCCAGTCTCTGCTCAGACAGCTCCTCACTAGCGAGGGCTTTCTTCGAACCTTATTTAACTAGCACTTGCAACCATCATTTTCTCACACTTTAACTTCCTCTAGCCCTTCCTCTGGCCTGGCATATTAAATAGTCACTTCTTGGGTCTCTGAGTCTCCTCACTGGAACAGAAGCTTCATATTGGCACTCACTTTTACCCCCCTTGATACATCCCTGTATCTCTAGTGCCTGGTACCTGGCAGGTAATGAACCTTCAGTAGCTAGTTGTGTAGGAACTAAATGAAATACTTGCCCAGAGTCACCCCTGCTAAGCGGTAGAGCCAGACTTTGACTCCCAGGGTCTGTTTCATCGCAGAGCTCCGGGGTCTTGTTGCCCGTGTTTCTCCCTTTGCTACAGTGAGCACTTGAAGATGGTGGATGTTACTGTTAGGAAGACCATTTCCTTTGTTGGAACACTGTGGGTAACCGGTGTCTTGTAGACATCATTGGCATCTCACCTGGAAGGGTCCTTTCTCCTTCGGAACTGTAAAGTGTCCCAAATTTCCTAAGACACAGAACCTTGCCCGTTGTTATGGGACCTGGGCATACCTCATTTTATGCATTTGAATGTCCTGGAAAACCATCTCTGAATTTAAAATGATTCTTTATTTTCGTCATCAGCATCTCACACTGTTTGCATCTGGGTCATGCTCAGCTTGTTCACATTGAAAGCAAAACAGTAACCTCATCATACTGTTTGCCATGCCGCTCTCCATGGTATCAGAAGTTTCACTTAATTTAGACAGAAAACCCTATGTGTTCTCTGGTGCCTGCTAGCAAGCTCAGCACAGTTTCTACCTATTTTAGACGACTTAACACAGATACCCCCAAACAGATGTGGCCGGCTGCGATGAGATGAAAAGTTATGAATGTTCTCTAAGTTTAGATGACCTGCTGATGGTACTGACTAACCCACAGCTTTTCTGGAACATGAAAATTAGTTCTTGTTGAACATAAATGTCTATATACTTCTACCAAACACAGTCTCCCTGTCTATTTGAATATAAGGAGAGAAGGCTTCTTGTTTTTGCCAAATCATTATTTTCCCATTTGGAGTGGAACTTCTATAATTATGCCATCAGGGAGACACAGGAGAAAGTTGCTGACTATTCAGAGTATAGGCAGGTAAGTAGACTGCGGATTTTTCCCGTGAATAAGGTAGATGTTAACTAGGTTGATTGGCTCAATGGGAAATCCCAGTTAATAGCATCACCATCTTCACATTTGGCACGAGATTAAAATGGCCAGACTGAATCCTGCTTGGAGGCTCCAGTGAGATTTTGATGTGAAAATACTGTGTAATCTGCAGTGCTATGTAAATTGAAGCAGTATCATTATTTTGATTTCTGTGACAATAAGATAGGTCTTACTGACCTATCTTTCTACATTGTGCTTAAAGCACAATGTAAGTTTCTGATTGAACATGGAAGTATCCAGCCATGTAGATAAAAGCTTCTGTCTTCTTGGATTCCAGCAGGTGTACTTTTCATGCGGTCCTTGACCAGGGCAAAATACAAATTTCTGAACACTGTCAAGGTAACTCAGAATATGGGCAGAAATTGTTAATGCATTTCAGATTGCATTGCTAACCAATGTCTTGAAGCCTTCTATTTTTGAAGTCAGTGTGAGCTATCATCGACATGAATAGAGAAGTATGTTTTTCTCTTGGGGTATTAAATTGTCATTCTTTCCATTTTACTTTACATCATCATCATCATCATCACCATCATCATCATCATCATCATCATTATTATTATTATTATTTGAGATGGGGTCTCACTCTGTTGCCCAGGCTGGAGTGCAGTGGTGCGATCTTGGGTCGCTGCAGTTTCCATCTCCCAGGTTCAAGCGATTCTCCTGCCTCAGCCTTCCGAGTAGCTGGGACTGCAGGCACGCACCACCACGCCCAGCTAATTTTTGTATTTTAAGTAGAGATGGGGTTTCACCATGTTGGCCAGGCTGGTCTCAAATTCCTGACCTCAAGTGATCCACCCACCTTGGCCTCCCAAAGTCCTAGAGATTACAGATGTGAGCCACCACGTCCAGCCCCGTTCTTTCAGTTTTAAAACCCATAAATCACCCTCAGGAAAGATGCGACTTAGAAAAGTTGTAGTTTGATCAGTTGCAAATGTTTGTATTTATTGTTTAGGTTTGACTTTCAGAATTCAGTCACAATTGATTCTTTACGAATTGATTGGTTTATTGGGGGGATGTGCAAAGAGTGTAGAATGGTGTTGTCATCTGTTATTTTTGCCTCTCAAATGACTTGACGTTACTCAGACTTTAATTGTGCTGCCTTCCTTAATACCCAGATGTTCTTTTACTCCCAAGGCAAATTGAACCTTCTCGACTTGAAAGTAAATCCGATGTTGTGCTTGCATGAACTTAGCCTCATGGGATGAATGGTCTCTCATGCCTTGACCCCACATACTCACCTTTGGCAGTTGAGAGATGGGAGATGTCTAACCTGTTCAGTCGATTCCCTCACTTTGTAAATATTAATCCTTATGCTGTGGAGCAACATGGCACATTTACCTCTTATTTATATTTATATTTTTATTTTTTTGTGCATGTCATCTACATGAAATGATATCACCATCTCCGTCACTTCATGGTCTAACTCAGTCTAATTTAAAGTGGTCTCTCGGCTGGGCACAGTGGCTCATGTCAGTAATCCCAGCACTTTGGGAGGGCAAGGCGGGTAGATCGCCTGCGGTCAGGCATTCGAGACCCACCTGGTCAATGTGGTGAAATGCCATCTCTACTAAAAATACAAAAAATTAGCTGGGCGTGGTGGTGTGTGCCTGTAATCCCAGCTACTCAAGAGGCTGAGGCAGGAGAATGGCTTGAACTGGGGAGGTGGAGGTTGCAGTGAGTCAAGATCGCGCCACTGCACTCCAGCCTGGGTAACAGAACGAGACTCTCAAAAAAATCAATCAATAAATAAAGTGGTCTCTCAAGAAGTAACTATGGAATGATTAAAGACTCTACGTTGGTTAACTATTGTTGTGTAACAAATTACCTCACAGTTAGATGGCTTAAAACAACAAACATTTACAATCTTTGTGTGGGATAGACAGCCTGGGTGTGGCTTAGCCACATGCCTGGCTCAGGGTCTCCCCTAAGGCTCTGTCATGGTGTCAGTTGGAGGCTGCGGTTGTCCCAAGGCTCCACTGGAGGAGTGTGCACTGCCCTCATGTGGCTCATGGGGGCTGTTGGCTGCGTGCATCAGTTCCTTGCCATGAGGTTCTCTCCGTAGGAAGCTCGTAAGAATAAATGAACAAGAAAGGCAACCTCACACAGAAGCTGCAGTCTTTATAACTTAATCTCAGTGGTGAAACCCCATCACTTCTGCCATAGTCTGTTTATTGGAGGTGAGTCAATAAACATAGTCTGTTTATTGGAGGTAAGTCCAGCCTATGCTCAAGGGGTAGGGATTATATAAGAATGTGAATACCAAGGGGCAGGGGGAATTGGAACCATCTTTGTTGAATGTAATATATTGGAACCATCTTTTTTTTTTTTTTGAGACAGAGTCCCACTCTGTTGCTCAGGCTGGAGTGCAGTGGCGTGATCTCAGCTCACTGCAACCTCCGCCTCCTGGGTTCAAGTGATTCTCCTGCCTAAGCCTCCTGAGTAGCTGGGATTACAGGCATGTGCCACCATGCCCGACTAATTTTTGTATTTTTAGTGGAGACCAGGGTTTCACCTGTTGGGCAGGCTGGTGTTGAACTCCTAACCTCAAGTGATCCGCCTGCCTTAGCCTCCCGAAGTGCTGGGATTTCAGGTGTGAACCACTGTGCCCTGCCTGGGGTCCATCTTCGAAGCTGCTTACTGATGGGAAAAGTATGATATAGTTAGGCTTAATTTTGTATTATTTCATACATGGAATTGAAATTTTTGGCATGCTTGCTAAAACTGAACCAGGGCAGCAAGGAAGTCAGGTAGTTGCAGGGGAAGGTTGACTGGCTAGTTGCTGAGAGAACTTATGTAAATTCATGACTGTCCAGGGTCTTTCCCCAAGCCTTTAAGGTCAAAAAGCTTATTTCTGCACCTCTGCCCCCACCAGTGTTGAAGGTTGCTGATTCTTCTTAAATATAGTCCTAGAGGGGCTGGTGCCTTGGGGACGGGGCTAGTGCCTTGGGGACAGGAGGCCAGTGGCGTGATTGCTAATGAGATGTGTGGACTTGAAGCGGGTTGAATGAATTGTGATGAGCAGGACCTCCTTGCAGAGGGCAGCAGCCTGGGCCTGGGCAAGATGAAGAGATCATTTGGAGTCACGGGTAGAGCAGGGCTGTGAGTTCGCCATTTTGCGTATGTATTAGCACCAGGCTCTGCTGAGCAGCTGCAGCCAGCTTCATGCTGCGGTGCCTGCCAAGGTATCTGTGTCCTGGTTGCCCTGCCGACGGGCTCCACTGCTCTCTTACCTGACTTTTCTAAGTCCCATGGCTAAGTGCAGGCTCCCCTCAAATTCTGATTACATAGTTTACATATCACTAACATATAATCATAGTTTACACATAATTTTGTTTGTGTCTTTAAATCAAAACTTTGCAGGTACATAGATAAAGTCATTGGTTCTCTTAGCTTTATTACAAAAGACAGGAGGCCTCTGGCTGTCACTGTCTCCCACTTGCCACCCTTCAGAAGCCCCTCTTGGAAGCTTTTCCACTCATGCTTTGGGTTGTTGCCTCCATATCTCTGATCAACACGCCTGTTGCCGCTTTTTTATTTTTCAGTTTTTGGAATTACTTATTTCTCATCGTGGAAGAGGAAGGGTAACTGTCTTTGACTGCTCCACCTCCAGAAAACACACGCAACACGCAGCTCCCCATCCTCTGGCACAGTCATATCATCATTTTGGTTAGATCAGTATTCAGTGATTACATTATTATAACTGGAAATGCTATCTACAGCTGTGAAGTGCATGATCGTTTTTCCTGCACGATCTCTTGATTTCTCTGGTGTTAATACTTAATTCAACTCCAAGTTCATCCTCAGTGTGTTAATCCCCCTGGTGCCTTCAGGCACTGTAGGCCGCCTCCCGCTTGCACCCAAGGCAGTCTCTCCTGGTGCCTTCTGGCCTACTCTAGCCAGAAGCCTGCTGCTGGTGGGCCCACACTCTCCAACTCACTTTTTTTCTTAACAGCTTTCTTGAGATATAATGCACATAACATACTGTTCAGCCTTTGAGAGTGCATAATTTTAGTGGTGGTTTTTTGTTTTTTGTTTTTTTTTTTTTGTTGTTGTTTGTTTGTTTTTGAGATGGAGTTTTCCTCTTGTTGCTCAGGCTGTAGTGCAATGGTGGGATCTCGGCTCACTGCAACCTCTGCCTCCCGGATTCAAGTGATTGTCATGCCTCAGCCTCCCGAGTAGTTGGGGTTACAGGCGCACACCACCATGCCCGGCTAATTTTTGTATTTTTAGTAGAGACAGGGTTTCACCATGTTGGCCAGCTGGTCTCGAACACTTGACCTCAGGTGATCTGCCCACCTCAACCTCCCAATGTGCTGGGATTACAGGCGTGAGCCACCAAGCCCGACCCTCAGTGGTTTTTATATTCACAAATTGTGCAACCATCGCCACTCTCTAATTCCAGAACATTTTTGTCATGCCCCAAAGAAGCCTGATACCCTTTAGCAGTAGGGTCTTCATCCCTCCTTCCCCCAGACCCTGGCAACTAAGACCTTCTCTGGACATTTCGTGTACGTGGGCTCAGGTAATCTGCAGCCTTTCGGATCTGGCTTCTTTCCCCTGGCTGAATGCTCTCACGGTCTATCTGTGTTGCAGCGTGAGTCTGCTCTTCATTCCTCTCATGGCTGAATAGTACAACCCTGCATGGCTAGACCGCATCTTGTTCACTTACCAGGTGATGGCCATTTGGGTTGTTTATGCTTTTTTGTTACTATGAAGTATTCTCTGGCTCCCTTTTGTGTTGCATCCCCTATATCTTGGGATCTATGTATTACGATTGCTAGAATTCTTCCCTTCTTTATGTGCGGGGTAAAGTTTCTGCACGGTCACATGTCTGAAAATGCCTTTATCCTGCCTCTCACGTGGCTTGCCTGGGTGTATAAGGCTCAAAATAATTTTTCTTCAGAATGTTGAAGAGGTTTCTTCATTGTTTTCTAGCTTTCCATGTTGCTGTTTAGAAACCCTATGCCATTTCTAGTTTTTATCCTTTGTAAAAATTCTTCTTCCACTTCAGAAGTTGGTAGCCTGTCTTCTCTGTCCCCTGTGTTCTCAAGTCTGTGAGTGAGGCTTGCTTTTGTCCATTTTGCTGGACATTCATTGAACTCTTCCATCCTGCCCCTCGTGTCTGTTGGCTCTGAATTATATCTTTGATTTCCTCTTCTGTGTGTTATCTTTTTCTCCTTTCTTGATCTCTTCTCCATTTGGACTTGTAGTTCTCTATTCTCCCCACCTCTTTTTTTTTTTTTTGAGACAGAGTCTTGCTCTGTGGCCCAGGACGGAGTGCAGCTATGCCATCTCAGTTCACTGCAACCTCTGCCTCCGAGGCTCAAGCGATCCTTCCACCTCAGCCTCCCGAGTACCTGGGACTACAGGCATGTGGCACCACACCATACTAATTTTTGTGGTTTTTGCAGAGGTGGGGCTTCACCATGTTGCCCAGGCTTGTATTCTATTTTGTTATTCGTTGCCTCTATTTTCTGGAAATTTTGCTACCCTTTCCTTTACAGTCCCTGTTCTATTTCTGCTGTTATAGTTTCACTCTGTAAAAGGGCTTTTGTGTGCTTTGTGTTTTTCTTTTTCTCCTTTTTAAATATCTCCGTATTCTTATTTCATGACTACACTGTCTCCTCCTCTCTCTCTGGAAATATTACCCACAGTTTGCTTTTGAAGTGTTTTCCCTAAATAGTCTCTCTTTCCTGCAAGTTGCTTTTCTCTGTTTATTCCTGTCTCAGTCTTTCATCTTAGGTGCTTTTCTCAAATGGGATGTGATTTCTAGATGTCTACTCAGGTGTTGGAATGGGGTTAGAAATTGATCCAAAGCTCCGTGAACTTTGACTTTGGGCCTCTTGGGGTGATCTGGCTGTGCCATTCCACTGGAGAACTACCCCTGGTCTCCAAAGTTTTTTTAGATTCCTGGGAGAATACCTTTCCATTCCCTGGCTTAGAGGCACATGCTGTCTGCCTGCTCTTCTGGGAATGAGTGGGGCTGGGGAGAGGGAAGAAGAATGGGAGAAACTCAGAAGTTCAGTGTGTGTTACTTTTATGTCTCCATTAAAAAAATGGAATACCCTAACCTCAACTCAGTCCAGACCTACTGCGTTTTCTCCAGAGAATAAACATGTATATTTTGCTAATCGCTTCTTAAACAGACTTTTAAAACCTTTCTTTTGCTTTCTAGTCCTGTGTTCACCGTCATTTCCAGAGGTGTCTTGTGCTAACAGTTCATTAGCGTTTTATGAATCATTCCATTCTCATCAGATATTATTTTGGTGGCATCCATGTCTGTTTAGGAATGAAATTTTCTCAGGTCTGTCAAGTTATTTATCAGTCATCTACCTGATTCTTAGCTTCTGTAATTTTGTTTTTTTTGTTTCCTCTCCAATTCTTTTTTTTTTTTTGTGAGCGATGTCTTTATAAAAACCTTTTTTTGCTTTTATTGTTATTTTTGACACATAATAAATTGTGCATATGTATGAGGTAGTGTGTGATATTATGATAGATGTATACAAAATTTAATGATCAAATCTGGGTACTTACCATATTCATCATCACCTCATAGGAAACATTTTAATTGTTTTTTTTTTTTTTTTTTTTTGGGGGGCGTGGTCAGAGTCTTGCTCTGTTGCCCAGGCTGGAGTGCAGTGGCACCATCTCGGCTCGCTGCAATCTCCGTCTCCCTGGTTTAAGTGACTCTTCTGCTTCAGCCCTCCGAGTAGCTGGGATTGCAGGAGCATGCCACCATGTCCAGCTGATTTTTGTATTTTTAGTAGAGACAGGGTTTCTCCATGTTGGCCAGGCTGGTTTCGGACTCCTGACCTCAAGTGATCCACCCGCCTTGGCCTCCCAAAAGTGCTGGCATTACAGGTGTGAGCCACCGCACCTGGCCTTAATTGACATTTTAATGGGATTTTGAGAGGATGTGAGTGTAAATTACTGTGTTCAGGCTCTCATCTTTACAGAGTTCTTCACAGTTTTTCTTTCCATAACTGTTTGGGGTTATCTGTTGTGATTGGGTCACTCCCTGCATTCGTGGCCCAGGACTCAGGGCTTCTTTCTGCGTGTTTCCTGCTGTCACTCAGGGTCTTGAGCCTTCGGCGGGCTCTAACAGTGTGGTCTGAGGAGGCTTAGCCACCTGGCTTAGTTGCATCAGTTTTGACTCCTGGTTTTGCTCAGCCTTCCTGACTTTCACCTTCTTCCTGAAGGCTACCCGCATCACTGGGGGGCTAGTCTCAGATCCTTGTTTAGCCTCACTGCCCCTCCATACAGCTGATAGGGCATCCAAGGGATTTCTTGTCCCAGAACACACAGGAAACTGATCCTGCATCATTGATGCTTGTTTTGAGGCTTGAGGCTAATCCACATTCTTAAACATGCTGTGGATGTTTTTCTTTGCCCTTGGTGTGGGAGGTCTTCCCTGTTCTTGTTTTCTGCTTTTCTTGGAACTATCTGGTTCATTCTCAGCTTTTCTTTATTTGTTTTTCCCTGCAGAGTGGGCATATATGGGCATATACATAATCATGGAAACACTACTCAGAGCCGTTTGTGTGCATGCTTGCTCTGACCTGGGAGCCAGTCTCTTTAACATGTCTTTTGCATTGACGTTCTGTGTTGGTTTCCGAGTTTTTCTAAAGGTTTTCTTGCTGTCATCCTAAGTATGGTTTATAAATACCAATCCTTGGTTTTACACATACTCTGACCCCCATTAGTGCTCCACAGCTGGCTGTCAGCAGGCCCTACCTCACTGGATCACTTTTTTGTTGTAGAAAAAGGAACTTGGCAAATATAAAAGATGTAAGTGGACTGAATGCAGTGGTTCACACCTGTAGTCTCAGCACTTTGGGAAGCTGAGGAGGGAGGATCACTTGAGGCCAGGAGTTTGAGACTAGCCTGGTCAACATGGTGAGACCTTGTCTCTACAAAAACTAAAAAAACAAAAAAAGAACTAGCCTGCTGCAGCAGGGTTATGCCTACAGTCCCAGTGACTCAGGAGGCTGAGGCAGGAGGATCGTTTGAGCCCAGGAGTTCGAGGCTGTAGTGAGCTAAATGATTGATTGTGCCACTATACTCCAGCCTGGGTGACAGAGGAGACCCCATCTCAAAAAAACAAACAAAACCTCCACCCCCCAAAACAACCAGCTCTTATGTCTTGCCAAACCTGCCAAAACATTGCCTGTTTTCTCCTGAAATGGAAAGTAGTGACAAGATTATTTCTTGACTCCTGTGCTTCTGTCTCATGACAGTTCTTGCATTTTAAAAATACAGCTTATCGCTTTTTATTTTTTTAAGTGACAAAGTCTAGTTATGTCACCTAGGCTGGATGACAGTGGCACAATCATAGCTCATGGCAGCCTCGACCTCCTGGGCTCAAGCGATCCTCTCAACTCAGCCTCCTGAGCAGCTGACACTACAGGCGCACACCACCATTCCTGGCCTTGTCACTCGTTTTATTGTACTTAGGTGAAAATGTCCCATTGTTGAAGTAGTTAGTAAGTGTGTGTGTGTGTTTTTCTTGAGAGCTTTTTCAGTCTGAAGTCATCTGAGAAAGAAGAATTTTTTCTTTTTTTACTGGGAGAATAATTTTCGATACTGTTGAAATATTTATGACATGTCTCTCTTTCTCTAAAGTGCCAAATCTTTGGAGTGTTGATGGAGAAGTTACAGTAGCTGAACAGAAGCCGGGAGAAATTGCTGAAGAACTCGCAAGCTCCTACGAAAGAAAGCTCATCGAGGTAAGGCCGGTGGAGTCTGTGTGTCTTTGTTTCTGATGTTGGCTGCGTTGGAGACTTTCCAGGGTAGGTCCAGCCTATTCTAAAGACACGTGAGCAAAACGACCAAGCAACTCCTCAGCCCCACAAAACAAAGCAAGACCAAATCAGTGTGCTTTATAAAAAGAAGTATGAGCTGATCCTTTGAAAAATGTCACTTAAATATTGGAACTTTTTGGCACTTATGATAAGGACATAAGAGAAAACATATATGTGTAACATTAAAAATAAAACAATTGTAAGATTTGGAGATGAAAACAGAGAATATCACATGCACCTTTGTGCTGTTAAATGTGAAAATATGGATGAGGTGAACTATTTTTCAGAAAAACATTCATTATCAGAATTAATTGAAGATGAGGCAAACTGGTCGAAGGGACCCCCTCACCCTCAAAAGAAAAGAAAAAAAAAACCAAAACATTTTGGAATAAAGTTGTACAAATTACTGAAGAACTGCTTCCTTAGAAGACAGCAAGCCTAGAGGGTTTCATGGTGATTTCTAGGAAACTCTTCAAGGTAATACACAAAGAGCCCTTTGCTATTTATATTTCCTGAGAGGGTTTTTATACGTCTCTATCTTGGTTCAGGTATGCATTACTGTGATATAAAAAAATCCTGACAAAGATAGCATAAAAAAGAAAACTATCAAATAGAATCATTTGTGTATAAGATGTACAAAAATTCTAGAAAGTCATTACTCAAATTCAGTCGCATATTAAAAGAACAGTGCACATAAAACATAGGGTTTATTTAGGATTGCAAGGATGGCTGCATGTTGGGAAATTCATCCATGTAAGTCATCTCATTAGTAGCCTCAAAGAGGACAACCAGATAATTATCTTGGTAGGAAATGAAAAATCATTTTATAACCTTATTGATACCTGATTAAAAAAAGGGTAATTCTTGGATATGATAAAGAGGTTTTTCAAAAACCATTGATTTATTACCATATTCAATGGTAAAGTTGAGAAGCTATGTTTTTGATGAGGTGTGTGTACATGTTGTAATGGTCCCTTGGTGGTAGTATTGTAAGTCATGTCTGTATGTACATACATACACATGCTAAGTATACAAGCAAACTTTCGGTTCTTTCTAAATCTTCTACAGTGAGTTTTATTTTGATAATCAAGAAGACACTCGCTCATTGCTGTGTAGACATACCTGAGCTTGGGTGGGTTTCAGAGGCCCAGGGCCTTGGAGGGTGTTCCCCTAAGTTCATTGCTGGTGCAGGCTGCCATTCTTACCATCTGTTTTGTCTGGTCTCTAAATTGCCTCTAAAGAAGGAAGGTGGCTTTAGAAACAGCTTGCATTCTAACTCAGGTGAGCTCAAGGGAAGGCAAGCTGAGGCCTTAACACACAGGTTGGTGGGGATGAGTCAAAAGCCAGGCTGGGGAGGCCTGGGGACAGGGCACTCCTGTGTGCTCTCTGCCCAGTGCTCTGCCCTTCCTTGGGAGCTCCCTCAGTGGGGCTGTGAGACTCAGACTTGGCTGGTGGCAGTGCCAGGGTTCTGGGCCATGAGTCTGTGCCCGGAAGTCCCAAGTGGAGAGGGAAGCAGGGCCCCAATCTCAGGATTGGGACGACTTGTGTCAGGATTCGAACCCCTGAAAGGTAGGACTGTGTCTTTGCCACCTCTGTACGTTCCACAGCCACTTATTGGCAAATGGTAGGTGCTGCGTAACCCTTGAATTTTTAAGTTCTCCTGGGATGGGGATGTCTGGATTTACTGAATGAATGAATGAAGGCCTGATGAGCTAGAGAAGGTGAAAGGGTTCTCAGAATGAAAGTGCAGGATGAAAGGTTCTGTTCCTCTGGGGGAACAAGGGTGCTGTGGTGAGGACTCCATCAGACCAGTGCAGCTCAGTGAGGGTGCCTACTTCGCAGGGTCCACAAAGGCATTGAGTGCTGGGTCCAGGCAGCGCTCTCCGTGGAGATTCTCCACCTGTGGGGCTGCTGGGCAGCGTGTAGGGGTGGGGTGGGGGTGTTTGACCCTCTGATTGATTGGGTGTTTGACCCTCTGAGCCAAGTGCCACTAGTTCATTCGTGGGCCGGGTGGTTGGATGATTTATTTCAGTGTTTATGAGATGCCTGCTTTCTGCATCAGAAACAGCAAGAACAGAGGCTGAGTACAAGGAAAGCATTGGCAGGAACTGAAAGGAGACTCACGGGTCGGGAACAGAGTAGATGAGGGGAGAAAGGTGATGCTGTGGCTGTGTCCTGGCCGTGTCACCACCCGCTTTGCTTTGACCATGTGAAAATCTCATCCCCTGCTGTGCTGACCTGAGCTGAGATGTGTGGAGAGGATCAGGTCATGTGGGGAGTTACTGCAGGGTCCACCTGCCTGGCCGTTCTGGCCAGCTGTGAGAGGGTGAGTGTGGAACCACCAAACGGGAGGGCTCAAGGTTGAGGCATGAAGGTTCGTCTTACTGGCCTCAAGCTTCCTTTCTTTTCCTTCTTGTTTGTTTTTTTTATCCCGGGAGCAGTAGAGATGCTGGCTGTGGTCAACGAGCTGAGAGAAGTGTGAGGTTGAAGCAGACATGTCCTCAAACGGCATTTACTGCACCGGATTGATTTTTCCTTCTTTTTTGGTTGCAAAGACAGGTTCTGCCGGTGATCTTTCATCTGTGAATAGCATTAGCATTTCACTACACCAATACTTTTGCTGTTAATCGAGACCCTCAGAACGTTCTTTGTGATGCTTCTGTCATTCTGTTAATGGGTTGATTTTTACCAAAATAGTTGTAAAGACTTGTTAGAGTAATGAACGAATGTGAGGGGAAAAGTTGATATAGTTTCTTTCCGTGTCAGAAGGGCAAAGGAAGAAGAAGAAACATTGTATTTATTTAGTTATTTATGGAGACAGGGTCTCAGTCTGTCGCCTAGGCTGGAGTGCAGTGGTACAGCCTTGGCTCACTGCAGCCTCAACCTCCCCGGCTCAACGGATCTTCCTACCTCAGCCTCCCAAGTAGCTGAGACTACAGGCATGTGCCACTATTCCCAGCTAATTTTTTTAAATTTACTTTTTCTAGAGATGGGATCTTGCTATGCTGCCCAAGTTGGTCTCAAACTTGTGACCTCCAACAATACTCTCACCTCGGCCTCTCAAAGTGCTGGGATCACAAGTGTATGCCATTGTGCCCAGTCCATCTCATTTTAGATAATAAGGATATTTGGAACACCTTAAACATGGTGATTCATCCCAGTGCGAAGGGAGTTTCTGAGAATTTTTTTATCTAGGTGTCTTTGAGAGCATGAAAGCCAACTCATCTATCTGCACATACACACTACACATTTGTGCTTGGTGACCTGGAATCCAGTGTCCTGGACAGCACAGAACCTAAAGTCGGTGCCATAAAGCCCTCTTTAAATGGCTGGTGGGCATCTTGTGCCAAGGACTGGAGGTATAAAAATTGTTCCTGACACCCTGTGGTTGTTAACTCAGGAAAACAAGGAGGACAGGAGAATTCTGGCAGGTATACATTAATCTGGCAAGGGTAAAAGCACTAGTAGTATCACAGCCCCTGTAATACTAGCAGCAGCTGTCAGGTGAGTACTGTTAGATCCAGGCACTGTGCTGGGGTTTTTACGTAGATGAACATATGTGATCCTGAGAAGAGTTCTTTGAGGAGGACACTCTTGCTGCCTCCAGTTCACAGACAAAGCTTTGGGAAGTTTAGTAACTTTCCCAAGAGTCCTTAGCTGCTAAGAAGCAGAGCTGGGGCTGGGCGTGGTGGCTCAAACCTGTAATCCCAGCACTTTGAGAGAACGAGGCGGGTGGATCACTTCAGACTAGGAGTTCGAGAGTAGCCTGGCCAACACGGGGAAACTATGTCTGCCAGATAGAATCTGTTTCCATTCTCAAAAATTAGCCGGTCATGGTGGCATATGTCTATAGTCCCCAGCTACTTGGGAGGCTGAGGCAGAGAATCACTTGAACCCGAGAAGAGGAAGTTGCAGTGAGCTGGGATCATGGCTCTGCACTCCAACCTGGGCGACAGAGTGAGACTCCATCTCAAAAAAAAAAAAAAAAAAAAAAAAATGCAGAGCTGGATTTGAATCCTCACAGTTGAGCACCAGAGTGCAAACCCACAACTCTCTGCCGTGCTTTGGAAGGCTGAGCTCATTGAAGAAGAAGGTTAACTTGACGGAAGAGACGATCACTACCGATGTTCAAGAGAATGAATGGCAGGACACAAGGGGGAAAACTAGTAGTAGATAACAGCAACTGCAGCAATATCAGCCATTTGAGATGGCGCTGGTGGTGGGGACATCACAAACCCTTTGTTACTGGAGAAGAAAGGGGAAAAGCACATCTTGTCTGTGCCAAGGATTACCTGCTTCCAAAGCAACTTGTAGCAGAACAGCAGAGTGAGAGTTCCTCGAGGGCAGTGCGGACATTGTCTTTTAAATTGTATCTTCATTGCCCAACCCATCTCCAGCATATAGTAGGAGAAACATAACATTGAATAGAAGGCCAGCCTGTTGAGTGGCTTCAGTCATCTTGTGTAATGCGTAAAGAATGATAAATGTGAGTCCTAGAACCTCAGATTGGGAGTGAATTGTCTAAGGCATCACAATTAAGTATTTTTTTGTTTTGTTTTTTGAGATGGAGTTTTGCTCTTTTTGCCCGGGCTGGAGTGCAATTGCCTGATCTCAGCTCACTGCAACCTCCCCCTCCCAGGTTCAAGCGATTCTTCTGCCTCAGCCTCCTGAGTAGCTGGAATTACAGGTGCCCACCACAATGCCTGGCTAATTTTTTGTATTTTTAGTAGAGACAGGGTTTCATCGTGTTGGCCAGGCTGGTCTCGAACACCTAACCTTAGGTGATCCGCCTGCCTTGGCCTCTCAAAGTGCTGGGATTACAGGCGTGAGCCACTGCACTCGGCCCACAGTTAAGTCTTAACTAGAGCTCAGAGCAACCTGGTAGAAAGGATTAGATAGCTAATAAGAGCACATGGGTTCTGGAGAGGAGGCACACTTTACTCTGGCCCTTAATGTTAGCAGGAGGCATAGCTTGGAGAGCCTGGGGACACCATTGAGTAATAGATGGTGCCAACTCAATTTGTGCACATCCATTGAGCGCCTTCTCAGTGTCCAGCCCTTAGCTTCCTTTCTCCTCCCTTTGTGGCTTTTCTTACCCTGGGAGCAGCAGTGTTGATGGTTGTAGGAGATGAGCCAAGGAAGTTGTGAGGTTGAAACAGAGACATCCCTGAAATGGCATTGACTACCCTAGATGGAGTTGTTTTTTTTTTTTTTCTTTTTCTTTTTTGAGACAGAGCCTCACTCTGTCACCAGGCTGGAGTGTAGTGGCGTGATCTTGGCTCACTGCAAGCTCCACCTCCTGGGTTCAAGCGCTTCTTCTGTCTCAGGCTCCTGAGTAGCTGGGACTACAGGCACGCATCACCATGCCCAGCTAATTTTTGTATTTTTAGTAGAGATGGGGATTTCACCATGTTGGTCAGGATGGTCTTGATCTCTTGACTTCGTGATCCACCCACCTCAGCCTCCCAAAGTGCTGGGATTACAGGCATGAGCCACTTGCAGAGCGACTTCTGTTGCAAAGTCATTGGTGTTTCATCTGTGAGTTGCATTAGCTCTTCCTCATGCCAAGAGTGGTCCTAAGTTACAAAAATGAATGGGACGCAGTGCCTGTGTTTAGGGAGCTTGCATTCTTGTGGGTGAGGCAGACGTGCCTGTTCTAATTGTCAGGACAGATAATTGAAGTGCAGAGGTAGGGTTATACCCACAGGCCTGGAGCTGTGTCTTTGACGGCAGTTCTGCAGAGGTTGGCACCTAACCACAGCTTCTTTAGATAATTCCTCCCCACTTCTTAGGGACTGTTAGTGGTGATGCTCAGAATTTCTTCTGTAAACTTCCCCATGCTTCTTGAAATTCTAAGACACCAGAACAGAAACAACCAAGGTTTTGAAGATAAGATATTGGACACATCCAAGATTGATCTCTTCTGAGACTCTTGCTTCTTTACCTCTTTTAAGTACATTTCCTTTGGTTTGGACTCATCTTCAGAGATGTTCTATTCTTTTTCAGCAGTTGTCTTCACAACAATGTGAAGTGTTGGCGACATTCGGACTTTGGGCCTGCATCACTTTGTCGCTGCCTTCTGCAGCCTGGTGACTTGGAAAGCACATGTATCGCGTGTCAGACTGAGTTCAGATTTGCCACTTACTGCCGTATGTTCCTGGGCACGCCCCCTAACCTCTCTAAGCCTCAAGTTCTCTGTTAGTGAAATGCAGCCAGTCATACCTGTGAGTGGGTTTGTTTTGGGAATGACACATAAGAACCCAGCTGAGTGCCTGCAGTAGACAGGAGGTGTCTCTGTGCTTCCTCTTCTCCCCTCCATCCTGACTTTCTTTGGAGGGCTTCCCTCTCCACCATAGCGTGCTGTCTGGGTGGGACAGTATGTCCAAATGCTTTGCCCTGGTTTTGGTTCAGGGCTGGGTACATGACCTGAGCTAGGCCCATGGGGGCTTTAACTCTGGAGTTGTATAAGAATGCAGCAATGCTTGGGAGGCCGTTTATTCAATAGCAATTAACAGTAAGCATTTATTCAATAGACTAATAGCAATGAGTCTGATAAGACTCTAATTGTTTTCTGTGTTGAACTTGCCAGAACTGCTTTGGTTTCGGTTCCTTTTTTTTTTTTCTTTTTTTTGAGACAGAGTCTCATTCTGTCACCCAGGCTGGAGGGCAATGGCACAATCTCAGCTCACTGCAACCTCTGCCTCCCAGGTTCAAGCAATTCTCCTGCCTCAGCCTCCCGAGTAGCTGAGATTACAGATGCGTGCCACCACACCCAGCTAATTTTTTATATTTTTAACAGAGATGGGGTTTCGCCGTGTTGGCCAGGCTGGTCTCGAACTCCTGACCTCAGGTGATCCACCCACCTTGGCCTCCCAAAGTGATGGGACGGATTATAGGCATGAGCCACTGTGCCTGGCCTCAGTTACTTTTCTGAGCCTGATTTCCCCACTTTTCTGCCTGTTTATAGTGAATTCTATTTTAGCTTAGGTTAGAATCTGTTTATTTTGCTTACCAGCGGTGCTCTCACTTAGGTAAAGCTTTGTATCCGTATGTAATCAGTAGATGCCGTTTCCCTTCAGTTCTCCTTCCACTCACTGTTTAGCAGGGCTTAGCTCCCTCATGTTGTCTTCGGGCTCTCCCAGCTCTTGCTTGCCGGCACCGTTTTCTAGCTGTTTGCCCCACTTGTGTATCTTCTGCTTCAATATTGCCAGTCCATCCTCTGCAAACAGAACTTTACTCCCTTCCATATGGCAGGGCTCAGCTAGCTGATGATTGATTTTTAAAATTATAAGACACTTATCGTTTACTGTCTGAGTGTGGTTAGTCCCTGAATTTTTCTTGTGGGTAAAATAAATGGTGTATTAGCAACATTTGTTCTCATTATAATGGCAGAGTCGCTATTAATGGAAAAGTAAGCTTGAACATCAAGCTGGTAAAAAATACACTCATAATCACACGCTGTAGATAACTGTGAATGTGATCATCATTTTAATAAAGTGTAAAAATTCCGGAAGCAGCCAGGACCTTGGGAGCAGTTACACCACCAGTGCCTGCCTCATAAATTGGCACCAATGGGTTCCAACACTTCTCATGCGTGTCCAGGAGTCATTTTTGTATAAGAGCAGCATGGGCTTTTCAATAAAATACTGGATTTTTTATAAGGACTCAGGATAAAAAACTCTGAGCTGAGATCTACATTAAACTGATACTCAAAATGAAAGGTATGATGTTAGGTTTATTTATTTATTTATTTTTTATTTTTCTGATGGAGTTTCACTCTGTTGCCCAGGCTGGAGTGCAGTGGTACGATCTCAGCTCACTACAACCTCCGCCTCCTGGGTTCAAGTGATTCTCCTGCTTCCCCCTCCACAGTAGCATACGCTACCATGCTCAGCTAATTTTTGTATTTTTAGTAGAGACAGGGTTTCACCGTATTGGCCAGGCTAGTCTCAAACTCCTGACCTCAAGTGATCCTCCCACCTCGGCCTCCCAAAGTGCTGGGATTACAGGTGTGAGCCACTATGCCTGTCCTGTTTGTTTTTTTTTTTAATCACATGAAGCTGAGTGGATTGAGACCAGGCTCTTACCTCATATAGTTTGATTACCAAGCAAAATGGAGTGTTTAAGTGTCTCCTATATATCAGTGAAAAAGGGTAAGAAGTTATAGTTTCTAGCAGGATAGGTGTAATTCCCACTGAAGTGTGAATGACTAACAGGGCTAAACCTCCAAGGATTTTTTTTTTTTTTTTTTTGAGATGGAGCTTTGCTGTATTGCCCAGGCTGGAGTGCAGTGGTGTGATCTCGGTTCACTGCAAGCTCTGCCTCCCGGGTTCATGCCATTCTTCTGCCTCAGCCTCCCAAGTAGCTGGGACTACAGGCCCCACCACCATGTGAGGTTAATTTTTTTGTATTTTTAGTAGAGATGGGGTTTCACCGTGTAAGCCAGGATGGTCTCGATCTCCTCACCTCATGATCCACCCGCCTTGGCCTCCCAAAGTGCTGGGATTACAGGTGTGAGCCACTGTACCCGGCCCCAAGGTGTCCTTAAAATTTTTTTATTATGTAAAAGTTGAAACATATACAGAAATAAAAGTGTAATGAGCCTCTATGTACCCATCACCTGGCTGTAGCTGTTAGTACCTCTTGGCCAGTCTTGCTTCATCTGTATCCCGTCCCACCCATCAAACCTCAGCCTCTCATGGTATTTTGAAGAAAATCCCAGGTTCCATATTATTACATTCCTGAGTATTTCAGAATCTATCTTTAAAAGATAAGAGGTCTTTTAAAAACCCCACATTACTGCAATACCATAGTCATACTTTAAAAAGCCTGTTAAAAGAGGCTCGTGCTAGTCCCATTGATTCTTGGGTTGGAGTATCAGGGAGAGGAGCTTCTTTAAGAACGTCTTTTAGGGGGCCCCTGGCTCACTCTTTCTCCTTCCCAGCTTCCCGAACAAGGAACTGGAGCATCTCATTTATGCAAGATGGCTAAGCTCGGAGCTTTTCTGTCTTTTGGATGTGCCCTTTGCTTGGCTCTCTGCCTTGACTTCAGTTAACAACACACATAGTCATGTCAGCAGCACACTACACAGGCCCTGGGAAAGTGAGGGATTTGGAGATGAGGAGGTGTGACCACAGCCTGCAGGCTCCACCAGCGTATGGGTTTCCAGCCTCCAGCATGGTCTCCTTTACAAACAGACTCCTTCCCTAAGGAAGGTCTCTGAAGGAAGAGGAGGCAGGCTGTATCTCACAGGTGTCTCTCTGTTTTTTTTAAATTTTTTTTTTAACTGGTAAAAAGTAGGCAAAAGAGCATAAAGAACTTCCATATACTCATCACCCTACTTCAATAGTTATCAACTCTTGTCCAGTCTTGTTTCATCCACTTACCCTCCTGTTTCCCCAGCATCAAGTAGTGTTTGGAAGGAAATCCAAAGCACAACGTTGATTTCACCCATAAGTAGTTAGGAATATATTGGTAGTAAACTACAAGGACTGTCTTTTTAAAACAGAAAAAACTCTGTAGTATCATTATCACACCCTAAAGTTAGCAGTAATTCCTTAGTATTGTCAAATATCTGGTGAGTGTTCAAATTTGTAGTTTAAACAGGTGTTTGAATCAGGATCCCAGTAAGGTCCCCACCTCGTGATTGGTGATGGATCTCTTCAGTGTCTTTTAATCCATATGTTCTGTCACCTGTGTCTCCCTGCCTCTCCCTTTCTTCCTTACGTGTCATTTATTAGTTGAAGAACCTGGGTTGTTGATCCTAGAGAATTTCTCCTACCAGTGTTTTTTGAGGGTGTATTACATGTGTGGTACTTGGTGACCTGTTAGGTTTTTCATGGCATTTTATGAAAAGCAGCTATAGATATTGATGTCACAGCCTGGGCAATGTAGTGAGACCCTGTAATTACAAAAAAAAATTTTTTTAACTAGCTGGGTACATCAGCATGCCTGTGGTCCCAGCCACTCAGGAAGTTGAGGTGGGAAGATTGCTTGAGTCCAGAAGGTCAAGGCTGCAGTGAGCTATTGAAGTAGGAGGTGGGACTTGACTCCAGAGGCGGGACTCAGACACTGGACCAAACTGACTACTAGCTAAAACAGGACTGGGTGGAAGCAGCTTTCCATCAGACATGCCCGTGGGTGCCATGTCAGTTTACCATTATCATGGCAACATCCAGGAGTTACGGCCCCTTTCCATGGCAATGACCCAATGACTCAAAAGTTAATACTTCCTCTCTAGAAATTTCTGCATAAACGACCCCTTAATCTACACATAAGTAAAAGTACCTACAAATGTGACTGCAAAACTGCCCTGAGCTGCCACCCTCTGTTTGCGGGGTCACCCTGCTCTGCAGCAGCAGTCCCGGAGCTGTAACTCCACTGGAGCTGTGACACCGCCACTTCAATAAAGCTGTTTTCTTCTACCTCCAGCTTGCCCTTGAATTCTTTCCTGGACAAAGCCAAGAACCCTTGCAGGCTAAGCCCTTCTTTGGGGGCTTATCTGTCCTGCATCACTATGATGGCACCACTGCTTTCCAGCCTAGGTGACAGAGCGAGACATCTGGGGAAAAAAAAAAAAAAAAAAAAGATAATGAAGGTAATAGCAGTTAGTGCAAATTGAGGGGCTATTCTATTTTTAGGCACTGTGTTAATTGCATTACATGGACTGTTTGATTCATTGTTCTCTGCATACCTACAGATGATGAAGCCGAGGCTTGGAAGGGTTAAGTCACCTGCCCGAGGTCATGGGGCTAGCATAGGTAGAAGCAAGATTTGACCCCCTGACTGACCCCAGAGTTGGTACTCTTCCCATCGCCCTCTGTGGCCTTCTCTGTATCTGACTAGAAACAGGAATCAGGCCTGCCTTGCCTACTAGCTCTAACTTTTAGTTCTAAGTGGAGCCAGGAAAATGAATGCAGTGACAAACATGCTGGCTATTAGCTTGTCAAGAACTAGAACGATGGAAGAGATAAGGAGGGAGGATGGAAACAGATTCTAGCTGGCGACACGGTTTCTGATGTGAGCACTTACTGGGTAAACAGCCGTGTGTGCTGCCTTGGATGGCAGGCCCCTTCTGATGCCTCTTGTGCTCACTGGATGTTCCCATCTGTTCCTGTGTGCTGGGGTTATCCGCCCATGCAGCAGGAGGAGAAGGGTCCACTACTGGCACTGTCTTCTTCTCAAGGGCTCTTCCTTCTTCCCTCCTCTCCCTTGGCCTCTCAGTTACTGTTTGCATTTGCCTGGGGCATGTTCAGGTGCAGGTCACAATTGTGCCTCTGTGCAGGCATGCTTGCGCCCCTAGCCTTCTAGTGTTTATCCTTGCTGATCTTTTGATTTCTCTCACAGAACCTTGGATACCTCGTTTCCCATTTCCTGGTGAGGTCACCACCCTCTCCGGTGGTGGCGCTGGGCCCTGATCTTTGCTGTTTCTCCACCCCATGTGTTCTGTTTCGCTTCCATTTCTGCTGAAGCCTCATTTCCAGTTGTGCCTCTGATCTGGAAGTCTGGAGTACTTGCGAACGAACAGATGAACTTCCTTAGAGAAACACTTGGAAAATGATCCAATACTCCTTTTTGGGCGATAGATAAAAATACTTGTAATTATAGTGGCTGGTTTTCAGCTTTTCAGACCCACACTATTTTGGGCCTGTTTTATATTTGCCTTCCTCTTTGAGGCGGGAAGTGGCTTCAAGAAGCCACTTCTGGGTCCCCAGAAGGAGTCGTGTGGCCTTGATGGACGCGAGTGAAAGAGATGTAGTCCTGTCAAGGTTGGGCTCAGAGTTCAGTATACACCCGGCGAAGGGGCAGGGCTGTCCTGAATGCTGCATGAGCTCAGCCTGCAGGCAACATAAAGGGCTCGTCACTGGCAGTGTGGAGCTGGAGAAACGGGATACAGCGGGAGTGGAGAACGCTGAGACAGGGCGGAGGGAGGGACTTGTTGCATTTAATGCATGTAGACGGGCAATGACAAACTACTCTGGGCCCAGTCTACTTGGGCCATTTCTTTTTCTGCTTAAAACTTACCAGTGGCTCACTTTAGCATTTAGGTTCCTGTAAAAGTAACATGTTCACATGTTAAAGTAAGCCTTTTTGCTATACTCTTGCCTTCCTCTTCAGTCATGCTTCTTACCTTGCTCTGAGCATGTTTTCCTTTCTCAAATGCACGTGTTCTCACTGCAGACCTTCACACAGGCAGGTGTAAGGTCCCACCTGGAACCCTGTTCTTTTTTTATGAACCCTTTCCTGTCCGTTTTCGCTGGCTGACTTCTGATCTTTCAGATCTCATCCTGGAAGCCTTCTCAAATCACCCCACTGCACTCTTGAAGACTGATTCAGTTTGCCCCAGGTGTCCTGCACGTCCTTTGTGTCACCTCTCCTAATCCTCCTAGTACGGTGTCGTGAATGTGTCCCATTTACCTGTGTTCATCCTTCATGACCTCTGGTACCTGGTTGATGCTTGTATGATTTAATAATTTTTTTGGTTGCAGAATAAAAAAACTTGGCTCAAGCTGTCTGTGACAAAGACTGTGTGATTTATCAAGGTCTGTCTCATTTTTCTTTTTGTAGACACATAGGACAGATGCATTTCCTAGTCTCCTTTATGGGTAGCTTGGGACTGTGTGACTAGTTTTGGCCAGTGGGTTGAAAGTAGAGGTAATGAGTGTTATGCTAGACTGAGGCATAGGAGAGTGGGGATGAGTTTTCTTGGTTCTTGCTCCCCTGCCATGGTGATTCTGGAAGCTTTGTGTTCCATGATGCATAGCTAGAAAATGATACTGACCTGGATCCCTGAGTCACTGCTTGGAGGAGAGTTTCTCTGTTGTGTTGCTGGATCCACTATAGACTTTTTAAGAGCAAGAATTGAATGGTATCTATTCAGCTTGTTATTTACCACTGAGTCGAGCCTGTCGTGGTAATCTCGAGGAAGGTAATCCTTTGGCCTCAGGAAAAGTCTGGCTTTAGCTGTGGCAAATGCTTGATACTTGAGCTGTGTTACGAGGCTCCTGTTTCTCTCTCTTTAGTGCTTTCCTCTTCCCTTTCTGGGTTGACATCATTTTTGGTAGCTGTTATTAGTCCATTGTCACGGTGCTGATAAAGACATGCCCAAGACCGGGAAGAAAAAGAGGCTTAATGGACTCACAGTTCCACATGGCTGGGGAGACCTCACAATCATGGCAGAAGGCAAGGAGGAGCAAGTCATGTCTAACATGGATGGTGGCAGCAAAGAGAAAGAGCTTGTGCAGCCCCTTATACAACTGTCAGATCTCGTGAGACTTGCTCACTGTCACGAGAACAGCACGGGAAAGACCCGCCCCCATCATTCAGTTACCTCCCACTGGGTCTCTCCCACGACACGTGGGAATTGTGGGAGCTACAATTCAAGGTGAGATTTGGGTGGGGACAAAGGCAAACCATATCAGTAGGTTTTCCTCCTCAGGGTCACAGATGGCTGTGATCACCCCTGGGCACATAGTTTTTCTTCCAGGTTCACATTCATAGGAAACAGCAAGAGTCTCTCCATTCTTGTCAAAAACCTTATGTTTACTCTGTAGAGTTAACTTAGGTTCCATTCTCTCTTTTCAGCTGATCACAGGATCTGGCTTGTGCTAAGACAGGGAAGAGCTCCATTGAGACATGGAGAAGGGAGATTGGGGAGAGGGATGGATCCCCAGATGAAAACTGGGACTGTTGCTAGGGGAAGCGGATGCCATGGTGGCAGAAAACCAAGGTTCACTTCAGTGCTCAGTGCATGAATGAATGGATGAGTGAGTGAAGAGTGAGTGAGAGCCAGATCAGTGGATATATTGAAGAATCAGCCCTCTCCCTTGCCTTCGGGTGCTCACAGCCTACTAGTAGAGTTAGCGTCATAAAACAGTAATTTTTAGCAGCAAGCAATCAGTGAATCAAAAGAAGAGGGAAATTGGCGCTGTCAGATCTGCTGGTGGAGGGGTTGTGGTTTGGGGTGTATTAGACAAGATAGTGCAGAAATGTTCATTTCGAAGCTGGGCTTTGCAGGTAGAATAGGACCTTGCCAGTGAGACAGGGTGGGGAAGGGCAGTCCAGATGGCAGGAACAGCAGGTGCGAAGGTTTGGCCACCTGGGCGTGTCAGGTGGCAACTGACTGATAGACCGTAGAGTGAGACAGAGGCAAGACGCCTCCATAGTTCCTTTTTTAGCACTGTTTGTCATTCCTACTAGAGAGAGTCTTTTAGGTTTCAGATGCTACAATTAATGTTTCTTTTTCTGAAAGTGGTAGGATTGGAAAGTTCTCCCTTTTCCTCGTTTTTTCTGTGTCTTGATTCTCCCTAACACAGGTGCATGTGGAGAGCTGCACCTTCCTCCCGTGGCCGCTCTTGGCCTTTGGATAGGAATTTCCTCTTAAGTCCCCAGCCAGTCATTTCAGACCCATTGAGGAAGATAGAGTTTTGTCAGGTCAGTGGTGCTGAGAGGCTTCTGTTTCTTAAAGGTGCTCTTCTAGTTGATTGTAAGGGGCACTGCCAGAAGACTTTCAGCTTGAATGGCTTGTAGCAGTTTGGCTTGGAAGACATCTTGTAAAAAGCGTTGACTCCAGGTGCCCCGCCATTTTAGAAACATCCCCCGATATGTAATAGTGAGACTTAGGACTTTGCTTCTAATAGTGTGATATTCTTGTTTGTTTAATTTGAAGGATCTAAAACCTTCTGTTGCCTCCCTGTTCTCTTCCTCTGTGAGGCTGATACAAGGCACAGTGGCTCTAGTGTTAGTTAAGCTTGTAAGGATCAGAGATTTTACTAACCTTGTTTAAGTTCTTACAGAAGAATTTTTGCTAACGTCCAGCTGAGGAACTTTCTTATGTAGAATAAATCAAAATTTTCACCAGAGTAGTTCACTCTTATTAATGAATGAATAATGAATAGACAAATTATTTAAATCTAAATTAATATAATTGACACCATTTAATAAGCATGTACTATGTGTCAAACATTGCAGGGGCATCATATACATCTTTTTATTACTATACATATATTTTCAAAGAGATGCGGTCTTGCTATGTTGGCCAGGCCAGTCTTGAACTCCTGGCCTCAAGTGATCCTCCCACCTTGGCCTCCGAAAGTGCTGGGGTTATAGGTGTGAGTCACCACGCCTGACCCCATCATATGCATCGTGTCATTTAATCTTCACGACAACCTTGCAAGGTAGGCGGTGGTGGATGCTGAGGCTCAGAAAGGTTGAGTAGAATATCCCGAGTTGCATAGTCAGCAAGTGGCAGAGCTGACGTCTGGACCCAGTTCTGATAACAGCAGTGACTGTGATCCTGCTTTCCTGCTGTTCAGACAGTGTGTTTGTTTCCGAAGATTAGCCAGCCTGCGGTAGAGGTTAAGCTCATCGTTTCTGTTTCCTGACACATTTTATGACTGTCTTCTGGTGGAAGACGTTTCTAAAGCCTGAAAGAGACTTGAAATTGGACTTGGAATGACTTTGAGGTTTTGTAGCTTCTCCTGATTGATTACAGTGCAAATTAACTAAATGAATTATTTAGCTCAACTAATAGCGTGCTTTCATCCAATAGCTTGGTAGAAAGAACATATTGAACATTTTTTACTTAATCCACTTTGGGGGAATATTTGAACAGATTAAAAAAATAAAGTACAAAGGATCTTTTTTATCAATTAATTTTGAGCCATTCTGTTCTTTTGGAAAGCTGCAGATATCTTTCTCAATGATTGTTAAAATCCTTATCAGGCTGGCAAGCTTGCATTCATTCAGTGCTTATACGGTGCCAGGCATATTCCTAAGCACTTTATTTATCTCATGTGATCCTTATAGCTACTCTGTGTGGCGGTATTACTCTCATCCTCGCTATACAGAGGAGGAAACTGAGGTGTGGTGTGCTTACTGATGGTCAGGGTCATGTAGGTGCTCAGATTCCAGACCTGAAGCTCACAGCCACTCTCCGGGGAGGAGAACTTTGAATCCAAACACCAGGAGATGACGGTCAGTCCCCACTGCTGGTCAGAATGTGAGAATCGAAATCCTAGCTCTAGGCGCATGCCTGGGCCCTGTCACCTGACCTCTGTGAGCCTCAGATGTCTGCGTCTATGGCCTGGGAATCATCATTTCCAATGTGTAGCATTTATAGATCAAGTAGGGAGTTGTATGCATGGCTCCTGTCACCCGTCATCTCTTGGGTGAGGTGCCTGCTGTGATGGGGAACCCTCTTGTCTCATTTGCCTGTTTTGGGGACAGACAGTGTCACTCTCAGTGGAACAGCCCTCAGCCCTGTCATGTACAGGGTCACTGGACATCTTCTCTCGTTCCTCCCTCCGATGGGCTGAGAATGGCCCGGCATGCTTACTCAGGGAGAATGAGTCTTCTTGGTTTCTAAAGACTCACCCTGTCTACTCCCAGGCCTGGGAAGTCCATAGGCACCCGCCTCCCTCTGCTGTCTGTCTGTAGCATTCTGGATGGCTGTGGGCTCATGCTGCCGCCATCATGGTTCCCTGTTAGCTGGTCCCGCCTCCCTGCCCTTTGCCTATGCTCAGCGGGGAGCACAGTTCCTCTCTGGGTAGGTTCAGGTCCTTTCAGTAACAGCTCAGACCTGCCTATGTCCCCAGGCTGGCTCCTTGCCTCCCTACTGGCTGTCTGTCACTTGGCTGAGAACTAGAGCTGCCCTGGACCTCTCTGGGCCTTTGTGTTCAGGCCTAACACAGCTGGAGCTCCCGGGAAGAGATGACTGTCCCTTCCTGTATTAGCCTGTTTTCACGCTGCTGATAAAGACATATCTGAGACTGGGTAATTTATTTAAAAAAAAAAGGCTTAATGGAGTCACAGTTTTACATGGCTGGGGAGGCCTCACAATCATGGCAGAAGGTGAAAGACACGTCTTACATGGCGTCAGGCAAAGAGAGAATGAGAACCAAGTGAAAGGGATTTCTCCCTATAAAACCAACACATCTCGTGAGACTTATTCTCTACCACAAGAACAGTATGGGGGAAACTGCCCCAGTGATTCAATTATCCCCCCACTGGTTCTTCCCACAACACATGGGAATTATGGGAGCTACAAGTCAAGATGAGATTTGGGCCGGGGCACACCTAAACCATATCCCTTCCCATGTCCTTGCTTCTCCACTTCTACTCGTCCCAGGGTTGACTTTCCTAGGATGACAGGCAGCGGGGTCACCGGTTCCCTTTAAGGATACGCACACCCCACCATGGGGCAGTGAAGCCAGCCTCCCAGGAGAAGTTGCCAGAATTCCTGAACATTCCTTCTCTTCCTACCAACCCAAGGACTTTTTCTTGCCAAGTCGCCCACCACTTTCTTAGTTTTGTTTTTGAGAAAACAACTCTCACAACTTCCTTTGTGGCTAATTTTTTCCCATCAGTATCCTGCTTTTTCTGCAGCTTCCGTTGACGAAGGTACATTTTACCTCTGGAACCGGTGGAGCAGAGAGCTGAATATACCCTGTTTCCTCGGGCTTCCTTGGAGTGACTCACAGGTTCCATTTTCAGTACCAAAAACTCAGCTTTGCCAGGGCAAGCTCTCAGCAACTCTTTTACAGTGACAAGTACTTTAGAAAAGTTTCAATTCACTTATTTCTCTGGGTCACACAGGCAACTCTCTGCCCTGCTTTGAGCAAAGACTATTTCTTTAGCAAAGGATATTGAAATTGGGTTCTTTTTTTTTTTCCTCACTCCCTTCAAGTAGATTTTTTTTTTAATCCATTTTTAAGGTAGAGAAGGGAGATGAGTCTTATAAAAACTTGAAAACTGTCTTTTGACAAAGACCAACTTCTGCGCCCAGCGCTTTCATCTCCAGGTGCCTGAGATTAACGTTTCCAAAAATGAGTCTTTTAAACAGTTCTTCTCCTCAAAATGAAATATGTTCTGTGGTAACAACCCAGTTCCTACTATGTAATATGTAGAAATCATTTTCCCTTTGTGAAGAAAACTAGATTTAAATGCTAACATATTATCTTTTTGTCTTCCTGAAAAATTTTTCTTCCTTCGGTGGTAAAAAGCTTTTAAAGTTAATGGAAAATTCTCCCCTTCCTGTGCTCTGGCTCGGGAGGAGAGGGAGATAACAGATCTCAGTTTCTCTGTAAATATCATAATGACTGCCTTCCTGGTGTTAGAGGTTTGAACTGCTGTGATGGCATGTATTTTAAAGCAAAGTGGTGGTCAATTTTGATGAAAAGTGATAAAATCGAGTGGATAAAATTGGCTTTCAGCAAGTAGAATGCTCTGCACCTGTAAGTTTGTGCCCATGGCCCTTATATATGGGGAGAAGAAAGAAATTTCCTACAATTTTTTTGACACATCAGAATTATAACAATTTGTTTTTGGTGTAGCACTTCACATGTCTTGATCATTACTAGGCCAGCAGACTTTTTTATATAAAGGGATCAATAGTAAAATCTTTCGGTGTTGTGGGCCATGTGATCCCCTGCCATTGGAGCACTGAAACAGCCCAAGACAATTTGTAAACATGGTTGTGTGTCAATAAAACTTTATTTACCAAAACAGGCAGGGGGCCTGCAGGTCACATTGTGCCAATCCCTAATGCAGGTACTTCTCCTACTTAGTGATGGTGGTGATGCTGACAGGGATGGTTATACCATTAGTATCAGCTGCTGTTTTGAGTGCCAGTCATGGGCCAGGCAATAGATACATTTACTGCTCATAAACACTTTAATGAAGGGTAAACGTGGTTATCGCCACTTAACAAAGGACTAAAGCGAGGCCCACCTAGGTCAGGTGACTTGCTCTATGCCAGGGTTCTCAACCCCAACACTATTGACATTTTGGACCACATAATCGTTTGTCATGGGGGCTTTCCTGTGTGTAGTAGGATGTTTCACGGCATGCCTGGCTGCTGCCCGCTAGATGCTGGTGGCACCCCCTTCCCCACAACTGTGATAATCACAAATGTCTCCAGACATGGCCACATGTCTCTGGGATCAAAATCCCTGCTGGTTGAGAACCACTCCTCTAGGATATACCACTTTTTTCCCCCCGCTGCAGAAAGAAGACAGGGTTAGGGGTCGGAGGCTGGAGACAAGGGCAGACCACACCAGCAGCTGCACTGGGGCGGAGGCCACGGCACCTGTTGGGGTCTGGGTTTCCCCACCACACACGGGGCAGTGTGCGGTGAGCTGAGGCCCTGGAGGCTCTGGGCCTTGAATCTCACCTGCTGCCATGGCCAAAGCCTGGGAGTGATTTTCAAGTAATGCCAGTAGGATGTACCACTTCTTAATGTCAAAATCTGGGCTGGAAAGATGGTCTTTATGATTTTGTTTTTTTGTTTATTGGTTTGTTTTGTGTTGTTCTACACAGAAATAATGACTGCCCCCAAGCCAAAGCTCTTTTCCTCGGTGTGTGTATTCACTTCTCTCCTCCTCCGCATCCCTGGCTTCCTTCCCTTCTCCTGGCCTCTCCTACTTGAAATTTGCTAAGAGAGATCTGAGGTGTCCTCAGCACCCCCTGTTGTGTTATAAAGATCACAGAGTTAAAAAATGATAACCGTGGGTGGTGATGGATGTGTTAATTTAATTGCATTCGTCATAACACAGTGTACACATACTTCAGATCATTTCTCTGTACATCTCCAATATATTCCATTTTTATTTGTCATTTGCACCTCAGTAAAGCTGGGGGAAATGTGAGCTGCGGAATATCGTTGATTGGCTTCCACGTCTGGCTCCACCTGTCTCACTGAACAACTGTCGAAACCTTCCCAGCTTTGCTGAACCTCACTTTTCCCCTCCAGGAAGTGGAACAATAATAGCACTTATGGGCCAGGCGCTGTGGCTCATACCTGTAATCCCAGCACTTTAGGAGGCCCAGGTGGGCAGATCACTTGAGGCCAAGAGTTCAAGAACAGCCTGGCCAACATGGCAAAAGCCTGTCTCTACTAAAAATACAAAAAATAGCTTGGCATGGTGGTGTGCGTCTGCGATCCCAGCTACTTGGGAGGCTGAGGCAGGAGAATTGCTTGAACCCAGGAATTGGAGGTTGCAGTGAGCTGTGATTGTGCCACTGCACTCCAGCCTGGGCAACAGAGCGAGACTCTGTTTCAGAAAGAAAAGAAATAATAATAGCACTTCAGTCATGGCATAATTGATGTGGAATGATCAATTCAATGCTCAGTGAATAACTGAGCAATGCAATTCATAATGCAATGAATAACTGGTATGATGATGATGACAGTGACAAAAATGATAACACAGATAATTTCCTTAGACTCCTCATCCCCTGGATGGTTTTCTGCAGGGCTGATGTTTATCACCTTCTTCAAGGTTTCATACTTTGCAGAATCTTGAACAAGCCTGTGCAGATTATACCTTTCTTTGCCATGAACAAGTCTATGATCATGAGAAAGTTATTAACCTCTCTGAGCCTCAGTTTTCTCATCTGTAAAATGGGAATGGTAATAGTTCCTACCTCCTAGTGTTACTGTGAAGAATAAGTTAACATGTGTCTAACATTTAGAAGAATGTCTGGCCCTTAAATATATATGCATGTTGTGTGTTTTTAGATTTTCCTGCCAATGAGAGACAGAAAATACTCTCTTACTTTCCTCTCTAGAATAGGCCAGGCATCCTCTGCTGCCTCCCATGGCTGGGAGGACCCTTGCTGTCTCTCACCGGCCAAGGAAGGTTAGATGTGGGTGTCCCCAGGGGCCCAGGGGTGACGATGTGGGTATAGTGACAACAGTTAGAGTTGCTTTCACATGTGGCGTGATTCCTATGTGCCTGATGGTATTACCAGTTGTTACCTACATTAACCTTATCATAATGGAATGAGGAAGCCAGAGGAACCAAGGCTTTGATTCTTTTATTTATCCATTTTCATAATAATGAGTTGGTTCCTTTCCCTCCTCCAGAGAGGACCAATGAGTCTTTAAAAAAAAAAAAAAAAAATAGGGCTGGGCACGGTGGCTCATGCCTGTAATCCCAGCCCTTTGGGAGGTCAAGGTAGGTGAATCACTTGAGGTCAGGAGTTCGAGACCCACCTGGCCAACATGGCGAGACCCTATCTCTACTAAAAATACAAAAATTAGTTGGGTATGGTGGCACATGCTTGTAATCTCAGCTACTGAGGAGGCTGAGGCAGGAGAATCGCTGGCACCCAGGAGACGGAGGTTGCAGTGAGCTGAGATCATGCTACTGTACTCCAGCCTGGGTGACACAGTGAGACTCCGTCTCAAAAAAAAAAAATTACAAATTTATGTATTTAAGCCTATTTGATGTTTTCCAGTTCATCACAGTAATTTTTCTTTGTGATATTCAAGTTGTCCTATCTTCAGCCCATGGACGGTGTTTAGTTTGATTCCTGAGTCCTCAAGAGTAGTTTTTGCCATTACACTGGACATCAAAGCAAGGAAGCTGAGGTGTTCTAGGCCCTTCTTGTACTTCATGCCCCAGACCTGGAAACACCTGTTCCTCCAGGGGGCCCTGGCTCTTTGACTGGGAAAAGGTATTTATACAGCATAATCTAGGTAGTGGGGAGTGCTCGTTGCTACTGGGTTGGCTATTGTTTCTAGGCCTTTTCAGTGTTCAGAGCTAGAAAATCTTTCCCTTTCTTCTTCCCCACCTGCCTCTTCCCTCCCTTTCCCCCACCCCATCCCTTCTTTTTTAGTAGACTATATATTATGATCCATAGATACTTCTAATTCAAATTTCGAATTTTTTTTTTTTTTTTTTTACTTAACTACCTTGATTTAATATTTGTATCTTTTTTCTTACACTAGAAATCTCTTAATGGCATAAATAAAATTTCTTTTTTTCTTTCTTTGAGATCGAGTCTTGCTCTGTCACGCAGGCTGGAGTGCAGTCGCGCAATCTTGGCTCACTGCAACCTCCACCTCCCTGGTTCAAGCGATTCTCCTGCCTCAGCCTCCTGAGTAGCTGGGACCACAGGTGCCTGCCACCACGCCTGGCTAATTTTTTGTATTTTTAGTAGAGACAGGGCTGCGCCATGTTGGCCAGGCTCGTCTTGAACTCCTGACTTCAGGTGATCTGCCTGCCTCGGCCTCCCAAAGTGCTGAGGTTACACGTGTGAGCCCCTGCAGCTGGCCGGGATAAATACAATTTCTTATGAGGTTTTGCTAATCTGGTAGCCAAGTAACGTAATCTCCATGTAGTTTTAATTTGCATTTCTCTAATATGAATGAAAAGAACCCTTTTTTGCCTCCTGTCTTCCACCACTTTCTCCAACCAAGGCAGAGTTGATCACATTTTCCTTCCTGTCCCCATAATGCCTTGGAGACAGCGCTCTGATAGCATCGATCATCAGTGATCAGCTTGGTGGTTTCTCCAAGCTGTATATTTTACTCTGTATATTTTACTGTCTTTTTATCTTCCATTGTTTGGCATTGTGTTTTGCCTTAGTGTTTATGAACGACTTAATAGTTCTGACAGTTTTTACTTAGATCTGTTAACCTCAGTCCCTTTTTAATTCCTATGTAACTGCTTTTCCCCAGCAGAGCAGCTAAAAAAAGAATGATGAGAGAGAATAGCAACACAAGAAAAACAAGCTGTTGAGAAAAACCAGATGCATACTTGTAACCCTGACTTCTCTTTGAGTTCCAGGCACACGTTGCTCCAGCGGCCGTCGTGACATCTCCGTGGATTGTCTAAAGTAGGGTTTCTCAAACTCAGCCTTGATGACATTTTGGACTGCGTAGCTGTTTGCTGTGGGAGGCTGTTCCGCATGTTGCAGGGTGTTTAGTGACATTGCCCCACTAGCCTTACCTACTAGATGCTGGTGACATCTCCCTATCCCAGTTGTGATCACCAAAAATGTCTCTCGACATTCCGTACTCTGCCCTTGGAAGCAAAAATACCCTCCTTTGAGGACCACTGGTTTAAAGGCATCTCACACTGAATAAGGCCAGTGCAGAACTCTGTTCTTCCTCCTGACTTGTGCGTCTGCGGTTTTCTCCATCTTCCTAAATGGCACCACTTTCCATTCAGCTAGCTAATCAAGTTAAACAGCCTGAGTCATCCTTGATTTCTCTCTTTCCCTCACTGTCTACATCTAGTCACTCAATGAGTTACAGTCCCTTCTAAAATATCTCATAAAGCCAACCATTGTTTTCTATCTGTGTTGCTACCACAAATCTAACTTGCCATTTTCTCTTGCCGGGAGTACTACCAGTAGACTCCTTCCTGTACTCTGCAAGCTGATTCCAAATCCGCCCACGCTCTGGCGTGTGCCCACATCTCCTGCCTTACCTGTCACCACACTCCTCGTTCTACTCTCCAGCCCCCTCAGCCTGCCCCTAGGAAGGGCCAGGGTTACTCCACCCTCCAGGGTCTTGTGTTTCCTATACTCCCTCTCCCCCAAATCTCCACATGGCTGGCTTCGTGTCCTCCCAGTCTCCATTCAGTGTCACCGCCTCAGTGAGGCCTTCCCTGGCAGTCCAGTCTGATCCAATGGTGCCTTCTGTCTGACTAATCCATTGTATTGCCCAGTTTTATTTTCCTGATTGAAATATCAGGATCCCCAGTCTTCTCGATTACGTCGTTGTTGGCTCTTTATGGTCCATCTCCCCTCTAGAATGTAACTTCCAGGAAGGCAGGGATCAAGCTTACCTTGCTTCCCTTTGAATCCTGGCTCGGAGGATGGACTCTGCATGAGATAGGCACTAAAAGACTGTGACATTAACATTCTGGTGTTTCTCTGAGAGGACTCTAGTCGCGGTTTGCCTTGCCCTATGGACAGAGAAAGAAAGATTTTAATCCTTCTCAGAGTCGAAGCTCTTTTACAGGCATCATCCCGAATACACTTGATAGTCACACTATCACTTTCCTCCTTACCTAACATTGCGGCTGCTGGTCCTCATCCCTTGTACCATGTTTAAAGAATATTGATCCTGAAGGTAAATTTCAGTTATATACAAAAGAAAGATAATTACTTAGAATCTGGTTCTGTCTCAATTCACAATGAAGGAAATGAACCAGTGCCTACGGTCCTTTCTTTATCAGAATCTAGAATGTGTGTGTGACCCAGTGATCTAAGACAGAGATGGGAAAACCTCTTTTGTAAAGGGCCAGAGGGTGGATGTGTTGGTGGGATGGACGTCGTAACTATTCACCTCCGTCAAAGCGGCATGGAAACAGATGAATATAAGCAAATGGCTGTGGCCACGTTCCGTCAAACTTTATGAAACTGATTTCCAAAAAGTAAAAGTCAGTTTCTACAGTTACAGCAGGCACACTTCTATGTTTTTTGCACTGACGCTGTAATTTTCTGTTTATCATTATTGATTGTGTTATCTACTGTCTTAGTGTGTTCAGGCTATTTTAACAAAATACCATAAACTGAGAAACTTATAAACAACAAAAATGTATTTCTCACAGTTCTGAAGGCCAAGGTCAAGGCAGATGTGGGGTCTGGTGAGGGCCCACTTTGTGGTTCATAGAGGGCATGTTCTTGCCATGTTCTCACATCGTGGAAGGACAGGGGGTCTCTGGGGCCTTTTTTATAAGGGCATAAATCCCATTCGTGAGGGCTCTGCCCTCATGACCTAAGCGCCTCCCAAAGGCCCTGCTCTTCTAATACATTACCTTGGGGGTTAGAATTTCATTGCGCTTTTGAGGGAACACAAACATTCAGACCATAGTTTCTCCTGTTCTTTCACTTTGGAAACTTCCTGCTAGGTAATACCTTTTATAAAACGCCATGGAGTGACTTGGGGCCACACTGTTAGGGTGAATGCATTTTAAAAGACATCTCATCAGTGCACATTTTCTAAAAGCACTTCTAGTTTAAGAGGATCAATCTTGGCTCTTGAGGAGCTTCTGGGCTCGTGTTAGTGAGGATAAGCCCAAGCTTGTCACCGTTCAAAAGTTTTAAAGATAATTTTCAAGAAATGATGTTTATAAACACCTGCCCAAAGGTCATGTGATCTGGCTATGTGAGACCCTTTTGTTCTTGAAGTAAGCTAGATAAAAGGCAGAAACAAATGCAGCCCAAACCATTTTACTGCTCAGAGAATCTTCTTTTGCAATTTACCGTGAAGCTGTCTGTCTGTTGCAGGCTGTAGACTGGCAGTCGATAGAGGTATGGAGTTGGTCCACATAGTTGCTTTTGTTTTTTTTAAAAAATAATTAGTTTGACCAATATTAAAACATAGATGAATTTTAGCCCCACCCTAGTGAAACACTTGCCCACGAACACCAGGAGAAACACAGCCATGTTCACAGCATCGCTCACGATGGCAAAACATTCCACACAACTTAGATATCCATCGATAAGAGAGTCGATTTTTAAAAAGTGTGTTACAGCATAGAAATCAACACAGCAAGGAAAATGGATGAACCTCAGCTGTGCACATCAGTTTGGATGGATCTAATGAAAATTGTGTGGCTCGAAGAAAGCGAGTTACAGCCAAACACATTCGTAAGAATATGAGAAAAGTGTAGAATGGAACAGGAGGTAGGTTAAGAATTCACACTTGTGGGAAGCTATACGGAAAGGCAAGGGCATGGTAACCATAAAAATTAGGGTTGTGATCATGGGAGAGGGCCAGCATTGGAGAGAGGTTCTCAAAAGTTCCAGAGGTTCTGTACCTTAAGGTGGTACACAGGTATATGTCTTGTTATGGTTCCTCATTTCCTATATGTAGATATGCATTAGTTATTCTCTTGCATGCTTGAAGTGTTTTGTAATTTAAAAAATTAGATGTTCTGGAAGCATTGGGCTGATGATTTCCACATAGCAGCGGTTCACTGGGCGGAGTCACAGCTGAGTCCTTGAGAATGACGTGCACCTTCTGGTTTATCACAGTACTTAGCTGTACTCTCCCTCCTATTCCCCCAGCTGAGCCTGTCTTGCCCATTTTCAGTGGCGTTTGAGGTTTGGATGTCTGGCCCTGGGATGTTAGGGGATACAGCCTGTTGAAAATGGTCATAGTGTTTTCTGTTAACACATTGGTAAGGCAGTTGTTGCCTATGCATATCGTGTGTAATAAGAATGATTTCTACCTGAGAGAAATTTTTCCCAGGCCTAAGTAGCAGGAATGAGTCCCTTGACCAAGTGGTCAGATCTTTTGGAGGCTGTGAATCCTATCACTGTTTTTTGTTTTTTTTTTTTGCCTTGACTTCTAAGAAGCTTGACAGAAATGTGAGCTCATCTTTAGCAAAAGTGGAGACCTTGTGGCATGTGGTTTTTGGTTCGGAACTTACTGTTGGCTTTTTTGTTGTTGTTGCACTCCCAGGCTGGAGCGCAATGGCGAGATCTTGGCTCACTGCAGCCTCTGCCTCCCAGGTTCAAGCGATTCTCCTGCCTTAGCCTCCTGAGTAGTTGGGACTACAGGTGCACGCCACCATGTCTGCTGTTCAGATTTAAAACAGACATTTAATTCATTTTGCAGTTTGTTGAAATAGAATCTTTGGCTGGAGAATTAGCATATTACAGAGGCTTTGAAATCTTTGTCCTTTTCTGGCCAGGGCTGAGCATGTAAATGTCTTTGAATAGAGATGGGGTTTCACCATGTTGGCCAGGCTGGTCTTGAACGCCTGACCTCAAGTGATCCACCTGCCTTGGCCTCCCAAAGTGTTGGGATTACAGGTGTGAGCCACCACACCTGGCCAGCTTCACTTATTTTCTTGCTTCTCCTCCTATTTTATTTCCTCACTTAAGAATATTACTCCATAATTCACTTGTTTATATAAGTGGCCATATTTTTTTAAAAAGAGAGGATATGAACTATAAACTCTCATTTACCTAGCATGATGGCAGAATATGATTTTACGAGAACATTCTGGAAAGCTGAGCTTTATTCAGAATGTTTTATTCACAAAGCTGCCTTGATCATCTATTTCAGCTGTGCATGTTACTAATTTTCCAAGAATGAGAATATAATTAAAATACACTTAATGCTAAAATGCAACTGAACATAATTTGATCTTCGATAATTTAGAAGGCAGTTAAAGAGCGTGCTGTGCCTCAAGGCTGTAATTAGGAACATCAATTATCATAGTGTGACACTATAAAAATCTGGTTATTTCGGCTTTCTAATGATTTGAAATCTGTGGGAACTAGAATTTCGAGTCTGTGCATGCAGTCTGTGTATATATAGGTCTTTTGAGCCCCTCATATGAGCAGTTCATACATGTTTTCATAGCTGATGAGTGTGAGAAAGGAGAGGCCACCTGACAAGTCTTGGCAGAGGTGTGACGAGGTTAGACTCAGGTGTTGCGAAGATCCCCCCCGGCCACGGAGTGGTATCAGGACTGGAGCAGGGCAAGGCTAAGGCAGTAATCCCTGCCCAAGGTGACAGGGACCAAAGGGCACAGCGCCGAGGGCGTCAAGCCCTAGGCATTTTAGCTGCCAGTGACTGTGACACTGGCAGGTCCCTTCACTTCTCTGGGCACACTTGACCATCTTCAGAAGGAGCAGGAGTGTGGAGCCATAGGCCAGAGGAAAAATCAGTGGTCCTGAGCCTGTCCTCATGCCTGATTTAAAATTTTGCTATTTTGTTCTCCATAGATTTATTTTTTTGGCATTAATTTTGATATTTCAAAACATTGCATGGAAATATTATTTATCATGATTACTGAGCTTTTTGCCACCTCCTTAAATTTTGCACCTAGATGCCTGGGTGTTGTGTATCCAGACTCCGAAAACTTCTGAATGGTGCCATTCCTAATTACAATTTTTAATTATAATTCTCTGGGCTTTGAATACAGAAAGACTGTGTTTCCACTTAGAATTTGGTCAAAGCCCTTGTCCTTTTCTGTACATCAGGGTGGAGTACCGACGAGCTGTAACCTGTTCGGATTTAAAAGGCTCTGTAATATGCCAATTCTCCAGCCAAAGATTCTATTTCAACAAACTGCAAAATGAATTGAATGTCTGTTTAATTCATTTTAAATAGTCCTCGTTTTATACTGGAGGACACGGTTCTCTCTGTGGCCTTAACAACCTGACTCACCATCTGTCTCACACCCTCCCTCAGCCAGGCACCTGCATGTAAAACCATTCATCCTCATGATCATATGAGGGGCCCTCTCCTCTGAACCTCCATTTCCCTCTTCTTAAACAGTTTGTGAACAGACTATTTTATTTTAGCAATGGATTTCAGAATAGTGCTCTGTCAACTGGAATGGCTTTGATATAGAAAGAGTTGCATCGAAATTCTGTGTACTCTTAACCACTGTGGGTCTACATTTTCTCCTCACTCACACGGCATGGTGATGCCAACTGCATATGGTCATGAGGATGAATGGTTTTACATGCAGGTGCCTGGCCGAGGGAGGGTATGGGATAGACGGTGAGTCAGGTTGTTAAGGCCACAGAGAGAACAATGTCCTCCAGTATAAAACGAGGTCTGTTTAAAATGAATTAAACAGACATTTAATTCATTTTGTAGTTTGTTGAAATAGAATCTTTGGCTGGAGAATTAGCGTATTACAGAGCCTTTGAAATCTTTGTCCTTTCCTGGCCAGGGCTGAGCGTGTAAATGCCTTTGAATACGTGTTTCGCTGTCTTTGTAACTACATTCCCTCCAGCGGAAATTGAAGGCAACTTTCAAGTTTAATGATGATTACACTGAGTTAGGCCCCTGCTGATGGCAGCACTCCTGCTGCAGCGGCATGGTCTTTGGGGATAATATTCAATATTGCTTCCCCAGCACTTTAGAAATTCTTCAGAAAAGTTACTAGGGATCCGATAGCAAAGGACAACCTTGTCAGCCGAGCTGTCCTGTGTAACTCCCTGGTGGCCAGCCCCTAGTTTGGGCAGAAGCTTTGTCTTTTGGGGAGGTGGGTAGAGTGACTGTTCTTCAAGGGTTTGCCATAAGAGAGGGCTTCGGTGATCGCAGGAACACAAGCTTCAGGGCTGCCTGCACCCCCTTGTGCAGGGAAAGGGTGTGAGGGAAGTAGAGTCATCCTTTGGAGGGACCCGGAGTAGATGCTTAGTATGGGCCTTACAAGGGAGGGGAGTTCCCTGAATTGGGCCCCTCTCCTCTGAACCTCTGTTTCCTTCTTCTTAAACAGTTTGTGAACAGGCTATTTTATTTTAGCAATGGATTTCAGAATAGTGCTCTGTCAACTGGAATGGCTTTGATATAGAAAGAGTTGAGTTGAAATTCTGTGTACTCTTAACCACTCTTGGTCTACATTTTTTCCTCGCTCACATGGCATGGTGATGCCATCTGCATATGATCACGAGGATGAATGGTTTTACATGCAGGTGCCTGGCCGAGGGAGGTTGTGGGATAGATGGTGAGTGCGGTTGTTAAGGCCACAGAGAGAACTGTATCCTCCAGTATAAAATGAGAAATGCAATTCCTGTCATTAAATGAGGTGATGTCACTAACATCATGAGGACAGTGCCAGGCGTGTGGAATTCTCACATTTGTGAATGTTGAATGGGGTATGGATGCTTTCATGCAGGGCTGGTCTGGGTACAATTTTGTCCCCACTTTATTCTGTGTCTGGACAGAGTTGGGAAGCTTAATAGGTGTCAAACATTTGCCTGCTTAATGCCTAGGCCAAGAAGAGGGGAGAAGTTGTCAGCAGTAGAATGTAGAGGCTACACAGGGTCATGAATGGTCTTGGATTTGCCGAAGCCTGGAATGGCGTGGAGAATCTGTCTTGAGGGCCTGCCTGTCTGCACAGTGGTCAAGGCCTAGATGCCTTTGCTAGGCTCGGCCTTGGCTGGTAGGCACCAATGTAGCCATCAATGGCAAAACACACCTCCATCGGTCAGCAAAGTCCTGCTACCCTGAGATCCTCTCATGGTGACGTTCACTTCCCCAATGACCCTGACCTTCTGAACTCCTGGCCCACCAAGAGATGGGAGAGAAGAGGTGGGCTTCCTCTGCAATCAGGGTCTGTTTGAGTTGTCTTCAGGACAAACAACGTTTGGTGTAGACAGAGTGCTGTGTTAGCCACTGAACCCATCCCTCATTCTGCCTTCATGGTGCTCATATGGGAGAGATGCACAGACAGGGTCTACCTCAGCTCTGGCCTCCCAGTGTAACAGTAGCCTACAGCCTGCGAGGGCTCACTGCTGAAGGTGATGCATGGTCTCTGCTCTGAGGGTTTTTCCCCAACCAACAGCAGAGATGGCACCTCGCTGGTGGTGCTGACACCCGGCAGGCAGGCACATTTATGCCTACTGCTCATCTGTCCCCACCAGGTGGCATTCCACAGAATCACCTGCTCATGGTGGCTTCTGGGTCCCACAGCCTCTACTGTGTATCATTCTGATTGTCCAGTAATGTGAACGTTTCCCTCATGGGGTGTGGGGTATTTACGGATTTCATCCAGGCTTTGGGTGGCATGTTATCCCTTCTGCAGGGATCAACCTCTTAGTAGCGGCCACATCCTGGATTGTTGCTGTAGCCTGGCACTTCTGGGGCCCTCTGCAGATACTGTCATTAATCCTCAGGTCACTCATGCCAGGTGGGTGCCATCGTCATCCCTCCTTCATGTTTGTCAACTTGTTGTGCACTCCTCCGGAGTGCCTTCCGTGTGCTAGTCACGGCTTCGAGTGCCAGGGATAAACAGGAAACAAGACAGAAAAAATCCTCGACTTCTAAGGTATAAGGCAGACTCTTGCAATGCCTGTGTAATATTTTCTACTGCTATTTACACATAAATGGTATTTCTAGATGGGTACAAATTAAACACGAGTCCATCAGTTTCTCAGCTGGAGAGTCTTGACAACATGTAAGGATTTATTTATCTAATGAGCAAAAGAAACAAGAACGCCTGCCTGCAAGTCCCGGTGGCTGCAAGTGTGATTATGTAAGCTGTCCGTTATATCGAAAAGTGCTAGAAGACTCTTAAGCCTGTTGCATGTAGGAAGGAGAGAATGAGTCGGGGAAATGCAGGTCACAACCAGCTGGGGCTAATGGGACAAACATAAATGGTTATGGCAGAGACTGTTACAAAGGAAACCTCACTTTGAGAGAGGCAATGGAAAGGTTGTCTCTCTTTGGGCCATTAGCATTGACAGAACCTGCTCTCAGATTACCCACCAAGTGTGTTTCGGAGTTATTTGGGGGTTCTGCAACCCTGCTGTGATTTCTATATACAGCAAGAGATGGGAGAGAAGAGGTGGGCTTCCTCTGCAATCAGGGTCTGTTTGAGTTGGGTTCAGGACAAACAGCCTTTGGTGTGGACAGAACGCTGTGTTAGCCCATCCCTCATTTTGCCTTTTTGGTGCTCAAGTTGGGGAGATGCACAGATAGGGGCTACCTATCTAGCCTCCCAATGCAACAGTAGCCTAAAACCTGCGAGGGCTCACTGCTGAAGGCAGTGCATGGTCTCTGCTCAGTTATTTATCCCTCTGGAAGCCCTTCTTCCCTGATCCCCCCACAAGTAACCTGTCCCCTCCCATCTGTTGCTCTCTTGGCCCCTCTGTCTCATTTTTCTTGGTAGCACCCAGCAGAGACATTTATTTGTGTCCTGTCTGGCTTCTCCATTAGCTTGTCCACTCTTTGACGGCAGAGACTGACTTGTTCACCATGGTGTCCCAGAGCCCAATGTGGCACCTGTCGTCACATAGTAGGTCTTTTCTGAGCATGTGGTGAAGGAATGGGTGCCCACAGTGATTCTCAGAGGGAGGTGGGTTCTCACTCGTTACTTGAAGTGAATGTGTTCAACACTCTTAAATCGCTCCCGCCAGTTAGTATCTGGCTGCAGGTATTGAGTGGTTTGGAGGAATTGGAAGGGTTTCCTTTAGAAAGGGCAGTGGAGTTGAAGGCACCTGCGTAGGTGTCATGCAGTGCCTTTGACCATCCCCTACCCTTGGTCTGAAGTCTGTGTGTATCCCCTCAACTCTGCAGCTGAAGTTCCAGCTTGGTGCGAGTTTGTATTTTGTCTTGATACTTCTTGAGCTAAATATGCAGCAGAGTTCAATCAGAAGCAGGATCACCAAGATAAACACAGACGTGTGCACGCACGCTTGCACACATGGATGTGTGCACACATATGTACACACACGCATGCACGCACATACATACACATGTGCACACATGCACACACATGCACACATACACGTGCACGCACACATGCATGCACATACACACTGCATAGTTGACATATGGTGTTTACCGCTGCACCAGCTAAAGTTCTCTCATGTCAGAGATCATACATGCATTGCATTAGGAGAGACTCACCGAAATGCTACTTGACCCTGAAAAAAGGATGTAACAATGAGATAATACTCCAGCTTCAAAGGCAAGGTTCTCATTCCCCTCCTAGGTTTTTATCCTAGAGAAAAGGAAATACACGTTCACACAAGGACTTGTGCACAAATGTTCAGAGCAACTTTGTGTTAGCCAACTAGAAAAGGCCAAATGGCCATTGGCAGTGAAAAGATACACAAGTTGTGTCAAGGAGGAATGAACCATTGGCACGCGTAACAGCATGGATGAATCTCAAAATAACTGTGTGCCAAGTGAAAAAAAAAAAAGACCATAAGGAGCATATGCTGTATGATTCCATTTATAGAAAACTCTGGAAAATGCAAACTAATCTATAGGGACAGAAAGCAGATCACTGGCGTCTGGCGACGGGATGGGAGGGTGGCATTACCAGGAGTCTGAAGGAACCTTTGGGGGTGGTGGACATGTTCTGTGTCTTGTGATGGGGGTTTCACAAACGTAAACATATGTCAAAACTTGTCAGAAGGTATTCTTTAAATATGTGCACTCTGCTGTCTGCTGGTTAAACCTCAGTGAAGCTTAAAAAAAAAATAAAGGCAAGGTGGGAACTGCCCAGGGCATCCTGGCACATAGGAGCAGTGCCCTGCTGCAGGAAAAAACGTCTCAAAATCCATCAATTCAGGGCAAAATAACGAAGAAGTAGCACATCCCCCACAGGGGAGGTTTGTTCTTTCCTAAATAACAGCTGTGGGAGAAGGGAAGGAGGTAAGTGATGAGATGGGGCTTTCCTGGGAGGACCATAACTTAGTTATAAATTATAATAAAAAGACAGTGAATAAGGTTTCTTGTAAAAAGAAAGTTATAAGTGAGGGCTGGTCCTTCCTAATCAACTCGATAGGGCAGAGCTGCATTGCTAAAAAATTAAGCTCTTCATTTGAAACCCTGTTGGGAACTTCAGGGAGTTTTTTTCTGAACCCCCCGCCCCCTACCCTAGGTAAAGAAACTTCTTTCTAACCTTTCAGTGCCTCTCTCCCAGAGCTTGCTGGATTGAGTAGAGATCTTTCCTACCAGGTTCCATTACAAAGGGGACAGGAATTGAAGCCCTTGCTCCAAACACAGCCTCTCACCCCATGACATTATTTGCACCCCTGTCCAGGTGTTAGTTTCTCTGGGCAGCCCATAGGGACCTCCCAGGCAGGGCTCACACCCTCCTCCGTCCTCCTTTCCTGGCTCCTGGCTTCCTCTGCTGGCTGGACTGCACCATGCTGGCCGCCTCCCATTTCCTCCAGGAGATGCAGGGCGGTTGAGCTTGCAGCTCCCTCTGCCTGAAATGCTCTTCCCAAGGCCGATGGCCCGTCCGCCTTTAGGTCTGAGCCCTCCCTTCCTTGAGATGGCGTGGCTGGCCATGCCTAGATTCATCTCCAACCCTTCACCCGGCTTATTTCCTTCGGAAAAACACAGTCTGTTACTTGTTTCTTTGTATGTTGTCTGTCGCCAATTCCAGTGTGAGCTGCTGGAGGCAGAGAGCTTGGCCATCTCTGTACATCTCTGCTGTATCTATGGCACCTGGAGCAGGATGGCAGCCTAAAACTGGGGCTTGTTTTAGTGAGAGTGTTGGTTTAACTTAACATAGCTTATCATTGGGTTAAATAAGATAGAGTTATCTCTATCTTTGCATAAAAGTATGAAGTGGTAGGTGTGGGGTGGGTAGGCAGCTCTTTTCCATGAGGAACCGGGGCCCAGGTTTCTTCTGCTTTGTTACTCCACTGGCCTGTGGGAAGGGTGTGTGATCCAGAAGTTGCTCACATCACTAATTTCCACATCCTGCTGGGCAGAGTTTAGCTACTCAGGTGGCTGCTCTGAGCTGCAAGGGAAGCTGGGAAATGTAGTCTTTATCTTGCAGCCTTGTGTCCAGCTACAACTTGGTGGGTTTTTTAACTCAAAGGCAAAAAGGATATTGGGGGCTATTTAGCAGCTGCAGTGCTTGATCTGTATTTGATGAATGAATGAATGTCCCCATCCCAGCCCCCTGCACTTCCATCTAGCACAGCACTTGCTGCGCTGTCGTTTAGTCAGGGCTTGCTCCTCTCTGAATTTCCAGCGCTCAGCCAGAGCCTGGGTATAATAGACACTTAGCAGAGGTTGAGTTGAAAAACTGGCAACTGCACTGTAGAGACTTTACCTTAACTCTGGGCCATTGGTGAGAGTGAGGGTCTGTTTTTGAGAAAACCCTGTTCGTCTGCAGGAAGAGCTTTCCTTGTAAATGTAGATGAAAATGAAGTGTCCCATTGAGGCAGGTTTTACCCGGAAATAAGCTCCACGAGCCAGAAGCAGAGGTGAGGCGTGAGGGCAGGGGAGGCCAGGGGGTCTCGCATTTCTTGGGAGCTTAAGATCTCGTACTTCATCTCCCCCTCCTCAAGAACCTTCTTTGCTGAGTGTCAGATGTTTCTGCTTGGCTTTGGGACAGAGGGGGAAGAGCTTCCAAGTGGTCCTATTGCTTAAACAATTTATAGGCCAAATAACTTCCATGGTAAGGGAGAAACTGATATTCGTGATGTATTATTTACTGTTAGGCAATGGAGATAGAGGATGTTTTACTGAGTTCACACTCAGACATTCCTGTGACCATTCTAAAACAACCAGTTCTACCTCATCCTGAGACTGCTTTAAAAGCCCTTTCACAGAAGGCTGTGTGGCTTGCCAGAGGTGGGATGGCCTTCCGAGTCAGGGGGATCTGGCTTTTCAGGTCTAGCATTGTCATAAAGGAGCTTCGGACCCTGGGGAGACTTTTTGTTTTCTGTTTTTTTTTTTTAGACGGAGTATCACTCTGTCACCCAGGGTGGAGTGAGTGGGGCGATCTCGGCTTACTACAACCTCCGCCTCCTGGGGTCAAGTGATTCTCCTGCCTCAGCCTCCTGAGTAGCTGGGACTATAGGCGCCCACCACCATGCCCGGCTAATTTTTGTATTTTTAGTAGAGACGGGGTTTCACCATGTTGGCCAGGCTGGTCTTGAACTCCCAACCTTAGATGATCCACCTGCCTCGGCCTCCCGAAGTGCTGGGATTACAGGCGTGAGCCACTGCGCCTGGCCTGGGTTTTTTTAAACCTCTGAGAAGCTTGGTTGATGTGTCTGTGAAGTAAGGATAATTATGCCTACACCCTGAGTTGTAGAAGGGGTAAAATGGGGTTGCCTAACTACAGGATCACCCCAGGGCCTTTATACCTGCCCTTCTCTCTTCCGGGAAAGTCCCTGCCACCATGGCTTGATAAGTTCCTGCCAGATGAGAAGTGCCCTTCCATGACCTGCCAGTATGAACTGGGGCAGCCTCCGTCAGCCCTCTTGTGGAATTCCATCTATCCCTTGCAGCATCGTCCCAGCTCTGAATTCGGTGGTTCTTCTTGTGAGCGTTTGTTTCATGTGTGTTATAGCAGCTGACTCAGGGCCCCATGAGGGCAGGGAAGTCTCAGTTCTGCTCATTGTTGCATCCCCCACACCTCACCCCATGCCGGGTATGGAGTCTTAATTGCCCCATTGGTATCAGTTGAGTCAGTGATTCTGTATGTGACAGATGATCAGTAAATTAGAGCCAATCCAGTTGAATCCTATGACAATGGCTTCCTATAACATAGAGGGTATTTATGATCCTTGCTTTACAGCAAATGAGACTGAGGCTCAAAAACAACCATCTGGCTGTTAAGTGGAGGGCCTAGGACTCAAGTCCAGTTCTTTGGTTTCTAAGCTAATCATTCTTTTGCTTATGTTTATTTTTAATTATTTATAGAGTCAAGGTCTCACTCTCTTGCTCAGCCTGGAGCATAGTCGTGCACTCACAGCTCACTGCAGCCTCCAACTGTTGGGCTCAGGTGATCCTCCCACCTCAGCCTCCTGAGTAGCTGGGAGGTCACAGGTGCATGCCACCAGCAGGCCTGGCTATTTTTTTATTTTTTTTAACCTTTGTACAGCTGGGGTCTTTCTGTGTTGCCCAGGCTGGTCCCAAACTCCTGGTCTCAAACGATTCTCCTGCCTTGGCCTCCCAAAGTACTGGCATTACAGGCATGAGCCACTGTACCCAGCTTGTTAATTGTAGAAGTACCTGTTGGATGAATGGTCTGCAGATGTAACATATGCACATAGTTTATACCTGAAAGAGAAGCAGCACAGAGTGGTGGTTGCGAGTGGACTCTGGAGCCAGACAGCTCAGGCTGGACTCTTGGCTCCGTGACTTCCTAGCCGTGTGGCCTCAGCCGAGTTCCCTAGCCTTTCTCTGTCTCATTTTACTCATCTGTAACATGAAGGTCTTAATAGTGGTTTGTTGTGAGGACTAAATGAGTTAGTGTTTATGAATAGGCTGGAATGGATCCTGATATGCAAGATATACCACTTAAGTCTTTATTTTAAAAACTTAAAGCTGTTTCTTCAGCATCTTCTTTCCTGTGAGCTTTTGCAACTGAGGTTCTTTGATTCTACAGCTTGGTGGATTTTATAACACTAAATCAAAAAGAATGTTGGGGGATAGTCAGCAGTTGCAGTGTTCACTTGAATTGGTTCTGATTGAAACTGTGGTTGAGCAGAAAGAAGCAGCAGGAAGAATAAAAGCCATCATGTCCTTGCCCTTGATAGATTTTGGTGGCTAAAACATGACACACACGATGTTATTCTGTCTCCTACCGGGAGGCCTGTGGCACCAAATTCTCGTCTTCTCAATAATCCTTGAGTGGTTTCTGAATTATTAATGGATGTGGTATTAGCAAACCACAAGTTCCACAAAATTGCTCTAGGGCTGGCATTTGACAGGCAATTCTGTTCCCTAATTTTCTGCACATATCTTAATTATGACTTCATGGGCTTGTACCTTTTAATCTCTGGTTTCATCCTCTGGAATCATGGGAGGCCTCACTGTCTCCTTTTGTCTCAGGGGAATGATAGAACCCCTGGTGACTGTGAAGCAGAAGAAGAGTGGCCAGGTGCATTGGACCGGGCTTCAGTGGGGCCTCCCAGTTGAGAGTGATGCAGAAAATTATTGTTGTTGTGATATGTCAAACAGTAGGGGCCTTGCTCCGGACCAGGGATGAGTATTTTTCTTCCATAAAGGGTGGCCAGAGAGTAAATTCTTTACACCTTGTGGATCTAACGCCTCTGCTTCCAGCCCTCAACTTGGCTGTCATTCCAGGAAAGCAGCCAGAGATGCTATGTAAACAGAACACAGCAATGCTCATTTGTTATGTGGATGGAATTGTGTTGCCCCCATCATTTACATATTGAATCCCTAACCCCCAGTGTGAATGTATATGGAGATAGGGCCATTAAGGAGGTAATTAAGATAAAACGTCATTAGGGTGGGGCCTGTGTGCGTGCAGAGATGAGACAGTGTAAAGACACCACAAAAAAGATGGTCATCTGCAAGCCGTGGAGTGGCCTCAGGAGAAACCAACCCTGCTGGCACCTTGATCTTGGACTTTGCCCCTCTACAACTGTGGGAAGTAGATTTCTGTTGTTTGAACAACCGTCTGTGGTATTTTGTTACCACAGCCCTAACAGACTAATACAGTTCCAATAAAACTTATTTACAAAAATGGATGATGGGCTGGATTTGACTCATGGTAGAGAGTTTGTCACCCCTGCTCTATAGGACTGTCAATATTGTTATTAAATCAGGAGGCATCTCTTCTGGGTCAGGGGCTGGAGATGTAATGGGGTGAACTGCATCAGGCCTCTGCTCCCATGGAAGATCCTTTCTAGTGAGTGAGATAGACACTCAACAGATACACAACTGCGTAGCCAGGCTGTTCTCAGATACAGCTGAGTGCTCCGAAGAAGGCACGGGGTGATGTGATTGGGTGAATGCTGGCTGGGGAAGGGAGATGTTGCTTGAAGTACAAAGATCTAGGAGGGGAGCATCCCAGGCAGAGAGACAGCAAAGGTGAAGGCCAGAAGCAGGAGAGCTTGGCAGATTGGAGGGACTGGCTGTAGCCAGTGGGGCGGGAAGAATTTGGGATAGGTTCCACAGGGACAGGGCTGACTTGTCTAAACTAGCATCAGATTCAAAAGGCCTCTTCTGGGAGGCCAGGGTGGGTGGATCACAAGGCCGAGGTGGGTGGATCACGAGGTCAAGAGATTGAGATCATCCTGGCCAACATGGGGAAACCCCGTCTCTATTAAAAATACAAAAATTAGCTGGGCGTGGTGGCAGGCACCTGTAATCCCTGCTACTCTGGAGGCTGAGGCAAGAGAATTGCTTGAATCCAGGAGGCGGAGGTTGCAGTGAGCCGAGATTGTGCCACTGCACTCCAACCTGGGAGACAGAGCGAAACTCCATTTCAAAAAACAACAAAAAAAGTCCTCTTCTTACCCAAATCGGGATCTTGCTCTCTCTCACCTCAGGGGCCTCCCTCCCACTCCTTCTGTGCCCCCCAAGGTCTTTGTTATGCTCCCCCTGCCCCGTTCCACATCTTAAGGTCCCGCTCACTGGGCTTGGTTAGGGCAGGCACACTTCCTTCTCTCCCATCCCTCCTTCCTGCCCCTGGCTTCTCTGCATCCTCTTCCCTCCTGGCTCTTTCTGCAGCCCTCCCAGGGATGGAACCATGAGCTCCAGGTTGCTGCACAGTGATCCTTGAAGGTGGTGGAAAGTGAAATCTTCTGAGGCCTTTGGGAAGGTATGGAGGGGATTGAGTAGAGAGACAGGTTTTCAGTCTCATTCTGGTTATTGGATTCAAAATTGATCATACAGTGGTGGCTAGGGCAGGAGCCCATCACAGAGGGCTAGAAACCTCACATTCAGTGATTCCTTTATTAAATGGAATGTAACTTGAATTGTTCTTTTCCAGTTTGCCTCCTACCTGCCCAGGTGAGAGGAAATTCGGTTACAGTGTTTCTCCCAGAAGTTTTCTCTTTCCACTTTCCTATTGTACAGGCACCCAGGACCTTGGAGAAGGGAGTGGCGGACTGTCTTTAGGTTAACAATCCATGGGGCAGCTGCTCCAGTGCCCATGCATGGGCCTGTGAAGGCTTGGCTGCTGGCTGTCACTCCCTCCAGAGACACACTTGGGTGCAGGGACCTTCGCAGGCCCCAGATGCGCAGGACTCAGTCTGAACAGGTGGCTCCCCTCGTCTTCCCCCTGGCTTCTGTGTGTCCTTCTCTGTCTTGGCTCTTCCGTGAAGCCCTCACAAATAAGCTGTCCTTACAATGGGGCTTAATGACTCATTGAGAGATGCTGGGAGTTTGGGCAGCTGGGCCCCACATCCTAGGGTGACTTGAGAACCTGGTGGCCCTTCCTGTGCCTTTAGAGCCACAGTGGCCTCAAGGATGGGAACGTGCTGCTTGTAAAGCCATAAAGAACAAATAACATGGCTTAGATTTCTGTGTGCTGCCACCTAACACTCTCACTTCCTCACCCTGTGAGCAATTCATTGTGCATTTAATTAACACCTGACATCAGCTTCACAGGGACTAAGTGTGTCTTATGCACCGTCTTGTGCCTAGTGGCCAGCAGACACAAGCTGTGAAATGAGTGTAAAATGAATTAAATGAACATTGTTAACTGGGTGACCCTGGATATGTTCCCTAACCTCTCCAAGCCTCAGTCTCTTCATCTGCAAAATGGTGATGCTAATGACTCCCCGTGCCGGGGTGGGGGGTCGAAATGAGATAATGCAAGTAAAGCATTCAGCCCAGGACCCGACTGAGAGCTGAAAGGTATCAGCACCTGCCATTTCTACCGGCCTGGGGGAAACACGCTTAGTTTGGATGGGAGTGGTAATAACAGCCTTGGCTGAGGCGGTGGTTGTCATCACGCCACCGATGGAGGACTGACCTTGTGTTCGGCCCCACGCTGGCTCTTGGTGTTCTTCGCTGTCAGCGGTGCTGTGACTGAGACATCCTTGGCCCATTTCACATGTGAGCCCCCACGGCTGCAAGAGAGTGAGCTTCTTCCAGAGAGGGCGGCAGAGCCAGGATTGAAATTCACATCTTGCTCCGAGCTCATGCACACCTGGGAGCCTGCATGTTCTTGCTAGATTTTACAGCCAGCAGGCCTTTGTTGAACCGTAAGCAGCAGCGGCCTTGATCAGGCTGGTTTTTCTGCCCAGAGGCCCCTTTGGCATCGTGACTCAAAATTTTCTCTGGGTATTTTGCCTTCTTGCTGATGCATCGTTTGCCGGATGGGAACCAGCAGGTAGAGAGTGTTGGCTTTCTGCCTCCGGTCAGAGTCGGGAACGTGACTTGGATACAAACTCAGCATGGAGGGAGGCATGACTTGGGAGGGCAGAACCCGGCAGCTTCATTCCCATCCTCTGTTGGTGGGGAAGAGTGAGCAACTCACAGGTAGAACCAGGACAGTAGTCAGGGCTGTTTAAAAATTTAGGGCTCCTGGCTGGACGCGGTGGCTTATGCCTGTAATCCTGTTCCTGGACCAAACCGAGGGTTGCGCTGCTTGTTCTTATGGCCCAATAACAAGATGCAGATGAACTGGGAAGAGAAGAATTTTTTTTTTTTCTGTAACGAGGTACAGGGAGAAGGCTTAGAAATTATCTGCAGACCAACTCAAAATTACAAAGTTTCCCGGAGCTTACATACCTTCTAAGCTACGTGTCCACGTGTAAGTGTGCATTCCTCTAGAGACCTAAGTGATCAGCTTCTTCTAGTCTATGACTAAGGTCTGAGTCCTGAAGACCTTCCTCTAGAGCTTCAGTAAATTTACTTAATCTAAATGGGTCCAGGTGTGGGCGTGATTACCCTTATCTTGTCTCCTGCTAAATCATGGAGGTTTGGGGAGTCCCTTCAGACCCCCAGTAAACTTGTTTGTGGAGGCCTGGGGAGTTTCTTCACATCCCCAGTAAAACTTGTTTAATCCTTCGTTATCTTGTCATGCTTCAAGGCCCAGGAAAGGCCTGGGCACAACTAGGGGTGGGCTTTTGTTACATTCCAGCCCTTGTATAAGGGCAGTAGCTCTCTCAGCTTTTAATATTTAACTTAACCACTCAGTCAGTGCTGACACAATTGTTATAGAGGCCTGTGTTAGTGAGAACTGGCCTGCCACAATCCCAGCACTGTGGGAGGATCATTTGCGGCCAGGAGTTCGAGACCAGCCCAAGCAACATAGACCGTCTCTACAAAAGTAAAAAGTTAGTTGGGCATGATGGTGCATACCTGTAGTTCCAGCTACTGGGGAGGCTGAGGTGAGAGGATTGCATGAGTCCAGGATACTGAGGCTATAATGAGCTATGATCACCCCAGCCTGGGTGACAGAGCGAGACCCTGTCTTAAGAAAAAATTAGGACTCCTATCCCACCTCTTCAGAGACACTCATATAAAAATACAGTGTTTCCAGCTGCCATTTGTTGAGTACCTGTTGGCGGTGAGCCAGACTGTTGATCTGTGATGTTGTGTTAAATCATCCTGGCAAGGAGTGAGGTAGTGATGAGGAGGGCTGGTTTCACAGACCAGGAAACTGACCCGCCAGGAGGAGAGAAGATTGTCTCGGCCATAGCTCTCTGTAGTGTGCTCTGGGCTCTGTGTGCCCAGAGCAGCTCAGCCCAGATCCACACCACAGCCCCAGGTGGTCAGTATCACTGCAGCTTTGTTAACTATGGAGACTTCAAAGCAGGAAGGGGGAGGGATGCACACCCTTTCTCTTGGAAATTTCCTGGAAGGCAAGAACTGCTCGGGCTCAGCCATAATTAGTTCCTTGGTGGCAGGTTTCTTCAGCCTCCCACATGGGAAGAAACCCGAGTAGGTTGTGGAAATGCGGGTTCCAGGAAGCCTTGCCTGACAGCTCCTGGCTGGACGTGGCTGCATCTCGTCACTGGTCTCCCTGCTCCTGGGGAGCTGCCACCTCTCTGCAGTCACCTTCCAGTGGGGCAGACACAGATGGGTCCTAAGGAGAGAGATGAACAAAGTAATCACTACTGTGCTAAGACATAGTACGCTTGAGAGACAGAGTAAAGGGCCGACCCTGACTTCCCAGGGGGAGGTCTCCCTCTGTGCAGGTGTCCTTCCAGGATGAGAAGGGGCCAGGCAGCTGGAGACTTGGGCAGGAGCATAGCAGGCAGAGAGGGCACAGCCTGTGCACCAGCCCTGCCATTGGAAGGGGCTTGGAAGGAACTGCAGGAGAGTCACCGAGAGCCAGAACCATGCCTGTCTTCCTGCCGCAATGCCTGTGCCCAGCATGGGGGCTGGTGCGTAGCAGGTATTTATTTTTGTCCTGAATGAATGTGAAGACAGGAAGCGCTCAGCCACCATCATCAGCCCCAAGCTGTGGGAAGCAGAGGTCAGAGGCTGGGAACCGTGACACGTTACTGGTGCTTTTTTGGTGACCTCACTGGAGAATACTTAAGATTAACCATGTGTGTGTTTGTGTATGGATGTGAGTGATCCCTCACTCATCCCTTCTAGAATGTTCTGAATTGCCCACTGTGTTCCAGGCAGTGTGTCATGTGCTGGGGAAACTAAGATCACTCCAGCATAGACCAATTTCAGGGAACTCAGTTTAGATAAATGAGGCCGATAAGAGAACAACATCACCATGCATTGTGACAAAATGACACTGACTCTTCCTTCCAAACTCAAGAGTTGTGATCTAATCAGAATCGTGTTCCAATTCTTTAGATGAAAAGGCAATTGGGAGTTTAAGCAAATCTGGGACCTGAGGTTGCCTTAGGTCCCACATTTGGGTGCTTAAAAGGATGGCGGCAGTGTTTAAATGTTGATAAACAAGAACAGAAAAAAGCAACACGTTTGTTTTTCGTTATCTGTCCATAGAGCAAATCAGGACTGAGGCGATAAGGCCTGAGCACAACCTGTTGAAGAAAATCCTCACCCTCCTCATCTAGCCTCCTCCAGGAGGTCCTTACCACCATCCCGGTTCCCTCCGCTGCCTCCTCCAGGTCTCAGCTTCCCCATGACTTCCAGAGTGTCCCTTCTGTCAGCTGCCACACTGCTCTGTTCCTACCACATCCCAGTCTCACCCCACCACAGTTACCACTCCTGCTCAGACCTCATAGTCCCCCTTAGTTCCCCACGCAGGGACCAAAGCCACCTTGTCTTCTCCAGCGGCCACCCTCCCCCTCAGAACAGGGACACTCCATTGGAGTAGGTTCACTGTGTCCTGGAGGAATGACTTCCCAAACCCAGTCCGACCTAGCTAGAGAAAAACATCTCAGCCTTTCAGAATTTAGCCCCCACACTTCCACCTCTGGAATCACAGTGATTCCCAGGCCAGGCCTGGGAGTGAGGACAGGTGACCTGTGTCAAGGGCATATGACGTCATCTGTCATAGCTATTTCTTTCTTCCGTGGAACATTGTTGCAGAGCCTTTGAGAGAGCGGGGGGAGGAGTGCTTTGTTTTTGGAGCTGTGCAGGTGGTTGAGAGATTAGGGGATGAGCTCCAGTGAGCAGATGAGCTCAAAGAGGGCGCTGAGAGCTGGGCTGAAAGCGCACGCTGGAGTGAGTGTGTAAGTGGGCCTCCAACCAGCCTGTGGATACCCAGGTCTTATGAGGGCCCCGGGGAGAAGAAACTTGGGCCCAAACAGATGGCAGGTGTAAGAGTCATAGATCTAGTTCTCAGAGGACAAACACATGCTACCACCCACTCAAAGAGCACAGGTCCTGATGGGACTTCCTTGGTGGGGTGGGGAAGACAGAGAGCCGGGGATATCACAGCTGTGCCAGGGAGGTGGCCCAGCGTGGATGAGCTTTGGGATTTGTGTTAGTTAGGGCCCCGATTCTGGCTGACTCAAACATCAAAGCACCTGTCGTGGTTCACGTGATGGTGAAGTCCAGGTAAGGGGGGATTCCAGAGGAGGTTCAGGCTGTCGTCGGGGTCCCGGTCCTGTGTCTGCGTGACACAGTCCTACCTGGTTCCCTTCACTGGAGGAAAAATGGCTCCAACAGTGCCAGGCTTCTCCCTACCTGCAGGTTGAGAACAAATGCTTGTCCCTGCGTCCTAAGCAGGGGACCTAGGGTAGAACCCATAAGGCCAGTCACGCTAGTGATGGGAGTGGGGAGAACTCCCTGAGTGGCCTAACCTACATCCTGTGTTCCACGCTGGAGCTGGGCGAGGAGTCAGCTTGCCCAGAACTGCATAGGGTCTCTGGTGGAAATCAGGGGCTATCGCAAGAGAGGGCAGGGAGGGGACCCTGGACTCCAGCACCTAGTGTTCATGACAGTTCTCTTGGGATTCTGTCCCATGTAAAGTACAGAGTCTAGTCCTGGATTTGAGAAACTTCTCTGATCACATATCCAATTGTTAAAAAGAATTGTGGGTTACTGCAATATACATTTGTTTGTTTGTAGTGTACATAGATTCTTTATAATATACAAAACAAAAATCAGGAACTTATTAAAGATGATGAATAGAAACTAAGGTGGAGTTCTAATACTCCTTTGGGTAACTTGGGGATCATCTCAAGCATCCTGTGCTGGAGACCTCTATTAGGATGCAGTCACTGGGGACTACCATTAGGACGCGGTCGCTGGGGACCACCGTCAGGACTTGGTCACTGGAGACCACCGTCAGGATGCAGTCACTGGAGTTACTGGGGGACCACCGTCAGGATGCAGTCAGTAGGGGGCCACTGTCAGGATATGGTCACTGGAATCACTGATGACCACTGTCAGGATGCGGTCACTAGGGGACCACTGTCAGGATGCGGTCACTGGAGTCACTGGGGACCACTGTCAGGATGCGGTCACTGGAGTCACCGGGGACCACTGTCAGGATGCGGTCACTGGAGTCACCGGGGACCACTGTCAGGATGCGGTCACTGGAGTCACCGGGGACCACTGTCAGGATGCGGTCACTGGAGTCACTGGGGACCACTGTCAGGATGCGGTCACTGGAGTCACCGGGGACCACTGTCAGGATGCGGTCACTGGAGTCACCGGGGACCACTGTCAGGATGTGGTCACTGGAGTCACTGGGGACCACTGTCAGGATGTGGTCACTGGAGTCACTGGAGTCACCGGGGACCACTGTCAGGATGTGGTCACTGGAGTCACCGGGGACCACTGTCAGGATGTGGTCACTGGAGTCACTAGAGTCATTTCTGTGCTGTGGCATTTTAATGTCGTTACTTTGAGTCATTCCTTTTCTCCAGTCGTGAGTTGTGCTGTCTGCCCACCACTACTGATTTAATATTTTCTTTAAATTTTCTCTCACTTTTTACCTAAAGTAAACTCATTTGTAAAGAAAACGAGCATCATTTGCCATCAATAGAAAAATAACTTCAAAAGTACCATGATGAATACAAAACAGTAGGTTAGTGTCTAGTCAGCCACTGTAGTCTGCCTAGAGGTTTTAAAAAAAAAAAAAAATGGTGAACAAAGGTTAGCAGGCAAAGGCAGATGAGCCTCGACTTGAAAGACTGAGAAGGCATGAGAAAGGGAAAAGCTTTGTCTGGCATCCAGCATTGTTCACTGTCGTATCCAGGCACCACAGAAAACCATCTTGGTTTCCGAGTTCCATGCTTGGGGAGACACTGGTGGGGTGATTAAGGGTGTGGGCACTGAAGCCAGGTGGCCTGGAGTTTGAGTGCCATTTTTATCCCTTCCCTGTGCCTCGTCTTCTTCATCTGTGATGTGGACCTCCCTCCCAGAGATGTTGGGACTAGATGGAGCAGTATTTTCAAATGTCTTCATGTATGACATGCAGTTGTTAAGTACTAACTTTTATTATTACTGGTTTAAGTTGTTGTTTAAACTGTTCCAGACTTTTTAAGGAATATTTTCAATTTGAAAATATAGAGATTGATTGTAAGTGTTCTGTGATCAAACTGATCCTAGAGAAGAATATGACGTACTCCCTCAATTTATCCATGGGGCCTGAGATCCAGCCAGTCTGCAGAGACCCAGATTGGACCATCGCAGTGTGCTGGGGTTTGTTTCCTCATGTGATTATAAACTTTCACATGAGACTGGGACCTGTTCTAGGCATTTTTGGGGGTCATTCCATGGGCTTTTGGGGGGGTCCCATGAGTTTACATTGAGGACAGCATCCTTGGAGCCTCAGAAAACTGAGCAGCCCATCACCACTGGTCTCTCGGTGCTGCAGAGGCAACTTGGATGCCAGCAAGTTCCAGGCCAGTGGTATAATGAGGCATGAAGTCCCAGGAGGACTGGGAGGAAGACAGGAGTGTCCAAACAGGATGACCTTTCTCCTCTCCAGCTGATTCTCGCCCTGTGGAAATGCTCTTGGCATTTCAGTGCTGGCATCTGTTTTTTGTTTGTTTGTTTGTTTGTGGAGATGGAGTCAGGCCATGTTGCCCAGGCTGTTCTCAAATTCCTGGGCTCAGGCGATCCTCTGCCTCAGCCTCCCAAAGTGTTGAGATTCTAGGCCTGAGCCACTGTGCCTGTCAATGTTTTCTTTTTTAAAATTGTACTGGGTGAGCAAAACCTGTTTGCAACCTCTGGTCTAAGCCCATTTGTGAATTGATCCCCTTCCCCTCTCCTGCTACCTGCATTGTTGACTTTAAAGCTCTATTCTCGGCCCCCAGCCCATCTCCTAGTCCCTTTGATGATAAACAGTGCCATGAACACAGCTCAGAGCTGACAAACGGGCCTCCTGACCCAGCAATCCATCTATCTGGGAGGTTGCTGAAAACCGAAACCTCCCAGGCTACCCAAACACCCACTTCTGAAGCCCCCAAACTCCACTAGGTAATGAAAGATACCCAGGGAAATTAGAACAATGACAATAAAAACAGCGTTTCAACCGGGACGCAAGCTCTTGGGTGGCTTTACTCAGGAGGGTTTTTTCTCCCACTGGCCCTTTATATAATTCTCCACAGTGATGGGTATATTACAGCAATCTTGTAGAACGACAGCCTTGTGAAAGACAGAAAACAATGTAACTGCCCCCAGTTTTTAACTGACTTTCCTTTGCAAAATTTTGCCCTTCGCTAGCAATGTATCCCATCTCTACTTCTGCAGGCCCCTCCCTAATGGCAAGAAAGAATAGAAATCTGAAATGTCTGCATTTTGACTATAGCCCTTCCAGTGTGACCCTCTGAAAGGCATTTTTAAGAAAGAGCAGAAATGTTGGAATGTCACAGACATTTATTTGCATGGTATCATAACAGATTTTAATTTGACAAGGAAACCGCCTAAGAGGAAGGATTGAAAAGCCAATGCCAGGTAGAAGAGGTTTCCTTTGCGAAAATTATTTAAATGCATTCTGGCAGCTCTTATTTGAAGGTTAATTGTGATTCCGACTGTTAGGGAAAACCTAATTAACAATAATGGGAAAAAACTACATTTAAGTAATATTAAGGTTGTGACAAGCATTTTATAAAAGCAAGAACTCATTGCTGAAGTTTAGACTTGCTCTTCCAACCTGTGGCCCATTGTTCTCAGGTAGTGAAGCAGATAAAATGCATTAATTAAATATTTGGAAGCACTTTGCTGGTTCTTCTTATTTATTATCTTGTGTGAGGTTGACATCTTGGCAATTTCTGAGAACAAAAGAATATACAGAGAAGTAGATTTGCTCCTTATTTTATCAGCGGGATTATATTTAAATATAATTTTTGGCCAGGCACAGGGGGTTATGCCTGTGATCCCAATGTTTTGAGGGTCCAAGGCAGGAGAATTGCTTAAGGCCAGGAGTTCAAGACCAGCCTGGACAACACAACAAGATCCTGTCTCTAAAAATTTTTTAAAGCTATTAGTTGGGTGTGGGGGCATGTACCCGTAGTTTCGACTGTTCAGGGAGACTGAGGCAGGAAGATTGCTTGAGCCCAGGAGGTCGAGGTTGCAGTGAGCTGTAATCACACACTGCATTCCAGCCTGGGCACCAGAGGGAGACCCTGTCTTTTTTTCTTGTTTTTTGAGATGGAGCCTCACTCTGGTGCCCAGGCTGGAGTGCAGTGGTGCGATCTTGGCTCACTGCAACCTCTGCCTCCCGGGTTCAAGCGATTCTCGTGCCTGGGACTACATGCACGTGCCACCACGTCTGGCTAATTTTTGTATATTTTTTAGTAGAGATGGGGTTTCGCCATGTTGGCCAGGCTGGTCTTGAACTCCTGACCTCTCAGGTGATCTGCCCGCCTTGGCCCCACAAAGTGCTGGTATTACAGGTGTGAGCCCAGCCAAATAAATATATAGCTTTTTTGTCTTTTTTTTTTTTTCCCTGTCCAGGTGTGAGGGGCAGTCAGGTTGGGAGGGGCCCTGGAAGGGTTGAACCAGGTGGGCATGGCATGGAGGCATGAGTACTGGGCAAGTTGGCAAACTTTCTGTAAAGGGCTGTGTCGGAAACATGTCCGGTGTGATGGCCATGTGGTCTCTGTCACATCTGCTCAGCTCTGCCGGTGTGTCTCACAGGCAGTCATAGGTGATACATAAATGAATGGGTGGGATTGTGTTCCAAGAAAACTTTATGTGCAAAAACGGGCACTGGGGCTGGCTTTGGCCCGGGGCTGTAACTTGCTGGCCCCTGTGTGGAGTCTGGAATCTGGTGACCTAGGTTTGGATTTAAGTCACTCCCAAGTCTCCAATCCTGGACAAGTTTCTCTGTGCTGTTGTTTTCTTGGAGTACAGTGGATATTATACTAGCTTGTGGTACTGTGGTGCAGGTGGCACTGAGGCTGGGGCAGTGTGGTAGGGCATGGGCCACTGGGCCTTGCGGGAGGTGTGAGGTGGGGGCAACCCCATTTGGTTGGAACGTGGTGCTTTTTATTACTGTGGGCCAAGGTCCGAGGCATTTGGGAAAGACTGGATTAGGAATGGGGGCAGCTGCTGCAGTTGGAGAGAAACACTGAAGGCTTTGGGGGCGTGGCTGATGATGGGGTTGACCGATGGGGCTGATGGGCTGCTGGGTTGCTCTGTGAGAATCGGAGGTGTCATCCTATAGGAACCACATGACCCCTCTTCGTGGGTCCCTTTATATCCTGTTGGACAACCTCTGTCTTCCCCCTGTAAGTCAATAAAACAGTCCCCCTGGCTTAATTTCATGTTTTTTGTGTCAGTCATGTTACTGTCTTGGTCAGTATCAGTGAAATCGCAGCCCCCATAAAGCTTCCTTTCTAGTGATGGGGTCTTTTTAAGCTTCTGAGTGACATCAGCCTTTGTAGCAGGATGGGCGTCCTGTAGTTTGAGGAGATTGGATGGTGTATTAATTAGCTAGAGCTGCCCTAACAGAGTACCATGGGTTGGGTGTCATCACAGAAATGTATCTTCTCACCTTCCGGAGGCTGGAAGGCTGAGATCAAGGTGTCGGCAGGGTTGTTTTCTGAGGCCTCTCTCCTTGGTTTATAGACGGCCGTCTTCCCACTGTGGTCTTTCTTCTCTGCATGACTCTGTCTTGTCCTTCTAAGAAGAGGAGATTAACAGTCGTGTTGGGTTAGGGCCCACCTTAATGACCTCATTTACCCTTAGTTACCTCCTTAAAGCCTCTGTCTGCAGGTATAGTCACATTCTCAAGTACTGGGGGTTTGGATTTGAACATGTGAATTACGGGGTGACACAGTTCAGCCTATAATAGATGGAGTTGCTTGGCACATGGAAACAGAGCCGGAGAGAGACAGAGAGAGGAAACCAGAAGTCAGGCTGTTGATGCTTGCAGGGAGGACAGGCAGGAAGGGTCCTAAATTGGGTCCCCTGTTGAGGTCACTCCCATGAGGTGACCATTTGGGATTAGGTCTGAGCATCATTCTACTGAGGGCCAGGTGGACAGGGCCCTTCCTGCCACCATCCTGCTCATGGCACCGTCCTGTGGATTTCCGCATAATCTCCGTGTGGAGTTGAACCCCACCCGGAGACCATATTCAGACACTGTCAGCTGGTGGCATGAGCAGTGTCACAAAGTCAGACTGTTGTGGGTTTCTAAAGCCAGCTTAGGCAGGACACCACTTTCCAGAGCCTCGGGTTGCCCATTGGTAAAATGGAGCTGCACATACCTCTCCCTTGTAGTCGTGGGAAGATTGAGAATCTGCATATGGCACGTTTGGCACAGTGCCTCCCGCAGAGTAGACCTCAATAAACTCTAGTTGTTCTTTTATCCTAGCTGTTGCTTTTATTATTTTACTACTACTGTTTGTATTACCCTCAGCCAGCGATGTTTCTAGCTTGTTGATATCTCTTGGCCTTTCAGCTATAGATTATTTATTGTAGCAACTAACTTGAAAAGTGATGCATTTGTGGTTTCATGTATCTTAGAAGTAAAGAAAATTCTTCTACAAGCCAAACAGAAAGCCCTTGGCTGCCTCACATCCCCAGTGACAATATTTTTCACAGTGTTAACAACTCTTAGAAGCACAGGCTATGACCTCTGCCCCAAAGCACTTGACTCTCAGCCAGGGTGAGGCTGTGGGCAGGAGGACTTCTGGAACATGAGTGATACCTGTGTGCCCAGATTCCTCGTTCTCTGTCCCCAGAGGCCTTGGTTCTCTGACTTCTCGGTCAGCTCCACTGTCTTACCACATTCAAACCTTTCTTGGAAAAGAATCGTTCATCCTTTCACTTGGATGCCCTCTAAATTTGAACACATTTCTATCACAGTCTGCTAAGTCTTATTTTCATCTGTGTATCTCTCCCTGTTTTACTCAGACTTTTTTTTCATTATTGCCACAAATGCTTCTTTAAATGATTTAGGCAAAGATGGAGTTGATTGGCTCATGTAACAGACAATTCTGAGAATGCTGGCTGAAGGTATGGCTGGATGTGGGAGCTGAAGCGATGTGATGTCGGGACACTGTCTCCCTGGTTCCCTGGGCTCAGTTTCCTATCTTGGCTTCATCCTTGGTGGGCTTTTCATCTACAGTGACAAAATAACCCCCTGGCCAGGCATGATGGCTCACACCTGTAATCCCAACACTTTGGGAGGCTGAGGCAGGAGGATGGCTTGAGGTCAGGAGTTCAAGACCAGCTTAGGCAACATCAGGAGACCCAGTCTCTACAAAAAATAGAAAACAAAATTGAGCTGGGCATGGTGGTGCGTACCTGTGGTCCCAGCTACTCAGGAGGCTGAGGCAGGAGGATCTCTTGAGCCCAGGAGTTCAAGGCTGCAGTGAGCTATGATTATGCCACTGCACTCCAGCCTGAGCAACATGGTGAGACCTTGTCTCAAAAAAAAAAAAAAAAAAAGTGAAAAAATACCCCCAGTAGCTCTAGGCGTCCATCTCAGCAGCTTAGCAACTGTAGGCAAAGACCTGGGATGGATACTGGGTTGCTACTAGCAGCTGTGTCCAGTTGAACTCTCCACAGGCAGGTGCTGGCTTACTGGGTTTTGTCATCCCAGCCACTTGCATGGTGCCTGGCACATAAACCGCAGGACTGACCAGTGTTGTCTGGTAAAGATAATTTGGTTCCTAGCTGGGAACTAGCCCTCCTCTTAATGGTTTTTATGATTGTATTTTTCAGTGGCATAAATGATTGGAGAGTGATTTGTACCCCACACAGCCCTATGCAATAAACAGGAGTGTGTATTACCTTCGTGTCTATCCATGCCAGCTGCTAAGCATGTTTTTCTGCTATGCGTTGGCTCACAGTTCACTGGCAACGAGTCCTCTGCTTCAGATCACTCAGGTGGGATTGAGGTGTTGGCACACATGCCAAGTGGCCCTTCTCTTTTCAGCTTCTGTTGAATGACTTGACTTGTATTTTTCAGACCTGTTCTTTGAATAGCACAAAGATCACTGTTCCTCTTTGACAAGAGCTGTTTTTTTCTGAAGGGACTAAGACGCGTTAACAGTTATTTATACCCTGTCTTGTTCCAAAAGGCATTTGAGTGGCATATCTTACAGATAGGTGCAGGAGCTTGGGCTGTTGCGTCTGAGACACTATCCTGATGGGCACACTCCTCAACATCTCTGAACCTCATTTTCCCTGTCTGTGAAATGGGGATAATGAAGACCCATTGCAGAATGTTGTTTTGAGAATTAAATAATTTACAGCTTAAGTATTAGTCACTTTTGTTGTTGTTGCGGGAGGCTCAGGATCAGTGATGTGAAACAGTTGGCCTGGTGCCTGGGACAGAGATGTGCTCAGGAAATGGTGGTCCCCTTGTGGCCTTGAGTAAACGACTTAACCTCTCTGTGCCTGTTTCCTCACCTGGCGACCAGCCTGACCAACATGGCGAAACCCCATTTCCAGTAAAAATAGAGAAATTAGCCAAGCATGGTGGCGGACGCCTCTAATCCCAGCTACTCGGGAGGCTGAGGCAGGAGAATCGCATGAACCCAGGAGGCAGAGGTTGCAGTGAGCTGAGATCACACCACGGCACTCCAGCCTGAAATGGGCTTGACGGTCATAAGTAATGATAGTTAACACTCACGCAATGCATCTGTGAGCCACGCTTTCACTGCGAACTGTTTAATCCTCCCGACAGCTCTGGACGACAGGTGGTCACCATTGTCACCTTTTTACAGAATATGGAAACTGAGTCCCAGTGGGTTGAAATAGTAGCCTGAGGTGACATCTTTGCAGGCAGCGGAGCCAGGCGGCTGGACCCCAGAGCCCTGGTTCTTAACCAGCACGCGAGTCCTGGCGGCGCTTGTGGCAGGTTTCAGGGCTGAGGGTGGCATCCTTGCTCCCAGAAAATCACTTCAGATATTTTTAGGCCTGGATTCTATTTGGTCACTCAGCAGCCCAGTGTAGGTCTGGCGGATGGAGGAGTTTGGGTGCAGCTTCACGTTCAGATGGAAAAGCTGGTCTTCCCTGCACTTGCCTGCAAAGGCTCCTGGGGCAGAGCCCTGACACAGAATGTGGTTGGCCACTCCAGGCATGCTAGCCCCCTGGCTTATAGGCTGCAGAAGGCTTCCTTGACTGTTGTCCACACACTGGGAGCAATTCAGTTTCTCATCTTCTTTGGGCCTCTGTAGCCAACTACAGTTCCTTGCTTCAGAGCCTGTGTCTGTGTTTGGAAGGGGGCTGTGGATTGCACCCCATGGGCTCCTACCTTGAATCCTCTGCTGGTATGAGCTTGGCAGGCCTGACTGGCCCTTCTCCAGAGAGAGCTTTGGCCTCAGCTGCTGAGCCCAACTTTCCAGGCTGCTGGGCTTGGCTGCCCGGTTTCACTCCTAGAAACTCCTACACAGAGATCATGAGATTTACAGGACAGAGCCTTCTCTACGTGCTCCAAGTGGGTCCCTTGGTCATGCATTTCTTGGGCCTAGCTTGGTACCAGAAAAAGACACAGAAGCTGTCTAAACTTTGATTTAATTTTTATTCATTTTTACCTGGTCTTATTCCAAAAAGCATTTGAAGCAGCATAGCGTACGTATAGGTGCTGAGAGCATGAGGTGTTGTATCTGACACACTGTGTCATTGTGGGCATGTTCCTTAATGTCTCTGAGCCTCAGTTTCCCCACCTGTGAAATGAGAACACAGAAGACCTGTTCCAGAATTTTTTTGTTTTTGAGATGAAGTCTCACTCTGTTGCCCAGGCTGGAGTGCAGTGGCAGCGATCTTGGCTCACTGCAGCCTCTGCCTCCTGGGTTCATGCAAATCTCCTGCCTCAGTCTCTGAAGTAGCTGGGACTACAGGCGCCCGCCTCCACACCTGGCTAACTTTTGTATTTTTAGTAGAGATGTCGTTTCACCATGTTGGCCAGGCTGGTCTTGAACTCCTGACCTCAGGTGATCTGCCTGCCTCAGCCTCCCAATGTGCTGGGATTACAAGTGTGAGCCACCATGCCTGGCCAGAATATTGTTTTAAGAATTAAACAATTTGGCCAAGCACAGTGAATGCCCCAGGAACCTTAGCAGGCAAGTGGTGGCGCACGCCTGTAGTCCCAGCTACTTGGGAGGCTGACACAGGAGGATCGCTTGAACCTAGTAGGTGGAGCCTGCAGTGAGCCAAGATCATGCCACTGCACTGGAGCCTGGGTGACAGAGCGAAACTCCATCTCAAAAAAATAATAATAATAAAGAAATAATTTACAATGTGAGCATTACTTACTTTTGCTGTTACTGATGCTGTTATTAACATTATTACTATTATCCTCATCCTAGAAGAAAATTGATGGTCAGGGAAAATGAACTTTCACCTGACTCAGAGCCAGGTGTGCGTGCGGTGTGTGCACTTGCGTCCTTGTGTGTGTTTGTGTGTGTGTGCACGGGCATATGCATGCACAAGTGCGTGTCTTCAGCTCGTTGCCAAATGGTTGCATCTGGCTTTCCCCTGCATGAAGCTCCGTCATTTTCCATAGTTTCTGAGCAAATTAACTTTGGCATCTAGCTGGGTTGCTCATTTGCTAGTCGTGCCTGTTAGGAAAGGCTTGTTAAAGCTGTGTTATTGGTGGCGTTTTAAAAATGTGTTACTCTCTTTGTGCGCCTTTTGCCTGTTAAAGTGATGACTCTATCCTCCCCCGTCCTCGTCATATTGAAGGCCATGATCACAAAGCTTGAGGAAGACCCAGTGCTGCATGGTGGAGTGGTTGTGAGCTCCCCCGAGGTCCATGGGCAGGTGCTTTTGACGCTCAAGAACCCCGTCCTTAGGCCCACCTTCCAGGTCCACCTGCATCCCAGCCCCTGGCCGCCACCAGGGTTGGGCACCTCTGTCTTTCTCTTATCCTCCCAGCCTGATCTCTAGCACTTCCCCATTCCTGCCCTTGGTTCTTCTGGCCTCTGGTCTCCTCGTCAGTCCTCACGGTCCTGTCTGCTCCTCTTTCATTTCGTCTTGGCTGCTGTTGCCCGCCTGCTTCGTCACTCCATGTGCCCTCGTCCTTCAAGCCTCACCTCCAAGCTCACTTCTCTCCTGGGCCCGCTTTGAGACCCTCATGGCCACCCCTGCTCGTGCGGTTAGTGTGCATGTACAGACGCTCCGCAGGCAGTATTTCAGAGGGGAGGAAATGGAAGAAGGGAGGAAAGAATGAAGGGAATGGAGTATTTAGCATCCTGGATATTTAGCAGTGTGCATTTGTTCATTCACAAATGTTTTGCAGGCAATCAGTTAATTTTTTTTTTTTTTTTTGAGGCAGAGTCTTGTTCTGTTGTCCAGGCTGGAGTGCAGTGGTGCGATCTTGGCTCACTGCAACTTCCGCCTACCAAGTTCAAGTGATTGTCCTGCCTCAGCCTCCCAAGTAACTGGGACTACAGGTGCGTGCCACCATGCCCGGCTAATTTTTGTGTATTTTAGTAGAGATGGGATTTCACCATATTGGTCAGGCTCGTCTTGAACTCCTGACCTCGTGATCTGCCTGCCTCGGCCTCCCAAAGTGTTGGGATTACAGACGTGAGCCACCGCACCTGGCCGCAATCAGTTAATTTTTACAACTCTTAGGATGTTGGTAGAGTTTTCCCTGTTTGAGAGAGAAGAAAGCTGAAGCTCAGAGATTAAGTAATTTGATCAATTACATCTGATCAATGATCAGTATGGGTGTGCTGAATTCAGTGTACCTTTGTTCATTCAACAACATTTATCAAGCACCTGTGATGGGCCTGGTGCTGTCTAGGTGTTGGGCTTGTAGCTGTGATGAAGAGGGTGTGATTTCCTCTTCCCCAGGGCTCCCAGTCCGGACTCTCTAATCTTTTCATGGCTCCTGATAAGAATTTCTTCCCAAGCAGGTGAGAAGGTCTTATTACTTCAGCCATTATCTGTATCTCTCACAGAGCCTATGTCCTGGGGACTGGGCAGGAAGGAGGGTCCTACCCTGTAGGATGGCTGAGGTAGAAAAGGCCATGTTTAGCCAGGTCCATTCCAGTTATTCTCAGAGACCCGAATGGAGAATGACAGGTGTGGCTGCCAGGCAGATGCATCCCGCGTTTCCGTGCCCTGCATTTATCTTTGCCATCTCACTGAAATGAATGTAACCTCATGGGGATGTTCCTTGTCTTCCCCTGTGGCTGATGGGTGTGTTTGTTAAATATCTGGGATGTTTAATTTTTAGACGGCCTTGTAGGGAAGCGAAAACATGGCTCATCCCTTTCAGCTAGACGTAGGGAAACACTTCAAAGACACTGTCACCTCTGAAGCCATCCACTTTAGGTCTTTGAGGTTTTGAGTAAAGACAAGTGCAGCAAAATGACAAATGTTGGTTTAAAAACCTAAGCAGTCTGGAGATCTTTGGGATGGCATGTTTTGAAACAAAGCACACCGCCAAGGAACTCGCTTAGCTTGGGGCAACTTTCACAGCAACTGTTTGTTGGTGGGTCCTTTGGTAGAGAAACATGAGAGACTTTGAGGTCTGGGGCTTCGCTTTTGTGAAGCTCTGTCTTCCTGTGTAGGTGAGTCCCACCTTGGGGAAAAAAATCATCCCCGGGTGCATTCGAATGTTCTTTTGTGTTCGGCACCGTGCAAACCACTTTGCATGAATGATTTCACTTAATCTTGATGCATAAAACAGGGACACAGGGATGCTATTCTGATGACAAAGTATCCTTCCCCGCAAACATTATGGGACCCCTTTAAATCAAAGATAAGAATCTGGCATCCTGGGCTGCATATAGCCCATAGATCTGTTTGATTTGGCTAATTCGGTTTTTAGGATTGAATTTATTGACAATGCTGAACATTCGGGCCATTTCCCATAAAGCTCACTATTTCCAATTTCCCTTGAGAAAATGGAAAGCTCCCACATAGGTGGGTGTGTTCACTTGGGGCTCAGTAGTGGTGGCCCTGTTTTCAAGAGGGCAGTCCTCACCATGTCACCCCATCCCCACCTAGCCTGCTTCTCTCAATTATTTTACCTGCCTGGTCCCTATAGGCATTTGTGTCAGCCCCTTTTGCTTTAAGTTATCAGCCCCAGAGCCTTTTTTTTTTTTTTTTTTTTAAAAAGCAACAGTCTTTCAAATTTGATGTCATACACAAACCTTTGGGCCTGTCATCGACTGAGCATTCCGTCAGCGAATATGCGTCAGAAAACAAACCCTGCCAAGATGCATGTGAGGGGAGGTTGACTGTCGCTTCACTACCGTTCCTGTGGGAAATGACATCATCTGCAGCAGGGGAGCAGGACACTTAGCAGCACTTCCCAGAGTGGTGTCCCAGGACAGAGGGGCTGCAATCTCCAGGAAGGTGGATCATCATCTCGCTATTGTCTTAAATGTCTGAGTTATAGATCTTTGAGGGCCTTGAACTCCAGGACAGCAGGGAGGTAGGGGGAGGAGTCATCCAGACTTGGAAAAGATTCTTTAATTTTACTTGAAGTGAAACTCTTGCTGCTGGGAGTATAAGAATTCATTTCATCAAGCAAAAAAAGCTCAAATCAGTGATGTTTAGTGGTGACTATAAGGCCAGGTGCAGTGGCTCACACCTGTAATCCCAGCACTTTGAGAGGCCAAGATGGAAGGATCTCTTCAGGTCAAGAGTTCAAGACCAGCCTGGGCAACATAGGGAGGACCCCTCCCACCCCATCTCTACAAAACATTAAAAAAATTAGCTGGGCATGGTTGCATGTGCCTGTATTCCCAGCTACTCAGGAGGCTGAGGTGGGAGGATCTCTTGAGCCTAGGCATTTGAGGCTGCAGTGAGCTACGATGGTGCTGCTGCACTCCAGACGGGGTGACGGAGTGAGACCGTGTCAGCGTTGGGGGTTTGGGGGAAGCTGGTGGTCATGATGAGAGCAGCCAATGCTCTTTGCATTTCTTTATGTGCTAGACAGTGTGTTAAGTGCCTTCCCCAGATTATTTCAGTGAATTTTTCACAATAACTCAGTGAACTGGGTACCATAGTTATCCTTCCCGTTTACTAATGAGGACGCCAAGGCCCAGGCAGGATCACCACATGCTCAAGCTCATGTGGCTCATCACTGGCAGGATCAGGATTTGAACCCAGGCAGTTGGACTCCACCTCCACCGCTACCCTCTCCTGCTTCCTGTGGGTCAAGGCACATCCGGGAAGACAGTCTGTCTGGGTCTGTGTTTGTGACAACGGCCCAGCACTTGATATCTTTATGAAACCCTTATTAAATCAAAGAAGAAGAACCAGCTGGCATTTTGGGACATAGAGAAATATAATATTTACATTTTAAATAAATTAGGCCATCACCACAGACCCAGAGACATTGATTATTCTCAGAGTAGCTAACAGGAGGTTGAAATGGCTTCATATTGCGGGTCTTCCAGCCTGTAGGGAGAAAGCTTTGGTTTGGCGCTCACTGTAACACAGTTAAAGCCAAGGTATTCAGAATAGACTCTCTGCTCAGCATCCTGCGTTGACACAGAAGCCGTAAATAAATTTGATGGCAGAGCAGTTCTTGGCAAGAATTTAACAACAAATCTTGACATGAAACTGTGTCCCTGCTGCCCTGTGTCTGTCACCGTGTTGTTGAGATTGGCCTGGACGTGTTGGCACGTTTCACTGGATGGTTTGTGTTGCAGTCATGCCCATAGCTTAAAATTTTTTCCCCTCAGAGAAAAGATATTGGAATACTGTGTTTTCTCTTTACTCAGGGTTTGCATTTGGAGTGGTGAAATTTGCACTTCATTGTATATTCTGAAGGGTTGGCAAGTGACAAGTCACCTGTCCTTCCATTTTAGAGATGGAACATCAAGGTATGAGAGAACTCTGTTGGCTGAGTACAGTAGCTCATGCTTGTAATCCCAGCACTTTGGGAGGCCGAAGCAGGAGGATCGCTTGAGTCCAGGAGTTGGAGACCATACTGGCCAACATGGTGAAACTCCGTCTCTACTAAAATTGAAAAAAATTAGCCAGGTGTGGTGATGTGTACCTGTAATCCCAGCTACGCAGAAGGCTAATATGGGAGGATCACTTGAGTCCAGGAAGTTGTGGCTGCAGTGAGCTATGATGGTGCCACCATACTCCAGCTTGGGCAACAAAGTAAGACCCTGTCTCAAAAACAAACAAACAAACAAAAAACAGACACCACAAGAAGCCTTGGAAGGCAGAGGGACTGGGCATCATTGAGCACCAGAGTTGGCCAGGCCTGGGAGATGTTTTCTCAGTTTGATCTTAACCATCTTGGGCAGCAGGTAGTGCTAAACTCTTTTACAGACAAGGAACTGAGTTTGCATAAAGCATGTCACCTTCTGAAGGCCACCCAGCTGGCAGGTGATGGGGCTGGGAGGCAGCAGTAGGTTTGTCTTCCCTCCAGAGGTTCCTTTTATGTCACACTGTCTCCACAGTTGCTGGAGATAGGTATATTAATTTTTTTTTTTTACTTAGCTATATTGAGGTATAAATGGTAACGGGAAATTATGTGGATTTAAGGTATGCAATGCGATGGGTGTTTTGTTGTTGTTGTTGTTCAAGACAGGGTCTTGCTGTGCTACCCAGGCTGGAGTGCAGTGGTGCGATCTCGGTTCACCACAGCCTCGACCTCCTGGGCTCAAGTGATCCTCCCACCTCAGCTTCCCCAGTAGCTGGGACTACAGGCACGTACCATCATGCCCGGCTAACTTTTATATTTTCTGTAGAGACGAGGTTTTGCCATATTGTCCAGGCTGGTCCTAAACTCCTGGGTTCAAGCGATCCTCCCACCTCGGCCTGCGAAAGTGCTAGGATTACAGGTGTGAGCCACTTCACCTAGTCACATATCTCACTTTGAAGAAGAATACTTGCAAACATGTGACCCATTTGCCCCAGATTTTATGGACGAAGGGAAGGATTGTCATTCAGTGACGGTGATGGCGTGGTTTCCCTGGCCGAGTGAGGACAATGGCCTCATGGAGAAACCCTGAGATTTTGCTGCCATTGTCAGCATCTTCCCTCATCATCTCAAGTCTGGGACAGTCCTCTTTATGTCCTGGGTATAAAAGCTCCGAAGAAGAAAACAGGTTGCAAGTGGAAGTTTCTGCAGCCGAGGAACGGTCGGGTGACACTTCCATGGCCCTCTCACAGCCGCTTCACCTTGAAAGTGCTGCGGTCTTTGGGTTGAATCCAGGTTCTCTTCACAGCGACTGCCAGAGGAGCCGAGGAAGCACCTGCATTTGGAGCTATTCAGTGCATCCTGGAACCGGTGTTTGGCTTATTTTCTTAGCATAAGTAGATTTCTACCTAATGGGTCATCAGTGTTTTCTGGGGCTGAGTCATTAGGGAGGTGGGAGGCGGATCAATTGTTTAGACCAGACATCGCCTCTGCAGTTTGCCGAAACCACGGCTTTTGTTTTCTTTGAAAAGGAAAATGTTGGAGTCCAGTAGACTTTCTTAAGCAGTGTGGAGGCAACTCATGAGCCGTGGGGTTGGGCGAGGAAGGGAAGTACACTCTGTTCAGAACCCTGGGGATGTTCAGAACCCTGGGGGTAAATAAGGAAGCTCATCGGGGATCAGACCAGCAGAGGGACTGCCTTCCTTGGCTGCCTTCCCCCCGGGAGGTATTCCCGGGAACAAGGAAGCTCATCCCCTCTTAGGTTCTCACCGTGCATCAGGCGTTGTGCACAGGTTCCCACAAGGGGTGTCACGTTCTCCTCACAGCTTCAGGAAATCTGTATCATTAAAGTTTCCACTTGTAGATGAGAAAACTGAGTCTCAGAAAGGCTGTGTAATTTGTGTGAGGTCACACAGCAGCATTCACACCAGGTCTCCCAGAACACACAGCCCATACTATATCCCCATAGGCAAATCAGAAATGGCTAGCTTGATAAGGGACATCATCCTTGACCTGTTGCCTTCCTGGGTGGCAGGGGCCTGGGAGATGAGACTCTATGGAATCTCTCCCTGCAGACCCCTACCCCATCCCCACCCCCAGACCCACCTTCCATGTGGGAGGCGCTTGTGGAATATTTATTGATTGAAAGAGGTTGAAAGAAACATGTTTAACAACATATGGCCCAAAATCATAACAGTGTTTCCAGATGGAGGATTCATGATGCTGCCCTGCAGCTTAGAGTCCCCCAGATTAGGAGTGTCACATGGAGGGAGAGGTTAAACTTGTTCCACCTGTGGCCGTCATGGGCTGTCCTAGGACTACACACAGACAACTTTGAATTCAGTGGAAAGAGACCTGCGCCATCATGACTGTTTCATAATAAGTGGCAGCCGGGCATGGTGGCTCACACCTGTAATTCCAGCATTTTGGGAGGCTGAGGCAGGTGGATCACCTGAGGTCAGGAGTTCAAGACCAGCCTGGCCAACATGGTGAAACCCCGTCTCTACTAAAAATATAAAAACAATTAGCCAGGCGTGGTGGCGCATGCCTGTAATCCCAGCTACTTGTGTGGCTGAGGCAGAAGAATCTCTTGAACCTGGGAGGCAGAGGTTGTGGTAACCTGAGATCGTGCCATTGCACTCCAGCCTGGGCGACAGAGTGAGATTCTGTCTCAAAAAAAAAAAAAAAAAAAAAAAAGATTATGGGTAGTGAGTTTCTTGTGAGTGGAGGTGTTGAAGCAGAAACTGGGCAGTTACTTGGTGGCTCTGTGAGTCAGGACTCTAATCCAAATGACAGAAAACTCAAACTGGGCTTAACAAGAAATGAAGCTTTTTGAGTGATGAAAACTGGACATCCAAGGATTGGTGTAACCTTTGGCAGGGTTGCATCCAGAGGTCAGATGAGCAAATGTGGATGTTCTCTTCCTGCTGTTGCTCTCTGCTTTCTTTTTTGTGGTCTTCATTCTTAGGAAGGCTTTCTCTATATGTGATGGATCCTAGCAGCTCCAAGCTTATGTCCTATGAGCTTAGCAATTCTTGTCATGAAGAGAGGGTTTCTCTCCCAGTAGCTCTAACAAGATTCTTGGAATTGACTCTTATTGGCCTGACTTGAGTCTTCTGCCATCCCTGAACCAGTCACTGTGGCTAAAGGATGAAATACACTCATTGGCAGGGCCAGGGCACGTGGCCAACAGTCAGTGGGGGCGTTTGGTCAGCTTCCCCAGATCACTAGGAAGAGAGGTGGTTTCTTAAGAAAAAGCAGGATTCCATTAGCCAAAAAAGAGGGGAATTCATCTTGGGCAGAGAGAAAAAGAGAGATGTTCACCATGAGGGTCACTGAAAAAGGGTCTTTTAGCATCAAATGAGGAATTGGAGACGATCACTTTTTAGATTTAAATCCAAGACATAATGATCAGGTTTAGTTTCTTAGCCAAAAATTGTTTTCTTTTTCATCTTTGTTTTCATCATCGTCATCTTCTCCATCCTCCTCCCCTTCTTCTCCTTCCCTGGAGAAACTAACTAGAATGGAATGCAGCTGTAGAAATCCTGGTTAATTTCTCAGATGCAGAATCTGGTCTCTGCAAAGGAAGGAGAATTTCTATTGAAGCCCAACCTTTTGTTTGAAGTCCTATTCTCTGTAACGGGGCATAAAGACAATGTTCCTCAGTCAGTAAGCATTCCTAACCTTGAGCTCTAGGATGTAAGCTCAGAGGAGGAAGGAGCTTTTATCTGTTTGTTCCCTGTTGTATCCCCAGTGTCTAGACAGTGCTTGGCATGTAATAGTAAGGATGGATGGATGTGGGAGACAGAATGGGAAGAGCATGGTTTTGCATTGAACAGATTTGTGTTTGGAGTTCTGGAAACGTTGGTCTGTGAGTCATCTGGAGCAGAGTGACCACTTGGGGGCAGTGTGAGGTTATTATCAGTAACTTGCACCTGGTGGCCAGGTAGACAAGAGGCTAGAACTGCGAGAACAGTCGGGAGGGACCAGAAGGGACGATCTCCCCTGTCTCTCTTTCACAACCCCGGCAGCAAACATCTCTAAGAGTCTGATTAGGTCACCCGGAGCATGTGGTATCTTGGGCATTGAAGCATCTTTGTGGGTTCTTGAAGGTCTGAGATCCTCCAGTGGAGAGTGTTCCTCAGTGTCCCGCTTTATAGCCTTTTACGTGGAGTCTTTGCCTTCCATCCACTAAAGGGGCCCCTATCCTTTGTCTGTCACCACTGGCATCTTTCCTCTATTTACTTCACCATGAGGTTATGAGAACTCATCCTACAGTCTCTTCTAAGCCCCTATTTCCTTACCTGTAGAATGGGCATAATGCCTTGAAGAGACGTGATGATTACAGTGAAGGAATATTGATAAAGGACCAAGAAGAGTGTCTGGCCTGTGGAACGCATCCAACCTATGGTTACTATTATTATTGGAGCCCAAGGAGAGATTTGAATTGTATTTGGGGCTTTCACAGACAAACTCATTAGAAAGTACTGCCTGGGCCCATATAGCAGACAGAATACAAGTCTTGTGATGGATAGACCTGGGTTCAAATTCTGACTTCACCACTTGTGATTTGTATGACCTTGAACAAATGATTTAATGTGTCTGAGACCAGTTTCTTCTTGGGTAAAAGGATATCATGATACCTACTTCCTGTGGCTGTTGCAAAGCTGCCTTTAACAAATGTCTTTGGCCTCTGTGCCTTTCCTCAGACTTTCAGGCCCATTGTGAGAGAGCTAGGAAGATACAGGGTTGTCAAGTTGACACATGTCAGAATAGGATTGGTTCTGCCACAGTAACAAATGATCCTCAATCTCGGTCTTTAACAAAATAAAAGCTTATTTCCTGTTCGTATGTGTCCAACATGGGTTGCCCAAGGGCAACAGTGGGACTGTTCTGCTCCACATAATGACTCAGAAATCTAGGTGGACAGAGGCTCCCATCTTGTGGCCACACCATGGCTTTCTCACTTAGTGTTACAGGGAAGGGATGGTGCAGGGTCACACGCCAGCAGTCCTATGCTATGACTCAGAAGAAACATTTGTCACTTCCACCTGGAACTCGTTGGCCCTAAGTCAGAAGCTTGTGCCCTGTTGTGCAGAGGGGGCTGGGAAGCTTGGGGAGCAGGTAGGGTGCATGGTGAGCACCAGTATCTCTGCCACAAGGACCCACTTGTTGTCTTCATGACATTCCCATTGTAGGGATTAGAGCAGCTGTGGGCTAGTGACTCCGTAGCTGCCAGGTCATTTCCAGCACAGTGCTTCGTGCCAGGAAGTAAAGAAATTTAGGCTTGAGACCCCAGCTTCATAGATGCTGCTGAGAACGTGAACTCTTTTACCTCTCCCAGATTCTGGGAGGTAGATGTGGTCTTGTAATGCTGACTGTTGAATAGAAAACAGAAGAAGATCACATTTGATGAGCCACTCTGTTGGGGGTGGCCTAGGCAGGGAAGCATTGTGATACTTTTGCACTTACCTTCACTGCGTATATCATGGGGATATGAGTCACCCAGAGAAAAAGTTTTATTGCCTGTTGCCCTCTGCAAGGGAAGAAAAGTCACAGATGTCTGCTGCATGCCTCCTGAGGGCAAGAGTGTATGCTTGGCATTTTAACATACAAGATCTCGGTCATATCTTCAGTGTCCCATGGAGAGAAGAGATTACAGTCTCCATGTTGCTGATGAAACCATGAGGCTTAGGGGTGTTCAGAGCTGTGTAGAAACAATGGCTGCCCCGTTCATGGGACACAGCCAGTGAAGTGTGGTCCCAGATTCAAGCCCTTAAATTCCATGTTGTTGTTTTAAACTATACCATCTCGTCTTTCCATTGTAATGTCTGTGGGGCTTAAGGAAGTTGTAGGGATGTGCCCAGTTCTGTGTGTCAATCAAAGCTGTAAGAATCAGAATCTTGTGTCTTTTACGAAGCTTGAGTTGTATATTGGCTCATTTAGTCCTCATAACAACGCTATCATGTAAGAGCTCCTATGGCCACCATTTTTCAGATGCAGAAACTGAGGTCCAGAGAGGTTGAATGATTTACCCAAGGTCACCCAGCAAGTTACTGGCAGACTGGGACAGAATCCTGGCCGTCCAGCTCCAAGTTCATCCCCCAGACCAGTACCCCACAGTGCTCGCTCACATTTGAGCACAGTCTTCCCTCTGTCCAGGTGCTGGTGTTCATGAATTACTGCTTGGCACAAATGAATGGCTGCATACCCCTTCCTGGGAGGAGCAAGCCAGCCTTTACCTGAAGGAGGCTCTTGGCAGCTTTACGGGAGTGCTGTTGGGTGTGAGAAAGAGACTCTCAAAGGAAAACAACATTTTGATGCTCATAAAATTTAATGTTCTTTCATTTACTGTCTTTCTCTTGAAACTTGGACATAATTTATTGAGCCCGTGGTTGAAATATTCAGGAGGTCTCTGTGTGCTACTTCGAAGGGAATATGATTAAAAACGCACACCAGCCTCCACTGATTTCTCAAGACATGAGAACACGACAAAGAGCCACATAATTTCAGAATTCACATCTTTATGTGAAAGCCTGTGCTTTCCAGCACCTTGCAGAATGAATGGAAAAGCAGCACTTCAGGGTGAAATGTTTTCCAGAAAACTTCTGACTTGGTGTGCTAGTGTTAGCTTCACGGTACTAAATAACTTCTGTGTCCAGCAACCTATTCTCGGAGATAAAGAGAAGCTGCCCCAGGCCCTGTGCCAGGCTGGCTGCTCTGAAGTCACATCTTAACCATGTTTAAAATCCTGCTCGATACGATGGAGCCCCACTTTATAGCCGAGGAAATGGGAGCAGATGAATGATGGGGCTTGGGTGTGAACCTGTTCTCATGCCTCCTGCCAGCTGACCTCTTCCTGCCTTTGGCCTCAGCTTAGTATCACAAGCCCTAGGACGGGTAGCTGCCTCCCCTTCCTGTTCCCAGGGACCGTAGTCTTCCTGCTGTGCCACTGGCCACTTTGTCTGAGAACCGTTGACCACCTAGATCCCCACGAGATAGGGAGCTCTGTGAGGGCAGGGGCAGGGGCAGGGGCAGGGTCCTTGTCACACTGATGCCCAGAGCTCAGATCAGTGCCTGGCACACCGTTGCTCAATAAATGTTTGTTGAATGAATGAAGAAACGTGAATGAATGACTGAATAAGTAAATGAATTAGTGCTTCCAGGCCTGTGCAGGGAGGTGCATTTGACCTCTTCTGTGGTTTAGCTGTGTCCCCACCTAAATCTCATCTTGAATTGTAGCTCCCATAATTCCCACATGTTGTGGGAGGGACCCAGTGTGAGATAATTGAATCACAGAGGTTGTTCCCCTCTCCTGTTCTTGTGGTAGTGAGTCTCATGAGATCTGATGGTTTTATGAGAGGTTTCCTCTTTCTCTTGGCTCTCATTCACTCTCTTGTCTGCCGCCATATAAGACATGCCTTTCGCCTTCTGCCAGATTGGGAGGCCTCCCCAGTCATGTGGAACTTGTGAGTCCATTAAACCTCTTTTTCTTTATAAATTACCCAGTCTTGGGTATGTCTTTGTCAGCAGCATGAGAACAGACTAATACAACCTCACAAAGGGAGAGGGTTTATAAAATAACCCAAAGCAGAGAGAGATTGTCCAGCATGGTGGTGTGAGAAAGGACTCTGGTTCCAATCCCACGGCCTTTAGTGTTAGCTTTGCCTAGGACTAAACCTCCGTGAGCCTCCATTTCCTCAATCTGTAGATGGAACCACTAGCTAGAATATAGAAACCATGAGGGCAAGAGTCTCTCTTGTTTGCTGCTGTATCCATAGTGTTTAAAACAGGGTTTGGCAAATGGTAGATGCTCAGTAGATGTTTGTGGAATGAATGAATAAATGAATGAAAGAATCTGAGAATTTTCAGATATTGAAGATAAGTTTCTTAAGAAGGAGCCATGGACAGGCCTTGTATGGATAAGTTAACACAAGGATGGGGCTTAGGGTTGGGTCTGGCGTCCAATACATGCTCAGTAAATGTTTGCTCTTAATGACAGTGGCCTCACTGTATCCTCCTCTTCCTCTTTCTCCTCCTGGGCTGCCTGCCCAGCAGGCTGGAGAAGGCTTTCTGTGCTGGGGAGGAGAGGAGGCCAACGCTGCGCTGCCTTCTAACTCCCAGGTCTTGGGAAATCAATAGCCGTCCTCTGCAAGCCAGCCTGTAACCACTGTGCTTTTGAAAGGAGAGGCCAGCAGAGCCTTTTTAAAGTAATTCCGGCCCCATTTTCACAGGCCTAGCCGAGCACCATGTTTTGTGCTTGTGATGGAACTATAATTACACCCATTGTGTGGCGCCAAGTAAACCACCTCATATGCTACGTTTAAGGAAAGAGGCCTCTGCCCCTTTTTCCGCTGACCCTCCCATAATCCATGCAGCAGAAATAAGCCCTACAAGTGTCTGGTGTTGTCAGTGGCTTTGGCAGTGATCTCCAGTAACACACGTGGAGTTGGGTAAGATCCTGTGCTCTGCGCTAGAGCTGTGAACTGCCCAGGAGACATTACCATCTGCAGAAGTGCATGCTACACCTTCTTCTGGGGGAGCCTCATGTAACAGATAGAACATGGGTCTGGGCGTTAGCTACTGCAGCCATCTCCATGTGACCATGGGCAAGTGTTCTAGTCCCTGTGGGCCTCAGTTTCCTCCCATATAAAATAGGGACAACACCAGCACCTAGTATGATGTCTAAGACTTCTGTGTGCGGTTGTGCAGGTTGTACACTGCACAACAGCTTATGGCTCTGGGGGGACCAGTGGGAGCTCTATCTAGCCGTGCTCCACTCACCGAACTCAGATATCATGGGTCTGTGGCCAGTTGGAGCACTTCCTTTTATTGCATGAAAGAGCCTTTATGTCATACATGACGTACTTGACATTTAGTAAGTGCTCAGAAAACAGTAACTGTTGTTGCCACTACTACTGGGGGATGATCTGTGGAGGAGGTGGATGAATGGATCGAAGGCGTTGGGCAAGGAGATCAACTGAGATTTGAGTGACGTTGTGAAGGGTGGATAGCATTTTAGGATGTGGGCACAGTGGGAAGGTGGGGGTGCAGCCGTATTCTCGTTCCATCCATGTCGGTCCTTCTCTTGAAATGTTTTCTGCCCTCTCCTCCCACCTCCTCTCCCACCAGTTGCTTTTATGCCATGCCAAGAAAATTAGTGGAAAGCCATTGAAGAATTTTTTTTTAAGTTTGGATTGTGGACAAATGTGAATGTGGACAGAATAGTAGAATGCACCTCTGTGTGCCCAGCACACAGTCCCGTCAGCTTCAGCAGCCACCAACCCAAGCCAGTCCCACTCCCCCCTCCCCACCGCCATTCCTAGTATTATTTTGAAGCAAATTGCAGACATCATGCAATCTAGTTTGTAAATGTTATTGAAGGATTTTAAGCAGTAAAGGGGTGTGATCCTGGGTTTTAGAAAGATCATTTGAGCGTCAGCTGGTGGCGGGGGCAGCAGGGAGGCGGTGGTGTTTGTCTAGGTGGGAGGGGGCTTCTGAACCTAGGTTTGGCCACAGGATGGAGGAGCGGGGACAGACCTTGGAGAGATGAAGGATGTAGATTCTACAGGACCAGTGGTACTGGACACTTCTGCTGGTGCCTCTTTAATGGATAATCATGGTAATTAACATTTATGGAGTACTTTACGTAACCCTAAGTAAAGCACCTCTTTCTTTTATTATTTAAACCTCACAAAAGCCCTTTGACATTTGCATCGTTGTTAATGTGATTTTATGGATGAGAAACTGAGGCCCAGAGAGGTGGAGGTAAGTTGCCCAAAGTCACATCTAGGGAGTCAGGAATGGTGGGTTTTAATCCCAAATGGCCTGCCTCTGGCGTTCGCACCACGCCGCACACCCTCTCCCGTACTGCTCTCACAGGACAGGTGTGAATTGGGGAACCCGCTTAAAGACCCTCACAGCTGCATGAGTGCCTCTTGTGTGTTCTTCTTAAAGGAACACACCTTTCAGCAGAGGGCTGGGGCTCCAGGTTTTGTTTTTTGCTTTCTTTCCCCTGTCATTGCTCACCAACCACCAGGAAGGTGTTGGCTGCTATTGTAACATGGTCATTTCTGTGGATTCTGCCTTGGCTCTTGGAGGGCTGTTGTAGGGGCCAGGAGAGCATCATTGTCTCCAGGGGGGTAGCAGCTGCTGCTCTATGAAGCCTCCCTCCCTGGCTTGCCTGTGTATATTCTGAAAGGCCACATGTCGGGAGAAATGATGACCAACATTGGGGCCTGAGACCTGGCAGCCCCGTGGCCAAGCGATGACGGTCACCTAAACCTCTGCTTCTCAGAGGCGTCCCCTTACTAACTGAGCTGTTTTTAGTGATGGGTGTTGTCCCTCTTTAAACTGTAATCCCATCCTGATGTGTGTAAGCATTACCTCTTGCTATCTCAGTGTTCTGAGTGCTGAGGGGCTTGTTGCAGAGGTGATCAAGGGAACCTTTGAAATGTGAAGTTATCACCAGGGTTACTTAAAAGCCTCTGCTTAGTGACTCTGCAGACAGAGCCTACACAGCACTGTCTCGGTGGCACTTCAGGATGATCTGCCCCACAGGTCTCAGTTGAATTTATTACATGGTGGCTTTATGGTGCGGCATTGAGGAGGATGAGTCCCGAGATTCCAGAGCACCTGGCTCATCAGGGCAAGCCTGAATAACTTCCTGGGGCCAGCCGTCCCCACAGCAGAACCAAAGCAAAATGTGTATTGGAAGGAAGAAAGAAACAGGAGAGACTCCAAAGATGGGAGATGCAGGACCATGAGCCTCCATGCAGGCTCTGGAGCCAGACTGACCACCTCCCTCCCTTCCAGACTGCATGACTTGGGACATTCGAGTCACCCTTCTGAGCCTCAGTTTTCCTTATCTGTAAAATGGGGGTAAATATACACCTCCCAGGCTTGTAGTGTCTGCTAATATGTAAAACACTTAGAGTGCTATCAGACCCATAGCAGGTGCTCATTCTGTTACATCCTGTCCACATCATGGCAGGTACTGGTGACTGCCCGAGAACTCTTTCATCCCTTTGTACCTCGTGACAAACCTGTACAATAGGTGACAATAACCTCATTTGACAAATAAGATACCAGGAATCAGAGCTGGGTGTGGTGGGTCATGCCTATAATCGTAGCACTTCGGGAGGCTGAGGCAGGAGGATTCCTTGAGTCCAGGAGTTCAAGACCAGCCTGAGAAACGTAGCCATATCCTGTCTTTACAAAAAAAAAAAAAAAATAGGTGAGCATGGTGGCACATGGCTGTAGTCCCAGCTACTTGGGAGGCTGAGACAGGAGGATTGCTTGAACCCAGGAGGTCGAGGCTGCATGAGCTGTGATTGCACCACTGTACTCCAGCCTGGGCAACAGAATAAGACCTTGTCTCTGGAAAACAAAATTAAAAAAATAGGGTACCAGGAATCAAAGACGTGTGATTCTTTACACAAGGTCATCCAGCAGTGAGTAGACAGGACCTGGATTTGACCTCCAGGGCCTCATTTTTCTCCTTGACATGGAACATCTGGAAGTCATGTCTGCCAGTCTCCTGGAATGTCTTCATGCTGGGATTTTCGTTTGAAGCTGTTGTCGGTGTTGCCTTCACCTGAAGCAGAAACCATTTTGGAGAAGGCTTACCCTAGCTGCTGGGGAGCTCCTAGACTCTTCTCTGGGAGTCTCCTTTGGCCTTGCATTGGCCGAGGTTCTTACTTACTCTAGGTGCCCCTTCCCTTACTGCTAGGGTCCCCCTGAGGGGGATGTGGGAGCAGCCAGAGCCCACATGGCTTTTCCCCTCTGCCTGCTGATGGCAGCCATTCACTGTGGCGTTGACAGCGCCTTTCCCCGGCTCTGTGTGTGTGTACATGTGTGTGTGTGTGACAGTGTCCCTTACCTTTGAGATGCTCCCAGCCCTCCATCCCTGGCTCAGCACCCTTCCAGGTCCTCTGCTCTTCACTGGTACCTTGAGATGCTAGCTCAGCATCACAGTGATGGCGTATGCTGAGAGGGAGGAGAGAGGAGTGTGGCCACAAACACAGGCTGGGGAATCCGAATCCCAGTTCTGCTGCTTACTTCCTGTGTGGTCTTGGACAAGTTGCACACCCTTTCTGTGCCTCAGTTTTCTTAGCTACAAAATTAGGGACGGTAACACCACTCACCTCCCAGGGGAGTTGTAGGGTACAGGTGAGTACTGCTCGGAGAGGAAGTGGAACATTCCTCGTGCGCAGGGAGTGCCCCCTGAGTCTGCCCACCCCTCCACACTGTCACCATCGCCCCTCTGGGAAGACAGCGCCCTTAGTTTACAGAACACTTCCCCATTCCTCAGCTTGTTTAAAAGTCTTGTGGCCTCCCGGTAGAGGAGCAGAGAGCGCTGAATTAAAAGCAGGAAGCTTGGTGTGTAGTTGTGGCTCTGTTAGGGAGTAAAATAAACTGTGTAGCTTTAGACAGGCCACTTGCCCCCCGCCAAGCCTACATTTCCTCAAATAGGCACAGTGTTTCTCTTCCTGGGTTATTTATTTGTTGCCTGAAAGGCCATGTGACCAGAACAGCATGGGCTTTGGAGCCCTAATAACTGGGATTCAGATTTCACTGTCACTCCCTGGACCCACCGTGCCAAGGTCAAAGAGAGCTATGGCTACTAGAATTCCCTGAGGATTTCCTGTGACTCTGTGTCTAGTGCTAGATCTGGACACCCATTATTTCAATGAACATTTCTAGTTTTCTTAGTTTTCAAGGCTAAATGGACACTGTAAGACAATGTACAGGTTGAGCATCCCAAATCCCAAAATCCCAAATTCAAAATATTCCGGAAGTCAGCATATTTTGAGTGCTGACATAATGCTCAAAGGAAATGCTCATTGGAGCATTTGGATTTCAGATTTTCAGATTTGGGATGCTCATCCTGTAAGTATAATGCAAATACTCCAAAATCCAAAAAATTCAAAATCCAAAATACTTCTGGTCCTGAGCATTTTGGATAAGGGATACTTGTATAGGCATCTAAAAGAATGACAGGCGTTGATAGCATTGGTTTTATCTCATTTTTCTTTTCAACTCTCTTGAATTTTATCCAAATGTGTCTGCAGTTTGGCTTTTTTTCATTATTTTTTATACTTGTTTTTCATAATTATTAATGCAAGAAATTGCTTCAGACACAGCACTTATAGGTCAATGCTTCTAAAACTATGGGAACCAGTTTTCTTTTTTAAAAAACTTTCAATTCATTGCAGAATGATATTTTGCTAAATCACCAAAAAACAGTCTAGAAAAACCCTGAAGCTCCTGTTTCACAGCAATATGAAATTGCTTGAAACATTTCTAAATGCTTGCTTCCAGTTTCTTTCCTCCTCTGATGTTATACTGGTAGAAAACAGGTGGCACACCCACACCAGTTTGTGGGCCACCCTGTGCATGTCACTGTCATAGAGTCACTTGCCGTGTGTGTGTGGCACTTGCTGTGTCATTATTGAGGTAGCAACACTGCATGTGACAGTTACAGTTGGCCCTCTGTATCTGCGACTCTGCATCTGTGATTCAACCAACTGGGGAGCAAAAATACCGGGCGGGGAGAATGCATCTGTACTGAACGTGTACAGACTTTTTTCCTTCTCTTTATTCCCTAAACAATATGGTAGAACAATTATTTACATAGCACTTACATCATATCAGGTACTGTAAGTAATTTAGAGATGATTTAGAGTATACAGGAGGAGGTGTGTAGGTTCTATTGCAGATACTAAAACATCATTTAATAGAAGGTACTGGAGTGCCCATGGATTTTGCTATCCGTGTGGAGTCCTGGGACCAATCCGCCACCCATACCGAGGGATGACTGTACCGCCATCCGCTGTGGGCAGGCAGGGTTCATGCCATTTTCTTCTGGCTTGTGGCTTTGTTCACATCAGCGAGAGTTCAGAGGTGGAGAGGTGACAAGTGGAGGAGCTTCTGCAACGTCCCCGTTTTACAAATGAGGAAGAGGAAAACTGTTTCCTACAAGTAGGGAATGGCCCAACTGCCGTTCAAAGCTGAGTCTGTGAAATGCTCCTTTTGTGTTTACCAGTGGCTCTCAACTCTGACTGATCATTACAGTCACCGTGGGCTTTAAAAAGTACTTCTTTGAGGTCCTTCCCCTCAGTCTACTGAATCAGAATTTCAGGGGCCAAGACCCAGAAATCCGCATTTTTCAGAAGCCCTCCCAGTGACTAGTGATCAGCTTGGGTTGGGAGCCACGAGTCTAAACTATGTCACTTCCCTCTACTCTGCAGTACAAATGAATTGTCCTTAACCACCAAAGGGATCATCTTCCTACCATATCCCAAGAGGGAGTGCAAAGAGCACAGATAGTAGGGCCATTAAGGTGGAGGTTCAAATCCCCACTCTGTCACTTCCTTGTCCTGACATTTGAGGCTTATAAGCCAACCTCCCTTTGCCTCATTGGTAAGGAAAGCATGCCAGCCCTGCAGGGGGATTGTAGGAATTACATGAGCTGGTGCACCTAATGCCTATAAGAGGCCTGACACTTAGTTGGTGCTCCGGAGTGTGTGAACGCAAAGTGGGGACTGTCTAGGTTCACTTTTTAACAAAACAGGTGCAATGCCATCATCACAGAAAGAGGCTTCAGGCCCCTCCCCACAACCAGAGTAAACTGGGCCTGAAAACGGGTTGTGAGTTTTATAAAACGTAACAGATTCTAAGGCATCGAAGTGAATAATCTTGGAGAGTTTTGAGTATGTGACCCCCAAAGAGCCTCAGTTGCTATTGAAATTTTGGGGGGTGTCTTGATCTAATTAATCAAGAAGCATCTAATTTGTTAGCTGGAGGAGGGTGAAGCATGATTTACTTGAATGTGATTAGATGGAGGGAACATTCTGATATGAAAGGAAATGCCAGAGGCGTTTTTGAAAAATTTGTAATCCTTTTCTGATTTGGCAGGTAATTATGATAATTCCTGGTATTTTTACAGACTTAAAAGTTTTCTCACAGCCACATTATTTTTGGAGATCATCTTTCCTGATACTCCAGCTGGAAGGAATTACTCCATCTCCTAAAGCTCTGAAGGCATCATTTTCCAAAGCCCAACTCAAATGTCACTTTCTTGGTGGTGCTTTCCCCCATCTTTTAGGCCAGGGCTACCAAATAGGCATCATCTTGCTGGGCAACACACTGATTGGTTATGACTGCCTAGGTATCTTCTTGAGGAACAGTGATTGATTAGTGCTGTCTGCCAAGGGAACAGCGGGCAGGGGAGTAGTGGCATCCTGAGATACTTACCCAGTCCCCTTTGATAGGCATTGAGGTGGATCCCAGCCATTTGGAGTTAAACTTGTATTTTGAGCTCACATGCAAGTAGAGAGGCAGGATTTCTGCCCAGCCATGATTTGTTAAATCGAAGGTGAGTGATTTAAAAAATTTGATAGACTTGGAACCCACCCAAATGTCCAACAATGATAGACTGGATTAAAGAAATGTGGCACATATAGACCATGGAATACTATGCAGCCATAAAAAATGATGAGTTCATGTCCTTTGTACGGACATGGATGAAGCTGGAAACCATCATTCTCAGCAAACTATGGCAAGGACAAAAAACCAAACACCGCATGTTCTCACTCATAGGTGGGAGTTGAACAATGAGAACACATGGACACAGGAAGGGGAACATCACACACCGGGGACTGTTGTGCGGTGGGGGAAGGGGGGAGGGATAGCATTAGGAGGTATACCTAATGCTAAATGATGAGTTAATGGGTGCAGCACACCAACATGGCACATGTATACATACGTAACAAACCTGCACGTTGTGCACACGTACCCTAAAACTTAAAGTATAAAAAAAAAAATTTGATAGATGTTGCCAAATAGGCAAGTTACTTAAACTTCTTGAATCTTCTACCTTCTCTCCAGCCCAAAAGATGAAACCCAGATGATGACTCATAGTCTTTGCACCTCGTTAACTGATAAGTTGTGCACCTTGCAAGCACAAGTTCAGAACCACAACTTCTGCTGGCTAGGTGGTGTCCTTGGGCCTTTTGGAGAATCAAGGCTTCATTCCTGGTCCTCTGTCCCTTGCTGGGCTGGGTTTGTGGCTGTGTCAGCCCTGGTCTTTGTATCTCCACCTGGCATTTACTTTTGATTTGTCACTGTCATAGTGTTGTCAAATGGCATCTCCTCCTTAACTACCTGCAGATGGATTAATTTTCATGAAATACAACAACTGAGGATAGAAGGAAGCACATCAGACTCTCAAACTGATGATGTCAGGACACAAGTGCCTGGTGGGGATATAGGCGTGGGATATAGGCGTTGGATATGGCATGGGAGGCTGCCTGGCATGTCCCAAGGCTCATTAGATAGGTGACTCCCGAATGTTAACTCTTGGAGGGGTGGGCCTTCCCTGACACCCTGTCTTCTCTCCGAGTCACTCTAGCATAATTTACCAAATGTCAAAGGATGTGAACTGTGTGGCTCTCCTTTCTCCTCCCTAAGATCCTAGCACTGTGCCTGGAAGATGGCTAGCAACTCTGTGGTGCTCTTGCTTCGGGGCACACTGAGTGCTCCCCACAGCATTTCTATCTCCTTGGTGTGGCACATCATGGCCTTTCTCCATCTGGCCCCTGGACACCTACTTGTCTGCCACTTCCTCCATGTCTCCTGTCATGATCACCCATGTCATAAAACCAGCTCTCATCCACTGGGAACTTATCCTGCCCCAGATGTGCTGCCAAGCCTGCTAAGTGCGGCATCTCTTGCCATCCTCACAGTGGCCTGGTGAAATGGGTGTGGTTTTTAATGCCCATTTCATAGACGCACAGCCACAGGCTCATACCAGAACACACACACTGTCAGTAACTGATCAAGCCCAGGCCCATCTTGCACCAAGGCCCGATGCCTGAACCACCTCTCTCCGCCTCCTCCCTGCCAGCCTCTGGTGCCGGCATTTGCACCTGTAGTTTCCTCCACTGGTCATACCTTTCTCTTCCTTGTCTCCAGGGTGACCTCTTATTGCTCAACATGTTTATGGAGCAGAGAAGGCCTGTGGGGACTGAGTGAGTTAGTGAGACCCCAAGAGGGAGAAGGGGGATTGGAGAGAAAGGCTGGGGCTGCATCTTGAAGGAGTTTGGGTTTTACTCTTAAAGCAGTGGAAGCACTGAAAGTATTAAACAGCAGGTGACAACATTAGATGTTACTTTGGGAAGATCATTGTGCCTGCTTGGAGGAGAATGGATTGGAGGGCACCTGTTCTCTCTCTGTCCTATTTTCTGTGGGTGTTGAAAAATAAGAAGGTCAGATGAGAACCCATAAGTGCCCTCAAAGCCTAATAAAAATTCCAAGAGGCAGTGGTTGTGCAGCCTACTTTTATTTTTGTGATAACAGGAACTCTTTGTGATCTCACATTCTCTCTTCTGAGGCTCTTTCTGAGTCTTGAATTTATTTCTAGTTATACTGGAGTTTGGAAATAGTTATTCGAGGAACAGTAAGCTCAGTGTGGTTTATGTAAGATGAAAGCTGTTGATACCAATGGCTGTAGGTAGGGATATGTGATATAAAAACTCAGAGTTTCAGAGGTTAGCTTAGTAACAATGAACATCATAGTTTTAATGGTTGCTGGAAATTATTTGATCAAATTTTGTCTCTTAAGTTGCATGGGATTTTTCCTTTTCATTCCCTAGTGAAATGAAAGATTTGCCTGATGTGGTCAAGTTCTGCTCTTCTGGCTGTGGAAGAGCACCAGGGTTTTGACAGCTTATGGTAAACACAACTTGGATCTGGGACGTTTCGGTGTTTCCTGCATTTATGGAAAATTGCAGTAACACTCTGGCTCCCACTGCAAAACAAAACAGAAACAAAACACAAAACCCTGCTTGGCTTTGGAAATGGCAGTGGCATTTATTTAAGGCTCACATTTTGTGGGGGCACATTGGCAGGTATTTAGCAGTAATATCGGCAGCTGTGGATTTCTGGTTTGCTGCGTGGTGAATGGATTCACAGCCCAGAGGAAGCTCGTGGGGGGTTTATGTGATTTCTGTGTGGAGGAGGCACAAAGGCATTATTAGCAGTACTGTGTTTGTTTGTTAAAGGCCCAAAGACGATCGACTCAACCTTTTCTTATCCAAAAGGAATAAGGTAACAAAGGAATATTAATTTTACATCTGTACAAAGAAAAAAGCTGGCAGAAAGGCTCAGTGACTTATTCTGCCTTTGTTAATTGCATGGTTCTTGCAGTATCTTTTGTGTCATTTTCACTTACTATTTCATATTTCACACTGGTTTGAAAGCGTCTGTACCTCAGGGACAGAAGGGGGTACCTTTGGAGGGGAACTCACAGAGCAAGTTACTGGAAGCCTGATATATTTCATGTTGATTGCACAGTGGCTCCCTTGTATTTCAGATGAAGAATTTTAATTCTTTATAAAGGGTCTAAGTGGCTTCTCTCACTGATGAAGGGGAGCTCAAATAAAAGTAGAAAGAATGAGAAGGAAACATACCCCTTTGGCTATCATTCATATCTTGGCGGATTCTCTTCTGTGAGTTACCCTTCATACAACAACAAAAAAAGAGGGCTCCCTTTTATTCCTCCTCAGATACGACACACATTTAGCGACCCCTGTTTTTTCCACAGAGCTTCTCCCTGTATCCCTCCTTTACTCTGACAGTGTCTTCTGTAGCTCATGTAAAGTACTTACTGCAAATGGCCTGGTATTGTTTTCGCACTGCATACAGTGTAGTTAGTGCTTAGGTGAGTCCTGGGGCGTTGGAGGGGTGATCTCTTGGGAAGGTTAGGGAGCTAGGGGTCTAGATAAGGATCTGCCTGACCTCGCATTCTGGGGACTTCTCTTAAAGATGCTTGCAGGATTCTTCCTTCAGGGTTCTTGGAGAGTGTAGCAGGATTACATCTCACATTTCTCTAAAAGGCTTAAGTAAATTATAGTTGAATAGTCTGTACATTGACTATAGACCATCTGTAGTCACCTCCAGTTTTATTTATTGGGGATCAGCTGAGAATATCGAATAATTCAATTTGGAAAAATTCAGCAGCTTACAGCTGGCCCAAATGGGTTGCATGTGGGCAGAGTGGAGTGGCAGGACCACAGCGCATAGCCAGGGCTCTGGTGTCAGTTCCTTGTTAGATGTCTGACCTTGACAGAGCGAGATCTTATTAAAAAAAAAAAAAAAAAAAAAAAAAAAAAAAAAGAGAGAGGAAAAAAAAAGCCCAAGGTCCAAACATGATCTGATACCATCCTATTTGGACCATAACTTCATACTGTTGACTCTGAAGTGTCGGTATGAAGCAGGTCAAGACACATTGAGCTTATGGGTGGATTGCATGGTTCACAGGTAAGCAGTGTCATTGACTCCAGCCCCAACAGCCTACAGATGTTTTGCTGACAGGTGTCAGGAAGGAGAGTCCAGAGAAGGCGGGATTGGTCCCTGGGGAATGTCTGCCTCTAAGCCTCACCTTTCCGTGCTTGTGTTCCAGGTGGCAGAGATGCATGGCGAGCTGATTGAGTTCAACGAGCGCCTGCACAGGGCCCTGGTAGCCAAGGAAGCCCTCGTGTCCCAGATGAGGCAGGAGCTCATCGATCTCCGGGGACCGGTGAGTGTTTCCCCAACCCTGTGTGTCTGTCAAGCCTCTGCTGCCCACAGCCCAGTAGAAAAGCACAGAGACTCACAGAGCAAGCAACCATGCATCCACTGGCCAGATTTGCCCACATTCACCTCTGCCACATTTGCTTTTTATTTTTTATGGGGAGGGGGTAGAATAAGTAAAATGTTACAAGTTCTGTTGAAGCAACATTTCCTGTTTCTCCTTCTAGTCATCTATAGTTAAAATTGGCATATAGTCCCCTCCCCCCGCAAACCCATCTTTCCATACTTTACTACATGGGTAAATTTCCATGAGCAGTAAACAGTCTTGGTTTTGTGTTGTTAACTTTTACCTACATGGTATTACTGTTGTATGTATCTGTTTGCCACTTGTTTTTGCTTATTTGTTTTTAATTGAATATTGTGGTTTGAGGAGTAATCCACGTACATCAGGTACAGGGCTTTTCAACCACAGCACTGCTGATATTTTGGATCATGTGATTCTTTATTGTGAGGGCTGTTCTGAGCATTGTGGGATGTCTAGCAGCGTCCCTGGGTTCCACCCACTAGAGGCCAGTAGCTTCACCTCGCCAGGTTTTGACAACCACAAATGTCTCCAGATATCGCCAGATGTCCTCTGCATTTCAGAACCTGGCAGAATCACCCCTGGTTGAGATTCGCTGATCTAGATCACCTACTTGCTTGGTTCTGTAGTTCTCTGTTGAATGAAATAGCACAATATTTTGGATTCAGTAGTGTCTTTGTAAACATTTAGGATGTCTCCAGTATTTTGCTATTACAAACCACAATGCCGTGAGCATCTAACACTTGTCCTTTTGTGCAGACATATAATAGCTTCCTCATTTTACAACTTCTTTATTATGTAAAATGCCCACATTCAGGCAGGCTGTGTAATGCACGCTCATATATCCTTTGTCAGGGTGAACAATTATCCGTCACGGCCAATTGTGTTTCAGGTTATCTACATCTGCTTCCTCCTCCTATATCATTTCAATCAAATTCTGGGTATTATTTCATGTATAGACATCTTTGTATTTATCTCTAAAAATACAAAAAAAAATACAATATCCTTATCACCCCCATTACCAGTAATTGCTTTGTGTCATCACAGTCAGTGTTCAAATTTCCAATTGCCTCATACCTTTGAATAGTTTTTTTGATTCAGGATCCATGTGAGACCCATGCATTGTAATTGGTTAATATGTCTCTATGTTGCTTTTCCTTTAAATTTTAAAAATTAGGGTAAAATATACCTAACATAACTTGTACCATTTTAACCATCGTTAAGTGTACAGTTGAGTGGCATTAAGTACGTTCACACATTTTGAGGCCATCGCCACCACCCCTCTCCAGAACTTTTCCATCTTCCCCGACTGAAGCTGTCCCCTTTAAACAGTCAGTGCCTGCTCCCCACTCCCCCTAGCCCTTGGCGACCATTCTACTTTGTTCCTCTATGAATCCACTACTGTCTTAGGTTTCTTTTCTTCAACAGAGTCTTCTCTCATCTCTCTCTCTCCCCTTCTCTCTCATAATTTGTTTACTGAAGACACTGGATTTGCCTTACAGAGGTTTTCAACCCCTCAGCTTTGCTGATGGTATCTCTGTAGTGTGATTCGATATGCTTCTTCATTTCCTGTATTTCCTTAAATTAGAGGCTTGGATTCAGGTTTAATTTTGCTGATTATATGACTGTGTCGTTGGGTGGTGTTTTCTGTCAGGAGATGCCTAATGTTTGCTATCTTTTTGTGATATTAACAGCCATCTCTTATCACTTCCTGGGTCCATTACACAAACGTTTCTTTAAGGTCAGTACCTAAGTGTGAAATTGCGGCGTTTTAGTGTATGGCGTCTTAAACTTTACTGAGTTTTGCCATTTTATAAAGTAAAAGCACCTATTTATTAACCCCCTGTTTGTGTGCAAAAGTTCCTGCTGACGCTTTTACATCCCTGCTGTGATATTTTATATATTTGTGTTTTCATCCGCTGTTCCTGGCCCATAATTCCCGTAGCCCTTGTTGTAATGTTGGAGGCACTTTAGGCCTCAGAAGAAGGGCAGATCACTTGAGATCAGGAGTTCGAGACCAGCCTGGTCAAAATGGTGAAACCCCGTCTCTACTAAAAATACAAAAATTAGCCAGGCATGTGGTGGGCGCCTGTAATCCCAGCTACTCAGGAGGCTGAGGCATGAGAATTGCTTGAACCCAGGTCAGAATCTCTCTGACCTTCTCCTGCTCTCTTTTCACCTCTTCCTTTTTCTACCCAAGGCAGGACTCTAATCTTCCCCTGCTATCCATAAAGAAATTGACCCCTATTGTCTGATTGTAGGTCACAAGACCCCCATTTCAGAAGGGGTCCAGCCCCGCACCCTGGAGGAAAGAATACTGCACAGAGAAGCCAGGAAGCATCTGGACAGACAGGCCTTGCAGGGTCTCCCCACTCAGTCTGTTCGTCTTAGACCATACCCTTTTTATCCAATCACGTTGTTAATCTTGATTATCCAGTGATGTCTCCATAAAAGGCCCAGGAAGACAGGATTCAGGGAGCTTCCAGGTAGCTGAATAAGTGGAGATTCCTGGAGGTTGATACATGGGGAGAGCATGGAAGCTCCGCACCGCTTCCCATACCTTGGCCTGTGCATGTCTTCACTGTATCCTTTGTAATATCCTTTATAATCACCAGAAAATGTGTTTCTCTGAGTTCTGTGAGCTGCTCTAGCAAATTAATGGAACCCAAGAAGGGGGTTGTGAGATCCGCATTTTATTGCTAGTGAGTCAGAAGTACAGGTAAAATAACCTGGGGCTTGTGGTTGGCATCAGAAGTGAGGGGCGGTCTTGTGGGACTGAGCCTCACCCTGTGGGATCTGATGCTGTCTCCAGGTAGATGTGTCAGAATTGAATCAGAGGACACCCAGCTGGTGTCCGCTGCAGAACTGATTGTTTGGTGGTAGGGAGAAACCCCCACACATTTTGTCCCAAGAAGTCGTCTTTGTTGATGGTTGTGGTATGACAGCAGAAGGAAAATGGTTCATGTTTTCCCACTTGTACCTACCAATACCTTTTTGCATGAGATGGGTTTAACTTGCATTTCCCTGACCACAGATGAGGTTGCCTATCTTTTCATTTGCCTGTTCCCCATTCTGGGTTTCACATATGACTTCTCACAGCCTTTGTCCATTTTTCTACTGCACAGTATTTGGTTTTCTTGCTTTCTCACTGTTTTTATATCTCCTTTTCAGTTACATGTATTTTACATATCTGCTCCTAGTCTTTGGCTTAATCATTCACTTTAAAAGTAGAAAATTTAAAACATACGTAAAAGCAGAGGGAATGATGTAACAAAAACCCATGTCCCTATCACTCGGCCTCAGTAATAATCAACTCAAGGTCATTCTTGCTTTGCTCATACTCTACTCATTACTTCTCAACTCACATTATTTGGATGTATATCCAATCCATCTTATGCTTTCATTCATAAATACCCAATATTTACTGCTAAAATATATTCACAATACCATTATCACACCTATTTTTATTTTATTTATTTATTTTTTTGAGACTGAATCATGCTGTATCGCCCAGGCTGGAGTGCAGTGGTGCGATCTCAGCTCAATGCAACCTCCGCCTCCTGGGTTCAAGCAATTCTCATGCCTCAGCCTCCTGAGTAGCTGGGATTACAGGCGCCCACCATTATGCCTGGCTAATTTTTGTATTTTTAGTAGAGACGGGGTTTCTCCATTTTGGCCAGGCTGGTCTCGAACTCCTGATCTCGAGTGATCTGCCCGCCTCGGCCTCCCAGAGTGCTGGGATTACTGGCGTGAGCCACCGCACCTGGCCTAACACCTATTGTTAACAGTAATTTCATGATATCATGAAATACCCAGTCAGTGTTCAATATTCTCCAGTTAGCTCAAAAGAGTTTTCCATGTCTTTGTGTTGATCAGGACCCTGATAAAGTTCATATAGTGCAGTTGGTTGGTGTGCCTCTTCAGGCTCTGTTAATTTGTAGATTCCCTTGCTGTCACTCTCTTTTTTCCCTTGTCTTTTTTGTCATTATTGTGGAAGACACTTGGCTCCTTGAACTGTAGGTTTTCCCAGTTAGGATTTTGCTAATTGCAATCCTATGGTGATGTTTGTCATGTTCCTCTGTCCCTTACCTTGCCTTTAAATTGGTCATTCACTCTGGAGGCTTGATGAGTTTCAGGTTTGGTTTTTTGCCCCAACGATGTCACAGGTGGTGGTGTGTGTTTCCATCAGGAGGCTCATAAATGTTGGTCTAGGAAAGCACTATTGGAGGTGCGAGTTCACACCAGACCCCATTTGTTTCAGTGGGGCCAGTATACAAATGTAATCCCCATCCCCCCACCCCCTACCGTATTGAAAGCCTAATAGTGCAGTCCCTGACTGAGTTTGCTTCCCTAATTCCTGACAGCTCCAAGACTTTGTACATGTTTTTGTGGATTTCTTTAAGTAGGTAGTTAGGAGTTTCCTTAAGAGGAAGCATATTTAGGAAGGACCTGTTGTATACTAAGAACCCTTTCAGGGAGGTGATATCATCTCCATTTTACAGGTTTACTGAGGTTCAGAGAAGCCTCCAGTCATTCTGTGAGTGTGTATGTAATAGAGCCTGGATTCAGACTCCGGTTTAATTACAAAGCCCATTTTCTTTCTCCAAGCTACACCAGCTCTAGAGAATTGCAGGAACGGGTATGGGAGAGGGGGTCCCCTTACGGTACCCATTTCCACCAGCCAAGGTTCCAGCATCCCTGCAGTGGCCCTGCCACCCGTGTTGCACATTAGAGACTTGGGCAGCATCTAATCTACCTCCTCTGAGAAAGGACAATGGGATGTGGGGATGGAGGCCTGGCTGTGACCTGTCTCCCAGTGTGAGTGGGGTAGGTCTTGAAGGTGGGCCAGCCTCTCTGTTGTCCCTGCCCAACACCAGGGGTCCCAGCCTACTCCAAGGCTAGCCTTGCAAGAGAGGGGCTCAGTGGGCAGTCAGGAACCAGGCAGTGGTCCCATTTCTTAGGACAGGTTCAGTGTCAGGTGGTAAATGGTAGGTGACTGTTGTCACTGTAGATAAATTTTTGGAGAGCAACGTCAGTGCATCATTCTCATTGTGGATAATAAAACCCGATTAACCTGTACAAATGAATAACTGCTGATATTAATAGCTAATATTTATTAATTGATATCAGTCAAAAATTTGGCTTCCCTCTTGTATATTAGTAATTCATTTAATCCTCACGTGGCCTAATAGTAATTAATATTATGATGGCCATTTTGCAGAAGACAAAGCTGAGACTCAGAAATGATGCAACTCTCCCAGCATCCCACACTGAGAAGTGGCACTTCTGGATCTGACTTAAAAAATTAAATTTTTGGTTTTTTAAATTTATTTTTTTCTTAAACTTTTTTTCATATTATACAATATGATATACTAATGGTAATATTTTTGCTTTTAACAGTTGGGAAGTATCAAAATTTTTAGACTCATGACAAACCTTAGCATCCCCATGCTAAGAAGTTAAGTAGTAAAAAAGGGTGAAATAAATTTCTTCCTTTCTCTTACCCCCTGATTTTCCTACCTGGAATCTGTAACTGTTACCAGTCTTGGGTTTCTCTTTCTAGGTATGAGTGATGCCTCAGTACACCGCTTTATTGCGCCTATACATGTTAATAACGAGCACATGCCTATACATGTTAATAACGAGCACATGCCTATACATGTTAATAACGAGTAGCCTGCTGAATTCCTTGTTCTGTGTCCTACCTTTCCTCATTTAACAGTGTGCTTTAGAGATCTTCTAATTTTACTTCACGAGTAGAATTGTTGTTCATTTTAAGAACCGTGTCTTGTTCCCTTGAACTGACAAAACCGTAATGGATTTCCCCAGGTCCCTGTTGGATGTTGCATAGTTTCCCGTTTTTGTTTTTACAGTAATGTTGGGATAGCATCCTGGGTGGAAATCCTCAGTGTAGATGAAATCCTCCCTTTAGCCTGGAAGGCTGGCTGGCAGTCCACAGGGCTCAGTTAGACTGGGTGAAAACCCAGAGATCTTGCCCTGCAGGACTCTTGGGGCTTTGGAAAGGGTGACCACCTCCTCCCAGCCTCCTCCACCTGCTGCAGGAATATCCCTTTTGAGGCTCAAAATCCTTTCAGAGGTCACGATGTAGTTCCAACAACGCGTTGGGCATCCAAATTAAGTATTTTCCCTTTTTATGAATTTGACAACTGAGTTGCAGAAGGATTTTGGCTGCTGCACTCCCCCCCCACCCCCCCCCCCACCAGTTTCTCCTCATGCTCCCCCAGGGTGCTGGACCTCCTGCCCTGTGCTGCCCCCCACCCAGGGCCTTTGTTCCTAGTGTTCCCTCGCCTGGAACACTGCCCAGTGCCAGGGCTGCATATCAGCTCAACGCTTCCTCAGGAATCCTCCCTGAAGCCCTGACAAGGTCACACTTTCCAAGTTGACTATGATGCTGACATGTGTCTCTCCCTTCCTGTCTTAATGTCATGTTACATTGATTTATCACTGATCAGTGTTATCTTTCCCGCGTCCACAAGGGCAAGTTTTTGTTTCTTTCTGCTCCCTTTGGGTTTCAGTGATTCACATGGTAGGTGTTCAGTAAATGTGGGTCAACTCATTGAGTGAATGAATGAATGTCACCAGTGGGCCCCCATGCCATGCCAGCCCATCTCTCCTCTGTGCCATGCTCCCTCTGCCCAAGTCTGATGCCCTGCAGGACAGAGACAGCCATTTACACAGAGGCAGCTCTCATCATCAGATCCTTTCCTCTGGCAGGCTGTGATGGCCAGAAGGGAGGAGCAAGTAAAACGGTCACTAAGGGCCTGAAGGCTGTCAGAAGAGCTTGCCATTTGGACCGGGTCCCCAGGGGATACCCCATTATTGCCTCAGGCCTGCTTTGGTCGTCATCTCAGAGTCAGACAGCCAGGGCAGAAGAAAGAAGGCCGTTTCCAGCTCAGTTTTCCTCCTGGAGTCGTCTTTTGTTTTTTTCTCTGGCTTTTCACTGTAAGAGGCATCTATTTATGGGAATCTCAGCCACTTCCCTCTTCCTTTCCATGGGGCCTGGATCCCTGACCACACTGGATTAGGCTTCCTCCCAGACACCAGGGTGTTCGAGTGACTCAGGGTCAGGACTGTCTACTTTAGGTGGAAACCCAAATCTCCTCTTCTATCTGCTGGGAATAAACATAGTGCTGACCATAGTGCGAGGTTCTGTGAGATTCTGCCAGTGAAACAGTGCTCTCTGTGCTGGCCCTCATGTCCCATTTCCGACTCCGATCCCCTGTGCCTAGCACCATTCCCAGCATGTAGTAGGTGCTCAGTAAATGTTTGCTACATGATGACTTCATTTTCATAGGGCAGAGGCTGAGTGCATAGACCAAATGATAATTCGGAAAAAAGAGATGAGCAGGGTTAGTTTCCTTTCAGTGGTATCTTTTTATAATGCAGGTTGAGTAGCTCTTTTCTGAAATACTTGGGACCACAAGTGTTTCAGATTTCTTTACATTTTGGAATATTTGCATTATACTTGTGGGTTGAGCATCCCTAATCCAAAAATCTGAAATCTGAGGTACTCCAAAATCCAAAATTTTTTGGGTGCCAACAGGATGCTCAAATGAGATTGGAACATTTTGGATTTCAGATTTTAGGATTAGGAATGCTTAACTTGTATCACTATATATACTTTACTTTTTTTTAGAGACAGGGTCTTGCTGTGTTGCCCAGGCTGGAGTGCAGTGGCACCATCATAGCTCGGTGTAACCTCAAACTCCTAGACTTAAGCAATCCTCCTGCCTCAGTCTCTGGAGTAGCTAGGACTACAGGTGTGCGCCACCAAGCCTGGCTTGTTTGTTATGTTATGTTATGTTATGTTATGTTATGTTATGTTATGTTATGTTATGTTATTTTTGTAGAGGCAGGCTCTCACTATATTGCCCAGACTGGTTTTGAACACCTGGCATCAAGCGATCCTCCTGCTTTGGCCTCCCAAATTGCTGGGATTATAGGTGTGAGCCACCAAACTTGGCCTGTGTATCCTTTTAAGCTAAGACACTTTTAAGGAACAGGAGTTTGGGATTAAGGATTGAATTTTTCTCTCTTCTTCTTTTTTTTTTTTTTTACTGTGAGTATTTTTAGGACTCTTATTATGTTTTTCCCCTTTGGTATAAGATGTGAATGAATGCTGGAGATTTTTACCTTTTAGCGGGATTTGATTACACTCTGGGAGAAGAGCTCCCGGTTTGAGTAAGAAATGGAGACAGGGAAATAGAACCTTGTAAGACTGCAAGTTATAGAGGTCAATTAAAGACACAGCGCGGTGAAAGCTAAAGGTGAAGCCACTCATTAAATGCAGTTTGTTCCCATGGTGGATGCAAACACGAGCTCACTTCATATAATGGACATTGGATTCCTCTTTATTTTGGTCCCACTGGCAAGGCTCTGTTTCTCTGTCCCGTTTCTGATCACCTCCACTTAAGCAGAAAAGATGGCCTGGCTTGGTAAGACTTGCTGCCTGTGGAACCACTGCCCTGACTCCAAGCATCCATGCTGTCGGCTCCTTCCCCACCACCTCCGCTCTCTCACTTGTCCCTTCCCTTGTCTGTTTGATGAGGGAACCACCCTTTGGCAGAGCTTTGCTGTGTGTTTGGTGTGCATTTTTTTCCTTGCACCCTCTAGGCAGTCCTTATAATTTTCTTATTAGGCCCATTTTTCAGCTGAGCAAATTGAGGTACAGAGAGGTTTTGTGACTCACCCAAAGGCACACAGCTTCATGGTAGCACCTGAATGTAAACCCAGGACTCTTTTGTTCCATACCACCACACTGCTCACTCTTTATTTTATGTTTTCCAATTTCAAGCAAAATATGGTGTCTGTTGTGCTCCAGGCACAGCACTCTGGATGGTTTTAAACATTCAGATACTTCTGTGGTGAAGCTCTTAAACATGCCCATTCTTCATCTGCGAAGTGAATCTCTCCCTTTCTTATCTCTCCTTCTCACTTCATACATCAGGATTTGTGTGTGTGTGTGTGTGTGTGTGTGTGTGTGTGTGTGTTTAGCATACTCATCACATGGTGTTTATGTCAGGCTCTTCGGAGGCCGGGCGTGGTGGCTCATGCCTGTAATCTCAGCACTTTGGGAGGCCGAGGCAGGAGGATCACTTGAGGTCAGGAGTTCGAGACCGGCCTGGCCAACATGGTGAAACCCCATCTCTACTCAAAATACAAAAATTAGCCATGCATGGTGGTGCGTGCCTGTAATCACGGCTGCTTGGGAGGCTGAGGCAGGAGAATCGCTTGAACCCGGGTGGCGGAGGTTGCAATTGAGCCGAGATCACGCAACTACACTCCAGCCTGGGTGACAGAGCAAGACTCCATCTCCAAAAAAAAAAAAGGCTCTTTGGAAACTTGTAATCTAGAGAAGGCAGAGTTGCCCAAAAGCAGAACAGTGGGCCGGGCGCGGTGGCTCACGCCTGTAATCCCAGCACTTTGGGAGGCCGAGGCAGGCGGATCATGAGGTCAGGAGATCGAGACCATCCTGGCTAACATGGTGAAACCCCGTCTCTACTAAAAATACAAAAAATTAGCCATGCGTGGTGGCGGGCGCTTGTAGTCCCAGCTACTCGGGAGGCTGAGGCAGGACAATGGCATGAACCCGGGAGGTGGAGGTTGCAGTGAGCAGAGATCGTGCCACTGCACTCCAGCCTGGGCGTCAGAGTGAGACTCTTGTCTCAAAAAAAAAAAAAAAAAAAAAAAAAAAATCAGAACAATGATTGAGTGGGGGGTTTGCATAGTTGCTTCATATATTTTTAAAAAAGGACCTGGGGTTCTGTGATGCAGTAAGCCTGAAAACTGTTGGATTAGAGATAGTTTGATAGTCTTCCTTACTGTGGGATTTCCCTCAAGGGTCACACACGGGGGTGCTCCGTGCTTCTCCAAAGGGATGGGCTAGGTACAGCAGCATTTCCCAAAATTATTTCCCCAAGGAACACTATTGCAGTCATTATGTTCCAGAATTATTTCCCTGAGGAACATCTTCTCTAAGAAGATGGTCATGGAGCTATTTTCCGACGAGTGCATCTGGGAAAGGTAGGGCCATTAAATGTCATGTTTTTTTATTGATGTACTAGCTAGCAGGGAGCTCATCAGAGCCTGCCTTATCTCATGAGCCTGCCCTGGCATGGAGTCTGCAGGGCCCGGAGGAGAGGAAGTGACATAGCGTGGCTGTGGGGTGCAGTGGGCCTGCCTGTGTTTAGTCCCAGGTCCAACTGGCCTCCCACCCACTCACCAGCCTGGTCAGAGTTTGGTCTAGAACAGCACTGCCTTTCCCAGGAACTTTGGGCCTCTGCCACCTGGGCTGTCTCTTATATTCTGCATTTTCTCCCACTCTCTCCATTTCTCCTCCTGTTTTCGTGTCTTTGTTTCTTCTTTGGTCTCTGTGTGCTTCTCTTTTTGTTTTTCTTTTGTGTCTTTCTCTCCCTCTCTCTCCTTTTGTTTCTCTCTCTGCTCCTTTCTTTGTCTCTGCCTCTGTCTCTCTCTCTCTCTTTCTTTTCCTCTGTCTGTCTCTTCCCCCTGCCTGACTCTCTCTCTCTGTGGTTGCAATCCTCTCCCTCTCCCTTCCCTTCCACTCTCCCATTGTCTCCAGTTTAATAAAGATTTACATTGCTGTATGTTACCATGATAATTGCCATTCATTACAATTGCCCTGAAAAACTACAAAGCCTTTCCATCTCCCCTTCATCATCCAAGCCTTGTGTGTTTTGTGAGGGTCCCTGTGGAGTGGGCCATTGCCTGCCTTCCAGCATATGGCTGACCCCTGATGAGTGTTTCTGGAGCACTTTGTGCTGTGTTGTTTGCCACTCTGCAGTACCACTTGGCGTTGACTTCCATTTTCCCCTGTGGACCTGGAGCTTCCCTGAGACAGAGACTGTTGTCTTCATTTTCCTACCCTCAGAGCCTGGAACACGTAATCACTCAGGGAGCATATGACGTATACATCTGAGTGTACACCTGGAGTATCTCTGGCAACACTCTGTTCACTAGCACGTTCGATTATCCAGAAAGCTGCCTTCCTGTCTTGCTCAATAACACCTCATGTGGGTCCTCGCTGTGAGCCGTCTGTGTTACCTGGGGCACCTTGCTTCCTCTGAGATGACTGAGCTGATGGGAGAGAAAGATGAGTAATTTCATATCCAGGGATGAGATAGATGGAAAAACCCCATCCCAAGTTTTGTAATAAGATTCACTATACAATAAAATGCTCCCTGGGACTTTCTTGGTTTCTTTAAAACCTTCGGAGGGAGTGATCTCATTTGAGGGCTGATGCGATTTAAGTATGAAAGCTTAATAAGAAATCTATTTTTCTGCCGGGTGGCACTTGCCGCATAGCTAATGATCAAGTACCAAACTGTCTCCTGTCCCACGGCAATGTTAAACTTCGTGTTCCAAATTATAAGAGGCTTTTTAACTCAGCGCTTGGACATCCCTGTTTTAATCATCTGCCGTCTTGAAGGAGATTATTTTTAAAAGTGCCATTTAAGAGGGGCTACTAAAAATATATCTCACATAGAGGCTTAACTCAGAAATATTAGCCTTTGACACAAAATTATTTGGAAAGATGCTTGTGGAACCCACTTTAAACCTCTAGATCGAGAGAAGAAAAGCATCTCTTTGGGCCTAGCTGTGTTTTCCTGACCATGGCCAAATACCCCAAGTGATCACATGCTCCTTGCTGTTCATGCAGGTGCTTCTTGCACCTGGGGGGAGTTGGAAGTATTAATATCACAGAGCTTTCTTTTCTGATGCACTTGTGTGAAACTCATCTTTTACATGGCTTGCTCATCACCATGGGTGGTCAGTTTCCCCTGGGGACCCATGAGGGGCTGGACTCTAGGGTTTGAGTGGAGGAGTTTGGTTGTCCAAGGCATCCAGCTGTGGAACTTTACACTTCCCTGAAGATCAAAGTTTCGTGTCAGCTGGCAAATGCAGTGTATGCAAGCTTATCTTTAAAGCTGGTCCTATGTTGATGCAAATAGAAAGCATTGGCAAGGTGCAAAATAATCAAGATTTAGAAACTTGGTACTCTATAATGACTTCAGCTGTGAGTCAAGAGAGGCATTTTCCACACTGGCTTACATCGCCTGTCGGTCACTGTGTTTTGTGTGGCCACTTTACCCAATGTGAGGAAGACTACGGAGATGTAGCAGACGTGGAAAATACAGTCCCTGCCTTTGAGAAGGTCAAAGCCCAGAATATATTTTGTGTGACTTGTGTCTCTCTGGCTTCACTTCATGGTTATTTGGCATGGAGACAGAGGTCCTGCTTGGATAATGCTGAGATCTTTCCTGCCACTGATCCTGAAGGAATAGAAGCTGGGATTGGAAGGCAGCTTTTTACCCCTCCGTTCTACCTGTCCTGTCTTCTCTTCTCCAGCATATGTTTGTGAATGCATGGTTTGAGTTTGCCGCTCACAACGTCACCTGCAGGAGAAGTGACAGGCAGCGGCCACCAGGATTCTCCTGGGGCTCACGTGCCCCTTGTTCTCATTTTAGTTACCACCCATTCCTTCTTGAAATGGCCTCTCTGTTCTTTGAATTTCATCTGAACCGGGTGCACAGATATGGATTCATCAAAATCCTGAGCTCATGACCCACATTCATTATTGGTGCAGGAAGGCCTGCTCTGATTGAATAAGTAAGCTTCCTCTGATCTCATTCTTGGTCTCTTATAGAAACTGCCCCCAGACTCCACTCACCTCTCCCACAGGGAGTAATCTCAAGACCCTGGTTCTTTGCTCCTGCCTGGTATGCATGTTATTAGCATGTTCATATCTTTTTTTTTTTTTGAGACGGAGTTTTGCTCTGTCACTCAGACTGGAGTGCAGTGGCTCGATCTCGGCTCACTACAACCTCCGCCTCCTAGGTTCAAGCAATTCTCCTGCCTTAGCCTCCCGAGTAGCTGGGATTACAGGTGTGTGCCACCGTGCCCAGCTAATTTTTGTATTTTTAGTAAAGATGGGGTTTCACCATGTTGGCCAGGCTGGTCTTGAACTCCTGGCCTCAAGTGATCGACCCACCTTGGCCTCCCAAAGTGCTGGGATTACAGGCGTGAGCCACCGTGCCCGGCCGCATGTTCATATCTTAATATGATGTCATGAGCATGGGAAAGGGGTTCCTGTGCCTGGGGCAACCGCGTGGGACTCCTCTAGAAGCTGGTCTGGGCCAGGTCCTCTCCTGTACATGGTCAGGTGATGACACTGTCCTTGACCATTTCATTTCTGTCATCCTAAAAATGTGGACCCTCCCAGTGCTTTCCATTCTGTCTCAGTGCCACCTTGTAAATCTCACTGGCTATGACGCATCCCTCTAGATACTAAGTTAATTTGTTCAATTTCTGCTAAATTAACACACACAGTATTTCCAGGGATACATAATAACCACATGATTATGTTAATAGTTGTACAAGTCTTCTAACTAAATACATTATACTTATTCCTTAATTTAATATATTTATTTCCCTGCATTGAGGGTTCACTTCTTGTTAGTCACACCTTCCGCACAAGTTGCATCTGATGTTCTATGTATTTTTTGAACGATTTCTTCTTATTTGAAAAAATCTTTCTTTGAGGCCAGGCACAGTGGCTGATGCCTGTAATCCCAGCACTTTGGGAGGCTGAGGTGGGCTGATCACCTGAGGTCAGGCAGGAGTTTGAGACCAGCCTGGCCAACGTGGTGAAACCCTGTCTCTACTAAAAATACGAAAAAGTAACTGGGCGTGGTAGCATGTGCCCTTAATCCCAGCTACTCGGGAGGCTGAAGCAGAAGAATCGCTTAAATCCGGGAGGTGGAGACTGCAGTGAGCCAAGATGGTGCCATTGCACTCTAGCCTGAGAGACAGAGCAAGACTCCATCTCAGAAACAAAACAAAACAAAAACAAAAACAAAAAACAATCAACAACAAAAATAAAGGTGGCTGGGTGCGGTGGCTCACACCTGTAATCCCAGCATTTGGGAGGCCAAGGCGAGCGGATCACCTGAGGTCAGGAGTTCGAGACCAGCCTGGCCAACGTGGTGAAAACCCATCTCTACTAAAAATACAAAAATTAGCTGGGTTTGATGGCAAGTGCCTGTAATCCCAGCTACTTGGGAGGGTGAGGCAGGATAATTGCTTGAACCTGGGAGGTGGAGGTTGCAGCAAGTGGAGATTGTGCCATTATACTTCAGCCTGGGTGACAGAGCGAAACTCCGTCTCAAAACAAATAAATGAAGGTACATCTCTGCTTCCTTGTCTCTTGGGCCATCAGTCACGTAGGCACTTTGGGCGAGGCACTGAGCAGCACCAAGGGCATCTTCCGGCGTGTTCTGGGAGGCTTCCCCATCTCCCTGAAATGAGTTTATATAATCTCCTAGTAAAAGTCAATGCTGTTTCGCTGTGTGTTTCATGGAGTTTGGTTCCCTGGCCAGCTGGTCTGTGGGAACCAGAGCAGTTTGTGCCTAGATTCATTGCTGTCTCTTTTCTGGGCGACCAGCACGTTATGTGATTAGATGGGAATAGATATGTTTTGGTAAAGGGATCCCTGATTTAGTTGCAAAAAGCCAAGCCATTGGCTCCCTTTGACCTGTTCTTCTGGAAATAACCTCTTCTTGAGGGGTGGGCACCACCTTGGTATTACCTACACCCCAGTGTTCTTGGGCCACAGCTTTCTTGCCCATGAGGTCTGCAGAGCTGCCGTCCTGGTTTCTGAGGAAGGTGATTTTGTTGATCAGAGTTCAGATGGTGTTCTCCCAGATATTCGAAAATGGAGGGCCTTGTCCATCTCAAAGCGGTGGTTGGGGATGCAACTGATGTTGCCAGCCAGGCGTTGGGGATCAGCCAAGGCTTTTGATAAAGTTGGAAGAACTTCAAGCTCCTTTGGACCAACCTTCCTTCCTTCCTTCCTTTCTTTCTCTCTTCCCTCCTCCCTCCCTCCCTTCCTTCCCTCTTTCCTTCCTTTCCTCTTTCCTAAATAGAGACAGGGTCTTTCTCTGTCCCTCAGGCTGGAGGGCAGTGGTGTACTTATAGCTCACTGCAGCCTCAAACTCCTGGGCTCAGCGATCCTTGCACTTCAGGCTCCGGAGAAGCTGGCACTATAGGTGCATACCACCATGCCTGGCTAATTTTGTTATTTTTAAAATTTTTTTGTAGAGACAGGGTCTTTCTATGTTGCCCATACTGGTCTCGAACTTCTGGGCTCAAGCAATCCTGCCTCAGCCTCCCAAAGTGCTGGGATTATAGGCGTGAGCCACTGCACCCAGCCAGATTTTTATTTCTGTTCGGGGAGAGTGGCTTCCTTTCGTTTCTCCTGTCCAGGGTGTCATTGCCTATGCCAGCCTGAGTGTGTGGGCCTCCTGTGGGAATCGCCACACTGTCCTGTTAGAGCAAAGCTTGCAGCCAACTCTTGCCCCCAGTGCTGCAATGCAACGCAGATATTTTTTAGCTTTGTTTTAAAAATAATATGGCAGATGGCGAAGCAGGACCTGACTCTCGCCTTCGCCCTATGTCTTTTCGTCTGCTCTTTCTCCACCGAGTCCTGTCCCTCAGCATTTGCTCCTCCTGTTCCTTCTACTTCCATCGCTCTGCATTTTCACCATTTGTCTTTTAGAAGACATGGTTTAACATTTTTTCTAAGTTATATAAATAATATAAAAATACATTTCTGAAAGAATATAAATAATGCACAACTATCTAGAGTACAAAAGACAAGTGTTCCCTCCTAGCGATCCTGCTGTGAAGCGTTTGGTATATACCCTTCCAGGTATTTTTTATGCATTTGCATATAGGCAGGCATATATATACACACACACATGCCTAACGCACATCTATTTTTAACACAAATGGGATAATTTATACTGTTCAGATTGTTTTGAGACTTTGCATTCTTCAGTCATGAATATATGTCGACTTCCTCCTCTTTCACACTCTTCCAAATCTTCCCCATCCTTCAAGGTGTCATTCATTCTTTGAGAAAGCCCCTAGTGGCGCTGTCAATAGTGAGTTTTGGTAGGTACGTTTCTAATGTTCTTTAAATTCCTGTAATCCTCTTCCCCTCTGGACCGCTCACTTTGTCTAATCTTATGTTGTTCTTTGTTTATTCATTAGTTAATTAATTCCGTTGAGCTACACTCAGTTATTTGGCCCCCAAGAAGTTTGTCGTCGGTGGAAGACACAGACATACTAAACATACCTTGCCCTGGAGGTTCATGAGGGGGTGGTAGATGGCAGGCTGTTGATGCACAGTAGTTGAATGAAAGAATGAGCAATGAGTAAGAAATAGAATTCTGTAGGTATCAAGTATAATGATGGCACAATGGTGGGGTTAGTTACCTGCTGGGGTATGTCATGGAAGGTTTCAAAGAGGAGACGTTTGACTTGAGTTTTTAAGGATGAGTTGAAGTTGATCAGGAAGATGGGCCTGTTAGGCAGCGGGAATGGTGGTATCAATCGACATGGTTTGCTCACAATATTCTCATTGCTAGTTTCATGGATGTATCCTGTGGCTTCTCCATGAGATAATGAAGTTCTTGAAAGTGGGAGTGTCATTTACACTCCTACCTGCAGACAGGTATACTGGCACTTATTACATACCAAATCCTATTCCATGAGCTGTGCATGTAGTAGCAAGCACTGATGTAGGTTCTCATGTCTCCATTTTAGAGATGACAAGACTAAGGCACAGATAAGGTAGGCAATATCCCCAAGTCTCCATGTCCCCATGATTAGTAGGAGATGGAGCTGTAAGTCTCTTTTTAGAGTCTTCATGTCCTCACCTTTATTTCTTTACATTTTGTATTTTTAATTTTTTTAAGAGACAGTCTCGCTGTGTTGCCCAGACTGGAGTGCAGTGGTGCAGTCATAGCTCGCTGCAGCCTCCGACTTGTGGGCTCAAGCAGTCCTCCCACCTCAGCCTCCTGAGTAGCTGGGATTACAGGCATGCACCACCACACTTGGCTAACTCAAATTTTTATAGAGATGGGGTTTCACTATATGGCCCAGGCTGGTCTCAAACTCCTGGGCTCAAGTGATCCTCCTGCCTCGGCCTCCCATAGTGCTGGGATTACAAGTATATGAGCTGCTATGCCTGGCCCATATCCTCATCTTTAAATGGGTCTAGGAATGCCCACCAAAGAGAGTTGTATGAGGTTTTAAACAGTAAATGCCTCTAAATCATCCAAAGTAGGGAATAAAATATCAGCTTATATCATAAACTTGGTTAAAATAGCACTCTCCTGCTTTATTTTTCCTCATAATACTAATGCTACTTGGCATAGAGTTGTTTATTTGCTCTCTCCTTTGTCCATTTTATGTATGGCTGTGTCCCCAGCACCTGATACAGAGTATAAAGCATTGGCTGAATGCGTGAATCTTAGTTCCCGCTTTTCACCTTAGCATCCTGACTACCGATGCCCTGAACACACATGGTGAATTTGGCTGAAATGAAGCATTCTGTGCCTGCCCCACAAACCACCAAGGGACTGTGGGTTTATTTGTCTCAAGATGGTCAACACTGCTGTTTTCACATTTTACTTGCTGTCAAATATAAAGAGATATCATATGTTGCCCGCCTCTGGTTTTCCTGATGTCTCAATTTAAGTGGTTTCCAATTTGGGTATGAAATTATCCATCAGTCACAGAGAGAACTGGTGCCTTCAGCAGTGGCTGTTGGAATAAGCCAGGGCTTAACTGGGGAAGCTAATGGTGGAGGAGCAAGGGCTGGCTAGCAGAGGTTTGGCCCTGCTCCTCCAGGTCCCCTCTGGAATACCACTTCTCCCCACTGGATGGTGGGCTGTGTCTAGCCCATTCCCCAAGATCCAGTTTGGATGACACTTCACCTATTTATTCATTGGATGCTAATAGTGTCTTCCCTACGCCAGGGACTGACCTAGGCATCAGGGATGCAGAGAGCAGGCCTTGGTCACTGTCCCCTGGACTCACACAGTCTGCAGCCTGGTGGAGGAGACACCATGTGAGCTGAGCTATAATGACTGAATCCAGTCCCTCACCAGATGCAGTAACCTACAAGTGTCTGTTGCTCAGAATGTCTTTATTTTGATCAGTCACTTCCACAGAGGACTGCCCAAAGAGACGCCTCTGTCCAGCTCTCGGGTCTGTCTGTGTGGAGTACGAGGCGTGTAGCCCTGGTGATCGTAGAGTGATGTTAGATGTCTCAGGGTCAGGTGTTGAATAATATGGGCTCTGCTTGGGAAGGTGTTCCCCTTTTCCTTTTGGCCATGCTGGTGAGGTCTGAGGTTGATGCTAGCCCGGCTTTAACTCTTGGAGACCCTGACAAAGTGAGTGTGGGCCTCTGGGTCATGGTGCCGTCGGCCACTGGGAAGTTCCGAGCTCTCAGATGCGGCTGCAGTAGACTCCGCTCAGAAAGTCCAGACGCCTTGAGGCCAAGGCTCACCCCCAGATCAGCTGCAGGAGAATCTCTTCAATGGGACCTGGGCACCTCTCACTGTTTTGCATGATTCTGATGCTCCTGAGGTTGAGAACCACTAACACTTAGGATTTAATGACATTTGGCTTTCATCAGATCCAGTTGCCTTCTAGTGATACTGGCTTTCTGTTTGCTAGAGTGATACATACTTTCCTTTTTAAGTAAATGTTATAAGTGAAAAAAGATGAATGGTGTAATCCCACCCCAGGGTCACTTGAGCCCAGGAGCTCCAGACTAGCCTGGGCAACATAGTGAGACCCTGTCTTAAAAAAAAATGCATGGATTGAAAAGGCAACGTTATTCAGCAACAGTGCAAGTGGGAGGCGAGTGTAGCAAGAATCCTGGTGGTGCTTTGTGATGCACCGGGGTTTGGGGAACACTCCTCTAGATTTTATCCATGGATTGCAGTTTTAGCCCCCATTATTTTGGCGCCCATAGACTCATTGGGAATGATTTGACATTATGCCAATGACTCATTAAGTGCAAACAGCAGAAATAGCTAAATGAAACAATTTAGAAATAGCTAAAAGGTACAATTTAGTGATTGTATCTTTCTCTGTGTAACAAATTGTCCCAACACTGAGAGGAAAAAGGACATTTGGCAGTGACAGCATTTACCATCTCACAGTTTCTGTGGGCCTGGAGTCCTCGTGCCACTCAGCTGGTTCTCTCTCCAGGGTCTCTCCCAGGCTGCAACCACAGCCTCAGCCGGTGACTGCAGACACCTCAGGGCTCTCCTAGGGAAGGATCTGCGTCCAAGCTAACCCGTGTGGTTGTTGGCAGGATTCAGTTTCTTACGGACTCTTGGACTGAGGGCCTCAGTTACTCTCCAGCTGTTGACTGGAGGCCACCCTCGGTTTCTTGCCTATCCAGGCCTCTTCACTGCGGCCAAAGAAAGCAAAAGAGAGAGACCAACTAAATGGGAATCAGGGTGTTTTGTAGTCTAAGCTTTAGAGGTAGCATTCTGGCCGGGAGCAGTGGCTCACGCCTGTAATTCTAGCATTTTGGGAGGCTAAGGTGGGGGTGCATTTGAGGTCAGGAGTTCGAGACCAGCCTGGCCAACATGGTGAAGCCCCATCTCTACTAAAAACACAAAAATTAGCCAGGCGGTAGTTACACACGCCTGTGATCCCAGCTACTCAGGAGGCTGAGGCAGGAGAATCACTTGAGCCCGGGAGGCGGAGGTTGCAGTGAGCCAAGATCGACCCACTACATTCCAGTCTGGGTGACAGAGCGAGACTCCGTCTCAAAAAAAAAAAAAAAAAAAAAGTGGCATTCCATGATTTCTACTATATTCTACTCTAATCTGTTCATTAGGACAGAGGCAAGTCACTAGGGCCAAGCCACACTCAGGGGATTACCCAGGAGGTGAGGACCAGGAACCGGAGCCACGGGGTCTGTTTTAGAAGGCTGCACACCACAGGAATATCACTGAAGACAGCCCCCACGCCACGTCCCTGGCACCTTTACTGGCCCCCCGGGAGCGAGTTGTCACAGGCTGAATGCCAGGTGAAGCCGAGCAATCGCTAGTTATTTTATGGACGAAGTGAGTCTTACAACCGTGTTTGCACTGTACTTTGGTCACAAATCATCTGAGCCAAAATTACTGCTTCCCTGTAATTGATTATGTAGGAATGATTGATTGGTCGTATTGAAAATCTGTGGCAGGGGCCAGGCATGGTGGCTCATACCTGTAATCTCAACACTTTGGGAGGCCGAGGCAGGTGGATCATTTGAGGTCAGGAGTTTGAGACTAGTCTGGCCAACATGGAGAAACCCCATCTCTACTAAAAATACAAAAATTAGCTGGGCATGGCGGCTGGCACCTATAATCCCAGCTACTCAGGAGGCGGAGGCAGGGAGAATTGCTTGAACCTGGGAGGCAGAGGTTGCAGTGAGCCGAGATCGCACCACTGCACTCCAGCCTGGGCAACAAACCAAGACTCTGTCTCAAAAAAAAAAAAAAAAAAAAAAGAACAATTCTATGGCAGGAGTTTCTGCAGACTGACTCACCCTGGCCTCTTCTTCAATAACGTACTTTGTTTCCCTTCTCTTTCCTCTGTCTCTTTGCCCCGTTCTATCCTACATTGTATATTGTCTCACATGTCTGTAATTTCATGTCTTGAGGGTTGGTTTGGGGAACTTGGTTTCTGTGAATTTTACTCTGTCTTGGCTGTTGGTTTCTGAGGTCCAGAGGTTTTTCTGGTTCTGGGGTTTTCTAACCAGGAGAATGTGGGCAAGGCTTCCATTGAAAGCCCCAAATCAGCTGGGGTGAAGACGGGGATCAAGGACCTGGGAAAGAATGGCCAGACTTTCTGTGTTCTCCAGGCCTATACAAGCCTTTCTGCTGCAGTAACTATGTGGTTTCAGGCAAGGAGCTTTACGTCTCTGAGCCTCAGTTTTCACAGCTGTAAAACAGGGTGTAGTATATTAGTCAACGTAGGTTCAGTTGCACTGCAGTAAGAATCCCGTAATGTCCTGAACAGAAAACACATAGATTTCTGTCTCTTTCATGTCACTTGTCCTTCGTGAAGTTGGCTGGGCCACTGCTCTGTGTTGTCACCATCCTCACCTGCAGACCCAGGTTGTGGCAGAGGGGCAGGAGACATTGGCCAAGCACATTCTGACTCTTAAAGCTTCCACCCAGAAATTACATGTCACATCTCTCTTATTTCAATGGTAAAGCAAGTTCCACAGACACATCTAACTGCAGGTGGGTGGGGAGGGGCAGTCTCCCAGGCTCCTGGAAAGAGAGAGCATAGTTACTTGTGAGCGGTCTTGATCACTCAACGGGTAGGTTATGAGGCTTCAGGCAGGTAATAGATGCAGAGATGTGTGCGCCCGGTACGTAGTAGGCAATCAACAGATAGTAGTGCTGATGGTGGTTACGGTGGTGATGGGAATGATGCTGATTAGAGAACTAAAGCTTATCTCGGGCCTGCAGTTTACAAAACCTTTGTCTTCCTGAGCCACTCATTTAGCCCATGTGTGTTGAGTTTTTCAGTTTCCTGAGTTGTAGGTACCGTGCTTTGAACTCAGGATCAAAGAGAAGACTGCCATGGTCTGTGGCCTTAAATAGTCCACAATCTCTCCTTGGCAACAGGGATTGAGGGTTTTCCTTTGGGTTTTCATTTTCAGGCCTTGGCATGGTTAGGAAATCTTACAAATAAAATAAATGCTGGAGCTGGATGAGGCCTTTGGGATCATGGTTTTTGTATTAGGATGATTCCAGTGGAAGAAACAGAGAAGCCAGTACAAACTGGCCTCTGCAAAACAAGGAATTTTTTATATTAGATACTAAGAAAGTCCAGAGGTAGGTGAGTGCCTCATTGTGTTTTGTGTTGCTGCAAAGGAATGCCTGACACTGGGTAATTTATGAGGAAAAGTTTTATTTGGCTCACGATTCTGATGACTGGAAAGTTCAAGATTGGGTATCTGCATCTGGTGAGGGTGTTTCCACTCGTGGCAGCAGAAGGCAGAGGGGAGCTGGTATGTGCAGAGATCACATCGATAAGAGTGAAAGCAAGAGAGTGGGGAGGTGCCAGGTTCTTTAAAACAACCAGCTCTTGGAGAAATAAATAGAGGCCAGGTGCGGTGGCTCATGCCTGTAATCCCAGCGCTTTAGGAGGCTGAGGCAGGCGGATTACCTGAGGTCAGGAGTTCAAGACCAGCCTAGCCAATATGGTGAACCTTGTTTCTACTAAAAATACAAAAATTAGCCGGGTGTGGTGATGTGTGCCTGTAGTCCCAGCTACTCAAGAGGGTGAGTCAGGAGAATCATTTGAACCTGAGAGGTGGAGGTTGCAGTGAGCCGAGAGGGCTCGGTCCCCAGCACCCAAACACCTCTCATGTGGCCCCACTTCCAACATTGGGGGATGAATTTCAACATGAGGTTTGGAGGGAGCAGGCATGCCAACCATAGCAGCAAGTGTCAGCTTCACGGTGACCCAGAGACCTGGGATATCATGGAAACCTGGTACATTTCTGCCTGACTCCGTTCTCACTGCTCCCTTCCGCTCCCCCAGCCCAGTCCGTCTCCCCTCATGGAAACAGCAGTCGCTGCAGTGTTCTCAGGCTGTTTAGACTCAAGAGAAAGAGCAAGTCTCTGCCCAGGGTTGCCAGCAGAAACCCCCAGATTCACTCTGAACCATGTTAGTTAATTGACCCATCCTGAACCAGTTACTACGGCCAGAAGGACAAGATATGCTGATTGACTGAAGTCAGTTAGTGCTCACCCTTGGATCACATCTCTTGGAAGGATGGTTTCCCAACAGGAGAGTGGAGGTGGGGGCAGCAGACAGCCATACTCCACTCCTGTTTCCTGCCCCTTCTTTTCTTCCTTTTCTTAAAAAAATAGATAATGAACTTATTTATTTTTGAGACAAGGTCTTGCTCTTTTTCTCAAGCAGGGGTGTAGTGGTGAGTCCCTGCAGCCTCACCCTCCTGGGGTAAAATTATCCTCCCACTTCAGGCTCCTAAATAGCTGTGACCATGCCTGGCTAATTAAAAATTTTTTTGTAGAGTTGGGGGTCTCCGTATGTTGCCCAGGTTGATCTTTAACTCCTGGGCTTAAGCGATCTACCTGCCTTGGCCTCCTAAAAGTATTGGGATTACAGGCGTGAGCCACTATTCCCAGCCATTTTCCTTTCTTTAGGGAAGAAATTGAAGCTCAGAGCAGGGAAATGACTTGGCTGCTGCCACTCAGCTTGTTAGAAGCAGGGCAGGCCATGGGTCCAGGACTGTGCCCTTTAGCCACTTTGACTCAGTTCCAAAAACATCTTCTCAAAGAGTCATCAGTTTCAAAAGGGTATTGGGGAAGCAGTGATAAAGGGAGGTGATTATAAAAGGGATGTTAATTGCACTATGCCTGGCATTTTCAATGAGCAGAACTTTGTTGTTTATTGCTTATTGACAGAAGAGATGAGAAATGAGGCTGATTTCTCTCTGGCAGGGCTGCTGCTTGGGTTTGATCACTGTGAGCAACAGGTCAGGGCTCTAATTGAGGGTTTTGGTGATTGGCTTCCTAAGTCATCGATCCCGGTGAGTGGGGCCTGCCCAGCAGTGATGAGACTGTTGTTTAGCTGCTGATGGGAGGCACTGGTGTGTGTGTTTGGGGGCATGTGTTAACTTTTCCATATGAATATTTCTGGAAGGTACTTTTTTGGAATTACTGCTAGGCTTCAGTATTGAATGTCACAGAGCAAGTTGTCCAGGAGGCAGATTCTGGTATATGACCTCTTGGTGTTTGAAGACAGAACTCCTAAGAATTCCCTCTTACTTTCTGCTGCCAATGCCCTAATTTCTTAACCTTGCAGAATGGAATTATCTGGAAGCTGCACCAGCACATGAGACCCCAGGAAGAGTCCTTAGCTGACCTAAGGGCTGATCAGAATGACCTTGGTCTCGGTTCCAGGGGTTCAGAAATGTAACTGGATCAGGAGGGTACAGGCTTAGACAATCTGAGGTTGAGGAAGGCCACTTACCTGTCCAGACTGTTCTCATCTACCCCCCAACACCCAACCACCCACCTATCATCCACCCACCCATACCCCCCACCCACCCATCCCTTCACCTGTCATCCCTCCACTTATCCACCCACCCACCCACCCCTCATCCATCCACCCACCCACCCACCCCTCATCCATCCACCTAGCTACCTACCACCCACCATCCATCCACCCACCATCCATCCACCCACCCACCATCCATCCACCTATCCACCTACCCACCCCTCATCCATCCACCTGTCCACCTACCACCCACCATCCATCCATCCACCCACCATCCATCCATCCACCCACCCACCATCCATCCACCCATCCACCATCCATCCATCCACCCACCCACCATCCATCCATCCACCCACCATCCATCCACCCACCCACCATCCATCCATCCACCATCCACCCATCCACCCACCAACCATCAATTCCATCCACCCGCCATCCATCCATCCATCCACCCACCATCCATCCACCCACCCACCATCCATCCATCCACCCATCCACCCACACACCATCCATCCATCCACCCGCCATCCATCCACCCACCCACCCACCCACCATCTATCCATCCACCCACCATCTATCCATCCACCCACCATCCATCCACCTACCCACCATCCATCCATCCACCCACCATCCATCCATCCACCATCCATCCATCCACCCATCCATCAATTTCATCCACCCACCATCCATCCATCCACCCACCCACCATCCATCCACCCACCCACCATCCACCCACCCACCATCCATCCACCCACCTACCATCCATCTACCCACCTACCATCCATCCACCCACCCACCATCCATCCACCCACCCACCCACCATCCATCCACCCACCCACCCACCCACCATCCATCCATCCACCCACCATCCATCCATCCACCCACCCACCATCCACCCACCGACCCACCTACCATCCACCCACCCACCCACCCCTCATCCATCTACCTATCCACCTACCACCCACCATCCATCCACGCATCTGCCCACCACCCATCCACCCACCCATTATCCATCTACCCACCCACCCATCGTTCATCTCACCAACCAACCCATCATCCAGCCACCCACCCACCGACCCATCATCCACCCACCCACTCATCATCCATCCACTCACCCACCCATCATCCACCCACCCACCCATCCATCATTCATCTACCCACCCATCATCCATCCACCTATCCACCTAGCCACCCACCCACTCATCCACCCACCCACCCATCATTCATCCACCAACCCCCCATCATCCATCCACCTATCCACCCAGCCACCCACCCATCATCCACCCACCCACTCACTCATCCATCCACCCATCCATCATCCATCCACCCACCCACCCATCATTCATCCACCTATCCACCCACCCACCCACCCCACCCATCATCTATCATCCATCCCCCCACCACCCACCCACCCATCGTCCATCCACCTATCCACCCAGCAACCCACCCCACCCATCATCCATCCATGCACCCATCATCCAGCCACCCACCCACCCATCATCTACCATCTGTCATCCATCCACCCACCCATCATCCATCCACTCACCCATTATCCATCCACTCACCCACTCACCCATCATGCATCCTCCCATTCACCCCCACTCCCGTCATCCATCTACCCACCCCACCCACACATCCGGCATTTCTAAGAGCTCATAGAGTAGTGGATACAGTTGTGCAAATGAATTTAGAAAATGATTTGTACCTAAAGTCATCACGTTCATCATGAGGAATATGTCTTCAAGCAGCTTCCAAAACCCAGCCATCTGAAATGACCACCCCTGCCAATGAATAACACCCGGGTTCCACATCAAGGGAGGCAGCAACCCTATTTGACCCCTACCTCTCATTCATTCAGGAGGTATTTGCCGAGCGCCATGAGGACCTGCGATAGACGACACCAAACTCAATTTTCATTACTCCACCAGCAGGGAAGTCGTATTTCCCTGTTTTCTAACTGAGAAAAGCGAAGGTTAGAGAGGTCAGGTGCTTTTGTTAAGATAGCAGAGTCATGGTGTGAACCTTGCTCCGTCGGACCCCACAGCCATGGTCTTGTAAGTTGAGTTATAACCTAGTGCGTGGACTCTGGAGCCCACACTGCCTGCTTCCAGTCCTCACTGTGCCACTTAGAGCCCTGTGCCCTTGAGCAAGTTAAGTCAACTCTCTGAGTCTATTTCCCCATCAGTAAAATGAGAATGATCATGATATCTACTCCTTAGGAGGATGATGTATAGAAAAATGCGTAACGCAGGGCCTGGTGCTGAGCATGCGGTTACCTGATGTTAGCTGCCAGTGTTAGTTTCTTAGAGCTGCTGTAACCAATTACCATAAACGTGCTGGCTTAAAACAACATACGTTTATTTGCTCGCAGTTCTGGAGGCCAGAGTCGGCAATCACGGTGCCAGCAGTGGCAGGGCTGTGTTCCCCCTGGAGGCTCTAGGGGAAGATCCTTCCCTGTCTCTTCTAGCCTCGGGTGGCTCCAGGCATCCCTTGGTTTATGGCCGTGTCACACCAATCTCTGCCTTTGTCTTTACTTGGCCTTCTCCTGCTTCTCTCTGGTGCCTCTCTGTATCTCTCTTATAAGGACACCTGCCATGGGATTTAGGGCCTACCTGGATAATCTAGGATGTTCTCATCTCAAGAGTCTGAATTACATCTGCAAAGACACCTTTTTCCACATTTACAAGTCACATTTATAGGTTCTGAGGCTTAGGATGTGGACATATCTTTTTGGAGGACACCGTTCGACCTACTACAGCTGCTATTATTTAAAAAATTTTTTAGAAGATACAAGTAATACATGAAGACATTCTCAATATAAGCCTTTAGACATTAAGTTAAGCATCTCTTTGGCCATCGCTGTCACCTCCATTCCCATCCCCTGAGGTCACCATTGTGATGAGCTTGGAGCTTATCCTTCCAGACCTTCCTGTTAGGGTGGAAAGATACATGCAATCTTTACATACAGGGATTATTGTCCTGTTGCCAAGCACTGGGATAGGTCTTGGGTATTCTGAGATAAGACATAGCATTATAAGAATATTATTTAAAAAAGCATCTTAAACACTTCACTATATACATTACAGTTCGGTGACCACCGAATTAACACTGTTAATAGTGTAGCTGATGAGTCACTTTCTTTTTTTTCTTTTTTCTTTTTGGGACAGAGTCTCGCTCTCTTGCCCAGGCTGGAGTGCAGTGGTGCGATCTTGGCTCACTACAACCTCTGCCTCCTGGGTTCAAGCGATTCTTCTGCCTCAGCCTCCCGAGTAGCTGGGATTACAGGCGCCCACCACCACGCCCAGGTAATTTTTGTGTTTTTAGTAAAGACGGGTTTCACCACGTTGGCCAGGCTGGTCTCGAATTCCTGACCTTAGGTGATCTCTCCACCTCAGCCTCTCAAAGTGCTAGGATTACAGGCGTGAGCCAGCACGCCCAGCCTGATGTAACATTAAAAAAAAAAGATACGTCAACTTTCTTTTTTTTTTTTTTTTTTTGCTATCAAATACCATATCTTATTCATTCTTGCTATTTTTTGTACCCATTAGCCATCCCTTCCTCCGCCCTCCTCCCTCCACTACCCTTCTCAGCCTCTGGTAACTATCATTCTACTCTCTGTCTCCATGAGTTCAATTGTTTTCATTTTTAGCTCCCACAAATAAGTGAGAACATGAGATGTTTGTCTTTCTGTGCTTGTTGTATTTCACTTAACATAGTGGCCTCCAGTTCCATCCATGTTGTTGCAAATGACAGGCTCTTTTCTTATTAATGGCTGAATAGTACCCCACTGTGTATATGTACCACATTTTCTATACCCATTCATCTGTTGGTGGACATTTAGGTTGCTTCCAAATCTTGGTTGTTGCAAATAGCACTGCAGTAAACGTGGGAGTGTGGATCTCTCTTCAATATACTGATTTTCTTTCTTTCGGGTATATACCCAGCAGTGGGATTGCTGGATCATATGGTAGCTCTATTTTTAGTTTTTTGAGAAACGTCCAAATTTTCTCCACAGTGGTTGTGTGAATTTACATTCCCATCAACAGTGTACAAGGCTTCCCTTTTCTCCATATCCTCGCCAGCATTTGTTACTGCCTGTCTTTTGGATTAAAACCATTTGAACTGGGGTGACACGATATCTCATTGTAGTTTTGATCTGCGTTTCTGTGATCAGTGATTGGAGCACCTTTTCATAGACCTGTTAGCCATTTGTATGTCTACTTTTGAGAAATGTCGTTTCAGATCTTTTGCCTGGTTTTTAATTGGATTATTAGATTTTTTTCTTGTTGAGTTGTTTGAGTTTCTGATATAGTCTGTTTATTAATTCCTTGCCAGATGTGTAGTTTGCAGATATTTTCTCCCATTCTGTGGGTTGTTTCTTCACTTTGCTCATTGTTTTCTTTGCTGTGCAGAAGCTTTTGAACTTGATGTGATCCCATTTGTCCATTTTTGCTTTGGTTGCCTGCTGGGGTTTAAGTAACTTTCTTAGAAAGTCTGCATGACCCACAGACTTCTGGGGCAGTAGGAAATAAACCCATCATCTCCATGCAGTGTAGGCGGTGGTGTAATGGACACATATAAAAAGTGCTGTGGAGGCCGGGCATGGTGGCTCCTGCCTATAATCCCAGCACTTTGGGAGGCCGAGGCAGGTGGATCACCTGAGGTCAGGAGTTCAAGACCAGCCTGACCAACATGGTGAAACCCCATCTCCACTAAAAATACAAAAGTAGCTGGGCATGGCGGCGCACGCCTATAGTACTAGCTACTTGGGAGGCAGAGGCAGGAGAATCGCTTGAACCCGGGAGGCAGAGGTTGCAATGAGCCTGAGATCGCGCCACTGCACTCCAGCCTGGCAACAAGAGCGAAACTCCATCTCAAAAAAGAAAAAAGAAAAGTTCTGTGGGGACACGGGAGAAGGGATTATCATTTCTAAAGTCTTTGCTTATTGGGGGACACCTGAGCCTTGTTGGCTTTGAAAGAATAAACCTTGACAGACCCACGTCTGGGGACTTGTGGAAGGAAAGAACCCGGAAGGGATGTTGCCTGCAGCAGGAAGTGAATCCTGAGACAACTTGTTCATAGAGGATCTTGATTGTCATCCTCAAAGAGTTGGAATTTTTTTCATGGGGCGGTGGAATTCACATTGTGTCCCGCAGGGCTCTAGGGCTCTGAGAAGAGACCACCAGGCCAAGGCAGGGAGAAGTGAAGGAAGGAGGAGGCCAGCACTCAGGGCCCTCACCCGGACTGTGTCCCTGCAGCCTCTGCTCTCTGCCAGGTGACATTTGCAGGAGCTAATGAGTGGCTTGAGGGGGCTGTAGTTACCTCCCACCCTGTGTGCATCAGCTGTCCCCAAACCTTCCCAAATAAACATGCAAACAAAGGAAAAGCGTGTGTGCTCTAGGCCACTTAGCTATATCGACAACTGACAATAATAGGCATAGAGTGACAGAAAGACCTGACGAGATGCCACTTGGCTTCCTTTTTCAAGTAACTCTGTAGGGTTTTCCCACATAACAGATACAGAAAGAATTTATTGTTGGAAAACGGGGCGGCAAGATGGACAACATTCTCTGGGACCAACGGGATGTGCAGCCTCCTGGGCTCAGGCCTCACCAGCTCCTGCACAGTGGTGGGGGTGAGGACTGAGGGACACATCACATCTCCTGGGAGCAGAAGACGATGTCTGCGAACCCAGCTCAATATGCATGGCCTTGTCCCCAGGCAGGGGCGGCCTCAGCTGGCCAGGTGTCCCCGTCACTGCAGAGTTCTGGTCTTAGACTGGCTGCACACGGAGACTCCAGGGCAGCAAAACATCTTCTTTCCTCACCCTCAGGCTCTCTGAGCCAGCACCTCCTGATCCAGATCCATTTCTGAACTCCTGGATCCAAGACCAAGGTCATTCTCATCAACCCTTAAGCCAGTGAAAGACTCTTCCTGGGGCCTCGTGTGCTGGTGCGGCTTCCAGATAATGATAGCCAAGGTCACACTTGCCGAGAGCCCTGGTGATTCAGGCACTCTTCTTAGTACTTTATGCAAATTATCTCATTGAATCCTTACAACAAACCTCTGAGGGAGCTGGAATTACCATATTCTTTCCATGGAGGAGGAAGCGAAGGGCAGAGAGGTGGAGCCACTTGCCCTGCTCACAGAGCTAGGAGGAGGCAATTCGCAATGTGAACTGGGTGGCTGCGTCTCCCTCCACGCTCTTCACTGCTCTGCCCACCTGTTCTCAGTCCACTGGCCAACCAGAATACTGTCCCAGATAGCAAGTGTGACACTGTTGCCAATAGCAGGGTTCTTGGTAAGATGCCATTCCAGAGAAGGAGTCTGCTAAAAAAGAAAATAATAAAAAATAAACCTGCGACTGCAGGGAATGGAAAACACATGGATGCATTTTTTTAATGTGAGATGAATCTTTCCTGAACAGTTCAAAGTGCCTATGCCTGCTCACTGTTAATAAGAAAAGAGTTGAAGGGTGAAAAATTAAACAAAAAAAGGCCTTCTTTTCCAGAAGAGAGGGAAGAAGAAATAAGAGAGAGCCACACCTAGGTCGGGCGTGGTGACTCACGCCTGTAATCCCAGCAGTTTGGGAGGCCAAGGCGGGTGGATCACTTGAGGTCAGGAATTCAAGACTAGCCTGGCTGACATGGTGAAACCTCATCTGTACTAAAAATAGAAAAATTAGCTGGGCATGGTGGCATACGCCTGTCATCCCAGCTACTCTGGAGGCCAAGGCAGGAGAATCACTTGAACCTGGGAGGCAGAGGCTGCAGTGAGCCGAGATTGTGCCACTGTATTCCAGCCTGGGCGACAGAGTGAGACTCAGTCTCATTAAAAAAATAAAAAAAAAAGAGAGAGCCACACCTAGATTCCCATTACTGATCCAAAGAAACCAAGTTAGCGGTTCCATTCCTGCTGCTTCTGCACTGATTGGGAGGGAAGCAGGACTGCGGCAGTCCTCCTTGTTCCTCATCACACAACCGAATGGTCCTAGGAGAGGCCGAGAGAGAAGGCTACAGCTTGCTCCGGTGCCCCATTCTTCCCAGGGCTGCAGTCTACTGGTCTACTTGGGATAGCACTCGAGCCTTGGGAGAGCAATGAGGAGAATCGTTGGCGTCTCAGAAGTGGAGAACAGGTTCCCATCCAAGCTGAGCTGAGGGGACGATGGCTCAGGTCAGAGCTGGCTACACTCCCCTTGCCATTTGTTATCTTTTTAGTGCAGGGATGTGAAAGGGAGGGGCTGGGGTGGGAGGGTGAGAAAGGCCATTTTGTTGAGTGCTTATTATTGTGCAGCCAGCAGGATGCTGGGCATTTTAAAATAGGATGTCGCAGGCGTCGTGGTGGGTGAGTACTGGCTCTGTTTTACAGATGAGGAAACTGAGGCTCAAGATTTTCTGTTAATAAGTGTTGAGGCCCGAGTCTACTTGACCTTAAGCCATCTGACCTTAAGACCCTTAAGGTCTTTTCCGGGAGACCTTGGTAGCCAAAACTAATCAGTGAAGAGCTTCATGAGAACATTCTTCCCCTACTTCCATGCCTCCATGCCTGAAGCAGCCTCTGGGATGTGGCATTCTTTCTTGTGACTGGTGGAAATTAAACTCTAAGGAAGAACCCTGGAAGAAACATTCCAGAGTTGTTTTGCTTTTATCTGCAAATTAGCAGCAAACAGAGAGCCTCTTCATCCACAGATTTCATCATTGTGCTTATAATGTTAAAAATACACTCCATGCGTGTGGTTAACAGCAAATGGCCCAGTCATACACATGCTCGGATTGCCAGAGCATCTTCTCTTCCCTTTCGAGGCACCGCCTTTTGCACGTGCCGAGCTTTAGGGCTTCCTTCTTTCGGAGGAGATGAGCCCGAATTCTTTTTCCGCACCCATGTTTCTTCTGGGGGAGACAGCAGGTGTTATAGAAGGAGCACAACTTGGGATTCAGCCAAAGTTGGCTTTGAATTATTGCTGTGTCTGTGGGCATGTCACTTAGCTTCTCTGAGCCTCTGTAGAATACGGGAAACAGGTTACTCAAAGAATTACATGAGTGGGTACAAATAAATGTCTCAGTCCTTAACGTCTTGACATTCCTTCTCTACCTGGAGCCAGGGGCCTCTTTTGATTCTCAAGCCCTTGACATTTTATAAAGCTATGGAGATCAAAGATTTATTCCTCCCTACCTAGACAAATGAGATTTCCCTGAAATTACAAATGATTTTTCTGCATCTTTCCAGCTATCAGTTAGGAATTGGCAAACATTTTCCGTAAATGCCCACATAGTACATGACTGTGCGGGTCACGCTGTCTCTCTCACTGTTACTCCACTTTGCTGATGCAGCCTGAAAGCGGTCATAGATGATACATAACTGGCTGAGTGGGACTGTGTTCCCATAAAACTTCGTTTACAAAAACGGGCTGGATTTGGCCCAGGAGCCATAGTTGCTGACCCCTGATGTAGAGTATGGAGAGGTACTGGGTTTAGGTGCTGGAAATGCAAAAATGAATGAGAGTCCTTGACCTGGAGGGTTCTGCCTGTAACACACTTGCACGTAGTGTTGGTAAGGGATATTCTATTTGCAAGAGGACATTTAAGGTAACAGGAAAGGCAGGTGCCTTTGGTTGTTCTTACAGGCTGGTGTCACTAGAGGATCAACCCAGGTGTATCTAAATCTGCTCCTGCCTGCAAGGGTGAGCTCCTCAGACCTGCCGCTTAAACATCCTTGATATCTCTCAGTGCTATTAAATACTGCTCAGTGGTCCCAGGCCAATTTTTACATCATAGTTTTCCTTGGGATTGTAGCGTATCTTAGGAAATCCTACATCCACTCCCCATGTTACTGTAACACTAGCGCGAGCCAGTTCAGATTCTCGGTTTTGGACAGCTGCCTTTCTTTGGCATCATCTGGTTGACCTGTGCCTCAGTTTCCCTGGCTGTTAAATTGGAGTTAAGGATGAAATAGTGCATGAGAACTGATATGGATTGGCTGTGTCCCCACCCAAATTTCATCTTGAATTGTAGCCCCCACCATTCCCACATGTTGTGGAAGGGACCTGGTGGGAAATAATCGAATCACGGGGGCGGTTTCCTCCCATACTGTTCTCATGGTAGTGATTAAGTCTCATGAGATCTGAGGGTTTTATAAGGAGTTTCCGCTTTCGCTTGGCTCTCATTCTCCTGCCTGCCACCATGTAAGATGTGACTTGCTCTTCCTTGCCTTCCACCGTGATTGTGAGGCCTCCCTGGCCATGTGGAACTGTGAGTCCATTAAACCTCTTTCCTTTATAATTACCTTTATTAGCAGTGTGAGAACAGATTAATACAAGAACATTTGTTCCCTGTTTTCTAAACTTAAAAAAAAAATCATGTTTGTGTAACCCTTTAAGAAGAACTCCTCCTTAGCAACTCAGTAGGGGTAATGGGTCAAAGTAGAACCTACCCTCATAGGAGAACACAGGGAGGGCTCTGGCCAATGAGCCTTGAAACATCTCCTGGAAACCCTGGGACCTGGGAGGAGAGGCTAAAAACAACCACAGATGTAGGGCAGAGCAGGAGAAGTCTGCAGCCCAGGGACCCAGCCACTGTAAGGCTGCTCATTGACTCTTCAAACCTTGTTTCCCTCATCTGAAGCAGGAGCGAGTTTGGGTTAGTTGAATACTTTCCACTCATTGCAGTAGGTCTGAGTGTTTCACCAATTGGTTGAAAATTCATAACTTAAGAATAGTTCTATATTGGTAGCTTCAGCCTGGAGGAATTCTAGGCAGTTGTTGATTTGTGCTTTTCTTATAGGTGATCCTTAAAAGTCTGTTGATATAAAGAGGATGGCAGAGAGTTTGGCATGTTACCCCGTGCGTGCAATTGAGGGGTGTGTGTGTGTGTGTGTGTGTGTGTGTGTGTATGTATATGTATATGTGTGCACGCACAGCCTCTTGGCAGTTTGCCTCTTGCCTCCCATCTCTGCTCTGCAGCCAGAGTGACTGAAGTGTGAGCTGGACCAGCCTCTCTCTTGCTTAAATCCCTCATAGGTTTCCCCCGTCGGAGCACAGACCAAAGCCGTGCTCATCTCCCTTATGCTTCAGGCTCCTCCCAGATGCCTCATCCATCCCTGTCCTCCGTGGACTTTTCACAGCCTTAACTGTCTAATGAATTGTGCTGACTGCTGTGTGGAGACTGTCTCTCCTGGTGGATTGTATGCTCTGCAAGCCCCGGGACTTCCTCTCCCCCTGTCACCTGCAGAGAGTCTGACTACTCAATGGAATGTAGTGCAAATCTGTGGAATAAACGTATGCATAACTAGTGTGCATTTGTGGAATGGAGCAGTCAGCCCCTCATTCTGGGCGAGGGCTGCCAAACCCCAAAACCACCATGCCCTCAGCGGGTTTTCCACAGAGCCCAGAATGTTTCTCTGCCAGGTGCTGGGCTGGGATGGTTCTTGCAGGATCCTATTGGAGCTTCCTAACAACCCCACCAGGGCAGCTTCTGTTGTCCCCATTTTCCAGGAGGGAAGTAAGGCCCAGAGAAGTGGAGTGGCTTATTCTCGGCCACGCAGCTGAGTCAGAGCTCAGGCCCAGCTGACTCAAGTCTTGTTCAGTCTTTAAAAAAAAAAAAAAAGAAAAGAAAAAAACACTTACTTAGAATGAGGAAATAAATCGCAACAAATTGTCTTTATTTATTGTTTCGAGATGGGGTCTCACTCTGTCACCATGGCTGGGGTGCAGTGGCGCAATCAGGTCTCACTGCAGCCTCTGCCTCCTGGGATCAGGCAATCCTTCCACTTCAGCCTTAAGAGTAGTTGGGACTATAGGAGCATGCCACCACACCCAGCTACTTTTTAAATATTCTGTTGAGATGGGGTCTCCCTGTGTTGCCCAGACTGGCCTTAGACTCCTGGGCCCAAGCGATCCTCCTGCATTGGCCTCCTGAATTACTGGGATTACAAGCATGAGCCACCATGCCCAGCCTTACAAATTATCATTGTTAAAGAGCTGATACATACCACAAATACCACAGAATCCAGACAAACATCATAGGTTAATTAATTAACCATCGGGTACTCTTCTCTGATCCCTTTTCTCCTACATTTTTAAGCTGCATACTCTGATAGCCTGTTCAGAAGACAGTACTGTTACATCATTTTCTGTACAGAGAGTAGAAGGATAATTCAGTCGTTCTTCCAGCATGGTGGAACAAAAACTTTCCAGGATTTTGCTTGAAATTTTAAAAGCAATTATATGAAAGAATTTTACAGTGAACACATGTATACCTACCACTTAGAGTCTACCATTAACATTTTGCTGTACTTTATCATCTGTTTTTTTATCCATCCATCTATGCGTGCATCCATCCATCCATTCATTCATTCATCTGTCCATCATTTTATCTTTTTTGGGATGCATTTCATAGTAAATTGCAGATGTCGGTATATGTTTCTCCCAAAATACTTCAGTAGGCACATAGAACTTTACCATCGCCCCAGAATGTCCCTTCATGCCATTTCCTGGTGTTTCCCACTCCACTCTCCCTGAGGTATTCACTGTTCTGATTTTCTTTCCACCATAGACATGATAGTTTCTTTCTTTCGATTTAAAATTGCGTGATTGTTACGTTGATTTTTTGAAAGGTTAACAAGTCATGTACATGGTAAAAATCTACAAGGTGTAAAGTTTTACAGATAGGAATAGATCATCGTCTCTCCTCTGACGCTTGCTTCTCAGTGCCTTCCCTCAAAGGCACCCATGGCTAGCAGGTTCTTACGTGTCTTTATAGAAATGGTTCATGCATATAGACACGTGTGTCTCCCAACACGCTAATACTTCAAGAGGATAGTAGCTCACCTGACACTTTGTTTTGTGTCTAGCTTTTGTCATTTGACATTATATCTTAGAGATCTCCTCCTCTTTAGAGGAGATGCCTGCTGTTCTTTTCATAGCTGCGCAGCCTGGCTATGAGTGTGCTGTGTTTTATATAACCATTTCATTCCTTGTTTCCAGGCTTTTATTACCCTAAGTGGTATTGCAACAAATGTCTTTGTATCCTTGTCTCTGTGCTTATGTTGTCCATCACTCTTTATTTCTTGGAAAGAAAGTAGATGTCCATTCTTAGTGAAGTAGTAAGTTCGATCATTTCCCCATGCCCTTTGCCTCCCACCCTTTCCCTGCTCCAGCCATTCATCCATCCATCTGTCCATTTTTACATCTGCCTGTCTGTCCATCCAGTGGGAACATTCACTGAGCGATCAGATGTGCCTGCCTACCACGTTGGACTCTGAGAATATTGTCCTCTACACCCTTGTTATCTTTTGGGAAAAACAAATGTGTCAAAAACTGATTCACAGAAGTGTGATAGTCTATGTTTGTGTGAGGTTTCAGTGCTGCCCAGAGGATAAAATAAAAATTCTTTAAAGCTCTTATTTGCCAAGTTTTTACTCCTAGCAAAGAATCCTTGACCTCAGCTGTTTTTAAAAACCACAGAGAACAAAAACAACAACAAAAGCCACAGAGATATGATGCCTCTAGTGGTATGTTTGTAAAGCAAATGAAAAAACTAACAGAGAACCCTGAAAGTGCTCCAGAACTGGGGGGCTTTGTCCTGAAGGCGTGGATAGCCCAGGCTGACTTTATGATCAGATCATCAGGCCTGAGCCTGTTGCTTGGCTTGACCAACCAAGCTGAGAGACAGAACCATGCCATTTCACATTCTGTTCCTTATTAAAAGATGAGATGAGAAAGCAAGCGCATTGGTGGGATGGAAAACAGTTGTCATTTTTTGGCAGTGAAAAGGGAGAGCTAATTGCATAAGGGCAGGCTATTTGAAAATAGGGATGAGTGAGAAAGTGACTCTGGAAAACAAATTATGGCTGCCATTTCATGATTGGAACAAAGGTTTGCTGCCTCCATAGGATCTTCCTTGTTGCTTTTCTTTGGAGCAGTGAATCTGAGAACCTGGTAATTAGAAGAAAGAAATAAGATTCTCTTTCTTTGGTTCTTTTTTTGTCTCCAAACTAACTTATCCTTCCCATGCATCAAGATTTTGAATTTGCTACAAAGCAATCTAAAAATCTGTTGGCATTTCAGGGTGGAAACATAGCATATCTTATGATTCATTCATTCATGCATGCATGCATGCATGCATTCATTCATTCATTCATTCAGTGTGTTAGTTCGTGCCTACATGTGCTGGGTTCTTGGCCAGGCTGCAGTGTGTCATGGTGAACAGGTGGGTGTGGTAAGCACATATAGAGCTCTCTGAGCTCACAAGGAGGGTTCCAATCCACAGATAACCAGCGTGGAGTCATTACAAGCTGAAGAATGTGAACCGTAGAGGGTTACAGTGGAGACACTGTTTAGTTCTGGTGGTCTGGGAAGGTGCCTCCTAGGAATTCATATTTTGGCTGAGTCTTAGATGAGAAGAGCTAACCTTACAGAGAGGCTGAGGAAGAGGAGAAGGGAGCAGTAGCTTACAATAATACTTGCTTCGCAGATTGTTTGAAGATTAACTGTGAGACCATGAAGTCCTTGGCACATAGTAATTGTTCAGCACATGCTGGCCTCTCCCTTTACCTTTGTTGATTTTTTCTAATAGGGCAATCAGAGGCTGGTTGTCATGAGGTAGGCAAGGAAGAAACCAAGGTTTACGGAAGCCAAGTGACTTCTCACATCATCAGAGGAAGCCCAGGATTAGAACTCAAAACATGTGCATTTCTGTCTGTTCCTGAGAGCTTATGTACTTGGCTCAGAGTCTGGAGGCTGACCTGTGTTCCCAGAGATGGAAAAGGACCTGGGACTTCCTAGGGGCAAAGCCTCCTAAGTCTTCCTGCAGCAGCAACAGCAAAATAAAATCAGAAAACCCCCAAGCTTTAAGGAGGCTCAAGGTTTTAGACCCAGTTGTGCATCTGTATATGTCTACTCTGGAGCTATTGAGTCCTTTCAGATTTTCTTCACCCATCAGAGGTCCGTTTACCAGCTAAGGCTCTTGAGTATGAATTTGGGTTACTTGATCTTCTGGGCATCCCAGAGGCAAGATGCGAAGAACGGATACTTTGTAGTGGGAGGCAGTATAGCTTAGCAGTTAGAAGAGCAGGCTCTGGAGCCAGACCACCTGTGTTTGAATTCCACCTATGCTACTTACTACCTGAAGGACCTTGGGCAAGTTACTTTTATGGATTATATGTCTCTGTATGTGAAACCACCCCAAAACTTAATGGCTTTTTAAAAAAACTTGGCTATTTTTTTATCTCTCATGATTCTGTGGGCCGACTGGGCTCAGCTGGGTGGTTCTTTTACGTCATGTGGTGTCGACCAGGGCTTGACTGAGCTGGACATCCAAGATGGTGCTCTCATTTATCTGGTAGTTGGTGCTGGCTATCCACTGGGACTTCAGATGGGATTATTGATCAGAATACCTCATGTGGCTTCTCCACCTGGAGAAAGCCCGAGCACCTGAAGGCACTGAGGCTGAGTGAGAGGCTGCTGAGTAGACTAAGAGATTTGGCTTGGGCTCCTGATATCTTTACTTCCTCTGTGTTTATTCACAGTGATCTCTCTTGTCCTTGCCCATGAAATCGGAAGCACACCTCTGCCCACCTGCTGTGGAAGAGCTTTGTGGAGTGGGCAGCCTTTGATGATACTGGGTGGTGGTGGTGTCATGCTTGCACACCCCTCAGGACTAGAAGTGAGGGTAGCTCCAATGACAGAAGGGTTCCCTGTTCATCTTTACCACCGCCTTACCTGGGGGTGTGGTAATTTTTTTTACCACAATGGGAGGAGGTGTAATTTTTCTTCTACGGCTTTGGCAAATTGGCTGATTTTCTTTTTCTCTCCCTCTTCTGTCTTTCCTTTTTATTTAAATAAACATTTATTCAGGACATAGTGGATACTTTTCATTCTTTTTGGCAGAACCTCTAGTGTCTTCCCAGGTTTGAGGACTTGCCAGTCAAAGTGGCAGGGTGGGCCTGTGTCAGAGTTCCACGCTGGCACTGGGGTCAGAGTTTCATGACTAGGGAGAAGAGACTTCTTGTCTCTGTTCTGTCCCTGCTCCCCATCTGCCCCAAACAACCCAGGAAATCCTGAGTCAGAGGAGATGATGGAAACTTCTTTGCTGATGCAGCCCAGAAGTGGATTCCCCGTTGGTCTCATCTACCATTTCACATCCTTGTGTGTACAGCACCGAGGGTGTTTGCTCCAGCATGATTCAGGAATCCTGGCTGCTCTGTTGCTCTAGTAACGGGCTTTGCCTTTCCTTGCACCTGAAGACTGCCGCGTGAGTGCCCAGACCACAGGCAGAGTGTGAGCTGCCTTCTCTGCAGGGTCAGGGAGAGGTGAATAGAGATAGCCATGTTGCTGATGGCTGGTTTGTGCCCCATATTGAGGGTAAACTAAAGAGAAATCTGCATCCCAGGGATGTGTTCTCCAAGATTCCCCAGACTTCAGACAAACAGGGGATGTTTGTGGCCAGTGTCAGTAGAAAGTTGATTTTTCTTACAAAATAATCTCTGCTCCACACTCTTTATTGCCAGAATATAAAATAGAATCAGCTCTCTAAAGGGCTGCTGTCAAGTCTAGCTAATATCTGGCTCCAGTCTTGAAAGACAGCAAGAAAAGACAAAATTTGATGTTGAGTAAGCTCGGCCTTTAATTATCATCATGCATTTGCTACAGTGCCTGGCCTTGTTATCAAGTTATGTTCCTAACGGAGGTTAGAAAGTTCCCAAATTCTTTTTCGAAGCAGCCTCCCTGGTACTCATGTAGACACACAAAATCTCCGGGTTTACTGATCCTAATAATGCCATGTAATTAGAAGAAAAGCCTCTAAGTCAGAAGGATTGAACCACTCCTGGGTACGCATATCCCCTGTTCAAAATGTTCCCTGAAAATCCCCACCCCTCAGGGGAAACTTACCTACCCAAAAAATACCTTGTTCCAGAATTAGTCATTTTTGAAGAAGCCCTTTGTTTTCGATAATTGTAGAGTAATGTCTGTCCTTAAAAAATCTGCCTTGTCTTTCACCTTGGTCCTTTTGGTTGCCTTCTGCCTGTGCTCTGTGGGGTAGATACAGCCAGATGTTCTTGTGATTGAGGTTCCTGGGTGCAAACTCTGTTCACTTCCAGTTGGAAATGAGGCTGCATCTAAAGGCGGTGGCGATTGTGTGTAGCAGTGGAGCTGGTGTCCTGATGGCTTGTGAGTCCCCCTCTGGTCTGCCCACTTGATCCCCATAGCGTGCCCAGAAGAGCTTTTCCCAGCCTCAGTGCTGAGTGGGAAACCCAGAAAAGAGGAGTGGCCAAGAGCAGCCCTACAGTGTCTGCCAGAGAAGATACTGGCGTCCTCCACATGGATGAAAAGAGGAGAATGGGTGTTGTCTAGAACGGGGCGTGGCCTTAGAACCCTTTCTTTGCCCTTTTCCATCCATGATGCGTAACTGTTAGGAAGGCACCATCTCTGACACCTTGCTTTCTGGATTTGAGTGAAATGCATGGAGTGGGATGAGGTGGAAAGGGTATTTGATTACTTAGTAATGTGATACACACTTAAATTGATATATAATGTATCTGCTTATGGTTATGCAGTTAATACGTCTTCATTGTAGAAAGTACAAAAAAGTTCAAAATAGAAAATACAAATTCTCTTAACTTTCTTTATTTTTTTGAAACAGGGTCATGCTCTGTCACCCAGGTTAGGTCACTGCAGCCTTGAACTCCAGGACTCAAGTGATGCTCCCACGTCAGCCTCTGGAGTAGGTGGAACTACAGGCTTCTGCCGCCATGCCTGGCTAATGTTTTTTTCCATTATTTTTAGGAGAGACAAGGTCTTGCTGTGTTGCCCAGGCTGGTCTTGAACTCCTGGGCTCAAGCAATCTGCCCACCTTGACCTCCCAAAGTGCTGGAGTTACAGGCATGAGCCGCTTCACCCAGTCTCCACTGTTGATTTAAGGAGAGCCTTCTAATGTGTCCTAACCTTCAAGTTTCTTCATTTCTTCTTGAAGCCTTCAAGACTACTTCAGTCTTTCTTTTTTCACCTTTTAGCTGACTTTTCCTGTTTGCTGAGGGTTTATAGCAGAAAAGCTTTGAAGTTGGACAGATCCATTTCCTAGATGTGTGACCTTGGGCAAGTTTTACAGCCTCCCTGAGCCTCGGTTTCCTCATCTGTAAAGTGGGGAGAATGATACCTGTCCTCAGGTTCACTGTGAAGCTTGCTGGGGATTGTGGGGAGTGTGGAAACCCTGAGAGGTAAAAGGTGTAAATTCAGTGTTCTCTTTTTTCACTTCACTACCCCTCACCCTTCTCTGTTCCACTTGGTTTCTCATAGTCTTGATCCTCCTTCTTAAAATTTTAGCCAATTTAGTTTCTAGCAGATCAAAAAAAGAAGCTCATTCCCTGGGTATGAGAAAAATATCAACATTTATTGAACATCTACCACTACTGGGCATTTTGTTGTCTGCTTTACATAATAATTGCAATACTTGTGACAGCTGTGAGAATCAGTTTCCTATCTGACAGGGAGCTGAGGATAGGTAGCTTACTGGGGGTCACGTGCACCTTTGAATGCTTGCTTGCCCTCACCCCCACCTCCACAGTGTGGGGTCAGGACCCCTAAGCAGTACTGGTGGTGGGGTCCACCATGCCACACAGTTTAGTTTCTCTCCCCTAGTCATCATCTCATGTGGCCCTTCTGAGTCAGGAGAAGCCATATTCTGCTGCCTCAAATTGCTCGTACATTATGAGGGGAAAGGATGGAGCCCTTGTGGGGGTGACATTGGCCTTTTGTGTTTACCTACTGGGTGTGTCTGTGTGTGTGATGTTCATCATGGTAACAATGGATATTTTTTCCATTGCACATCTGATAACTTGCATCTCAGATCCTAATTAGGCCTTTATCGCTCCAAAATTACATGCTCTTACATGCCTGTGATTATCTCAATAGGATTAACAGTCCCTTGGCCATAAAGATAATTGAGATCCCTCATGGTGGCATATTTTTATTGCTGCAACATCCTCTCCAACCATCCCTCCACACAATCTCTTACCGTTTTCCAGTGACTGCTTTTTCACTTCATTCTGAATAGGAAATGTTCAGGGATCTCTGAGAGGCAGAATTCTTCTGTGATTATGCAAACCATGGTAACCATTATGCATTTTTTCTCCCCTCTCCCCCTTCTCCTGATGGTAGGTGCCTGGAGATTTGAGTCAAACGTCCGAAGACCAGAGTTTGTCGGATTTTGAAATGTAAGTCCACAGCCTGTGCTCACAAGGGGTCCTTTAGAAACTGGACTCTGTTGTTGGCTTCTGTCCCAGAAGACCACAGGGGGAAACAGAAATCACTGTTGAGACCCACACAAGGTTGATGTGGTTCTTGTAGAGCTGGTAGGAGTCGCTCTCCTACAGCCTCAGTCTCGCCCTCAGATGTGTTTTTTCTCACCCTTGGGTATTTAAAAACATTTTTTTTTTTTTTGGCTGACATTTAGAATTTGGAAGCTATCACATAACACAAATTTCCTTTATTTTCTTTAAAAATGAGACGCTTGTCCCTGTGAGGCCACAGTCTGCTGGAGCTGAGTAAAAGCTATCCCCTTTGCACAGGGGCATGTGCCGTCCAATTGACCACAGTTCCCGCTCTTTGCTGTTGCCTGGAAGTGACCGACTTCACTCATTTTATGATCTGTGTGGCCCCTGGGTTATTGGAAACAACAGTAGTCCATGCCTTGGTCGGATTTTTGATTGGGTTCAATTCTATTTGGCACCTCTGCTGAGCCACCCATAGGGAGAGATTAGTTGGTCATCAGACTTTTTTATTTTTGAGATAGAATCTCTGTCGCCCAGGCTGGAGTGCAGTGGCACGATCTCGGCTCATTGCACCCTCCGCCTACCGGGTTTAAGTGATTCTCCTGCCTCAGCCTTCCAAGTAGCTGGGATTACAGGCACACACCACCACGCCTGGCTAATTTTTATATTTTTTACTAGAGATGGGGTTTCTTCCTGTTGACCAGGCTGGTCTCGAACTCCTGACCTCAGGTGATCCACCCACCTCGGCCTCCCAAAGTGCTGGGATTACAGTTGGGAGCCACCGTGCCCAGCCGATTTTTGTTCAGGATTTCTTGGGCTTTGGACAAATAGATCCCTTAGGCTGGTAAAGGAAATGGATAAGTTGTCTCCTCTCTCATTCATCTCTGGCGAGTTTAAGGTTCAGCACCCGTTGGGAAGAAAAGCCCGGGAAAAGTCCCTTTTAGAGCAGGCAGGGCTGGGCCTTGGAAAGAGCATCTCTTCAGAGGCAGGCTGGCCTGCGTTGAAATCTCAGGCATCAGTCCAGCCATTTGACCTCACTGGGCCTCACTTTCCTAATTTGTGAGGCGAAGGTCCTGATGCGAACCTTGCAGAGCTTGTGGTGGCGATGAGTGAGATTATGAAAGGCATGAGGGCATCACGGGGCTATTCATGTTGGGGCAGCTGCTGGGGTCGGGGGTGGCGGTGGCTGTTAGGCTGATAGGGTGGAGAGGCTGAGGTGGGTGAGAGGTGAAGGATGAAAATCAAAGGTGAATTTGCCTGCTGTGGGCTTGTGGGCAGGGGGAGCATGGCATGAAGAGGCTCCTGGAACGGCAGAGTCCGGCGGAGGGCAGCTGTGGGAAGAAACTGGGAAGACAAGAGAGAGCCACAGAGGGGAGTCCCAGACACGAGGCTGGAAGCACTCATTATTAAAGCAAGAATTCACCCATGTCCTGCTGCAGGCTGGTGTCCGGGCAGGTCCCTAATAGAGAGGATGAATTAGCCATGGTCCCTGCCCTCAAGTGGTCTCTGCCTGATCCAGGCCACATTGTCTCTCCCCAGAGATTTGGAACCTCCCCCAACCAGTTTACTCATCTACACTAAAGCCAGAGGCAGCAATGGCACCATTCCCCTCTCAGCATGGAGACTGAAATCCTTTGTGGAGCTTACGAAGAAGGCCCTCACTCACCTCTGGCTTCGTTCCCAGCCTTTCCCACTCCTCTCCCTGCACCAGCCATCCTGGCAGTTCCGCTCCTCTAACCCACTTGGTCCTCTCCCTTTAGGATTATTATTTTACCCACTTAAACCACTTGTACACAGCATTGCCTCTGTGCTGGACACTGTTCTAACTCACTCAGTCCCTACAACAACCTTCAGAGATGGGTGTCTCCTCACGGATGATGAAATTGAGCCGGGTTTCAAACCCAGGCAGTGCTGGTCTAGACTCAGTGCTCTCCACAAATGCTTATTCCCCTGCCTGAAGCACCTTTCTCATCCTCAACTTGGCCAACTCTAAATATCCCTTAAAGCCTGGCCGAAACATTGCTTCTTCAAAGAAGCCTTCTCTGGTGTCCCAGACCAAAGCAGGCCCTGGAAGTCACTCTCCTTAGATCCAGTGTTCCTTTGTGGCACTTACAATAATAGTAAATAATTTATCTGTAACAACTATTGGCATATATACACCTGACAACAAAGCTTCAGAACATGTGATGTAAAAAATCAACAGAAATGAAAGGAGAAACAAACAGCTCTACAATAAGACTTGACTTCAGTACCTCACTTTCATTTATTTATTTATTTATTTAGAGACGGAGTCTTGCTCTGTCACCCAGGTTGGAGTGCAGTGGCACTATCTCTGCTCACTGCAAGCTCCGCCTCCTGGGTTCATGCCATTCTCCTGCTTCAGCCTCCCGAGTAGCTGGGATTACAGGTGCCTGCCACCACACCCGGCTATGATTTTTTTTGTTTGTATTTTTTAGTAGAGACAGGGTTTCACCATGTTAGCCAGGATGGTCTCGATCTCCTGACCTCGTGATCCGCCTACCTCGGCCTCCCAAAGTGTTGAGATTACAGGCGTGAGCCACAGCCCCCGGCCTCAGTACCCCACTTTTAATAATGGATAGGATAACTAGACAGATCAGTAAGGGGTTAGAAGATTTGAACAACATGAGAAACCAATTAGATTTAACAGCAGAATGCACATTCTTCTCAAGTGCCTGTAACTTTCCAGGAAAGACTGTATGTTAGGCCACAAAACCAGTCTCAATTAATTTTTAAAAATTGAAATCATCCAAAGTATCTTCCTTGACCACAATAGAGTTAAATTTTTTTTTTTTTTTTTTTTTTTGAGATGGAGTCTCACTCTGTTGCCCAGGCTGGAGTGCAGTGGTGTGACCTTGGCTCACTGCAACCTCTGCCTCCGGGTTCAAGTGATTCTCCTGCCTCAGCCTCCCAAGTAGCTGGGACTACAGGCGCGTGCCACCATGCCCAGCTAATTTTTGTATTTTTAGTAGAGACAGGGTTTCACCATCTTGGCCAGGCTGGTCTCGAACTCCTGACCTCAGATGATCCACCTTCCTCAGCCTCCCAAAGTGCTGGGATTACAGGTGTGAGCCCCTGCACCCAGCCCACAACAGAGTAAATTTTATGGAGATTTGTCTCTCTCCCATGTTAAAACTGAATGCTCCAGAAGAAAGGGCTGTCTGCTTCTTTTATTGCTCTATCTCCAGTACCCAGAGTAGTGGCTTCTCAGTAAAACTTGTTTAATGAGTGAGTGAAGGAACAAAAGGATGAACAAATGAACTAACATCTAGGAGGGAGATGGGTCACTTAAACAATCAATTTCTGATACAGTGTGGTCAATGCACTGAAAGAGAGAACCATTTAACCCAGGCTGGGGTAACCTCGCTCTAACCCTGGGAGGTTGTCCACTCCTCACCAATCCAGAAAAGTTAATAAAAACCAGAGTGCTACTTATATTTCTGCCTTGTAGCCTGACACAGAAATGAAAGGAGAATGTTCTAGGCACTAATACAATTTCAGGGACCTTTCCAGGAGGAAAGTGATTAGATACACAAACCAGTTTTGATGGCTCAGAATTGCAATGTACAAATTGCCTTGAGCCCTGGGGAAGTGATCAATGGGGTTTAATTTACCCCTCAAAGGAGGTCAGCTCCTCTGCTCAGAGATGAGAAGAAATGCTATTTCAGGAGAGACCCATTACCTGAAGGGTTATTGTCATTGTGAAAATGAAATGGTCTTTACTCTAGAGGTTGTGAGAACATTGAGTCGTGGAATCTTCCATCACCGGTGTCTCAAATTGTGTTCCAAGCCCAGAAGGCTGGCGAGTTTTTATGAGCTGCTCTTGAGAGAGAAGGAGAGCTCAGGAGAAAGCATTTAGCCCTGGAACAGCTCTAATTAGAGGCGAAGGCCGGGACCTTACAGCCCTTCCAGAATGGTGCAGCACCGTTTTGATAATTATTACAATTGATCTTGAAGTTTCAGGGACAGTCAGCTTATTCGCTCTGTGTAATTTGGATCCAGCCGGGTACAAATGTGACAGTGACTTACGAGTTAAGTTTAAAGTCATCACAGAAGACAAAACAATCACATAACCAAAATATCTGTTAAACATGCCTCACCTGGCCCACGCGAGGTGAGAAATAAATGATTTGACCATAGGTAAAAGCATGGAGCTGTGCGTGGTAGGTGCTCAGTAAATTATTTTGCATTTGAATTTAAACCTTGGTGTATTGGACCCATATACACAGTGTTTTTGGAAAAGCTGAAAGAGAGGTATTTGTACCCATCAGCCTGGTTTTCTAACTTGTCATTTTCTCTGGTCCCTCCCTCCTCCCATCCTAAACAGCTGTCACCCTTGTTGCCATGAGTGTTGGTCTCCTGAGCTCGTTTGTGGAGTCTGATCTTAAAATGGGCTCAGGGTCAGGGTCTAAAGTCAGCTCAGTGAGGAGGCAGCGTGACTGCTGGGTGCTCCAGAAACGCTGGGCATTGCTGTGTGTGACCTCCTGTGATCGCGTCCTTGGGGCTTCCGGTTATTATCTTCATTTTCAGATGTGGAGACTGAGGTTCAGATACATTATGGGCCAGATCACTCCATAAGAACTGAAGGGAGCTCTTTCACATTCCGGAGTACAGATTGTGTGTGTATGTGTGTGTGTGTGTGTGTGTGTGTGTGTGTGTGTGTGTGTGTGTGTGTGTGTAGAGAGAGACAGACTGAGTGATGACTTAAACTTGTCCTTTAGCTTGCCATCAGGTGTGATGTAAGTTGTCATAAATTGCTTGTGCATAATACCTCTTGGAGTAGAAAATTGTCTCCTTTCCTCTTTTTTATTTTTTATTTTTTTGTAAGTTAAAATGTCTAATGTTGGTCTCTCTCTCTTCCTTTTGGTTAGATCAAACCGGGCGCTGATCAACGTCTGGATCCCCTCAGTGTTTCTCCGGGGCAAAGCAGCAAATGCATTCCACGTGTATCAGGTGAGTGCCTGGTTTTCAGGTGGACATCACAGCTGGGTGGAAAAACGCCCATTTGTCATGCTGTGGTGCTTTTTGCCTCTTGGTGGTGGGGCGCTATGATTAGGAGGCTATGGCCTTCCAGACACCCACATCTTAACTGCCCAGAGGCCTTGCCGAAGAAGTCTGTGGCTTTCAGTTGGGCAGGGGGATACGGTGGGCCTCTTCGTGCCAGTCAGGCTCTTAGTGTGGCTGCTGTGGAATCTCAGCTCAGACTGCATGAGCAGAAACGGAGATGTGTGTTTGCTTGTTTTGCATCTGAAAAGTCCAGTGGTAGGTCGGGCCTTGGGCATGGCTGGACCTGCCATCAGGAACCTGCTGCCATATCCTGTGTCTGCTGCTTGGTGACCCTCTCAGGCCAGCTGTCCGTGGGTTGACAGGATGACCCCAGCAGCGCCAGGTTCTCAGCCTGGAAGGGCGGGTCTCACTGGTGTGTCCTGGATCTTGAGCCTCTTCCTACACCTTGGGGTTGGGTGACGGACTCTGTGACTGGCCTGATTCAGCTCATGTGACCACCACTGTCGCCAGGGTGGGTGTTTACCTCACCTGACCACATGTCTGAGAGTGGGGAAAGGAGATTCCCCAAATGAGAGCCAGAGAATTCTTTCCAAAAGAAGGGGCAATGGATACTGGACAAGCGGGACCTGTAGACATCGCCTCTGCTTCCTTGGGGTACGGATAGCCGCACCCAGGTGGGCATTGAGTGTCTGGGGCAGCGAAATGTGTGTCTGCTTAGGAGGTGATTTTACCCAATCAAGGGGACTCCAGTTCTCCGTCTCCTCTCTGATTTTCTGAAGCCTCTTTTAGCCCTGCCCACAGCTCGTCTGCATGTCTGTCTTCCTTCTCCTCCTCTCTCTTACCACGGACTCTGATTTCCAGGCTTTGGTGTGCCCTTGTTCTGGGACTGCTTTGTTCTCAGTGCTGAGCCCCAGCTGCTTCCTGCTTCTCCTGTCTGCTTGTGCTAAAATAATTGTCGTTAGGTTTTGTTTTATTCCCCATGAGCTCTCTGCAAACCCTTGGATTTTGTTGCCATTTTTCTTAGTGAGAAATTGACTTATTGAAGAAATTTTCTTGTCTATTAAGATATTTTTCCCCAAAGAGTGGGGTGTTGAAGAAAGGACACTGAACTTGAAAGCGGAATCCCTGGTTTAAATCCTGTGACCTTAGATGAGTCTTAGTTTCTTCAGCTGTAAAATGGAGACAGTAATCTATCTTGTAAAACTGTTTTGAGATTAGAAATACCTGGCCTGCAGTAGACACTCTATTCATTTCTCACCTTCCCAAATGACCGCTGTGCTTGGTCTCAGGTCTAAGCATAATATGCACATCTTACTGGAAATCTTAGGGACAGATGAGCTAGACTTTGGCATGAGAAGTTTGTTTTAGTTTGACACCTTCAGCTGGGCAACAGTCATAGGAGAATCTTGAGTGTTCATGTTGTTCCCAGCTCCGGTTTAAAGGGAGAATTAGATATTATGGATTTTCAAAAATCCTCTTCTCTTTGTTTCTCCTTTTGTCCCCCACAAACCCAACTTTCTTATTTGACCCTTCAAGTTCTGCATTGTGGTCATCAGAGAGCTGGAAGGTGCAGCCTGGAGGATGAAAAAAGTACAGCAGACAGCTCTATTTTAGAGCAAAATTAAAACATGTTATCACTTGAGAGGTTTCCTTGACCTTTCAGTTTTGACTTTTCCCCCTGTTTACCCCATGAAGCAACTTGGCAATTTTTAGCTCCTGAAAGCTATGAATTGAGACGGACCTTAGCAAATATGCCGTTGCCTGGGAGATTGTTTCCACAGTGGCCACTGTGGCAGTGAAGCCACTCTCTCCCCGTCCTTTACGGTGTGAAGCTCTCATGGGTTCAGCCCTGCTTCCAGCCAGCCTCAGGCCTGGCCGCTCTGCATCGCTGGGAGCAACTTCACTCCACGCCTTTGGCCTTCTGCAGCCTTCCTGATGCTGGGGTGTGTGAAGTGGTGTCTCTTGCATGCAATTATTTTTCTCTTTTTAGCAAATGATGCTTCTGATTGGTGCCTGCAGAGCAAAATCAGAGCATGTGTTTGGAAGCATTTTAGAAATCCTTTATTGCCATGTTTTTACTTTATATAAATGATATTGCATAGAAGGTGACTCATTTAAAATACTGGTACTGTTGAAGAGTACTTATTTTAGAATTAAAAAAGTATGCTGGCCAAGCATGGTGGCTCACGCCTGTAATCCCAGCACTTTGGGAGGCTGAGGCGGGTGGATCGCCTGAGATCAGTAGTTTGAGACCAGCCTGGCCAACATAGTGAAACCCCATCTCTACTAAAAATACAAATTAGCCAGGCGTGGTGGTGGGCGCCTGTAATCCCAGCTACTTGGGAGGCTGAGGCAGGAGAACGGCTTGAACCCAGGAGGCAGAGATTGCAGTGAGCCGAGATCGCACCATTGCACTCCAGACTGGGTGACAAGAATGAGACTCTGCCTCAAAAAAAGAAAACAAGTATGCTATTTAATTCCACAAAAGATTTGACATAATTTCTAGAGAAACGTCTAAAAAAGAATGATAAAAGAGAGGTTAAAAAAAATACATCAGGGTCAATGAAAATGTAAACTAAGGGTTTAAAAGGAAAAAGCGGAAAGCATATATATGTGTCATGAGATTCTACACAGTTGCACTCATTGATTTATGAATTTCCTGTGGGCTTCCTGGCAGCCATTGTGAAAGGGAAATGTGGTTATTTGGATAATTCTGTTGCTAATGATAAGAAAATATGTTAATTCTTTAAAAGAAGCTGTAAAAGAAATTTCCACACAGGATTTGAGATTAAACAATAAAAAAGGATAGAGTAGACAATCCCCATCTACATTCCCGTGACAGCCACTGTCTGGTTTTCTTAAGATTTCCCTTGAAGGAAACCAAGGGCATAACCCCAAAGTGAACATAAATTCGACTGGAGAGCCAAGACATGTAGCTTTCTCAGGAGAGCGGTGCTCCCTGGTACTGGAGCTGCGCTGTCTGTACCAGAGCTCCTAGCCATGTGTGGCTCTTGAGATTTATATTAATTAAAATGAGATTTATATCAATTAAAATGGCTCATGCCTATAATCCCAGCACTTTGGGAGGCCGAGATGGGTGGATCACTTGAGGTCAGGAGTTCAAGACCATCCTGGCCAACATGGTGAAACCCCATCTCTACTAAAAATACAAAAATTAGCTGAGCGTTGCTGTTGCATGCCTGTAATCCCAGCTACTTGGGAGGCTGAGACAGGACAATCGCTTGAACCTGGGAGGCAGAGGTTGCAGTGAGCTGAGATCGCGCCACTACACTCAAGCCTGGGCGACAGAGCGAGACTCTGTCTCAAAAAGAAAGAAAGAAAATGAAAGATTCGGCTCCTCAGTTGCACCACATTTCACATGCTGAGCAGCCAGACGTGGCTGATGGCTCCTGTTCTGGACAGCACAGATCTGGAACATTTACCCCACACACAGAGGTCTGCAGGGCGGCTGCCTTGGAACAAGCTCTCCTAGCGTGTGGGATGGCAAGATGGTGGTGTATGTGCCAAGTCAGGATTTAGAAGGACCACACTGGCCATGAAAGGCCACATCCTGCGGGGAGAAGGGCCCCCGCTTTTTCAGCCCTTCATGGCTTCCAGCTCCTTGGAAGAGGAAGTCTCTGTGTCACTCTCTTACCTCTCATGTCCCTCTGATCTTTCTTAGGAAAAACAGCAAGGCTGGGGTCATTGCCTTTGGCAGGTGACAAGCTTAAGGTTAATTAGATTGTTTTTTTTTTTTCTGTATTCATTTTTACATTTGCCTCCTAGTTATGTCACAGAATTCTATTTTTCCATTTACCATGGTGATGTACAGTCCCCCTTTAAAATATATTTTAGGTAAAAAGGAAATGAGTCAGCTTAAAGAAAGCTACTAAATAAACAATCGTGAAAACAGTCCAAAGTTTAGCATGATGCTCTATGAATGATTGATATTTGGGTAGCACTATAAAGGAACAGATAGACTGTGATTAACAAATACCAGTATAATAATTAGTAGCCACCTCTCACTGGTTTGTGTGTTGTGTAATAGCTCATTCAATCCTTGTAGCCATCCTGTGGGGTAAGAAACTCTTACCCCATTTTATAGGTGAAGAATCAAAGGCACAGAGAAGCATCTCATTTACTGACATGTTTTTCAGCCCCCAAAGCAGTCTCTGACAAGGTCCTGGTCTTTAGAGATTCTGTGTTACTGAAGGAGGGCTGAATCAAGCTCTTTAAAAATCCTAAAAGCAGCTGTGCATGATGGCATGTGCCTGTAGTCCCAGCAGCTCCAGAGGCTGAGATAGGAGAATTGCTTGAGCCCAGCAGTTTGAGCCTGCAGGGAGCTACGATTGCATCTGTGAATAGCCCCTGTATTTCAGCCTACGCAACACAGTGAGACCCTGTCTCTCCAAAAGAATGTAAAAATTAACTGGGCATGGTGGTGCATACTTACAGTCCCAGCTACTGGGGAGGCTGAGGCAGGAGGATTGCCTGAGCCCAGGAGTTTGAGATTGCACTGAGCTGTTATAATGCCACTGCCACTCCGGCCTGGGTGGCAGAGCAGGACCCTTCTCAAAAAAACAAACAAACAAACAAAAAAAAAACTAGAAGCAGCTGGGACAGTCACCCTCATTCCAAAAGGCAAGGCCCAGCTCAACGAAGATCTCACCTGCATGGGCAGCCACCTACACCCCTGAGATGGTAGGCTAAGGGCAGGCCTGCAGCCAAGCCAGGACTTTTCCATAGGACCTCTCTGGGTCCACTGTGGTGCACACATTATCCAGCAAGCCCTCCACATCCAAGAGCCAGGCTGAGATGGTTTGCTTTGGAAAGTTGTCAGAGCAGTTGCTGGTCCACAATAACTTCTGTGGCCGTCCAGTATCTCAGGACATCTTGTTTGAGCAATGTCAGGGTCCCAGAACCTGCCTCGGGGTGGCTGCTTGAAAAAGTCCTCCGGCCAGGTGCAGTGGCCCATGCCTGTAATCCCAGCACTTTGGGAAGCCAAGGCGGGTGGATCACCTGAGGTCAGGAGTTCAAGACCAGCCTGGTCAACATGGTGAAACCCCATCTCTACTAAAAATACAAAAATTAGCTGGGCATGGTGGCACACGCTGTAATCCCAGCCACTCGAGAGGCTGAGGCAGGAGACTCACTTAAACCTGGGAGGCGGAGGTTGCAGTGAGCCAAGATTGCGCCATTGCACTCCAGCCTGGGGGACAGGAACAAAACTTCTAAAGGAAATAAAATGTCATCCTACATGCCAAAGAAATTAAGGTAATTCCCCTGCTATGTGCAGTCACAGAGCCCCCACTACTTCTATTGTGGAAAAATCTGGAATTATATTTGGCACAGAGGATTCTAGCAAGAAGTGCTGTGCATTGCCAAGGTTGAATGCAAATTATTGCAAAAAGTTTGTGTTCCTGTGTCCTGAGAGGGAGCTGAGGTGTGTTATGCCACTGAAAATAAGAAATGGCGGCATTTGACTACTTTTCAGGACAAAGTAATATCTGGAGAGTTCCTGATTTTAAGTTTTTCATCCGTGAGTACTTCTTACACGGTAGGCTGTGCTGATGCGTGGCTGCTGGCAGGCACTAGCCGGAGACAAAATGATTAAGGAGTGTCAAATAAAATGGAAAACAAAATTAAACTCAATCCAGTACCTTGTTTTGCTGGGTTTTTCTCTTTCTCTTGTTAACACACATTTTGGTTTGATTTTTCTGGCACTTCCATATGACAGAGTTAAATTTGTTGTTAATTAATTTCTAGTTTATACCTTTGCAGATGTTTGATCTTATTCCCCAAATTCCCTGACTCCAAACGGGTTTGAGATTCACTGTCTTTTTTTTTTTTTTTTTTTTTTTTTGAGACGGAGTCTCGCTCTGTTACCCAGGCTGGAGTGAAGTGGCGCAATCTTGGTTCACTGCAAGCTCCACCTCCCGGGTTCATGCCATTCTCCTGCCTCAGCCTCCCGAGTAGCTGGGACTACAGGTGCCTGTCACCACGCCTGGCTAATTTTTTTGTATTTTTAGTAGAGACGGTGTTTCACCGTGTTAGCCAGGATGGTCTCAATGAGATTCACTGTCTTAATATCCCACTCAAGTGTCTCTAAAGGTATGTTAGGCCTTAAAAAAGCTCACCTATTTGTTTTCTTCAACTATTACAGCCATCAGATTGGTATGAAGTAATACATCAGTGTACTTACCTGAGATCTTAGGTCTTTCCCTTTGAAAAATACCTTCAGTGTAAGTACATTTGGAATCAGTCTTCCATGTGGGATAAATTTCAGCCTTTGCGTCTAGCGACCACAAATGCTGGCTGTTGTACAATATTTCATTTGCGCAACAGAACCGATTAGATCTTCTTTGTAAAGAGGGTTGCTTTGTTTCAGCAAAGCGTTTTTTTTGTTGTTGTTTTGTTTTGTTTTTTTCTGAGAGGGAGTCTCGCTCTGTCACCCAGGCTGGAGTGCAGTAGCGCAATCTCGGTTCACTGCAAGCTCCACCTCCCGGGTTCAAGTGATTCTCCTGCCTCAGCCTCCTGAGTAGCTGGGAGTACAGGCACCCATCACCACGCCTGGCTAATTTTTTGTAGTTTTAGTAGAGACAGGGTTTCGCTGTGTTAGCCAGGGTGGTCTTGATCTTCTGACCTCGTGATCCACCTGCCTCGACCTCCCAAAGTGCTGGGATTATAGGTGTGAGCCACTGCGCCTGGCCGCGTTTTTTTCTTCTAGAATAAGTTCTGTTTCCTAGAGGCCACAGGGTGTTGTCTTGGCCTGAGGAATGTTGGTATCCCAGGAAAACTTGTTCAGTATCTGAACTCTTCCCATCTCCCATCCTGCAGAACAAAATCACATAGCCTGAGTGGTTATTATTATTACTTTGTTGGAGACAGGGTCTCGCTTTGTCACTCAGGCTGGGGTGCAGTGGCACAATCATGGCTCATTTCAGCCTTGAATTTCCAGGTCAAGCAATCCTCCTGCCTCAGCCTCCTAAGTATCTGGAACTGTAGGCATGTACCACAATGCCCATATTTTTGAAGAGACAGGGTCTCACTGTGCTGCCTAGGCTGGTCTGTAACTCCTGGTCTCAAGTGATCTTCCCACTTGGGCCTCCCAAAGTGCTGGGATTACAGGTGCAAGCCACTGTGCCTGGCCTCTGGGGACTTTTAAAGGTTTAATCCAGCTAAGCATATTTATATATGTAATGCAGGGAAAGCGTATTATTTTTATATTAATAATAGATCACGGCATCTTGGCAGGCTGCATGAGCTTCAGGTGGTTTGGAGGATGGTGATGTTTTTGGACTTCAGGCTTTGCGTTTCTCAGCTCTTCCTTTTCATCCTCTCTTAAGATAGCTTACCCCTTGGGCCCTCAAGTTCTCTTTTACCCACAGCTCTGTCTTTATGCTTGCTTCCTGTGTAGCTATGCAGAGAGGGAAGAATTCATTAAGTAGAGAAAGATGAAATGGTTGGACCGAGTACAGAAATGGGAACTGCAGCTGCAGTGATGTGGGCTCTGAGAAGCCTCTGCCTTAGCAGATACCATTCCAAATTTAGGGGAGAGAAGGACCCGTTCTAAGGCTGAAGCATTTCTCTCTTGCTCACACCTGGTCCTTCCTGTCACACCTGTTGTATACCAGGTAGACAGGAGAGCCGGCCGTGGACTGAGGCAGCCGTTTGCTGTTTGATTTGTGAGTTTCATCCCAGCCAGTGTGGGCTCCTGTGTTGCAGGCCAAGCCAGACCAGGGGAGCACTTGCCCTTGTTCTTGCTGTGTCTCTCCTTGAGAGCTTTCCACCCCGGCGTTCTGAGGATCATAGCACATGAACCCCTAGCTGTTCCTGGAATGCTCAGGGCTCCCAGGAAAGCCTGATGTAGGTGAAAACAGAAAGCCAAAGGCAAAATGCTCTCCCCTTCCTGCTGGACATATGTGTCACTGCTGTCCTCTTTCTGCTTTATCTTTCCAAATAGGAAGAATTTTTAAAATTTCCCTTCCAGTATAAAGCCTTTATTCGTCCCAAAGCTGTTGATCAAGGTTCTGCTATATGCCCAGCATGTGCCAAACCTGCAGAACCAGTGGGAGCCAAACTTGACATTGAGCTGACCGTCACCAGTCTCACTAGTTTAGCAAGAAGGCAGGCTGTGTGGGGTAAAGGTAGCCTCGCTCTGCAGAGAAAGGAACAAGGAGGAGGGACGGGACACCACTCACCTTGCAGCATGGATGTGACCGTGTGTGATGACATATGAAATGCTTGGGCCATAGCTACTCTGTGAATGTTACCTTTGTGATCTGATAACCACTTGACTTGTGATAAGCAATTAAGCCTGGAAGGAAACGGAAAAAGATTTTCCCCTTGTTGAATCAAATGTCTCTGGGCATGTCCCCGTGTTCAAAAAAACTGTATGGAGCATCTCCTTCACCAAGGGCTTTACATGGGCTGCAAAGAGCAAGACAGCATTTTCCTAAGGTACCTGGCACCTGGTGGGGAGACAGGACCTCCATGAAAGCAACCGAAGTTCAAGGGCGGTTACATGAGGCTTTGCGGAGGGGTGGGAGAGCCGGCCATCGGGTAGGACGCCCCAGCCTCTGCTGCAGACTGTTTAATGCACATTGCTGCTTAATTCTTACAGCAACCTATGGGGTAGGCACTGTTTTCATGATCCCCATCTTATAGATGAAGCAGCTGTGACTCTGGGTTGAATGAGTCCCTCTGGGTCATGCACAAGATCTGCCTCATGCCTCTGTCTGCTCCACGTTGCTCCTCACCCAACCACCAAGGCGTGTGCTTCACAAATTTGTCTCAGTGAAATGAACCTGTTTCCATAACATGTTTCCTGAAAGGAATTCTGTCACTCTCTCATTGACCCATCACTCATTGTCACAGCTGCCGTGGGCAGCTGATACTGGTGACAAGGTAATATTTTTCACACGGGAGAGAGCGCTGCAAAGACGAGAGTGTGGAATTGATGGGTCCCTGGGAATGTGACAAGTCTGTTAAGGTGGAGACCTTTTCAGCCTCATATGCATAAAGTCTTCGCGTGTTAGGCTTTGAAGAAAACTTAGAGCTCACCTGTGTGTGCGTGCATACGTGTGCATGTGTTTTTGTGTGTGTTTTGAAAGGTACATTCAGAATTATAATTTTTTACTTGGAAAGCTAAAGACATGGGCTTTGTAAATAGTCTATAGGTAGAGGTGGACACACCCTCTTGGCAGGTGAACTGTCTGAATTTTTATATTTACTTTTTATATGAGAAAATCAAAAGAAGTGTTTTGCACTAGATCATACTCTCAGTAGCAAACAGAGTGGAGGAATTGGTGACACTTTCTAGCCACTCATGTTTCTGCTGTGTCTCAGGGCTACCTGGCTCTCTCTCCCTTTCCTGACTCCTTCTGCGCCCAGAAGTAACCCATCCGGAGAGCTACCCAGTGTGTTTATCAGGCAAGGGCTGGGGAGGTTAGAGCATGTTGTCACGTTTGCTCATCATGGAGATTGGCAGCTTTTGTTTTGTTTTGTTTCTGTTCTGTGGCCACAGTTGTCACTGAGTATTTGGTTTTGGTTAGGAAGGGAGTGTTGGGCCTGGGCAAGGTTCATCTCATTAGCTAAGTTCTAATGGAGAAGGGGAATGTGAAATAATCATTACAAGTGTGGGGAATGTCTCAAAACGGGAGATAAAAACAGTGAAGGGCATAGCCAGGTCACTCTTGCTGAAGTGGTGGGATCTCCTAACTGCAGGCAAAATACGTTAGCAGTAATAACTGTCCTTCCTGGAAATGAAAGTGCTGGGGAAGAGACAGGTGGCAGAGGGTGGGGTACAGGGTGGATATGGGAGCGAATAACAGGGTCCTGACTTACCGAATGGCAGCCAGGGTGCAGTGATCTCTCAGAAGAGGCCTGAGGCTACAGAGAAGGGAGCCAGGTGAGGTGGAGACAGCAGGAAGGATACTGTGGAGAAGGAAGCTGAGGTGTGAACACAGAGGAGTGGCTCTGTGAGAAGTGACAGGGCCCTCGAGACAATGGCACCTCGGAAGCAACGAAGTGACGTGAGTGTTCAGTGGTACGCTGCTGTGCAGGGGAGACAGCTTGTTCATCCTCTCTCCTGTTGAGTCGTCTTGGAGGTGGGCAGCATGTTGAGCATACGCAGGCGCTGGACGATCCTCACGCCAGGCGCCCTGCCCCGCACTTCCTGCATCAGCCTGTGGCTTTGAGAGCCGCCTTGCTGAGAGTGGCCTTACTCACTTACCGCTCCTAAATGGTGGTGTCCATTGTTCTAAATGAGGCGGGATGTAAATTACCATACAGTCATCCCTTGCTTGTCTGGGGGGGATTGGTTCCGGGACCCCCCATGGACACCCAAATCTGAGGGTGCTCAAGTCCCTCATATAAAATGCCATAGTATTTGCATATAACCTAAGTGCATCCTCCTGTAGATGCTAAGTCATCTCTAGATTACTTACAATACCTAGTACAATGCAAATATCATGTAAATATTTGTTACATGGTATTGCTTAGGGAATAATGACAAGATAAAAGTGTGTGCATGTTCAGTAGAGATGCACTTTTTTGAGTATTTGTAATCTGTGGTCGGTTGAATCTGTGGATGCAGAACCCACTGATACGGAGGGCTGACTGTATTAAAAATTAAAAATTTGAGCCAGGTGTGGTGGCTTGTGCCTGTAAACACAGCTACTCAGCAGACTGAGGTAAGAGAATTGCTTGAGCCCAGGAGATCGAGGCTGCAGTGAGCTATGATCACACCGCTGCACTCCAGCCTGGGTGACAGCAAGACCTCAACTCTAAAAGTACAAGTAAAAAAGTAAGAGAGGTGTTTGGAAATCATCCTCTTTTCACCAAGTCATATTAACCGTGGCTTAAGTGGGACCTTCTAAGTGTGGTCTCCATATCCCATCTTCACCTCCACGGTTACAGAAACAAAAACATGAAGAAGAGGAACTTGCTAAGCTACTGATCTGTGATTCCCCCGGTCTCTTTCCTTTTCCAAGTTCCCTGGTTGTAGCCAGCTGGTCTTTTCTGCTCCCTCACCTGAAGGGAGATTTCTGGTAAAAGTAGAAGTCCTGCAAAGACATTTTCCTGCCTGGCCGTTGTTTTTCAAAAGCTTGGGACGATTTTGTTTGTTTATTTGTTGGTATGTATGTATGTATGTATTTAGAGACAGACTCTGTGTCTCCAAGGCTGGAGTGGAGTGGCACACTCTTGGCTTATAGCAACCTTCGCCTCCGGGGTTCAAGCAATTCTCCCACCTGAGCCTTCTGAGTAGCTGGGATTACGTGTGCCCACCAGCATGCCCGGCTAATTTTTTGTGTTTTTAGTAGAGATGGGGTTTCACCATGTTGGCTAGGCTGGTCTCGAACTCCTAACCTCAAATGATCCACCTGCCTCAGCCTCCCAAAGTGCTGGAATTACAGGCATGAGCCACTGCACCCGGCCTGTTGTCTTTTTAAAGAGACTCCTTTGAGAAGACAGCTAGGGGCTAAGGGCTCCATGGCAGGCCCCAGAACAAGAGAGACCTCCCAGGGAGGCAAGGCTCCAAGTCCGGGCAAAAATTCCAGCTTGCTTGTGTGCCCTGGGAGCAGAAAACCAGGACCCACAAACTGGCAGTGAGTGGGCCACTGTCTGCAGGTTGGAAGTCCTTTCTGCAAGGTATAAGCGCTGTACAAGCGCCACACTGTCCTGAAGGCTGGGGAGTGGGCAGGACCCCAATAATGGCTGAGACAGCCTTGCTGCCCACTCGGCAGGATTGCCTTGGAGTCTTGATCAAGATGCACTCAGCAGCTCCTTCTGGCACCATTGAGTTTCATACTCACACACAGCATTTCTGATGTATTTGGATGAGGCCTTGTAATTACACAGCAAGGACAGGTTGTCCATTTGCCCTCACCTACTGCCTGGACAGAGTATAAACTTAAAAAACTTTCTAAAATGAATTAATCCACCCATGAAGTTCTCCTCGCAGGCAGGTTGGTATTGATGTCTTGGGGTCCTGCACTATGCCAGGCCCAGCGTCTGCCTCCGTCAGACCTTCCATCCCACCTGATGATTGGGGCTGGTCTAGGATGTTACCTCCCACATCCAGGGGAGGAAGTGAGGCCTGGTGAGCGGACTTGGTCAGGCTGACAGGTAGATGGACTCTCCTCCCCAGCGGGTCTCCATGGGGAACAGTTGGCACCTGCCCTGAACTGCCACACCACACACTCCCTGTGCTCCCCAACCCAGGCTGGGAATGCCCACTCTCTCCTATATCCAAAATAGTTATATTTATTTTTAGGGATGTTGGAAAGGGATGCCTCTTAAACCCCATCTCCCCTGGGGAGATCATCTTGTCGGGAAGAAATGGCAGGACCTCTTCCCTGTACAGCTCGTCCTGGGAGCATTGTTGGAGTGGGGGCCGTCTTCTGAATGTGGCCAGGGCCGTACTGTCAGACACATGCATCTGCCTCAGTTAAACAGGCTCTGAGGATGGCCGCCTGGCTTGTCCTCTGGTTTGAAAAAGACAACTACAGCCCCTTTGCATCAGCCTGTAGGAGGTAAGGAACCCAGAACTGGGCAGGCTGTGCTCTGTTCGGTTTCTGACCCCAGAGACTGCTCATGGGCCCTCCTCCTTAAACGTCGAGTCCCTCTCAGCTTTTCTTAAACTGCCCCTCAAATGCACTTAGCACAGACGCAAGCAGAGCCCCGGGGCTTGTCTCGGGGCACCGCCCAGTCACTCATTGGTCATTGCAGAGTCACAGTTAGACAGGAGGAAGAAGTTCTGGTGATCTGTTGCGCAGCAGGGTGACTATGGTTAACAATGACGTATATTTCAAAATAGCTGGAAGAGAGGGTTCTGAATGTTTCCACCACAAAGAAATGAGAAGTATTTGAGGTGATGGATCTGCTCATTACCCTGATTTGATTACAAAACAGATACATGTAGCAAAACACCACATCATGCCCCTGAGTTCGTTTGTTTTGTGTGGCTGTGAAGGAACACCTGACGCTGGGTAGTTGATAAAGAGAAGAGGTTTCTTTGGCTCCCAGTTCTGCAGGCTGTACAAGAAGCATGGTGTCAGCATCTGCTCGGCTTCTGGGAAGGCCTTGGAGGCTTTTAGTCATGGTGGAAGGTGCAGGGGGAGCAGGCATGTCACATGGCAAGAGAAGGAGCAAGAGAGAGGAGGAGGTGTTACTCTATCCCAACCACCAGCCCTCACATGGACTAACAGAACAAGAAGTCACTCATTCTCATGGGCAGGGCACCAAGCCATTCATGAGGCATCTGCCCCATGCCCCAGACACCTCCCACTAGGCCCACCTCCAGCTTCAGGGGTGACATTGCAACATGATTTGGAGGGGACAAACATATCAACCCCATAACTGTGTATAATTATTATGTGCCAATTAAAAGTAAAACAAAACTGAACATTTATGGAGCCCCTGCTGTGTGCCAGGCACTGCGCCTAGTGAGATACGCTTGAGTAAGGGGAAGGGCCTCCCAGGTGCAGCCAGGGTGCCAGCCACCTCAGGCACAGTACTTCTTGGGAGCCTACCATTCCATGAGACAATCAGGGGCGGTTTGCATTCTACTCCATAATCCATCCGTATCTTACTGTTTATGAAACTTGCATTTCCCTCAGGCTAGTCTGCAGTGAAAATGCTTTGTGTTTCTTCTGCGTAGCCAGGCTGTGTGTACCTCTTGGCACACTGGGCTTCCTGTGTTCAGCATCTAGAGTGCTCTGGTTCCAGAAGTGAGCTTCCATGGAAGCCGCCTCTGTCCAGGTGTCTTTCCTTGTTTCAGGCTGTCTGGCTCACCTGGTCTCCCAGCATCTGTCTATGAGGGCCAGGGGCAATGAGGACATTCCTGTGGCACATCAGGGAGGGAGATGAGCTAGTGGGTCAGAGGGGGTGGGTGGTTCTCCTTTCCTTCCTTCTCTTTGCTCCCCGCTTTGCACACTCTACATCCCTCCCCTGGTCTTTTCCTTTTCTCTTTCTGTTTCCC